>NC_000012.12:87460128-88085128 GCF_000001405.40 Homo sapiens | reverse complement strand
ACTGTAATATCTCAATAAAGTACCTTAATTAAATTTTATGTTCATCATAACAATGAAGTTTCTAGCATATGTAATAGTCTTATAAATAAGCATGCAAATAACTGCTGTCAATTAGAATTAGTCAGTTTAACCTTATTAAGTATCAAATGGCTATTGTACATATGATGTGAAAAATAAAGTGAATTTTTTTTGGCTAATAACTAATCTAAAATTCAGATGAAGCATTTTAAAGGGAAAAAGATACTTTAATGATTTATTATAATTTAATCATTGCAGAAACTAAAAGAGAAAGAATCTGCTTTAAGGTTAGCAGAACAAAATATACTGTCAAGAGACAAAGTAATCAATGAACTGAGGCTTCGATTGCCTGCCACTGCAGAAAGAGAAAAGCTCATAGCTGAGCTAGGCAGAAAAGAGATGGAACCAAAATCTCACCACACATTGAAAATTGCTCATCAAACCATTGCAAACATGCAAGCAAGGTTAAATCAAAAAGAAGAAGTATTAAAGAAGTATCAACGTCTTCTAGAAAAAGCCAGAGAGGTATTTTATTATATTATGAGTTATGCTGTTATCCATTAGTTTTTTTAAGCAAATGCTAAATATTATTTTACCCTAAAGTGGTATTTCTTTTCTTGCTTTCAAATGATTCTATTTAAGAATTGTTACTTGCATGTGATTGGATTACACCTCTGTCAGTAAAACTGGAAGTTTGTGTACATGTATCTTTCTATTATACACTGACTAAACCACGAGTAGCTATCATGGTGAAATCATATGATTTTGAAAAATATTTTAATTGAGTTTATAGGTGAGGATTGAGGCAATAGGGTGGAATGAAATATATCACACCGGTAATCAGTAGAAATCAGATTTGTTAGAACTTCGTGGGGGAAAGCTAACATTTAATTTTTTCTAGAAGTAAGTTAAAAGATGATAGATACATGTCATTCTAATGTTAAGAATAAATTATGAACTGAGGCTGGGCTTGTCAACTTGAACATTGTCTGAGGGGACATGCATACCAGTCTAGATACATACATATATGGAGATACTGTTTCTTCCTCATCTCAAAGGAATTTTAGAAGATTGAAGAGAAAATATATAAGGTCTTCAAAATGTGAATTTGTTTTAATCACAATTTAAGATATAGTTTCGATTTTCTGTAAAACAGGAGCAAAGAGAAATTGTGAAGAAACATGAGGAAGACCTTCATATTCTTCATCACAGATTAGAACTACAGGCTGATAGTTCACTAAATAAATTCAAACAAACGGCTTGGGTAAGATTCTAAGAACTTTGTTCCATTCTTTATTGATTTTTGTGACCATGTAAATTAAAATTCAGCTCTCTTCTTTTTTGGAATGGAAGTTACCCTTTTTGTTGCCAAAATAATCTTCTGAAAACATAGCTCTGATCATTCTTCCTCCTGTAGCTCACCGCTGTTCACAAAATTATATTTATAATTCTTAGCCATGTACTCAATCTGCTATGAACCTACCTGCCTTTCTTTTCAAATTCTACTCACTGTGAGTTTAGCTATATCTAACTTCCAGAATTCAGCTCATATTTGCCTCTTTTGACCATTCTGTTCCATATGTATGAAATGACATGTCTTTCATCTTTTAATGTGTAACCTTAGCATATTTGAGCATTACCTCGTTAATTCGGTCAACACTTATTGATCTCCTGCTACGTGCAGACATTTTGCTAGCTATTGTAAATACAAATAATAAAGTCTGCATTTCCTGTCTTCTTTAAGCCTTCATTGCCTATTAAATCATTACATTTTAGATTAGATATTATATTTTGATCATTTGAGGAACCAAATTAAAAATATGGAATAAGTATGGCATTGAATTATACATGCCTATTGCTAATATATTCATATTTTATAGGATTTAATGAAACAGTCTCCCACTCCAGTTCCTACCAACAAGCATTTTATTCGTCTGGCTGAGATGGAACAGACAGTAGCAGAACAAGATGACTCTCTTTCCTCACTCTTGGTCAAACTAAAGAAAGTATCACAAGATTTGGAGAGACAAAGAGAAATCACTGAATTAAAAGTAAAAGAATTTGAAAATATCAAATTACAGTAAGTCTTCGAAATGTATTGTAAAAATAGGCAAATGATAAGTGATATAATGAAGATAAACATAAGTGTTTGCTATGCCAGGCACTGTTCTAAGACTTTTAAGTATATTGTCTCATTTTTATCCTCAGGACTGCTGGTTACATATGTTATCATTTTCCCCATTTTAAAGAGAGGATATGGCCTCAGGAATGCTTAATAGCATGTCTGGGGGTAGATGGGAAAGCCATAATTTGAAACTAGTCAGTCTGACTCAAAAGCCAATACAAATTCTTTTCCAGAATCTCATTTTTACCTTCTTTGAGCCTCAGTTTCATCTTATTTATTTATTTTTATTTTTGAGACAAGGTCTGGCTCTATTTCCTAGGCTGGAGTGCAGTGACATAATCTCAGCTCACTGCAACCTTGACCTTCCAGGCTCAAACCATCTTCCCACCTCAGCCTGCAGAGTAGCTGGCACTACAGGCAGGTGCCACCACACCTGGGTAGTTTTTTTGTATTTTTGTAGAGACAAGGTTTCTCCATGTTGCCCAGGCTGGTCTTGAACTCGTGAGCTCAAGTGATCCGCCCACTTCGGCCTCCCAAAGTGCTGGGATTACAGGCCTGAGCCATTGCACCCAGCCTCATCATCTTTAAAATGGAAATAATAATACTTACCCTGGCCCTTTCAGGGTGGTTATATGAAGGTCAAATTATACCGTGTATGAAAGTAATTTGAAAACTGTAAAATAACATACAGATAGAAAACTTTTGATTACACACTTATAAGAGTGTCTGTCATATAATAGAGATTCTAAACATTGTTCAACCACTTTATCAGAACGTAGATTTTAAACTCAAAATAGGTTTATAGTTAGGTAGTTTCTAATCATTATAATATTATCTCTATGGGCCTAAATTTTATTATCTGAAAAAACATGAGAAAATTGAACTGCTTGACTTATAATTCCATTTCAGCTCTCAAGCCCCTGCTAGAGTCTTTGATTCTTTACTCACTTATTCAAATGCCTCTGACAGAATTAACACTATTTTTGCTTTGCTAAGGAGCTGCCACTGTTAAGAAATTACTCTCTAAAAGAAAGAAAATTGGCAACAGCATATGTGTATTTTCAGTCTCTTTTCCTCACTCTATTAAATTTTGTACAAGAGATGTTATTTTTGGTCTAGTAAATTTCTGTCATGTTTTGGAGTATAAAATTACTTGTGCTTTTGCATCTAATTTGTGGGTGTAGAAAATCATAATCTTTTGAAATACCTTATATAATACATTTTTTTGCCACAGGAAATACTTGAAGTTATTGTTGTGTACCTTACGTCATTTTAGTCCAAAATTATACTTGTGTTCTCTGTGTGCATATTTTGATATGTATTAGGAGATTATGGATCTGTGTGATTTCTTAAGTAAATCCTGATATTTTCACAATTTGATGATGACTCTTTAAAGTTAGACTTAAGTTTTGCCAAAAGCAAGAAGCCTCAAAGAGTAACATTTGTTCATGTCTTAACACTATCTCCCTCTTATTGGTCAGAATCTCAGTATGGATGCAGTGTCCATATGCACAACAATATATTAATTCAGTTTAACAGACTTAATGCTGAATAAGCAATAAGATTAATTGAATTAACTAAATCTTTTGATAGTATCCACTTCCATATATATAGTTATAGATATAATGCTAGTGAATTTGAACCATAAACAAATTAATAATACATGTGATTTCTGTGAAAATTTATATTAGTCTTTTCAATATGTCAATATAGGGCAGTATTTCTCAAATATAGAGGATCAGTTTTTCACCATTGTCCCTCTTGGGGACATTTGGCGATGTCTGGAGACATTTTTGATTGTCATGGCTCGGGGGTGCTACTGGTATCCAGTGGGTAGAATCAAAAGATGCTGCTAAACATCCTATCATGCACAAGGCAGCCCCACCACCAACAAAGAATTATCCAGTCAAAAATGTTACTAGTAGTATGGTTAGGAAACTATCATATAGAGGAAGCAATCACATTTTACAAGAGCCATAATATTTAAAATGCCTTTTTGTTCATTCTCTGTATATTTGACTAGAGTCACAAAATAACTTGATAAGATTGTTGCCAAAAATATTAGAAACTAGAAGAAAAATGTGTTGTTAAGTCTAAGAGTAGTTAAATGAAATAAAGAATTATTCTTCTTTGGATTTGGATGCCTGCATCAAGATTTAGATTGTAAGGATACTTAGGACTGAACATTTGCTCTATATGAAATTTGTATTAATCAAGGTATGAATTGCAGCAACCACTCTATTAATTACATATGTTTGGCCAGGTGTGGTGGCTCACACCTGTAATCCCAGCAATTTGGGATGCCAAAGCGGGCTTATCACCTGAGGTCATGCGTTCAAACTGGCCTGGCCAACATGGTGAAACCCCATCTCTACTAAAAATACAAAAATTAGCTGGGCCTGATGGTGCACGCCCGTAGTCCCAGCTACTCAGGAAGTTGAGGCAAAAAAATCACTTGAATCTGGGAGGCAGAGGTTGCAGTCAGCCGAGATTGCGCTGCTGCACTCCAGCCTGGGTGACAGAGTGAGACTGGGTCTCAAAAAAATTAAAAATTAAAAAACACACACACACATATGTTTATTTACATCAGGCTTCAAGAAAACCATGAAGATGAAGTGAAAAAAGTAAAAGCGGAAGTAGAGGATTTAAAGTATCTTCTGGACCAGTCACAAAAGGAGTCACAGTGTTTAAAATCTGAACTTCAGGCTCAAAAAGAAGCAAATTCAAGAGCTCCAACAACTACAATGAGAAATCTAGTAGAACGGCTAAAGAGCCAATTAGCCTTGAAGGAGAAACAACAGAAAGTAAGTAACAACAGAAAATTATCAACATTTAGGAAAAATATGTGGTAGATTGCTTTTAGAGAAGATTTGTAAATTTATAAAAGATGGTAGTATAAATCTCCGTGTTGTAATAAAAAGTATGAGCTTTATCTTATGCTGTTAAACAAGGTATTTTAGACAATGCTGTTTTTGTGGGCAGATATAGTCCAATTTATCTTTTTATGTTTTCGTCAATCTGATTTGTGAATTATCTATATGAAGTTAGGAAAAATCTTAATGTACATTACAAAAATATAATATATATTACATTGTATTTTCTTTTTTTCTACTGGAATTTTATGCTACTGAGGCTATTTTTAACAAATGAACAATTTTGAACAATTTGAGGGATTGAGGGAAGTATGATAATGACAAAAAGGGATGAAAAAAGGGGGTCATAGAGATGTTTTTGTGAGAAGGAGTTGGTCAGTGTATTCTGATTTATTAGGGTTTTTTTTAGTTTATCTCAGATTTGATCTATTTAAATTGTTTTAGAAGATGCTGGTGTTTTTCTGTGCTAGCTATGAAATTTATGGGTAAACTTTAAGCCTTTCCTAGTCCTTTTGTTGTCTACCTAAATTCAATTAATTTCATATGGAAGGATGTAGTAAGTGAGTAATATAAATATCTAAAATTGGATGTTTGAAAACAAAACATACCTGTTTTTTGTAATAGCTTGATTTAATGCTGAGTTCTCAAAATCATTATTAAGATTTTGAACTTTCACATTCAATGTGGAAAGAATTGAGTGTAATTACAAAAGATTTATTTGAAAAAGTTGAGTTGTTAATTTGTGAAATATGTTCCATTAAACTCATAATATTTTAGAAAAATAGTAGGAAGTAATAAAGCTTGTTTATTTTTTATATCATATATTCATATAAAATGTCAGTTTTCCTTTAAAAATTACATTTTTTTTTTGGTTAATTTTTAGGCACTTAGTCGGGCACTTTTAGAACTCCGGGCAGAAATGACAGCAGCTGCTGAAGAACGTATTATTTCTGCAACTTCTCAAAAAGAGGCCCATCTCAATGTTCAACAAATCGTTGATCGACATACTAGAGAGCTAAAGGTGAACATCAACACGTGTTAATGTAACAAAATTTCTGATAATTCCTATTGGAAGAGAATTCACTATGATATATAGTAATTTTGTTGATGAATAGGGAATTTATAATGCACTGTTGGTGGCTAGACATAGACACACACATGCATTTTTCAACAATAAGTCTCTTTATGATACTCATTTACTGATTATCATCTTGGGGATTAGGAAAGGATAGGCCATTATGAACTACTGTTTCTAATGAAATTAAATTTAAGAAATATTTTACTTAGGATTTTTTTTAAGACTTTATTATTTTTTTAGAGCAATTTTAGGTTCACAGCAAAATTGAGAGGAAGGTACAGAGATTTCCTGTATATCTCCTACCCTGAAAGTGGTACATTTGTTAAAATTGATGAACCTATATTGATACATCATAATCACCCAAAGTCCAAGTTTACCTCTATTTTAGCTCTTGGTATTTTACACTCTGTGTGTTTAGACAAATGTATAATGATATGTATCCATCATTATAGTATTATACAGGGTATTTTCACTGCCCTAAAAATCTTCTGTGCCTCTCTTCTTCATTCCTTCCTCTGCACCTCACCAAACCCCTGGCAACCAGTGATCTTTTTACTGTCTCCATAGTTTCACCTTTTCCAGAATATGTTATAGATGGAAACATACAGTGTGTCCCCATCATTCTCACCATAGGACAGCTAGGAACTCCTTTCTAGTGGCATACATATTGTCTAGTATTGTAAGTTACCCTTTTATATCTTATCTTTGTAAACTAGGTTAGAAATTACTTCAAGTCAGAGATTTGTTCTGTACTACTCTTATGCTTCATAGTGTTTAAAACGTTGTCATATATATTGTTATATACTTGTTTGTTTAATTAATTCAGCCAAAATGAAACGTGCATATTTGATAAAATTTTGTTTGTGGGTGTTTGTTGAAGATGAATTGCTTTACACTAGTTTTTTTTTTTTTTCTCAAAGTCGACTTTTTTCCTCAAGGTAGACTTGACATGAATATGGAAAAATATATGTAGTTTGTGGTTATTTTTTTTCTCTTGTGTACTTAAAAATTCAGACTGAATTTTTCTTATAATGGTATATTTTCTGTTTTATGTTCCTTTTATCATTGATACTTCTTGAAGAGTCATGAATAATACCTTTCTTTTTCTCTTATTAGACACAAGTTGAAGATTTAAATGAAAATCTTTTAAAATTGAAAGAAGCACTTAAAACAAGTAAAAACAGAGAAAACTCACTAACTGATAATTTGAATGACTTAAATAATGAACTGCAAAAGAAACAAAAAGCCTATAATAAAATACTTAGAGAGAAAGAGGAAATTGATCAAGAGAATGATGAACTGAAAAGGCAAATTAAAAGACTAACCAGTGGATTACAGGTAATTTTATATTTAACTCTGATAATGTCTGATTTACAATATAGAGGTAGTAGTTTATTTCTACTTTATCATTTTATCTATGGTATTTGTTAAAACTGACTTTCAAATCACTTTGATTAATGTAATTAATTTCTTTTGTGACTTCTATTGTGTTTATAGTTCTAGAGTAGCATATTAGTATGTTGTATTAAAATGCAGAAGCAGCTACCAGATTATCTTATGTATTAAGTGTCATTTAGAAAGTATGGTCAGTGATAGCTTCAGAAAGTTGCTATTATATAATTGAAATATTTACTGTCTATTTTGTTTTACATTTATTTGTAAAAATATAAAGTTACATTTTATTTTTTAGGGCAAACCCCTGACAGATAATAAACAAAGTCTAATTGAAGAACTCCAAAGGAAAGTTAAAAAACTAGAGAACCAATTAGAGGGAAAGGTGGAGGAAGTAGACCTAAAACCTATGAAAGAAAAGGTATGTGAAGAAACATACTGACTTATATGCTTAAGGTAGTGACAGAGTAAGTTAAATACATAGCTGATTAACAGTTAATATACTGCCTTAATTTGATGACCTGGCTGTATTAATTCTGTATTAATTTTGAGGACTATAAGCAGTATTGAATAACGTAGAAAAGTCTAAGTTTCTGTTCTGTAGGAATTTAGAGTCTACTTGAGGAGATACCTATAATGTAACTCTTATTTGGAAATTACTACATCAATTTCATTCATCTTTCTGACATTAGAGTACCTCTGAAGTTCCTTCACACCTTAACATATTCAACTGTGTATCATTTCTCTCCAAAGTAATCATTTACACAGGTTGGTGCTTTTGACTTTTGGGACAGAAAGATAGACATTTTAAGATACCCCACTTTGACCCAAATAGGTCCTTTTTAATCCTTCAGGAGACTAGGCTGTTATTTCAGATAGCAAAGTTATTTGGAATATCTTCAGTATTTGCAGTAATAATCAGTAACCAATCTGCTCATAGATTAATTCTGTGGGAGAAATTGCTTAAAATTTTATAGTTCATAGTAAACTGTTTTGTAATAAAAATTACTGATTGAAATAACCCCAAAAAAAACTAAAATTGGCTAAAATGCGTGTAATTAAATTTGTTATGGACAATAAATTGGAGATAACTTGTTGGTAACATTCAAAATATCGAAAGTGAACTGGGAAATGTTGATGTTAGCAGTAATATTTGCCATTGAAGAAAATCAGTATGGAGGAGCTATGGTTAGGAAAATTTTTATTATAAAATTTACCCAGAAAATATTTAATGTCTATAAAATAATTTCAATCACATGAAAATGGAAAAGAAAATTCTGTCTTTAAAGGCATTGAATAGAAAATAGGTAATGGAATTCAAATTTCTTAATAGAGTATGCTCCCAAAATTATTTTCTATGAAAATTCATTAATGTCAGTGTAATTTATTGACACTATTTGCGTGGAGTCACAACATGCTTGCTGTCAGAAGCTTTGCTGGTGAAAACTGTAAGATCAAAGTGTCCTTAATCTTTTGGATTTCCATCTTTCTAACTCCCTAATTGGGGATAGGCCTGATCTTATCCCTAAATGGGGATAGGTTAGAAACTGGTATGTTTGTTCCTAACTGGTGTGTTTCTATACCAGTTTCTAACCTGATTCCTATCAGAATGTTTTAAGAGCCTTGTGGCTTTGCCTGGACTCTTCTATGCTACAGTTTATTTAGTTTATTTATTCAGTTTATTCCTCCTTAAAGTGGGAATAATACTATCTGTATTGCCAGTTTCTCAGGATTATTTTACATAAAATGATATGATATGCGGAAGTCTTTTGTAAGCCATCACATCCATAGCAGTATAAGATATTACTACTAACTAGAAAGAGAAAACAGGGGTCTATGCCCAGTATTAAAATTGGCATTCAGGAATCTAGTGAGAATATTTTTTCAGGTTCATTGCTTGGGCATTTCTAATTTATACTCAAGAAATGCTTTCATATTGTTTGGAAATTTTAGTACCCTTTTCTCTGTAAACAGAATTTGTAGTCTACCTATGTAACAAAACCCACCCCTGTGCCTTGCATTTCATTCTCCTTAGCATTTATTACTATCTTAACATACTAGACATGTACTTGTCTTTTGTTCATCTTTTTTTTTTCTTTTTTTATTAGACCATAAACTTTGATGGCAGGAACTTTGCCTATTTTATTTATTATTGTATTCCCAGCACCTAGAACAATCGCTGGCACATAGTAGATGCTCAGTATTTGTTGAATGAATATAAATTTTTAAATGTTATAATAATATTATTCTGAAATCTATGCATACGAAGCTTTTGGTACAGAAAACATGAAAAGAGAACTACTGCCTTATCATCCAGTCTTCTTCCCTCTTCTCATTCAGTCTAGAACATAACCTGTTTTGGAAAAAGTTCTCAAACCATATGTTTATCTTGCCCTCAAACCATAACAACAATCAATGCAAAAGACTTCTGTGACCCCCAGAATATGTGGGGATTTCTCCACATCAGCAAGCAAGCAGTTGGTTTTGTAGCAGACACCAACTGGGTGTCGTCCAATTCAATTCATCATCTACCTGGAGATAGTGTCAGATCCCACAGATATCTTACTTCGATCAAATCACAAGTCCAGGCCTCCGTGACTTCCGAAGTTCCCACATCCCCAGCCCCCAGCTTTGGGTTTGATTAATTTCCTGGAGTGGCTCACAGAACTCAGGGAAACATTTACTTACATTTACCAGTTTATAATAAAGGTTATTACAAAGGATACAGGTTAAGAGATGTGTAAGAAGAGATATGGGGGAAGGGGTGTGGACCTTCCATGCCTTTCTGGGGTGCCACCTTCCTCTAGAAACCTCCACATGTTCAGTTCTCCAGAACCTCTCTGAACCCAGTCCTCTTGGTTTTTAGGGAAGCTTCATGACATCAGTATTTCTTCTCCTAGGGTATGGGGCAGGACCCCCTCGTATTAGGGTTTTAAGACCCACAGTCAGAAAGGCAGGGGAAGATTACAGTCCTGCCTTAGGGCAGGTGAAAGGAGGATGGGAGAAGGTCAGAGAGACTCTTTTCTGAGGTGTGCTCGGAAGGCCTAACACACTCAATATTATAACTAAAGATGAGGACAAGGGCTATGAGAGTTATAAGCCAGGAACCATGGAAAAAAGCCTATATGTAATAACACCACAATACCCATGGTACCATTCACGTTTGTTGTTTTTCTGTTTTTCAATTGTTCTTTCAGTCTTGGTTCCCTTAATCTTAATTTAGCAAGTAATGCCAGGTGGGATAAAATTGCCCAAACCCAACAAAGTACTGTGTGCTGCAGGATTATTTAATGACATACCTTATGTCCCCCACTAGTATTTACATTTCTGGGAGTACAGAAAAATTCTTGTACATATTTCAGAAAAAATGAAATTAATAACTATCAACCACTTAGTGAAGTTTTTACTTTTTTTTTTGAGATGGAGTTTTATTCTTGTCACCCAGGCTGGAGTGCAATGGCGCAATCTCAGCTCACTGCAACCTCCGCCTCCTGGGTTCAAGTGATTCTCCTGCATCAACCTCCCAAGTAGCTGGGATTACAGGTGCCTGGCACCACGACTGGCTAATTTTTGAATTTTTAGTAAAGATGGGGTTTCACCATGTTGGCCAGGCTAGTCTCAAACTCCTGACCTCAGGTGATCTGCCCGCCTTGGCCCCCCAAAGTGCTGGATTACAGGTATGAGCCACCACACCCAGACTGAAGTTTTTACATTTTTTAAAGGGCACTTATTAGCTGAATTAAATAAGGTAAAAAATTGACTAGTATTAGAGACAAGAATTGGAGAATATAGTTCTCTAGTATTCGAGAAAGTCGTTTTGATAGGACAACTAATCTTAGTGAGAATTTGGCTTTATTTCATATTTTTTTAATTTTTTGAGATGACGTCTTACTATGTTGCCCTGGCTGGTCTTTGAACTCTGGGCTCAAACAATCTTCCTGCCTCGGCCTCCCAAAGTGCTGAGATTATAAGCATGAGCCATCTCCCCAGGAATTTGACTTTAAACCATGGTTCTCAACCCTTTCAGATTCAACATTCCCTTTAATAAAAAATATAATGTTTCATAATTTCCCCTTTACTATTATAATTGAAATGCATAGTTAACATAAACTCTACCTACTTACATAATTTCAAAAATGTCATTATGAATGTCCTAAATGAAATATATAGGGGGAACATAAAAGGAATATTCATATTTCAACATGTAAATGCTTTGGCATGACTCCATTGGAAAATATAATGAACTAGTCATGTGCTTGCACCTTCATTAATGTGAGTTCAAAGCTACGATTGCAGACTGACACAAATGTGTTCTATTGGCAACTGATGGGTCATGATGGTATTGCCATTTGTAATTTGATTTCCAAAATGGTAAACAAATTGTTGGTGCAGTTCTCAGCAAAACAATGTCTATAATCTTACCTTTTATAAGACTGTTGTATTCCTAGAAAACTTAGTGTATAGTAAAACCATTAAAAAATTACTTAGTGTGAATATGTTAGTTGGAGATAAATTCTTAGCTCAGACCAGTGTAAGCAGAATTTTTTACTGTATTAATATCCAGTAGAACATTTGAAAGTTGTTCAGTGCATGAGACTATTCTGCATTGGATAGGCTTTCTTTGGCTCCTTTATCATAGTTATAATAAACCATGACACCTACCCCTGAAATGCCCTAATTCCCTTCCGTTTCTTTTTCTTTTTTCTTTTTAGCACTTAAAACTAGCTAACTTACTACAAAATAGATTTAGATTTATTTCTTGTTTTGTTATCTGTATCGTTTGCTCCCTTCTCCCCAATCTATCTAACCAACTAGTATAAACTAGATAGTAAGATTCATGAAGATACACTTTTTTATCTGATTTTATTCATTTGTTCTATTCCTATTGCCTCTAGAGTAGTACTTGGCACATGGTTAGCACTAAATAAGTACCTGTCAAATGAGTGAAGTAATGTGCATTGAAGACTTGAAGGGGCTCTGATGCTAGGAAATTGTCATGGGATAATAGATGAGGTTGGTCGTTTGTACAGAGGATTCTTGTTAGAAGCTTACTCTAGTCATGATTGTATTAGAATCTTCATTTAAAGGCTCCTGAAGGGTGTTGGCATTAGTCAGAACTGTCTCCCAGAATTTTATTTGTCTTGTGATAGAATAAAGCATAGTTAGCCTAAAGAGCAGTTTTCCTAATAGCTCGGCATGCCCAAAGATTCTAGGAGTTATACAGGTTGAACATCTAATCCAAAAATCTGAAATGCTCCAAGATACAAAATTTTTTGAGCACCAATATGATGCCACAAGTGGAAAATTCTGATGTGACCTCATATGATGAGTCACAGTCAAAACACAGTCAAAACTTTGTTTCATGTACAAAATTATTAAAAAATATTGTATAATACTACCTCCAAGCTATGTGTAGAAGGTGTATGTGAAACATAAGTGAATTTTGTGTTTGGACTTGGGACCCATCCCTAAGATATCTCATTATGTATATGCAAATATTCCAAAAATATTTTTTAAAAAAATCCAAATTCTAAAACACGGCTGGTTCCAAGCGTTTCGTAAGGGATACTCAACCTGTATAGCAAAATGAACATATTTACATATTCTCTAGGAAATATTAGTTTACAATTTTTCTAGGCAAATTATAATTGATAAATCATAAAGAAAATTTAAAATAACACTGGTAATTTTCCTACCTCCTTCGTTATTGTTACAGAATGCTAAAGAAGAATTAATTAGGTGGGAAGAAGGTAAAAAGTGGCAAGCCAAAATAGAAGGAATTCGAAACAAGTTAAAAGAGAAAGAGGGGGAAGTCTTTACTTTAACAAAGCAGTTGAATACTTTGAAGGATCTTTTTGCCAAGTGAGTTTAAATATCATTATAAAACTAATTATGTGTAAAATCCTTTAGTGACCTGGAAATTATATAGCTTTATCATAGTTGATAATATGAGAAATGGTCTAGTTTAAATGATCATTTATTATCTATGATTTACTTACTTTTTATTTTCTTTAAAATCTGTTTTAAATATATTGTAACAATTATAGATGGATTTTCCTGTGATCTCGTTGTAAATTAGCTTATGACAAATATAGGGTGTTACAATTATTGTAATTTGGTTTGGTAATGAGTATGCAATTGAAAAGCCAAACACTGAATGGTATATTTCATGATTCTATATTAAATTCCACAGAGCCGATAAAGAGAAACTTACTTTGCAGAGGAAACTAAAAACAACTGGCATGACTGTTGATCAGGTTTTGGGAATACGAGCTTTGGAGTCAGAAAAAGAATTGGAAGAATTAAAAAAGAGAAATCTTGACTTAGAAAATGATATATTGTATATGAGGTAAGCTATTATGTGGAAATGTGCCACCCATTGTAATGAAAAACTGGTTGACCCCTAGAAATTGAAATAATAAATGTGTGTTGTCTTAAGCTTGGGTTATGTTTTCTTTTCCCATGTGAATTGAGATATTCCTGGTTCTTCATATGCCACATAATTTTGGTGTATTTTTGATCTTTTGAATATTATATTGTGAGACTCTGGTTCTTGTTTAAATTCTATGGGAAAATGTAGATACTTTTGTTTTAGCATGCAATCGGTCTAATTAGGTTCAGGCCACAAGTTCCAACCTCATTTCTTGGGCTGTGGTTCCATTTTTCAAAGCCTTTTCAATACTCTTCAGATCTGTCCTGCCTGTGTACCTCACAATAGGTGATCTGGTATGTGAGCTATGTACCATTAGTTCAGTTCTTAGAAACTTTGGTATTCTGATTAGGATCGATCCATACATTTGCAGCTCAAGAGTGAGCCCAGAAGTTCATAAACAACTTTATAGGGTCCCTTTCTTGAGCTCCTCCCTCTTTGCCATCTCTCTGATACTTTGTTTCCCTAGGGATTTCCATTTGGGGCTTTAGTTACCCAGTGATGCCATGTACTTCAGGAATTGCACACTTCTGCAGCCAAGCAAGCAAGAGGAGAGTAGAAAGAGGAAGAAAAAAACGACTTTTACCTTACCCTCTTAGTATCATAGCTCTACCAATTGGAGATTTCCCTCCCAAAAAATATTAGCTTCTGTGAGTTCCCATTGCAGCCTCTATTACCACTGCTATGGGATGGCTTAAGGGTTGGGGCATGAAAGAACAGATAGAAGAAAAAAAAAGTGAGGTGTTTTCATATTGTCTCTTGAGTGTTAAAAGATTCCCTTTCTCTTTACTCGAGCTAGAATTAGAAGGTTTACCTGGAGCTCTCTCTGTCAGTGCAGACACCCATCTTCAGGTTTCAAATAATGTTGTCTTCAGGGCAGGCAGTAACAGAATAAAAGAAAAGGTAAATTCATCACCTGTTTGCTGCTACTTTAAGTCCTGGTATTCTATTGTAATCTGCCTTCTACTCCTTTGCAAAGTCCTCAAATGGTTGCTCCATGCATTTAGGAGAGAGAAGATTGAATGTATTTACTCCATTGTACCTGGAACCAGATGCCCTTGCCCTGCATCACCCCATGTCATTTCTTAGCAGAGCCTTTGAGATTTTTGTGTGTGTGTGCTTTACAATCTCTTTCCAAGTTATATCTTCTGATACAGTCATGGTCGTGAAAAGCAAAATAAAATCATGTGTTAACATTTAAAACTTTTTAATTTTATTCTGACAACAGCTAAAACTATTTAATCTTCTGTTTCGCTCATTTCTTCCAAGGTAAACTTCAGTTGGTTTTACGTGATTTGCTATTTCTTCTTCTTTGCATTTACAAATGATCTGTGATCATATTACTGATCTTTGTAAAGGGCTAATATCTACCTGCAACATTTGGATATGACAGTATTTACCCTTTGTAAATACACATTTTCTATTTATCTTCAAAAATTACCATTCATTAGTCTGTGTTAATGTCTGTTTACTATTGTGTCATTATGAATGTGATGTGAACATACGAAGTTGAACTTATTTAAACGAACACTCTCATGAGCTTCTAATCCACATTCCTTCCTTTTCCTTCTAAGTTACCATTTCTTAAAAATCTTTTAGAAGTTTCCTTGATAGGGAAAACACAAATTATTGAGGAATTTTTCTTTCTCTTGACATCTGTTTATAGTTACTCTCTTGTTCCAGCAGTGGATATTTCCCCTCCATGTTTTTCTTTGTCTAAACATATGTTCAAAACAAAACACTTTTATTCTTCTTTGCAGGTTTTACAAGGATCAACTTTTAGTTTTGAAACCTGCTATTACTTTTAGAGGCCATTTTTTTTTTCTCTAATAATGTGAGTTCATGCGGGCTGAAGTAATTGGAATACTTTATAGAAAAGATTGAATTTGTCTTCTCTCTGAACTCTAGTTTGAATTTCTAAATTTTATGAATCATCTAGATATTAAAGAGGAGGGGCATATCAAAGAGGAGAACCCTAGCAGAGATAAGAGGCAAGAGTAAATGTTTCATGTATGGGTAAGAGTGGATTTGTATTTACCTAAGTAAAGGTAGACCCTGGACAATAAGGTTGGATAGATGTGGAGGTGGCAAACCATGGAGGGTCTTGTAGGTCAAGTGGATGTTTTTAGACTTGAAGTGTTAAATTATTATCTGAAATCATTAAGAGTCTTTTTAGATCCTTGAGCTTCTTGAGAAGACCATGGATATTATGCAGTTATTATATAATGTTTTAAAATAGTAAGTATTTTAGTTTAACTGTCTTATGTAATTCCATATAAATGGATGCATGTTCTTTAAAAATGTTAATGTATTTCAGTAAATCAAAATATACTTTTTGACTCATCATTTAAAGGAGGCCTTCAGTGAATGCTCTGTAGAGGATTATTTTATAATACTAATTTTGATATCCTAATTTATTTGTTATAAAGTTTAGAAGGTTTGAAGAATTTAAAATATAGTGTTAATAAACACACTGAACTTTTCTTTTTTTATCTTGTATTTTTATATAGTACAACAGAAAAAAGATGAAATGTGAATAGTAAAGAGTCTGTGATTGTTGTTCATAGGGCCCACCAAGCTCTTCCTCGAGATTCTGTTGTAGAAGATTTACATTTACAAAATAGATACCTCCAAGAAAAACTTCATGCTTTAGAAAAACAGTTTTCAAAGGATACATATTCTAAGCCTTCAGTAAGTGTATATCTTTTATTATTTTTTTCTTTTTTCCATGTTAAAATGCATGAAAGTGAAATCAACTTCTTTCTTAATCTGGCCAAAAGCATTACATCTTTCTCATTAATAGTAATACAGTAAATTCAACTTTTATTTTTAACAGGTAGTGATGTGTAATAATTTATTTAATCCTTTTTAACATAATAACAGTAAACTTAAGATTCTTAAGCTTTTCATAAAGCTCATAAATGATTTCTAGAAATTTTAAATATGTAGTTATCATTATGTATTTTGCTGTAGCAGCAGTATACAGTTAAATAAAATAGGAAAACATGTTCCAAGACTGTTTTCATTCAAATATTTATGCTATATTTTTAGCTTATAAAAACTCATTAATCATTAATGTAAAATTATTTGTTGGATTTTTTAAATATTTAGTGTATTATTTTTGTTTCTTTTTTCTTTCCATGTTTCTTCATTCTTCCACCTTAAGCAGAATCAGGTGTGTGACACAACTATGTTTTCTATCCTTGTTACCATTATTAATAAATACAAGGGCATGATATTTTTCACAAAAGAAACACTTTGTTCAGAACCAAAAAAGATCATGGCAACAGTCAGAATTAAAAATGGTAAAAGACTAGGTGCCAAAGATGACTTACATAATTGGGTACCTAGAAATATTCTATGGTATTACAGTAATGATGAAAAATACAAATTAGAACACATTTTAGATCCTATTGAGTTAAATAAATCAGAGTCAAGACCAAACAATAAATAAAGTCAATTTACGTCAACAAATGGTAAGTTGGCAGATTTTAACTCCCTTTTTGAAAATGAACCATGATCCTAAGGTTGGTAAAATTAATCAAGAATGTTGTCAAAATGATAAAGATAAAAATGAGGAAGAGAATAAGATAGGCAAGAGTGAGAAAGGAAAGAGACACATAGCTGAAAATGTGAGTCACAACAACTACATAGATCCGTAGAATCTGCTATGGAGGACTGTGATTATGTGACAGTTGCTGATGCCGTGGCTTAGTGAGCTGAGGGTGATGCACAGGCAGGCGATGTAACTGATGCGTCAGTCCAGCCAAGAAAGGACGCGTCCCTGGTTTGGCTACGTGGCCGTCCTTTATTTCTTTGTTAACTGAATTTTCTTATAGTAAGTAGCTTACGTACATATATAGTGCAAATGGGAAAGTGTGTAAGATTTAGAAAAAGCATTAACTATTAGTAAACTTTATCTTAAGCTCTAACTTTTGATTAGTTCCTACAAAAATTAGTGAATATGCATTTTCTAATTTAGTGCTTTTTTTTTTTTTACAATTGGTGTTCACTTAATGTTATATTAGATAAATGAATAGCAAAAATAAGGTACTTTAGAGTTGATTGTTTTGCCTTACAAACTTCTAATCCATCCAGCTGTATTTAGAAGTAAGATCTCACTACAGCGAATTATATCAGTAAAATTTTGTTACAGTGTTGTGCAGTGTCCTAAGATGTATACTAAGTTCCTTCAGTGGCTTTTTTTGCCATGTTTTATAACAGATAATTTTGTTATAATGAGAAAAGGAAACTTGGATGTGTTGCTGTCTATATTGTGTTAGGCTCAGGCAGGATGCTGTGGCTTACTCATTTAATCACTTTGGGAGGCAGGGGCAGGAAGATTGCTTGAGGCCAAGAGTTTGAGATCAGCTTGGGCAGCATAGCCAGACCCTGTCTCTACAAAAAATTTAGACAGATGTGGTGGAACACATTTGTAGTCCTAGCTATTAGGGAGGCTGTGGTGGGAGGATCATTTGAGCCCAGGAGTTTGATGTTACATTGCCCTATTGCACTCCAGACTGGGCAACAGAGTGAGACCTGTCTCTAAAATAATAATAATGATAATGATAAATGGTGTTAGGCTCTGTGCCTAAGTATATTTTTCACATAGGCTGGGTAAAGTGGCTCATGCCTGCAATCCCAGCACTTTGGGAGGCCAAGGCAGCAGGAGCATTTGAGGCCAGGAGTCAAAGACCAGCCTTGAGAGACCCCATCTCTACCAGAAAAAAAAAAAAAAAGAAACAATTAGCTGGGTGTGATTGTGCACACCTGTAGTCCTAGCTACTCGGGAGGCAGAGGTGGGCAGATCACTTGAGCCCAGGAGTTTGAGGTTATAGTGAGCTAAGATTGTGCCACTGCACTCCAGACTGGGCAACAGAGCAAGACTGTCTCAAACAAAAACAAACAAACAAAAAGCACTTTGCAGAATATCAGTCTAACTCTACAGTTTATGGACTTTTTATGTACGTACTACTTTTGGCTAGCTTACATTGAGATACAGAATAAAAGTTTGTTCATAGCATTTATCGTTTTTTTCTTTATACTGTCCACCTGAGATATTCCAGTCACCTAAGTCATGGAAACATCAACTAAAATTAAATATCTATGTTAAGAGAAAATGGCTGAAAGTGATTTAATTCATAACACTTTTTTTCACATGCTAATAAATAAGAGTTTGAGACTTCCACTAGGCATTATCTCTAACTCCTATCCACTAAGAATTTGATTTTAAGTAGTTGATGGCTTTTAACCGGATTATTCTTCTGTAAGAGTTTGGAAGTCTCGTGAAGTTCGTTATACAAGAATTCTGTTTACAAGAGAGCATTACATTAGAATTTGTTTTTCAGAAATTTGGACTATCTCAACGAATACCTTTAGTTTTATTATTTCAAAATGCAAGGGAAAAAATGAGCCATAATCACTAATAGTAACTGCATCATATTTTAGTGAGAAATGTGTTAAAAATATCCTCATGTGAGATCTTCCTTAGATAGAATTACCCTCTACTCTAATATTTAATATATTTTATATCTACCAATCAGTGATATTAATAGGTGTTTATCATTTGCTGAATCAAATAGGTACAACAGAAGACAGGAAGTTTGGGAGATAGAAGAGCTCAGGGACAGGAAATCACAGATGTCCATATCTGAAATAACCTTAAAAGTTATCCTGTCTAATGCCTTCACTTATAAACTGTAGTGGTAGAATTTGCCTAGTATTAACCTAATAGTGGTAGATTTGAATGTATACTTGGGCTTTCTTATTAAGTGGAAATGTATTCCTGTGATTTACATATATCAACAAAAATGTTTGTCTTCTTTTTTTTGCTACGACATATGTGCATGTGCACACACATCTCCTCAAACAAAAATCAGATGGACACATGCAGTCATTGGATCTAAAAGATGTTATAAAGTTGTGTATAATAGGTATTTTATAATAATATATTTTAAGACCCATAATGTCGGTGGAGTAACTGACTTTACAGCCCATCAAGCCAATAGAGAGAGAAAGGAGAAAAAAATGAAAGTTGTGCTGAATAATTAAAAAAAATTATTTCCTATGATGCTTATAACAGTCCTATGAGGTAGGTGGTATTCTAATTTATAGAAAAAATGCATAGAAAAATATAATTAAGCACAGTTAAAAAAAATAAAGTTTAGAATGAGAAGTAACAACATAAATAATGACCCAATGTAGATTCAGGTCAAAAGAAATGAAAATATAATATTAATGGTTTTCAAAGAGGGAACCATTACTTTAGCTCAAAGAATGAAGGAGGGCTTTCCGAAGGAGTAAAGAATTATGGCAGTTCTTTTGTAGCCTAGTGTATTCATTTGCTAAGGTGGCTGTAACAGACTACTACAGATTTGGTGGCTTAAACAATAGAAATTTATGGTCTTAGTTCTGGAGACCTAGAAGTCCAAAATCAAGACATCAGCAGGGTTGATTTCCTCTGCACAATCAGAGGGAAAGATCTTTCCCAATCCTCTCTCCTTGGCTTATAAATGTCCATGTTTTCCCTGTTTCTTTTTATCATCTTCCTTCTGTACATGTCTCTGTGTCTAAATCCCCAAATTTTCTCTTTTCATAAGGATACCAGTCACAGTCGAATAGGGTTTACCCTGAAATCTCATTTTAACTTGAATACCTCTGTAAAGACCCAGTCTCCAAATAAAGTCACATTCTGAGGTACTGGAAATTATGACTTTAATATATAAATGTGGAGGGTAAGGGGAACACAGTTCAACCCATAACGGTTAGATAACAATCGTGCTTTATTTTGGACTAGTAAAACCACCATAGATCAGTTTAACCATTATGAAATTATACATGAAGGCATTATATGTATGGACATTATTAAGTCATACTTGCTTTGCTTCCATTGTAATTAAAACAAACCATACTACCTTTGTTCTGCAAGTTTTGTATTCTAACTTATTTATTTTTGGCTTTCACCAGAACACTCCGATTTTCTCATATTCCTTTGAGGAAAAAAAGTTACCTTTTGACAGTATTTTCTTATCCAGTATGTCTTTTATGGCTTTTATTTATTAAACTTTAAAAATATTCCTAATTTCATTTCCCTGAAGATTTCAGGAATAGAGTCAGATGATCATTGTCAGAGAGAACAGGAGCTTCAGAAGGAAAACTTGAAGTTGTCATCTGAAAATATTGAACTGAAATTTCAGCTTGAACAAGCAAATAAAGATTTGCCAAGATTAAAGGTGAATTTAATGTTTTTTATTAGGAAATCTAATGCCTAAAACTCCTTCCTTAGTTGTTATGTTTACTTTTATTAGCTTATTAAGAAGTCAAAAATGCATATTCCTAATATATCATGGTGATGGTATACTTTATACATTTGCTCTTTAGCATTTATTTGTTGAAGGCCTACTTTATATTAAACACTCCTCCAGATGCTGGGAAACAGCAGTCAAAAAATTCCTTATACTCATAGGACTTACGTTCTAGTGGAGAAGACTGACAATAAACAAGTCACTAAATAGTATGTCATCTGATGTTAGTGCTAAGGAGAGAAATAAAGCATGATTGGTGTAAAGAGTATGGGGAGAGAGAAGGGGTGTAACTGAAAATAGAGTAGTAAGGGAGGTCTTCCTTAATAAGATGATATATGAACAGAGAGCTAAGGAGGGGTAAAGGAAGTGAGTCATACAGATACTAGAAAAATAATTACAGACAACAGAAATAGCAAGTTCAGATGTCCTAAGGTGGGAGGATGCGTGGTATATTTCATTAAAAATTATCACACTGTAAAATATAAGAATAATTTGTTTCTTTTAGAAATTTTACTTTATTCTGATATTAATAATGATTTTTTAATCTTTGGTTTTCCAAGTCTTACCCTATTTATGGGAATCTTTTTTTTCTTTTGGCTAGCTAATTGCTTCAGTTTTGTTTTCTAATCTAGAATGTTAGCAATCTGTTAATTCCACTGGTAATGATATAGTTAAGCTATGTCTTGCTTCTCACACTTTATTTATTTATTTACTCAGGGCACTAATCTGCCATTTTTTCGCACTTTTTTTCCTTTTTTTTTTTTTTGGTACTGCTTCTTATTCTGGTTTTTACATTGATAGAACCAATGTTAGACGTTCATTTGCCTTTTGCTGTGTATATTTGGGTAAGGATCTATATGTGCAATATATGGGACAGTTAAAATCAGAATTCTAAATTTGTATTATTGCATCAGGCAATAATGTGGGAAATACCTTGACATTTCATATACACAATATTCTTGTATTAATTTAACGTCTTAGTTCAAAATCTTCCTTGTTAATATAGAGACCCTATTATTTGGTTTGGCAATACAGTTGAAGAGATTGATGGTTCTTATGAATTGTTTGCCTTTTCTTTTCAATGGCTGTAGCTATGTTAAATTATTACATGTTTGCTTGTTATCTTTCAGAATCAAGTCAGAGATTTGAAGGAAATGTGTGAATTTCTTAAGAAAGAAAAAGCAGAAGTTCAGCGGAAACTTGGCCATGTTAGAGGGGTATGTGAGAATTTACCATACATTTGTTTTGGTTTCAGCAGTGATAAGCCAGAAATGAAAAGTTTAGATATGTTGTAAAAGTACTGATATGCCTCTACAAGTGCCCTGTAGTTTCAGTGTTTATTCTGCATCTGTAATATAAAACAGTAAGCATTTCTATGTGTCTCAAAGTATTTTATCATCTGTTATACCTTACATACTTTCATCTCTCTTTTTATTGAATATGCCTCCATACCTTGAAAACATTTAACTTCCAGGAATCCTTTTGTTTATGGAGGTAACTGCTAACTGGTCCTTGGTCCAATGCTGCCATTTTGTAACCATTTGTTATGATATCTTCCCAGCTTGGTATAATGTTTTATAATTACATTGTTCCTCCCCCTCTTTTTTTGTGTTCTTGTAATTTTCTCCCTATGTTATTTTGTATTCATTTTATATAATGAATAAATGTTGCTTATGAGGTCAAGGCCAAAGACTTAAGCTCCTGTTGATTTCATGTTGCTGAGTGTCATAAATGGAAGCAATCATAATGCAGAGTCATTCTGGTAGTAATATTAAATATATGATGGATTCAGTGAAAATATTATGTGTTATTAGAAAAATATTCAGAACAGGCCGGGGGCAGTGGCTCACACCTGTAATCCCAGCAATTTGGGAGGCCGAGGCGGGCAGATCACTGGAAGTCAGGAGTTCAAGACCAGCCTGGCCGACATGGTGAAACCCCATCTCTACTAAAAATATGAAAATTAGCTGGGCATGGTGGCTCATGCCTGTAATCCTAGCTACTCAGGAGGTTGAGGCAGGAGAATTGCTTGAACCTGGCAGGCGGAGGTTACAGTGAGCCATGGTCACACAACTGTACTCCAGCCTGGGCGACAGAGCGAGACTCCATCTTTTAAAACAAAAAAAAAAAAGGAAAAATATTCAGAACAGTATCTTGCTGGCAGCAACATTTGTTTCATCAATGAAAATATGTGTTAATTTGACCTTTTCTATCTAAGTTAATTATGAAAGTGCATACTAAAATGATGTAAAAGTTTATATTTCAGGATTATTCTTATTCATGGATGATTAACTAAAATGCAAAAAGAAATTAAGCATACTGTTTGGCTAAACTGTTAAAAATTATTTTTATTTTAAATGATAAGCAGTTAAACTTATTAAGTGATGACTCATCTCTGCTGATATATTTATGCAAGGTTTTTTATTTCAGATAACTCTTCTATTTATATTAAACAGAAACTGTATTTCTAAGCAATAGCATTTCTTAGAGAAAATTGCCTCTATTATGTTGCAATTAAAATTTAATTACTCATGAGCTCTTTAAAGACACAATTTCTCTTGTGTGGTTTTATTTCATATAAAGAAAAACTCTGATATACTGGAGAGAACATTAGCTAAATAGACTATTTAGACTTAATCATTTTGATCAGACATCAAGGCTAGACTATTTAAGCTGTTACTTATTAGCTGCATGATTTTAGGAATGTCAAATTTCCTAAGTCTTGGTTTTCTTGTATTTAAAATGGAAATTATAATTCCTATCTCATAGAATTGTTTTAAGGATGAATTGAATTAATACAGTTTTGACTTCAAATATTAGGAATTATTGAGTATAATAAGCCTGTTGTATTGTTGGTACTTCGTATTATACTTACTAAAATATTTGATTAAAGATTTAACATATTCTTTCGTAGTCTGGTAGAAGTGGAAAGACAATCCCAGAACTGGAAAAAACCATTGGTTTAATGAAAAAAGTAGTTGAAAAAGTCCAGAGAGAAAATGAACAGTTGAAAAAAGCATCAGGAATATTGACTAGTGAAAAAATGGCTAATATTGAGCAGGAAAATGAAAAATTGAAGGTAATTTTTTTTAATGTGATCATTTTTAGGGGAATATTTTACGTTTTGTTACTATTTAGGAAAATTTCAAATATGCTCATTACTATATAAAATGGCTTTAATGAATACAATACATATTTTATAAATATAGAAAAAAACTTATGAGAGGCAAGGCTAAGGGTTATAGAGTAGGTCTACCTGATCTTTCTTGTTATTTCAAGACCAATACTTTTCACTTTTCTCTCTGACAGCATAGATTAATTACCTGTGTCTCTCTTTTTTTTTTCTTTTGAGATGGAGTACTGCTTTGTCACCCAGGCTGGAATGCAGTGGTGCAATCTTGACTCACTGCAAGCTCTGCCTCCCGGGTTCATGCCATTCTCCTGCCTCAGCCTCCCCCAGTAGCTGGGACTACAGGTGCCCACCACCACGCCTGGCTAACTTTTCGTATTTTTAGTAGAGATGGGGTTTCACCATGTTAACCAGGACTGTCTCGATCTCCTGACCTCGTGATCCGCCCACTGCGGCCTCTGTGTCTCTTTGTGAAAATACAGATGCCCAAGCTCCCATCCCTGAAATTGATTTAATTATTTTAGGGTGGGTCCTGACACAGATATGTATGTTGTTGTTATTTTAAGTCATCAATTTATTCTAATATGTAGCCAACGTTGGGAACTTCGTTCTCACTAATATTCAAATGAAGACTTTAATTCTAATCATATCAAATATGGTTTCTAAAACTACTTTGAAGATTTATGAGTTTATAAGATTATCTTTTATTTCCTTGTTTTGATAATGTATACTTTTTATTTTGTTTGTTTTTTTACTAGGCTGAATTAGAAAAACTTAAAGCTCATCTTGGGCATCAGTTGAGCATGCACTATGAATCCAAGACCAAAGGCACAGAAAAAATTATTGCTGAAAATGAAAGGCTTCGTAAAGAACTTAAAAAAGTATGACTTTTATGACTGATTATAACTTTTGATTTTTATTTTACTTAATACCTCTTGGAAAAACTGGAAGTAGATCCTTGATGAGAGTGTCTGTAAAGGTAGATATTAAGAGATTGAGGAATTGTGTTTCTATGCCTGCTGTCATCACATTCCACCATGAAAAACATTGATAATAAAAGTTAATACATTTAGGCTGGGCACGGTGGCTCACGCCTGTAATCCCAGCACTTTGGGAGGCCAAGGCGGGTGGATCACGAGGTCAGGAGATCGAGACCATCCTGGCTAACACGGTGAAACCCCGTCTCTACTAAAAATACAAAAAATTAGCCGGGCGTGGTGGCGGGCGCCTGTAGTCCCAGCTACTCGGGAAGCTGAGGCAGGAGAATCGCTTGAACCCGGGAGGCAGAGGTTGCAGTGAGCCGAGATCGCACCACTACACTCCAGCCTGGGCAACAGAGCGAGACTCCATCTCAAACAAACAAAAAAAAGAAATGATCTACGTTGCTTACACATACCTTATGCTTATAGCTAGGTCTCGTAAGCATTAGGAAGTCAAAACAAAGAATCTTTTACATGTGTAAAGGTATAAACTATCCCATTTTTCTAAAAATATAGAGGAACAAAGTGTCAAATTTAAAGTAATCACTAGTAACTAAATATATTCCTCTGACCTCATTTTCGTGATCTGTTGTTCTAATTATTATTGGCCATATTGCTGCTTTAAAGGAGAGATGTTGAATTTGTTGAAATTTTAATCAGCATTTAGAGCCCCAGGTTATTTTTGTTTTCCAATTTGTAATGATAATTTTGAATACACTGAATCTATGAGAACAGTATTATGTTTTCTCATAAAATACTAATTAGCATTTAATGATAGGAAACTGATGCTGCAGAGAAATTACGGATAGCAAAGAATAATTTAGAGATATTAAATGAGAAGATGACAGTTCAACTAGAAGAGACTGGTAAGAGATTGCAGTTTGCAGAAAGCAGAGGTCCACAGCTTGAAGGTGCTGACAGTAAGAGCTGGAAATCCATTGTGGTTACAAGGTAGGAACAGAGTTTTAAACTTGTACAAAGTTTAATCATTTCAAATTTTGGCATTGTTTTAAAAGACAACACTATTCTGGATAACCTGGTTTCTTCCTGATGAACAGTTTGTTTGGTTGTTGTTTTAACATAATACTTTTTTTCTGTTGTAGTATTGTTGGAGACTTTTTCTTCCTTGAAATGTTTAACTTGTTTAACCTTGTTTGGGTGGCAGGGCATGGAACAGTGTAGAGCTGGGGCTGGGCGAAGGAGTTGGAGCTGTGTGTGCGTCATGAAGCTGTCATCAGCTATGAGCCTGGGCTGAGGCTGCTCAGCTTCTCCTGGGTGCTATTTTTCTCCAACTGCAGCTTCAGCTTCTTGATTGTATAATTTGCTTCCTCAAGTATGAGCCAGGAATAATTGAGCTGTCTTGTCACAATGTGTGGCATACTGGATCTAGGCTGTGCTGCAATGCTTTTAGAGTTATATCCTGGGCAACTTTCTCTTCAGATAGCCCCAAGAGATGAATTCAGCACCAGCTTTGATGTTTTACTAGCTTCTGCTTTCTGGTACTTGATTTTCTCCCACCCCGAACACATGGGATTCCAACCTGTGAAACTAATTTTTGTGGCTATGAAAGAGGTAGTGGTAGTTTATGAGTAAACATTCAGTCTGTTGCCACTATCATCATGTGTGGTTCATCATGACTGTGATGAGTAGGTAAAAGGCTCTTTGTGTCATTCTCATTTCCAATTTTAAGCAGCTGCTTCAAGGAGTCTGGAAGTCATTGACCAGTGGGATCCTGCCTGTGTCTTTTCCCATTAAAGCCATCCTGTATGAAGTGGTATCCTTTACCATCTAGCACATCTGCCGCCCCCATTTCAAAAGGCATACTCATCTTTATCTCAACATTCTCATACAGTTCCTTATGTCCATGCACCTCCAATGTCCCCTTTGATGTCTTTGAGGTTTTCATCTTCCATGTCTGCTATTTGGAATGGTCTTGATGGGAGGCAAGATAGTGATCACTACAACTAGGATGGGAGTCTTAGTACCGTGAGGCTACAGCAAGTCCCACAGAGGGCCTGCTGCACTGTACTTGCCTCTGTCAACCAAGTCTAAGGAGAAAGATTAAGCAGGCATATTAAAGGACAGCCCAGATGGACATGAAGTCCTGGAGGAGGCCTTGGTTCCTGTCCTAATACTAAACCTAGAGTACCCAGAATCCACACTTCTCCACTCTAGCTCTCACTTTTCCCATCTACACACTGGGAAAAATTATTCTGTCAGAAAGCCAGTGTCAAGGTGAGAACAAATAACAAATGTGATGATATGGAGTGGGAGAAGGGGTCTCTTCTACTGTCTTATTGGACCCTAGCAGTGGCTCTGAGCCAGCAGTCCTGTCAGTTGATTTCTTGGTCGTTCCTTTGTTTTCTTCTATAATCACATGTGGACTCAGAATGAATTTTGAGTTACTCTGAAATCTATTTATTCAACAGATATTTACTTAGTACCTCCTATTGCCAGACTCTGCTTTATGTTGGATATTATTTTTTAAAAGCCCACCTTGCCTAGATTTCCTCAAAGGACCAGGTGGCTTCCCTGGTTTTGAAAGACCCTAATTCTTACTATGATCTTAAGTAAATTATATCCTTTCTGTGGGCTCAAGTTCTTTCTAAGAGGGCTCTTTGGGGCTACAAAAGAAATTGTTAGTGCAAAAAGAGTTTATAAGGTTTATAAATGGTTAGTAGAGGTGATGATGATATTTAACCATAATTGAAGATGACTTTGCATTTTAGATCATATACGTGTTTTTCGTCTGAGAACGATACAGGTCACTGAGCATACCATAAGCCTTCAGTAAATCATTTGCAGAAGACATTGCAGAAGACATAAGTCTAAGTAGAAATCTCTTGACAGAGAGAAGGCTCGTTTTGATCCTTGACCTCAAATTTAGGTTCCCTAAATCCATTAAAAAAGAGAAAGAAAAAGAAAAAAAGTTACTAAAGTTTAAATCTGGGAGGATTATATACCCTTCTCAATAAAGCAGTTTAGAGAGATCTCTTTTGGGACCCATGACACAGGTCTTGCTCATGCTGACATCTTTATAGTTGCTTTATTATTTATTCAACAAACTTAGTAACACGTATTCTATGTCAGGCCTTTTCCTGACTACTGGGACAAACCAGGGTGATGTGGGGGCTGTTTTAGATAGGGTGATCAGAGGAGGCCTCTCTGTTTGGGTGGCTTTTGAATAGAAAATTAGATGAAGTGAAGGAGTAAGCTTCTGATATTTCACTGTTTACTTGTGGTAGATCTGTGATAATCTCTGTCAGGTTAAAAACATTCCCTTCTAATCTAAGTTTCTAAGATCTATCAAAAGCTGTTTGAATATATTTAGACAATCATAATTTTCCTTTCTTGTATTATCCTAGCAGATTTTGTTGCCAAAGCTATACTGGCCATTTTAACTTAGAATGCAGTCTTTCTATTCATTTCTCTGGAAAAGTTTGGATATTGTAAGCATTATTTTTCTTTAGGTATGATGAACCTGCAGAACTGTTTGGTTCAATTATGAATTTTTTTTTTCTGGAGTCTGTATTTTTTTGAACTATTAATCATTTCTTTAATGATTATAAATCTATTCAGATTTTTACAAGCTTTATCCCTCTCCCATCATACACTATTTTTCTTACCCATGCTTTTGCACAATTTTTTCCTCTCCCTTAGTGTTTTCCTACCTAGATACCTCCTATGTGTGTCTGTGTATGTGAGAAAAGCTTTTTATTTGCCATCTTTATATTTCTAAGAATATCTAGTAATACAGAATTTTATATTCTGAAGAATTTTACTTTGCATTTTCTTATTTTGTGATTGAAAAAAGGTATTAATTTTAAAATGGTCAAATCAGGCTCCATCCTTGGAAAATACCCAAATCCTTTATTTTGATTGGGCCATCTGTTAATTAGGGATACCTTATCTCTTGCCACCACTTTTTAATGCTAAATAAATATGTAGCTAAAACTTTGACTAGAAGAAACAGTAAAATAAGATATTCTTGCTTATTTTTAGTACAGTTATTTGAACTGACTTTTAAATCAGTGACATAAATTATTTGCCATGTCTATACTTTTTTTCCTTATACTTTTAGAATGTATGAAACCAAGTTAAAAGAATTGGAAACTGATATTGCCAAAAAAAATCAAAGCATTACTGACCTTAAACAGCTTGTAAAAGAAGCAACAGAGAGAGAACAAAAAGTTAACAAATACAATGAAGACCTTGAACAACAGGTAAGTAACGTAATTTTTCTTTACATGATAAAATAATGCATAATATCGCAAGATGTTCCTTGCATTGTCTTATATAGATAAAAATGGACTCTATTAAGAAGACCCATCTAACTGAAGGGCACCCCATTCACCCATTTGCTTAAGCCAGAAACTTTGGATCATCAACGACTTCATTCTTTTCATTCTCCACATTTTCTATCATTAAATCATGTCAGCTCTATTTTCAAACTATATCCTAAATATGACCACTTCTTGGTATCTTGAGACATCACTACCAGTCTTGTCCAAGCTATTGTTTTATACCTGAATAACTGCAATAATTTCCAAGCTGGTATCTCAGCTTCCACTCTTGGATTATTTCACCCTATTTCTATTTCTGGGCTGTCTCCACACAGTTGCCAGGTAACCCTTTTAAAACATAAAGCACATCACAAAGCACAAAGTCCTATCCTCAGAATCTTCCAGTGGTTCTCCATCACCCTAAAATAAAACTTAAAAGTTCTTTTCATATCCCAAAACAACATATGAGGTCTGGCACCCAGTTTTCTTCCCAATCTCATCTTCTACTACTTTTCCCTTCATTTCATTCACAATGTTTTAACCACAGTAACCTTCTTTCAGTACTTTAAACAATCCAAACTCGTTTAAGCGTCAAGTCCTTATACTTGTTTCCTTTGTTTAGAATACTGTTCACCCAAATATTCTCATAGCTTGCTCCCAGACTTCATGTCTCTGCTGAAATAGAGGCTCCTTAGAGAGACCTTCCCTAACCCTAACCCTAACCCTATACTACTTGCCATCACTCTTTATCCTCTTACCCTGGATTATTTTTTCTTGATAGCTCTTCCTACCATCTGGCACTATATTACATCATATCATATTAAACACACATTCTTTGTGCTTCCCCACTAAACAAGGACCATGCAAGATGGAACATTGCCATTTTGTTCACTGCTGTTAGCCTCTGTGCCTAGGACAATGCCAGTTATGCAGTAGTTACTCAATACTTGTTGAATGAATGGTGAATAGAACATAGAAATTTGCCTATGCGTGCTTTTGAAAACCATATTTTAATATTACGCTTTGTTAAAAATGTGTATCTTTATAAATCCTCATATTTCCATGGCAAACCTTATCTTCTAACTTTTCATTGTCCTCAAAGATTAAGATTCTTAAACATGTTCCTGAAGGTGCTGAGACAGAGCAAGGCCTTAAACGGGAGCTTCAAGTTCTTAGGTACATCATGTATTCATATGACTACTTTGTTTTTTTCTTTAAAAAAAAAATTATTAGTTTTTATATACTCCGAATTGCTACAACTAGAGACAAGCATTTTTCGACTTTACTGCCTAACAGGCTTATTAGGTCCTTATTTCTTCCCTCTAATGCTAATCACTCTTTTTCATAATACACACTAGAAAAAAAGGATAAACCCAACTCTAAGTTTCCAGTTTGTAATTTAGTTTAAACTTTTCTAAGAGCATAGAATGAGTTAAACCTTAGCTTCCCAGAGGAAAATACTAATGAAAGAGAACAAGTAATTTTTTTACTTTCAGGGGTCTCTGTAGCCTGCTTTCATTAAGCTCCTCTTATAACGAAACCACACTTGCAAATGCCATCAGGTCAGATATTAAGAAAAACGTGAAGGCTTTTGTATTCCAGGCTTTTTGTTTGAGAATGGTGACATTGTAGCATTGAGAGTAAATGTTTACTTCGATAAAGGCTAGCTTGTTCTGATTACTGTACATCACTAGTTCATAAGAAATGCCCATATATTTTATGAAGCAATATCTGCTTTATTTTTTTAACACATTATCATTGTGTTCTAGATTAGCTAATCATCAGCTGGATAAAGAGAAAGCAGAATTAATCCATCAGATAGAAGCTAACAAGGACCAAAGTGGAGCTGAAAGCACCATACCTGGTAATGTATTTTAAAAAACATGTTAGCTACCCCCAAGTTTTTGAATTTGGGTTTGCCTTTTTTTTTTTTTTTTGGCTCAGATTTCTGATCATTGTCTCCCTGTAAAATCGAATTCCTGATAAGCTTTGGGTCTTTTGTCTCTCTGTGCTATTAATATAAAAATATTCCCATTTTTCTCTTTGTGTTGTTTATACTATAGAGTAGCAAGTACCCAAGTGTTCTTCTCTTTGTTCTCCATCTGGGTGTTACAGATTTAATCACAATACAGTGCTAAGCAATGAATACTAAATCTGTTGCTTCCAGTTTCTAAGTATAGGCTCTTTCAAGTCCTCTGAACATTTTTAAAAACTGCAAATAAGTAAATACTGCCTATATTTTTTTCCGTTTACAAAGTAAAAAGAAAATCTTTCTGCTCCCTTCCATTCCCATTCAAAAGTGATTACTAATCATTCCTCATTCCTGCATATACATACACACATATTTTGTATACATATATATCACACATATGCATACATGTGTTTGTATGTTCATATGTACAATGTACATATCCTCATTATTTGTGGATTCTGTATTTTCTAAATCACCTCCTCACTAAAGTGTGTATGTAATCCCAAATCAACACTCGCAGCACATTTGCAAACATCCACAGAGCCTTGGAAAGTTTGAATAATCCAACCTACATGTCCCCAGCAGAAGTCCAACAAGGCAGTGCTCAGTATCCTCATTTCAGTTTTCATAGAGAAATGAGCAGAGGATGGAGACAGTAGAGGGCAGCACAGCATAGTGCAAGAAGCTGTGGCTCTGGGGCCTGGTGGAAGGGATTTGAATCCCAATTCTGAGGCTTGTTACTGCTCTAGCCTTAGGAGAGTCATGTAACACTTCTGAATCTTGTTTTCTTATGTAAATAAATAGAATTTACCAGGATGAGTTATCTTTAGGATTTAAGATTATCATCTGTGTGAGATATGTAGGTGTATGTATATATATGCGTGTATGTATATATATGCGTGTATGTATATATATGCATGTCTGTACATATTTCCCGTAGCAGCAGTGGTTTGATATTCACTAATTGGGCTAACTTTATAGACCAAAACTACTATGGATAGAGAATACTTTGTTTGCATTTACGTATATATATTTTCTTGGCAAGTAACATAAAATTGAACTAATACTATACACATTTCTAGCATATTTGCCTTTAACAGTTTATCATGGACATCTTTTGAGGTCTGTTCATAAATTATCTCATCCATTTAATAATTCCATAGTGTATTATTGCATGTATAAGCACATCGAACCATTTATGTTTTGATGGATATTTAGTTTGCTTCCAAGTTTCTGCTTCTATAAAATATGATTAATCTATTGACCTAATTATGCCATTGTGATAGGATGATAGAGATGCCATTCTCTCCAAAGGATTATACCAATTTATATCTGAACTATCTTTGACTATCTCTTGTAGCTTTTTCAGTATGCTATGTAGTCCTATTACTAATTTGTAATAAAAGCCATCATGTGTGAGTTGTACTAGACACTATGCTAATTGCCTTACAAGCATTCTATATTTACAACCATATATGATAGGTATTACTGTCTCCATTTTATGTGATAAACAAATTCAAAGTGGTTAAGTAACCATTCCCTAAGCCAGCTAGGAAATAGAGGCAGGATTAAAATCTAAATGTATGAAACTCCACAGCTCCTTGGCATTCCTAGTCCTTAACCCGCTATGCTATGCTACGTCTTGGTAACTAAAAGTACATATTAAATACTCTCAAAATATGTCTCATAGCAGCCAGCTTGGTATGTACACTAGACACAGTATTAATGCTGTTGATGTGAGGAAAATTTTATAATTTTCCTTCCATCCATATACTAACCAGGCCCAACAGTGCTTAGCTTCTGAGATCAGAGATCAGGTGCATGTGCATTAAGGGTCATATGGCCATAGATAGTTCTCTAATCTTTCCATTCCTCAGTTTCTTAAGGGAATTTCTGAACCCTCAAAATTCCTTATTTCCTAAGTAGACAGATTACCTGTCATTTTTCAAAGATTAAGGCTTAAGATCAAACCAGAACTGTTTTGGAAATTCTAAATCACTGTCTATATAAATGGCAAGATAACTTTTAAGATATTTATACCAAGCCCAGTACAGTAGCACACCACACCTGTAATCCCAGCACTTTGGGAGGCTGAAGTGGGTGGATCACATGAGGTCAGGAGTTCGAGACCACTCTGGCCAACATGGTGAAACCCTGTCTCTACTAAAAATATAAAAATTAGCCAGGCATGGTGGCACTTGCCTGTTATCCCAGCTACAAGGGAGGCTAAGGCAGGAGAATCGCTTTAACCTGGGAGGCAGTGGTTGTTGCAGTGAGCCAAGATTGCACCACTGCACTCTAGCCTGGGCGACAGAGTGAGACTGTCTCAAAAAAAAAAAAAAAAAAAAAGATACTTGTCCCAGCCATGAAAATGTTTGCTGCCCCTTACTTTCGCAAACTTTTAGTATTTTATTATTTTTCAATGGCTGTAAAATATGACTTATTAAATGTAGTATAATATAAAGAAAAGAGATATCTAGCAAAGATAGCATTAAAGCAAAAATCCTATTTGCCTGCTGATAAAGTTAGAGGTGTTAACTTGGAGGGTGAATCCAATAAATTAGAACTTTTGTGCTATATTTGGAGACTTTTGTTTTCCTACCAAAGTATCAGGGCTATGTCTTACTTATCTTTGTATTACACAGCCTGCATGACACGTTTTGCACATAGTAATTGCACAGTAAATGTGTAATAACCTACATGGAATAGCCAGTGTTGTGTTGGATAGCGGGAGCATTTGGCTAGCTTATGGTTATAGTCCCTTACCCAACAGTCTGCTTTTCTTCTGTTGTACTTTTAGTACCTAACAAGTTTCCCTGGCTTTAGGATTTTTTCCATGTAAAATTTCTATCATGTGAAGAAAAAATAACTTGGCCTACACTTCTAATACCTAGCACATACCTCTTTCTGCCTGCTATGAAATTATAATACTTGATGGAGGGAGGCAGCATTAAGTGTTTACATCCTGAAGTATTTCAGCCATAACATCCAGTGTTTTCCAGGTTCTAGGTTTCATAAAATGTATCTCTGTTCTCTAGAACAAATCCATTACCTTGAACTCATTCGTAGTGGGAAAAAGCTGAGTCTAATTTGTATGACTTTTTCAACAGATGCTGATCAACTAAAGGAAAAAATAAAAGATCTAGAGACACAGCTCAAAATGTCAGATCTAGAAAAGCAGCATTTGAAGGTAATATTTAATTATATTTTAGTATCGTTTTGTGAAAACAGCTGTTGAAAACTATTTTCATTACCATCTTTAACTACGTATCCTAAAAAATTCAGTAATAACATCTTATATTTGACCTTTATATTGCAAAGTTAATTATGTTCATCTGACTATTCCTAACATATTAGAGTTAACAAAAAATTCAGACTCAACATAGGATTAAGTAGTAAATTTATTTTTTAATTGTAACAAATATATGCCATTAGTATGTTCTTAAGTTTTGGGTCACATTGGCAACAGTGTCTTTATTTTTTTTTTGAAATTCTTTTCAGGAATCCTAAGGTTATAGTTCCCTTAAAAAAATATTTGCTGTTTTACCTCTTTTAAGACTGTAAACAGGACAAAAAGGCATGGATATGAGAATTAGCTAGTGATCACTGGCTATTCTAAATAGTCACTAAGGCTTGAATTGTCTCTTCACCAGATGCCTGTCAGAAGTCCCAAAGGTTTCCCTGATCATATTAATAACTTTATAAAAAATTGATCATTATTCATTAAATATTAGATATTAGTAAGGAAAATATAAATGAAGTCTAAACCAAAACTCTTAACCAGACTAACTTCAATGTTATGAATCACAAAATCTTTTTGATTGATTGCTCTATTGACAAGCTCTTATATGCTTTTAGAGAAAGATTAAGTCCCATTATAAGAGATGATAAATTTTAGTCAAAGACTAGAACACAACTTACAGAATACATAACTGGACTTGACAGTTAACAACTTAGTTATTTACACTGTACAATGGAACAAAGAAAAATCTTAATTCTTCTGCCTTTATTGCTGTATTTGACCATTCAGGAATACTTTGGCTTTCATATTTACAATTAAATCTCCTTGTTCAAACGTAAAATATGTATATTTCCTATATGCAACTTTTAAAGATAATGTTTCCATTAGGAGGAAATAAAGAAGCTGAAAAAAGAACTGGAAAATTTTGATCCTTCATTTTTTGAAGAAATTGAAGATCTTAAGTATAATTACAAGGAAGAAGTGAAGAAGAATATTCTCTTAGAAGAGAAGGTAAAAAAACTTTCAGAACAATTGGGAGTTGAATTAACTAGCCCTGTTGCTGCTTCTGAAGAGTTTGAAGATGAAGAAGAAAGTCCTGTTAATTTCCCCATTTACTAAAGGTCACCTATAAACTTTGTTTCATTTAACTATTTATTAACTTTATAAGTTAAATATACTTGGAAATAAGCAGTTCTCCGAACTGTAGTATTTCCTTCTCACTACCTTGTACCTTTATACTTAGATTGGAATTCTTAATAAATAAAATTATATGAAATTTTCAACTTATTATAAAAGTATATACTTGAAGACTTGTTACAGCCATCAAATAGGCAGTGAGCTCTGGTGAATTTCTCTACATTCATAATGCTTTAAGTTTTTTAAAGAATATGAGGGTAAATTCAGCAATTTTAAGATTTAAAATTGGAGTTTATATATACTTATTTATACATGTGTTAAGATTCTCAAATCCTATGATATATACACAGATGTAGACATACACACATATAGGTTATGAGGTTGAGCCGTATGTTTTGTTAAATATCTAGCAAAATTAAATTGAGCTTAAACTATTTAATTTTGAAAATTAGTGACATTAAATTGTTGTCTTTAAATTACCACTCAGTTATAGTGAAGAGAATCCAGCCTTTGTCCAAGCTTAGGAGCTTACTATTACTTATGTTTTTATGGCTAGAGATTAAAATTAATTTGCTGGTTTTTAATAAAATTTTGAATAGGTACTTGAAACTGGAAAATTCATTTCTTCACAAATGGTAGAAAACATATTGATGTTTCATAATGAACAGAAACCTTGAGATATTTTTAAATATGGTAGAATATTCAAGATTAGAATATAATGATAAACTAATTTTATTTGCATTTTATACATCAAATATTATATCTTTGAGTCTAACAAATTTCTGATTATCTATTTTTAAAAAATGATTAAACAAACACTTAATATCAAAGGCAGAGTCACATTTGTTCAGGTTCATGTTGATAATAACTGGTCTTGAATTCATGTAAGTATCTGGAATTGGCCAGCATAAGCCAAGATGATGGCGATGGACCTGGAAAGAGAAAAAAGGTATTAGCTTTAGCATACAGATACTATCTTCATTCACTTAGAAATATTTGAGTGCCCACTGTCTGCCAGGTACTGGGTAAGACTCCACTTTATCTTACTGTTTTTTTTTTTATAGCTGGTCTTCTCCTGACATATTACATATTTGTTTATTGTCTATCTTCCCCATTAGAATGTGAGCTTCATGAAGGCAGACACCTTGTTTTGTTGACTGTGTATGTCCAGCACCTGGAAACATGCCAGGAACATTATCAGGGGCTCCATAAAATGTTATGAATCATAGAGCCTGTTGCTGAGTACAGACTAGCTACCTGAAAAATGTGGGCAAGGAGGCATTCTAATTGAAAGGAATGTTATATGATAGAATGGAGTTTTTTGCTCTAATTGCAATCATGTAAATATGGTTACAGCAAACACAGTGTGAGTGTGTTTGCGGGGGCAGAGGTGGAGAGCAGTTCTGGGAAATTAAGTAGGGGCCAGATCATGAATGTTTAATGTAACTGAACAGATTTATGCAGGAAAGTAATATGCTCATTCATTTGTGAAGAATGGAGAGGACAGGGCTAAAACTGAAAGATACTATTTTTGGAGGGTGATATGATAGTTAAAGCATGAATCTTGGCTTAAATTAAAATTAACAGTTGGGAAGAAGTACATAGATTAGAACTGTTAGGAATTGATAACTGGATGTATGAAGTAATGAAAAGAGGGGTTAAAATTAATATCCAAGTTTTTACTTCAGTGAATTATGTGGACTCAGAGAGTTACAACTAGGCCCAGTTTTGAATATTATGAATTTCAGGTACCTGTGAGAAATCAAACAGACAAGTCCAGGAGACAGAAAGGGAACAAAGTATAAGATAATTCATTCTGTATATATCAACTGCTACCTTGGCACTCTTTTTACTCAACAGATTCTACACTCAAGTCTGGGAGATGCTGAGTTAAGTTAGTACAAGATGTCTCTGAGAGCACTACTGTGCAACATGAATTTCCACGCAGGGGATATATAGTTATCACTTTAATTCTGAAGCACACCTGTTATGATCGATGCCCCACACAATACACACTGGGAAGCACTGTTTTACCTCTTAAAAAATGGTGGTACATGGGATGAGAAAATTAAATTTCTTTACTGCAAATAAGAATTGCTGCCATTTGTAGAGAGAATTTTAGTGTCACTTCTACTCTATTGTAGGAATATAAGATGACATAACCCCACCGGAGCTATTTTTGCCATTACCTTTATTAAACAGCCATCACTGCAATGCCACACTATTCCTTCAATTTTACCCTCTTTGCAATCTTCAAACCAGGACACGAGATCATTGTGCTTCAATGAAGGTAGATTTCTTATTTGAAATGCTCCATGTGGTATAAGAAGATGTAATGGATGTTTCTTGCTCCCTAACCCTAAGTGGGAAAATTTGCCATTAGCCATATTCATTTAAAGGAACTTTCAGAACTAGAAAACGTACCTCTTCAAATAAAGTCTTTTGAAACACTTAGGAATAAAGGTAGAAAGGCTGGTTGGTTTCCTTAAAAAGAATATAACCCAGTGCACTGGCACCTTATTCCAATAACTCTAAATTCCACCTTGGTGTACTCTCCACCACGGTTCAGCAAACTATGACCTGCAGGTCAAGTCTGGACAGATACTTTTTTTGTAAATAGTTTTCCATGAACACAGCCGCACCCACTCATGTAAGTACTGTCTGTAGCTCCTTTCAGAAGAGTGGCCTACAAAACTTAAAATACCTACTCTGGCATTTGGCAGAAAAAGTCTACCAACCTTTGGTACCAGTGTGGCACTGGCCACATTCAACTATTCTTCAACGTTTGCCAAACAGCTGCACTGTATCTCTGATAACTTGTCTAACTACCATCTTAGCTTCTTTACACCTGGCAGTCTTCTTTTGATCTCCATATAGGATTTTCCTATTATAGCTTTAGCATCCTTAGGTCTGTCTTCCCATCCCCTTGTCAGCAAGGTGTAACCCATAGTGCTCTCAGTACTTGCACTCAATTCATCATGATATATATTTTGATACTTAACATGGTATTATTCATTGCCAATTCTTTATACCGTTGGCTATTTAAATTGATGCTATAATAACCATGAAAAGTGCATTTTCATCAATCGACTCAACTCACCTGAATTTTTAAAAGCAAGGGGGTTACAACTGAGTCATTACTTTTCATATATAGTTGTGTAATGTTATTACAGGAAAGAATGAGGATAAAAATCAACCTTTTGGATTAATAAAATGGTTTCATTTCTCTGTGAATGTAAAGTTAACAGAAATGGATATAATCCTAGGAAACTAACTCAAATTTGTTAGTCATTTCTTTAGTGTGTGTATGTTTTTTAAGTTGACCTAGAAAGTTCTCTTTATAAATGTCAGTTACAATAACTGAACAAGAAAAAGTCTTCACTCACCATATGGGTTTCCATTGATATTTGTTCCTATGAGTTCCAGTGTTTGTTCTAAGAGATCTGAAAGTGGCACTGCACTAATTTCCAAAAGTCCAGAATCATCAGGATGATGTTTTAGTACCAGGGCAATTTCAAATTCATAATTAACTACAGAGGAATGCCAGCAATACTGTTTGTTGTTTTTCTCTACTGGTACCCAACCTATCATATAAAGAAGAAAATTATTTGTTATTAGATCGTTTTTCTTTGGACTGACACTACAGGTAATTTATATTTTTGTTGTAAATTTCTCATGTTTTCTGGGTGTCTATCGCAAAGAGATATTACTTTAAAATTCAGTGGGAAAGTTAACAGTTTATTACTTTTTAAAAAATCATAAGGGTTCATTTTTTATTCTGTAGAATTAACCTATTATTCACTACACAGCACCTAGCATTCTCTTACTAGAAAATTCACCCTTATTCATTAAGAACTGAACATTATTCTAAGACACAGCACTCAAAATTTTTTATATAAAATAAGTTTTCTCTCTGCCTTCTCTCAAGCTTCAGGGACAATGGACATAATGCAGTTAAGTGTTCCAAGTTTATTAAAATGTTCCAATATATACCGAACAATTTACTGATGCCACGTTTATTGAATGTTATTGCTATTACCCTTCTCATTCTTATTGCCAGAATTCCTTCATTACTCACACTAGATTACTGTAATAACTTCTTTGCTGGTCACCTAGCCTCCAGTGAAATCCAACCCACTTTTATCATAGTTCTATTTCTAAAACTTAAATTTGCTTTTGCTGTACCACTGATTAAAAACCATTATCTTCAGGATAAACTTCAAACTCCTTTAGATGGAATAAAAGGGCCTTTCCGATCTGAGCCCACCACACTTCTAGCCTCAACTTTTACAGCCACTTCATGATGTCATATACCCTGAACATTCTAGCTGCAATAAAGTGTTACATAAAATATTCAAAATACCCCATGCCCTCTCCTCTTCCTGGGAGTTTGCCTAAGCTGATATTCCCTCTTCCTGGGAGTTTGCCTAAGCTGATCTTCCCTCTTCCTTGTCAGCTGACTTCCTGGTCCTTAAGCTTCAGTACAGATGTCTACTCCTCTTGGGAGCCTCCACTAACCACAAGCTGAATGAGGAATTCCTCTTTTCTCCAGTGGCACCTGATGTATTCATTCCTGTTAGTTCTTAAATCATACTATTATTGGTTAATTTCTCCCAATGTCTAATTAAAGATCATTGAGGACAAGGGTTCTGACCTTCATTTTTGTATTACCAGAAACTAAGAGGACTTTGCACATAATGGGCACTCAAGACATGCCGGTTGAGAACCTATAACCTTAATCTGGGATATCTTCCTATTCAGCATACCTTCGCAAAATTTTCCCATCCCTAATCTAAAGGTATAGCCACTTCTTGAAATCTCATTTCAGACTAGATCATCTCATCTATCCTGACAAGAACTTGGAAGCTATTCCCTCTTCTTTTGTTGTTTTTTTGAGACAAGGTCACAGTCCAACTCTCAGGCTAGAGTGCAGTGGCACGATCATGGTTCACTGCAGTCTCAACTTCCGGGGCTTAGGTGTTTCCCACATTAGTCTCCCGAGTAGCTGAGACTACAGGCGCACAATGCCATGCCCAACTAATTTTTTGTATTTTTGGTAGAGACAGGGTTTTGCCATGTTGCCCAGGTTAGTCTTAAAACTCCTAGGCTCAAGCAATCCACCCACCTCAGCCTCCCAAAGTGCTGGGATTACAGGTGTGACCACTGCACCTGGCCTCAAGGCTATTCTCTTTTGACGCTTTATTGTCACAGACTACAGCTAGTAAAAAATGCCCATCTTAGAAAAGATTCTAAACCTAAGAGGACATTCTTGATATGAAACATCTTTGATATAAAATGTATGTAGGACTTTACATAAATTTGATTCAGAAATTCTGTGCTATACATATTAATGAAGACCCAGATTAAAATTCTGTAATTTCTGATTGAATGGATATTTTGATCATTTTACTAGTAAACACAAAACTGCACTAGAAGAGATATCATGATACCAGGAATGTGTCCATTTTCATCAGGCACTGGGTTCCCATTTATTTGTTCTGTCTCCTTTGCTGGTATCCAGCACTCCGGAGCTGGTTTGAAGTCCTCCTCAACGTTCCAAAAAAATTCTAAAAAATATTAAAAAGATAATATTGTATGTGGTGATACTTAAAAAACGTAAAATACTAAACAGACTCAAAATGGGAACAGCTACTAAAACCTCATAATATCAGGTGTGATACAATTATTCTCCATTCATTATCACCACAACATGACTGTACTTAAGATTAGGGTACTAACAATTTAAATATTCAATTTCATATACGCCATTTGTATACAGTATTTAACAGTCAAACTAAAGTAATCATATTCCATTAAGTATTAGATTTATGAATTTTTAATATACTATGAATACAAATATAAACATAAATACATGAATGCATAGATATACAATGAGTATCTACTACAGATATTTAAAAGCATTTTAATAATTAAAAATATTAATTTCCTGAGATTTGTACTTGATTTATAAAATTACGTATTTGTCTCTTACACAAAATGTCACTCATTTCAATATGCAGTAATTTGTATGTTTTAATAGACTCATACTATAAAGAAGTGACAAATATTACAAAAATATTTTACAATATTTTTCAATAATATCCTTTTATATATAAAAGTATTCAATTATAGTTTTCCTAAATTGCTTAAATTACACAGAAGGATATAATGTATAGAAATACCACAGCAATAAATATGCCACAAATTTCAGCTATTTAAACATGAAAAGTTAAAAAAAAACTAACCTTTTGGGTTTTCTTTTGAATGTAGAAAATTTTTAAATCTTTTTTCAGCTTGTTTGTTGGGTTTTCTATCTAGTCGAGCCCAAAGGTATGGCTGATCTAAAAAAGTAATAACAAAAGGAAAAGTATGATGCAAACAAAACTTATCTTGAAAGACATTTCAGAATACAGTTTGTCAACAAACAGGAGGCTAATTTCTCAAAGAAGACAAAGGGAAATATGGAGTCTAAGAATATATACCTCCTAGCAGTACCTGATGCTATGAGAAGACTTATTTCTCTGGTTAAAGAATGAGGGGGATGAGACAAAAAGTAAATATATGATCTTTTTTATAAGGACACTGCATAGTCATATTGTATGAGTTAGCAGCATTTATGGACAACTGAAGCTACCTCTTCAAAATGGAAACATAACCAGATAACTGTATTTACCCCACCCCTTCCCCCCAAACATAACACTGTGCTGTAAGGGTTAATTCTGACACATCTGGAATCAGGCTGAGCTGTTCTGCATGGCACTGACCCCTGATCAAGGCATGAAAATACTAATAATGTTGATTTGTACTCATGGATCTGAGGAGTTGCAGGGCACTGTGCTAGTATTCTTTATTGGTAGGAGTGAGACTGATAGCTTGGTCTGAGAACCCTGGAGGGCTCTGCTGTTGAAGCTGAGCATCAGCTGCCTACCTACGTGACCAGCAAAAATATAAAAATCTCCAGCTGTGAGTCCATTTTGCATTCCCTGGTTCCAAGCTGTTTGCCTGCACACATAAGTGGTTCCTGATCTAAGAAAATGTGTCCTGCCAAGGCTCTAAAGCAGGGAACAATAGTAGCTTTTACTTGGCCTCTCCATACTCCTTACTGTGAGACAGTCCTTGGCTATAATACACATCTTTACTTTTAATGCCTTAGTAGTAATAATTTAGTAGTAATTCTTTAGTAGTAATAAATGTGGATTTGTAAGCATTGTCACTTTGGGTTCTGTGACTTGAGTTTAGCAGTTAAATTCTAACCCAGTTTGCCGTCCTCACGCATAATGATACACACTATAGTTTCTTAATAGACATCAAAGTCTAAAAAATCTTTTACAGTTTTCTCAAGTATACAAATCCAAGGTTTATAAAGAAACTGCTGCACAGTGGTCCAAATATTCTGTACTACTTATTAGCTATCCAGATAAATAATATGAAGAACCAGATTAAAACTGTATTATCGTTTCTGGTTCAATGGACCTTTTGTTTCTTTTTTACCAGTAAACATAAAAAATGCAATTTATTTACATCCATTAGAATGGCTACTATCCAAAAACAAAAACAAAAATCCAAACAGAAAAAAGCAGAAAATAAGTGCTGGTGAGGAAATTGAAAAACTGGAACCTTTGTGCACTGTTGGTAGAAAGGTAAATGTCTGCAGCCACTATGCAAAACAGTATAGTGGCTCCTCAAAAAATCAGAATTTCCATATCATCCAGTAATTCCACTTCTGTGGAAGCACAGCCTCAGATATCTGTTCATGCCTGTTTACAGTGGCATTATTCGCAATAGTCAAAAGATGAAAGCAACCCAACTGTCCAGCAATGGTTGACTGGATAAACAAGATGTGCTAGATACATGCAATGGAATATTACTCAGCTTTAAAAAGGAATAAAATTCTGATACATGCAACCAACATGAATGAACCTTAAGGACATTATGCTAAGTGAAATAAGCCAGTCACAAAAAATAAACACTGTATGATTCTACTTATATGAAATACCTAGAGTAGTCAAATTCATAGAGACAGGAGAATGCTGGTTACAAGGGGCTGGTGGTGGGAGAATAAGGAGTTGTTTCATGGGTAGCATTTCAGTTTTATAAAATGAAAACAATTCTTGAGATGGAAGGTGATGATAGTAGCACAACAATGTAAACATACTTAATGCCACTGAACTGCATACTTAAAAATGGTTAAGATGGCAAATATTATGTATGCTTTAGCCCAGTTATTTTACTGCATTTCAGAATAAATTTCCTGATACAAGGAATGTGTCCAGATGTCCATTTAATGCCCCAGGAATGTGTCCAGATGCTATTTTTTTCTGGAAGTGAGAGGTAATCTCACCGTCCAAAAATAATTGCAAAAAAAAAAATCTCTTTTCCGTACATTTCTTCTTAAAATGACTGACAATTTCTATTTGCATTTCTACCTTTTAAACTACATTAAAGTGAAATTAATTAGAGACACTGCCAAGAGGAATAAAGCCCCTGGAATCAGTGCAGGAAGAACAAGCTTAAGGGTCACACGAACATAGGTCCCATTGCCAGTTCAGCCATTCAGTCACTATTGGGTCTTGGACAAATTATTTAAGTTTGCTAAACCTCATTTTTATTGTCTGTGAAATGGAGAGGCTACTTGTACAAATTGGAGATAATATATGTCAAGCACCATACTGCCTGAGCCCTTAAGGGTATTAAGTAAATATTTTAGTTACCTTTCTTTTTTCCACCAGGAAGAAAATACAGTAACATAAGTGAACTATAACAATTGTGACCTTTTTGTTTTGCTACTATACTTAGGTTTCCAAGTGTTTATGAAGAGCAAATGCCTCATTTCAGATAGACTGTAAAGTGATTAAGAAAAATAAGTAATATTTGTAGTAAATATTATAGTTTTATTTTACCTTTATAGGTAGTAACATAACAACATGTTCCATCCACTTTTTCTGTTGGAATTGCACTGTATATATCTGCATCTAATGCCTTGTGACTTACAGTTTCAGTTGCCAAAACTTTAAATGGCTTAAAAAAAGAGAGAGAGAAAACCGGTTTAAGATAGATAGCCTCTATGTCTTTGCACACATGCTCACCTGAAATCTTCTTAATTTCATTAGTTTTAAGGAATGATCTCCAGTTCATCTTTCAGAATGATTTAAAAATATTTATTCTGTGAAGTTCCGAATTGTTTGCTCCCTTCTGTACTATCACAGCAACACCTGATTTTCTACACAATTCTGTAGTTATTTACGTTTCTTTATCCACCTTTGTTCTTTGCAATGCTGCATCCCTAGCAAAGGCATTCAGTATATTTAATCATATACCTGCAATTATTTACTAAATGCCTAAGATTAAGCATTGTCTTCAGCACTGGAAATACAGAGGTGAACAAAAAAGTACCTGCCTTGGGTGAAACTTGCATTTTAATGAGGGAGACAAAAGAAGCACAATGCATAATATAATGTTAGCTATGACAAGCAAGTGCTAAAAACAAATGGGTAAAGGAAAGAGGGATGAGGTGCTATTTTGGATACGGTGGAAAGGGAAACTTTGAGGAGGCAACCTTTAACCAAATTTGAAGCAAAGGAATACCATGTAAATATCTGAGGAAAAAAACAAAAGGTAAGGTTTCTTGATGTGTCTGAAGAATGCAAGGCAGACATTGAGTCTGGATCTGCGTGAAGTAAAACTAGATTGTATGCTTAATTAACTTAAACTTCATAAGTGCTTCTGGTAGTTCAATACAAGTATCTTTCAATTGTAATTTTCAGTTTTCCCAAGAGTCAATCTACTCTTCAGTACATGAGACTTTCCCCCTGTTTTATAAGCACAAACATTTTTGTGATTTACAAAACTTGTTTTTTAATTAAGACTTGGTTCATAAGGAGTCTTAGCAAGGATGTGGTAATGTACTCCTGTCTCAGGTCACATTCTCAGGGAGCAGGCAAAAGAGACGGAAGATAGTTCATACTTTGTTTTTGCCTTTTTTAACCTTTTTTTCCTTGCAAAGCTAATAGATGCTCATTATAGAAAATTTGTAAATGAAATATACAAAGGCATAAATGAATCACCCACGTCATCACCCTTCAGATGTATCACAAAGAACGTTTTGGCATACTTCTTGTCTCTTTTTCAGTGCATTTTTCTCAATATAATTGACATCAGTTTCTATTTGCTACCAAGAAGTTTCTTTAAGAGCCAAAATCAAATGGTTTCTGGATTTACTTTTTTCATGTTTTTCCTCCTCAACTGCATGATAAACAAGTGCTATTATAAGCACAGGCTGAAAAACTAATGATCTTCATCCTTTTCATGAAGCAATTATCATTAGTATACCTTCATTGTCACAGAGCTTGCATCTCTGTCTAAACATAACAGATCACAGACTTTAAAAGCATCTTAATTTTCAGAACTATTCTATCCTTGATTCAGTTTTATATCCTAAAAATCTTCAGATGTATCATCATAAAGTTCAACAAATACTCTTAGGAAAATATATTATCTGCCTGAAAGGAAAGTTCACCCCGATGGTTTCCTACCATTAATAGTGATTTATATTAGACATGACAGTACTACAAACTTAAATTTCTGAGCTGTATCAGCTATGGTTTATTTACTTAAAAAATGTTCAAGATGGCAAAAGAAAAATTGCCTCTATAAAACAAATCTCTTGACTCTTGAGTTAGGCTTCACTTTGACAACAGTTTTCTTCACAGTTACCTGACATCCCCATGTAGTCTGATGAATTGTTTACTTTGAAAGTTGTATTTAGGAGTCTATGTTGATCTAAAAATCTTTGTGGTAACTCATTCAACAAAGCTTGAGCATCTAGTTTGTGAACGGCCTTGTCCTAGACTATGCAGGCAGAATATAAAAAAAGGAGTAAAACCCGCTGGCATCACCTCTTAGACGAGACCTCATATTAGCACTCCTGTAAATACAGCCCCACTGATAGCACAAGCTGGCCCACTATGCCATCTTAGAGATGTTATACCGTATACTTCAGAACCATTTTAGTTCTATGTCTTTGCACCATGAGTACTCAAGATTTGAAGTTGATTTTGTTTTTTTCATGTTTTTCCCCTAACAATTTTCACCGTTAAAACTAGTAAGAATCACTTGCCTTTTGTTTTTCCTTTGAGTTTGTTTGCTTTGAGAGTACTCACTTTTTGTCCCTTTCAGCTTTATCAGTAGTCAGCTGTTTACATATTTAATTTATGGTTTTTCTACTGTCAGGAAGAAGAAGGGCACCAAGGATGAGGAAAAGGCAGTTTCTTGGGTTCCTACTAACTTTTTATCTATAATTTATTTTCATTTCTGAAAAAGACTTATGCCACTTCTATAGTCTGTATCTGAAGTAGCATCATCTTACAAAGTGAAACAACACTGTACAATATAAACATACTGCTGTGTGTGAGCTTAAGACTTATGCACTATTGCAAACAGGTAAACTAAGAAATTAGCCCCTTCTAGTACTGATTCAATACTTTTAAAATATAATCGTCTAGTAGGGATTCAGTACTTTAAAAATACAACTGGTTTTCACTAACTTATGATGCTGGTTTCAAAGGATATCAATTTAACCCAGGGTGGTAGAGCCACAGGGTCTGGTCCAATAGCAGTGTGTGTGTATCTAAATTTATCAAAGATCCTATGTGGGGGGGAAGATTACTCTGCCCCATGGAGCTCCTGATGAGTATAAACATTCCTTCCATAAAAATCAATCATCTGCTCTTTGCTATCGACATATCCAAAGGACAACACGAGACACTGAGGGGTACACAAAGTTCTCCTTCTCCACCTGTCATAAAAGGCTTTAGACTATTACCGGAAAAACAAGGTACGTGTATTAAAATAGTGAATATCAATTGAGTGGCCCTCTACAATTTCTGGGTAGGGGAAATCACTGAAATGGCTAAATTGATAAGATTTTATGGAGAAGAACTGACTTGAAAAATTAAAAACACTCTAGAGGTGATCCAGAGTGAACAGTCTGAGCAAAAATATGAGACAGGATTGTGGTTGATATGTTCACAGGATGAAATAGATGGTTAAAACAGAATCCACTTTAAGGACGATGGAAGGTAGATTGAGCCTCATTAGTGGGAGGCCCTGAATTATAATTAAGAATGTGGATGCTATGCTATAAACGATACTGTAAGCTGTTCTTAACTGCAGAGAGGTAAGAGAAGGGGCTGCTTATTTTCCCTGGTGGAGAATACTTTCACAAACTACTCCCCTCAAACATACGAAGTTGAAAATCACAGTAGAGTGAAATACTAAAACAGATGATAATGTTTCATATGGATTACATTTGTTACAGCTAAAAAAAAAAGCCAATTACTGCTACAAACATTGAGTAATAACTGTGGTATTCTGACGAGGAAAGAACATGGTGATGATCAGTCTGAGTGGCAAGTAAGACCAGTTAGGTGGTGCAATGAGCAGGACATGAAATATTAACTGTAACAGCTGTGACAGCACTAGAAAGCAGGAAAAGATCAGATGCTATAAGGTAAAAAGCATCAAGGTGAATGGAAAACTGGCATGAAATGATTCCAGGGTTCATTCTTTAATTCAACAAATATTTATCCAGTGCCTACCACGTGCCAGGTCCTAGAAGCTGGGACTAAAGATAACAGGGCAATCTTTGCCTTAAACAAGTTTTAGTCCAGAAGACGAGAAAGCCAGTGCCAATGATGAAACTCAAGTGAGGTGGATTTCCAATGGACATGTTGGTTTTGTTTGAAATCAGCAAAGTTGGGAAGCACCCAACTAATCACTGGGGATTCTACTGATCAAAGACTACAACGTTTTATAGTACAATATGAAAAAATTACCCAAATATAGGTTACTCACTAGCATTTACCGAGGGCACACTATGGAAAACACGTTGCTGCAACAGAAAACCTTGAGAACACCAAAGTTAGAATAAATTAAGTAATTACTGGTAATATGAGGTGTGAACTTCAGTGACCTAATTAGGCTACTGTCAACACCGCCACTGGTTCGGACAGAACAGGTAAAGCAAGTCTTCTAATATCCACCCTTTCTTACTGCACTCTTGAAAAGTAGTAAAGCTTGGACTGTGGCAATTACCTGATTAGGGGGTTTCCCCAAAAGGTGCTGACCTGAAAAGGAAGGGACATGCTGTGGATGTGAGTTATCCATTTCCTTGCGAGGACAAGTTTGAATCTCCTGATAAGGAAAATTCTTTCGCAAATTCCCTCCCTCACAACTAAGAAAAGTACAAGAACCTGGAGCTCAGGGCGTACGGAACTCCCACCCCAGACCTCCCCAGGGAAACCTACAGAGGTTCCTGGCCTGCAGGGCAGTTCTAAAGCGCCCAGCCGCCCTCGCCGGGTTCGCACTGAGCCAGCGCCGCGGGGAGGAGCCCACGCGGGCCGCCAAGCCTGCCCGGCGCTCCTCCGTACCTGATGCTCCCTTTTGGAGGAAGGCTCCTCTTTCACCTCCGTCACAAACACACACGGCATTTTCCGCTGCACGGAGCCCAAGCGCTTCATGATGAGCCCAACAAGCAGTGCGAATGGAGGGCGTGCTTTCGAGCGGCGCCCGGTCCAGTCGCGGAGAAGCCCTGAAGCAGTCACCCGCACGGCTCAGGCCACGCACACTCCGCGCCCAGCCACCGCGGCTGCGCCCCAACTACCAAGCCCAGCGAGGGGCGGGAACGCCCGTCCAGAAGCGGCTTCCTGGCCGCGGCGCCTTCTGGGAGTTGTAGTGCAGAAGCTGAGGCGCCTGGTGGGTTCCCACGTGCGTCCTCCGCCCCCCACCCTCGGTTTTAATAACCGTGAAAAAAAAAAAAAAAAGATGCGTTTCCCGAACGTGGGTACTTAGCAATACCTAGTAACTAATGATTTTTTGGGAAATTAAATAAGATCAAATTATAAGCAATGAACATTTCAGATGTCGATTTAACACAGTTCCAATGGAAACTGCTTGCCTGTTATCTTTAGTTCGTGGGGGAAGCACTGTAGAAGTTTAGAAATGGCTAGAGACATCCCCAGATTCCCAAGCAGAATGAAAACTTCCTTTCCGGTAAGACTATCAGAAAACCCTATAATAAAACACCTGGGATCAAAAAAAGTTGTCGTTTGAACTACTCCTTATTGTGCAGCATAGCATGGTCGAAATGATTCTGATGTTCTTTTCGGAGTGAGTGCGAAATTTCAGCCTTAGACTAATCCAAAAGTACAGGAATACCTACAACCAGATTTCATTCTCAAGTTTTTCATAAGAATCTTGTTTAATTAAAGGTGAGCTCCAACAGCCCAAATGGCTTGAGTAATGGTAGTCAATCAACTGCGAGCTAAAAACAGCCTTAACTTACTGCTCAAAAGAATATTTTGAGGGTAAGTGATAAGATGGACAATGACTAAATAAAATAAATACTAAATATTTAGGAATAGTAGCCTTTCCATCTCATTGAATGTAGTAGTTCCTAGCCTGAAGTTGTAGGGGAATTTTGACTTTACTGCCATCCTTTATGGGCTTGGACTAGGCCCAGGTCTCATTTCTTTGTCTTATCTGCATGTACTCAACTGTCCAGCATGTTACTGACTTAGCCCTTGGAAAAATTAAACAACTATATCTCACTTAGAGGTATCTAACTAGTAAGGGGGTTCTCAAAGAATAAAACATCTTCCTTTAAAAAGTTCACAGTTATATTGAATACTGACAGTGAAAAAAAATAAAATTTAAAAAAAGTTCACAGTTTTTTGATTACTGGATTCAGAGGGGAGGGAGGAAGAAAGAGATTTGCCATTTCAAAGTGTTTACTTTCTTTTCTACTATCTTTTTCTCACAGGAAAACACAAAATGTTCTCCCACATCACACCCCGCCTGCATTTATCAAAAAAGAAAACACCTGATGCTGGCTGTGTGCTGTTGGAACCAGAAACTTTTTAGCATATTATAGTCGAGTGCCAGTGACTTCTTTGTTCTTTCAGAGGCATTCTAAAAAGCGGCGTGTTTCACGAATCTCAGAGACAACAACTTTCACAACTATCAACTGTCACCTCCCAAACTGCCACAGAACCTTTTAAGTCCAACATTCTGTCATTTGTGGGAAATACTCATCTTCTAAAACACACTCTACTTATTCTTTGAATAGTAGTTGCAAAGCTAGTCATCTCTCAGGAAGCACTTTCTATTTCCAAAACTTTGGTTTCATCAGTACCTGGAGCAAAGCTTCTGGCAGAAACACAAATCCTCATCAGGGGAGAGGCACAGGATCAACTCACGGTTATAAACTGGACTCCTGCTCTGACGGGTAGCAGCCATCAACTTTGCCCGATTCTCATAATTCTGAAGGGTCACCAAGGAGTTGCTACCAGCCACTGTACTTAAAGTGGTGTCACAGGATTACAAAATAGAAGAAAGTCTTTCTTCTCTGACTAATATGTTAGTGCTCTAGTAAGCATCAAAGATGAAAGACACACAATGTGAGCCTGCTTTGGCCAACACAAAGTACTTACAGAATTTTCAGGCCTACTTCCAGCCCTGGAGACAAATTTCCCATCATTCTTCATTACAGGAGTAATCATCCTCATAGGGCTGTAATAGCTTTTTTTTTTTTTTAGATGGAGTCTCGCTCTATCACCCAAGCTGGAGTGCAGTGGCTCAATCTTGGCTCACTGCAATCTCCACGGCTTGGGTTCAAGCGATTCTCCCGCCTCAGTCTCCTGAGTAGCTGGGATTACAGGCGTGTGCCACCACGCCCAGCTAGGTTTTGTATTTTTTTTAGTAGAGACAGTGTTTCATCATGTTGGTCAGGCTGGTCTTGAACCCCTGACCTCATGATCTGCCCACCTCTGCCTCCCAAAGTGCTAGGATTACAGGTGTGAGCCACCACGCCTGGCCGTAACAGCTTTTTTTTTTTTTAAGACCAGAATGAAATTCACAACAGTAAAGAATAGAACTGAAGAGAATAAGGAAAAGAAAAAAGGGGCTGAGGGAGAAGGAAAAGAAAAGAGAGTTTAAAAAGGTAGAGAAGGTAAGACTCCAGGCATTCTAAACACTACCAAAATGTACAGATCTATTTTATGTGCTCTGCAATGACAAAAAAAAAAAAAAAAAAAAAAAAAAATCCCATGTGAGTTTGACCTGTTTTTGCTGTGTCTACTGGAATGTAGCTGTTTGCACCTAACTTCAAGAAGTAAACACTTTTTTTCAGACTTTCTCCTTTGTAAAACAGGAATTCTCACAATGACTTTAATCATGATGTTACATGTAACATGCAATAATAGTGTTTGGTAAGAATATTTGAAAACAGTCCAATGAAGCTACAAGTTCGCAGGTGTAGACAGTGTTTATCTGGAGGCAAAACACACTTAAAATATTTCTTAGGGATGTTTCTCCCAGTAGCTTAAGTGCTTACTTCATGGGTGCTTTGTTCTAGAGTTAGAAGATAGGGCAAAACAAAATGTAGTTATATTTTTCTATGTATCTTTGCCAGTATTTTCAAGGGTTTAGCCAAATCTTTATTCTCTACTTCATTTACCTCTCACACTACCTCGTTTTTTTAATTATGTTCAATTTACATTTAAAAACTTTTTTCTATATTTTATTTTATTTTACATATCAGATTTTTATCCTAAAACATTGTCTTCCAAAAGTTCCCAGCAGCTTAGCTTGTTTTACATAACCGAAGTGGGAATTCATATTTGTCTTAGTCTTTTACATTTCTAATTAAACATACATGACAATTTAAAAATACGTTTTTATCTAGAGTAATGTGTGATTTTCATGGCACCTTTTATGTTATTTATTGATATGACTTGGCTGTGTCCCCACCCAAATCTCAACTTGAATCATATCCACCAGAATTCCTATGTGTTGTGGGAGGGACCCAGGGGAAGTAATTGAATCATGGGGGTGGGTCTTTCCCATGCTAATCTCATGGTAGTGAATAAGTCTCACAAGATCTGATAGTTTTCTCAGGGGTTTCCACTTCTGCTTCCTCCTCATTTTATCTTGCTGCCACCATGTAAGAAGTGCCTTTTACCTCCCACCATGATTCTGAGGCCTCTCTAGCCATGTGGAACTGTAAGTCCAATTAAACCTCTTTTTCTTCCCAGTCTTTATCAGCAGTGTGAAAGCAGACTAATACAGTAAATTGGTACTAGTAGAGTGGGGTGTTGCTGAAAAGATACCCAAAAATGTGGAAGTGACTTCAGAACTGGGTAACAGGCAGAGGTTGGAACAGTTTGGAGGGCTCAGAAGAGACAGGAAAATGTGAGAAAGTTTGAACCTCCTAGAGACTTGTTGAATGGCTTTGACAAAAATGCTGATAGTGATATGAACAATAAGGTCCAGGCTGAGGTGGTCTCAGACAGAGATGAGGAACTTGTTGGGAACTGGAGCAAAGGTGATTCTCGTTATATTTTAGCAAAGAGACTGGCAGCATTTTGCCCCTGCCCTAGAGATTTGTGGAACTTTGAACAAAGTACCTGAGAGATGATTTCAGGTATCTGGTATTGCTGAATCTGGAAGATTGAATGCTTAGCAAAGCATTCAAAAGGTGACTTGGGTGCTGTTAAAAGCATTCCATTTTAAAAGGGAAACAGAGCATGAAAGTTTAGAAATTTGCAGCCTGATGATGCAGTAGAAAAGAAAAACCCATTTTTTGAGGAGAAATTCAAGCCAGCTGCAGAAATTTGTATAAGTAGCAAGGAGCCTAATGTTGATCCCCAAGACCATGGGGAAAATGTCTCCAGGGTATGTCAGAGACCTTCACGGCAGCCCCTCCCATCACAGGCCCAGAGGCCCAGGAGGAAAAAGTGGTTTTATGGGCTAGGCCCAGGGTCCCCGTGCCATCTGTAGCCTAGGGACTTGGTGCCCTGTGTCTCAGCCAATCTAGCCATGACTGAAAGGGGCCAACATAGAGCTCGAGCTGTGGCTTCAGAGGGTGCAGGCCCCAAGCCTTGGCAGCTTCCACATTGCTGTTGAGCCTGCAGGAGCACAGAAGGCAAGAATTGAGGTTTGGAAACCTCCACTTAGATTTCAGAAGATGTATGGAAACACCTGGATGCTTAGGTAAAAGTTTGCTGCAGAAGTAAGGACCTCATGGAGAACCCCTGCTAGGGCAGTGTGGAAGGGAAATGTGGGCTGGAGCCCCCACACAGAGTCCCTCCTGGGGCACTGCCTAGTGGAGCTTTTAGAAGAGAGCCACCATCCTCCAAACCCCAGAATGGTAGCTCCACTGACAGCTTGTGCCATGCACCTGGAAAAGCCACAGACACTTAATGCCAGCCTGTGAAAGCAGCCAGGAGGGAGGCTGTACCCTGCAAAGCCACAGGGTCAGAGTGCCCAAGACCATGGGAACCCACCTTTTGCATCCACATGACCTGGATGTGAGACCTGGAGTCAAAGGACATCATTTTGGAGCTTTAAAATTTGACTGCCCTGCTGGAATTAGGACATGCAGGGGTCCTGTAACTCCTTTGTTTTGGCCAACTTATCCCACTTGCAGTGGCTTTGCCCAATACCAGTATCCCCATTGTATCTAGGAAGTAACTAGCTTGTTTTTGATTTTACAGACTCATAGGTGGAAGGGATTTGCCTTGTCTCAGATGAGACACTGGACTGTGGACTTTTGGATTAATACTGAAATGAGTTAAGACTTTGGGGGACTATTGGAAAGGCATGATTGGTTTTGAAATGTGAGGACATGAAGTTTGGAGGGACAAGTGGTGGAATGATATGGTTTGGCTCTGTCTCCACCCAAATATCAACTTGAATTGTATCTCCCAGAATTCCCACATGTTGTGGGAGGGATTCAGGGGGAGGTAATTGAATCATGGGTACGGGTTTTTCCCATGCTAATCTCATGATAGTGAATAAGTCTCATAAGATCTGATCAGTTTATCAGGGGATTCTACCTTTACTTTCTCCTCATTTTCTCTTGCCACCGCAGTGTAAGAAGTGCCTTTCACCTCCTGCCATGATTCTGAGGCCTCCCCAGCCATGTGGAACTGTAAGTCCAATTAAACCTCTTTTTCTTCCCAGTTGGGTATGCTTTTATCAGCAGCATGAAAACGGACTAATACATTTATGAGGAATATTTTTTATTAATTTCTGCTGGGTTTTAATTATTTGATTAAAGATACTAAGAGGAAGATATAAATAACTGCTGATTGAAATGTTTCATTCTGGAAATCAGAGTATTTCCCTTGTTTTCAACAAATTCTCAAAGCCTTCAAGCACTCTGGAAACTTTCTGCTATAGGAAGAAGATATTCCTCTTTTTATGATGGATGAAAAATAAATGGAATATAGCCACAAGATGAATAAGTAGCCCAATATATTTTCAGGTACCTATTAATATATCACAATTTGAATATGATTTTTCCCAAATCAATGGATAGTAGAGAGTACATATTTAAATAATTGTTTTTATTATCTTAGAATATGAGTAGCTCATTTACCTATGGCAAATTTTTAGTGTTATTCCCAAAACCTCTATAGAAACGAAGATTTAGAAATAGCTGTTTACTTGTGAAATACTTATCACTTTCTATTATAAAAGTATAAACTAGTTTATAGTCCATATTCAACGAGAACATTGAAAGATTAAAGTATGCTATTTTATTTTTGCTAGTCCTTTGTAGTTAATATGCTAAAACTGAGTAAGGGAAATACAGTGTTCACTCAGGTAAACTGTAGTTTACCTGAGTGAACATTGGCCTGCAGTTACATGTGAGGTCATTTATGATGAGCAAACAATGGATTAGGTAACAATGAGGAAAATTCTAGAAGTTTGAGTTTGTGTGCTTACTAGCAACCACTTTCAGCGTTTCTGCAAAGCTAGAGAAGGTATCTTCTAATTTAAATGTCTTTAAGAATTATCTATTGCGTAATATACTGTCAACAGGAGGTCAGTTTTAAAGGAATACTACTGATAGCCTGAAAGACTGTGGAAAAGAAATTATTTTTCCCCCTTACACACTGATAGTTCTTGTATTTGCATTCCTGAAATTCATATATATTTTTCAAAAAAAAAAAACCATTGGATTAGCAGCAAGAGAGTTGAAAATGGCAGAAGTTGGGAATGACTGCTATTTCTTTTTTAATTCCACATGCATAAAGGTAAATATTGTACAATTGACAGTACTTCACATGCTTAATCTTTTTAGTAGAATGAAGGGAGATATGGCAATAACTTGTATTGCTGAACAAAAATTTACTATTTTCTTGCAAGATATCTTATATTTGTAAAATCTGGAGTAACAGCTTATCATGTATTTTTGACATACTGAATTTCTCTGAAGAAATCTGAGATAATTTAAAATTATTATTTGTTTGAAACTACCCTTATATATACCAGTTATATGTCTATAGCTTTTGAATCTTCATGTGGCACTTTTGCCTATATTATGACACCTTGAGACATTAAATTCCTAATATTAAAACATCATAGGTTACAAGATATTGTTTTAGTTAATATGATTCCAGTCATTATAATTCAAATAGTTGAATTCAGGTAAGTGTCAATCTTAGTGTAATAAATCTGTTTTCCTATTTGAAATTTATTAACCCAATTACTGAATTTTCCTCTGTCAAAAGTCTAAGTAATAACAAATATTTAAATATCATTAAAAAAGAAAATTAATATAAACAAATTGGCCACATATAAATTAAACTTTATAAAGTTAAATGGGAAAAACTGAGAATTCCTCCAATGTATTAGGATGTATAGATCTTAGTAAAACCAGATAAAGGTAGAAACTCAATATTTGGAGCTTTGTGCTCATGCAAGAAATAATCCAGTGAAAAAGATGATATGTCTGGTTTCAAGTGTTTCCTCTCTGTTAGGAAACCTGAATGGAGTCAACCTCTCTGACCACAGAAATTGGATTCACTTCTATTACCTGTTAGATTAAATGCTAGGATAATAAAGAATAATAACAGATTTCATGTCCCAGGTGGGCAGAGTGTTTTGTCTATTTCACTGCTGTATCCCCAAGTACTTAGCAGAGTGGCTAATGAGTAAGTTACCAGTAAATAATTAAATGAATAAATAATAATAATAGCTCACAATACCTTATATCACATCATTTTTACAGCTAACCTGTAAGGAAAGTAGTTTTTATTTCCTGTATACAGATGAGAAAACTGAAGCACAGAGAGTATGAGTTAAGTATTAACTTTGTGACAATGGGCAAGTGGTGGCGCCCAGGGTTTCAAATACCAGTTTATTGACTTGAAAACCCCTGCCTACTAACCCGTGCTATGAGAGTATATGGATCTACTTTAACAAGGGGGAGAGAGTGAAGATGGAAGTAGGAGAGAGATAAAAGATAAAGAACAACCATGGAACATGTGTCAAAAGAGGGAAGAATGTTATCCACCTCTCTTCCCACACAACAGGGGCTTGTAGTTTTTACCAAATGTGCATTTACATTTAAAAGAACATAGAATTTTTAAGAAGTAATAGCGGCCCATTAAAACAATCCACATCTACTTTTGTTGGCATATTAACAAGTCAGTGAGTATATGTATAGGCAATTGTTTATCTTTCTAAGCCAAAGGCACAAAGCACATATATTTAATGTAGTATATCATAATACAATAATTAAAATTCCACAATAACATAAATTTTAAGCTCCATAAAAACTTAACAGTATCTCCATAGACTGAGAAAATAGATTATCTAATAAAAGGATTGATTAATAGAAATCATTTTCACAATTAGAATGTAGGTAGAGATTCTTAAAAATTTCATCTGGCTTTCTTCCAAAAGAGAAATTAAGTTGTTCTGTCATTGAATTGTGATCAAAGTGTCACTGGATTCTTATATCTCTATTCCTAGTGAACCATATGGATTAACGAATAACAAAAGGTAGCATTTTATCAGTGATTTGTGGCATGTTGTACTATGTAACCATTAGACTATCTTGTTGCTTTCTCACTAAAGTTAGACTAATTTGCTAAAATTTAGACTTATGGCCTAAAATTGATAGTGTATATCTTTGTGATTCTAGTGTAATCTACTCATATTTCGTTTAACTAATTAGCAACCTATTGTTGTTGAACACTAATGTCAACATATTGAGCTTTCTACACTGTTTACTTTTTCTTTTAGGGTTCCCAGTGCCGATTCCGACACTGTGAAGAGGCCCTTGGCAGTGACACTGTGTGCTCATTATGGAGAGAGAGGAAATGTTTAGATCCACTTTGCAGATTTAGACACATGGAAATGCAGGTAGAATTACTTGGCGTCATCATTTTTGTCAAAAAGTATTTCCCTTCAATAATGCTGAATTATACTTTTTCAAAACAATATGGAAGAAATCATTCTTCCTTCTACTATTTGATTTTAGGCATTTTGCAATTTTTTCAACTTAATGGAGGAACATGTTTTAGAAATACCCATTCCATCTTTTGAATAGCAGGGCTTAGAAACACTGAAAGCTGGAAGACACACATGATCCTAAATCAGTTAACTATAATTGTTTTTGTGTCCTTGTGCTGTATTGTAGCACATTGTATTTGTTGTAAATATGGCATCTAATCATTACATTTCCCCCAATCTCCTTTTATCTAGCAAAACTGCAGCATTTCATGCTTCTGGGAAACTCAGCCTCTTGGTTGTGTGAAGATCAGCTGTATCTTTTATCACAGCAAACCTCGAAATATCAATGGATTATTTTTGCCACCAAGTAGCAGTGAGTACATTTTTTGAATAACATAGACTTACCATATTCTAATCTGGTTTTGGACTAGCAGCATAGAATGACACATTTAAAAAGTATGACAAGGTGAGCAATGCAATTTAATAGCCAATGGGTAATTTGGAATGATTCTACATGAGACAAGAGAAAGCTTAGAATGAACCATTAAGTAACTAACAAGATGAAATGAACAAAGAGCAAGTTAAACTTTCTCTATGTGTATCTAAAATGGATTTTATTCATATGAAAAGTAAGACAGCTACTGACCTCACTAAATAGAAGGAGGCTGTGTCTCAGCAAAGTATCGCACAACTGAAGCCAAGCTTAGAGGTCATACCTTCACTGGTGGTCTCTGTGAATGTGCGGAAAGCTATCTCGTAGGTGGAGAGAGCAAGGGCAGGATCTGGGTTACACACTTCTGTTTCTAGCAGAACAGCTATGTGTGATGGTTCTTTCTAACACTTTAATTGTGGAAAAAATGCAATGCCATTGCTACAAAAGCCGTGGCACAATTCAGTCTAACTAAATGGTACTGAGACTCTACCATGTGATGTACCTTAAAGTTGGTTCTGGGAAGTGGATACAGAAGACACCACAGTGTAAACCAGTGAATGGTAAGAACCTTGCTGAAGAAGGTTGGGCTATTAGGTTTCCCTGATGCTTGTAACTACTCTACTTTCCTTCTATGGCCACCAAGTTTCTCTGATGGAATGGTTTTTTGTTTGTTTGTTTGTTTGTTTTTTGAGACGGAGTCTCGCTCTGTCACCCAGGCTGGAGTGCAGTGGTGCGCTCTCAGCTCATTGCAGCCTCCACCTCCCGGGTTCAAGCAATTCTCATGCCTCAGCCTCCTGAGTAGCTGGGACTACAGGCACGCACCGCCACACCCAGCTAATTTTTGTATTTGCAGAAAAATATACAACCATGCTGGTTGGGTTAAATTCATGATCACAAATCTCAAATGAGCCCTTACTGCTGACTGCCAATAACACTACATGGTACTCCCCCAGTTCATTCCTATTCTCCCAGACTGCTTTTTATACCTCCTTCCCTCTCCTTAAACCTCCATTGCCACCTCCTCTTTGATGATGACTTTATGTCTTACGAACTGAGAAACTTTTAATAAGAAGAGAACTTCTGCATATTTCTGTCACCACATCCACCCACCTAGTAGCATTGGTACTTAACTTCTTCCCTGCTCTTACCATGAATCATCCATACTCCTATCTAAGCCTATCCTTCCACTTGGTAACTAGACATTGCCTTCTCTTGTCTACTCTAAGACATTGAGTTAATGATTCTTCCCTCTTTTTCTACATAAACATTATTCACTCTTACTGAATCATTTCTATCAGTATACAAACATGTATTTATTTATTTATGGAATTCTCCATTTTGATCTATTCTCTCACAAGCTACCACCCCATGTTTTTTTCCCGTTGCAATAATTCTCTTCAAAGTGGTTATTTATTATTGCTGTCACCAAATCCTTCCCCCATTCTTTCTTAATCCCATGCAAATCAGGCTTATTCACTCCTTTCACCTGTCACATACACATTATTAAATCCAGTGGCCAATTTCCAGTCCTTATGTAACTTGAACCACGAGCAGGATTTGACACATTTAATCACCCCTTCCTTCTTGACATAATTTTCCTATCTAGCTTGCAGGACACATTCTCTTCATTTATCTTTCTTTTTTTTCTTTAACTTTTATTTTAGGTTCTGGGGTACATGTGCAGGATTGTTATATAGGTAAACTGTGTGTCATGGAGATTTGGTGGACAGATAATTTCATCACCTGGGTAATAAGCATACTATCTGATAGATATTTTTTCTGATCCTCTCCCTTCTACCAGCCTCCACCCTCAAATAGGCCACAGTATCTGTTGTCCCTCTCTTTGGGTTATCATTTAGCTCTCACTTATAAGTTAGAACATGTGGCATTTGGATTTTGTTCCTGCATTAGTTTGCTAAGGATGATGGCCTCCAGCTCCATCAATGTTCTTGCAAAGGACATGATGTCATTCTTGTTTTATGGCGTGTAGTAATCCATGGCATATATATACCACATTTTCCTTATTCGTTCTACCATTGATGGGCATTTAGGTTAATTTCATGTCTTTGCTATTGTGAATAGTGCTGTGATGAACATGCAGGTACATGTGTCTTTATGGTAGAATGATTTATATTCCTGTGTGTATATACCCAATAATAGGGTTGCTGGGTCAAATGGTAATTCTCTTCTAAGTTCTTCAAATAATTGCTACATTGCTTTGCACAGTGGCTGGACCAATTTACATTCCTACCAGCAGTATATAAGTGTTCCCTTTTCTCTGTAACCTCATCAGCATCTGTTATTTTTTGACTTTTTAATAAATAGCCATTCTTATTGGTATGAGGTGGTATTTCATTATGGTTTTGATTTGTGGTTCTGTGATGATTAGTGATGTTGAGCATTTTTTCCTATGCTTTGGCCACATTTATGTCTTCTTTTGAAAAGCGTTCACGTGCTTTTCCCACTTTTTAATGAAGTTGTTAGTTTTTGCTTGTTAAGTCCCTTATAAATTCTGGATATTAGACCTTTGTTGGATATATAGTTTGCAAATATTTTTTCTCATTCTGTAGATTGTCTGTTTACTCTGTTGGTAGTTTCTTTTGCTGTGCAGAAACTCTTTAGTTTAATTAAATCCTTTTTGTTAACTTTTTTGTTGTATGCTTTTGGCATCTTTGTCATGAAATCTTTGTCATGTCCTATATCCAGAATGGTATTTCCTAGGTTATCTTCCAGGGTTTTTTAAGTCTTTTTTTTTTTTTTTGAGATGGAGTCTCACTCTGTTGCCAGGCTGGAGTGCAACGGTGTGATCTCCGCCCACTACAACCTCCGCCTCCTGGGTTCAAGTGATTCCCCTGCCCCAGCCTCCCAAGTAGCTGAGACCACAGGCACGTGCCACCATGCCAGGCTAAATTTTTTTTTTTTTTTTTAGTAGAGACGAAGTTTCACCATGTTGGCCAGGACGGTACAATCTCCTGACCTTGTGATCCACCCACCTCAACCTCCCAAAGTGCTGGGATTATAGGCATGAGCCACCGTGCCTGGCCTACATTTAAGTCTTTAATCTATCTTGAGTGAATTTTTGTATGTGGTATAAGGTAGGGGTTCAGTTTCCATTTTCTACATATGGCAAGCCAGTTATTCCAGCATCATTTATTGAAAGGGGAGTCCTCTCCCTGTTTCTTATTTTTGTCACCTTTGTCAAAGATTAGATGGTTGCAGGCATGAGGCTTTTATTTCTAGACTTTCTATTCTATTCCATTGGTCTATGTGTGTTTTTTTGTGCCAGTATCATGCTGTTTTGGTTACCGTAGACCTGTAGTATAGTTTGAAGTTGGGTAACATGATGCCTCCCTTTTTGAACTTTTTGCTTTAAGATTGCCTTGGCTCTTTAGGCTCCTTTTGGGTTCCACATTAATTTTAAAATATATTTTTCTAATTCTGTGAAGAATGTTATTGGTAGTTTGATAGAAATAACTTCGAATCTGTGAATTTCTTTGGGCATCATTGCCATTTTCATGGTGTTGATTCTTCCTATCCATGAGCATGGAATGTTTTTCCATTTGTTTGCATCATCTCTGCTTTCTTTGGGCAGTGTTTTGTAATTCTCATTGTAAAGATCTTTCACCTCTCTGGTTAGCTGTATTCCTAGATATATTATTCTTTTTGTGGCAGTTATTAATGGAATTGCATTCCTGATTTGACTCTTGGCTTGGATGTTGTTGTTGTATAGGAATGCTACTGATATTTGTATGTTAATTTTGTATCCTGAAACTTTGCTGAAATTGTTTATCAGATCAAAGCACTTTTGGGCAGAGATTATGAGGTTTTCTAGATATAGAATTATGTCATCTGCAAACAGGGATAATTTGACTTCCTTGATTCCTATTTGGATGTCTTTTCTTTCTTTCTCTTGCCTGTTTGCTCTGGCCAGGACTTTTCAATACTATGGTGAGTAGGAGTGGTGACAGAGGGTATACTTGTCTTCTTCCAGTTTTCAAGGGGGAATGCTTCCAGTTTTTGCTTATTCAGTCTGATGTAGGCTGTGGGTTTTACATAGATGGGTCTTATTATTTTGAAGTACGTTTCTTCAATTCCTAGCTTATTGAGGGTTTTTAGCATGAAGGGATGTTGAATTTTATTAAAAGCCTTTTCTGCATCTATTGAGGTAATCATATCTCAATATGGTTTTTACTTTTAGTTCTGTTTATGTAGTCAGTCACATTTATTGATTTGTATATGTTGAACCAACCTTGCATCCCAAGGATATGGCATACTTGATCATGATGGATTAGCTTTTTGATGTGCTGCTGAATTTGATTTGCTAGTATTTTGTTGAGGATTTTGACATCTGTGTTCACTGAGAATATTGGCCTGAAATTTTTTTTTTTTTGGTTTTCTTTCTGCCACATTTTGGTATCAGAATGATGCTGGCCTCATAGAATGAGTTAGGGAGGAGTCCTTCATCCTCAATTTTTTGAAATAGTCTCAGTAGGAATGGCACCAGCTCTTCTTTATAAATCTGATATAACTCGGCTATGAATCTATCTGGCCCTGGGTTTTTTTTGGTTGGTAGGCTTTTTCTTACTTATACAGTTATAGAACTCAGTATTGGTCTCTTCAGGGATTCAGTTTCTTCCTTGTTCAGTCTTGGGAGGTTGCATGTGTTTAGGAATATATTCATTTCTTCTAAATTTTCTAGTTTGTACCCATAGAGGTGTTTATAGTAGTGTCTGATAGGTTTTTGTATTTCTGTGGGGTCAGTGGTAATGTCCCTTTTGTCTTTTTTTTTTGAAACAGAGTCTCACTCTGTCACCCAGACTGGAATGCAGTGGTGCGATCTTGGCTCACTGCAACCTCTGGTTCCAGGGTTCAAGTGATTCTCCTCCTTCAGCCTCCCAAGTAGCTGGGATAACAGGCATGCACCACCATGCCTGACTAATTTTTGTATTTTTAGTAGAGACTGGGTTTCACCATGTTGGCCAGGCTGGTCTCGAACTCCTGGCCTCAAGTGATCTGCCTGCCTTGGCCCTCCCAAAGTGCTGGGATTATAGGCGTGAGCCACTGAAGCTGGCCTCCCTTTGTCATTTCTAATTGTGTTTACTTGGATCTTCTCTTTTTTTTTTTTTGTCTTTATTAGTCTAGGTAGCAGTCTATCTTTCTTATTAATTTTTTCAAAAAATCAACTCCTGGGTTTGCTGGTCTTTTGTATGGCTTTTTGTGTCTCCATTTCCTTCAGTTCAGCCCTAATTTTGGTAATTTCTTGTCTTCTGCCAGCTTTAGGGTTGGTTTTCTCTTACTTCTCTAGTTCTTCTAGTTGTGATGTTAAGTTGTTAATTTGAGATCTTTCTTTCTGATGTGGTCATTTAGTGCTATAAACTTCCCTCTTAATACTGAGTTAGCTGTATCTCAGAGAATCTGGTATGTTGTATCTGTTCTCAAAAGTTTCAAAGAATTTCTTGATTTCTGCCATAATTTCATTGTTTACCCAAAAGTCATTCAGGAGCAGGTTGTTTAATTTCCATGTAATTGTATGGTAGTGAGTGATTTTCTTAGTATTGATTCCTATATTTATTGTGCTGTGGCCTGAGGGCATGGTTGGTATGATGTATTTTTTTTTTTTAATTTGCTGAGTATTGTTTTATGTCCAAATGTATGGTCAGTTTTGGAGGATGTGTCATGTGATGATGAGAAGAATGTATATTCTGTTGTTTTGGGGTGGAGAGTTCTGTAGATGTTTATTAAATCCATTTGGTCAAGTTTTGAGTTTAGGTCCTTAATATCTTTGCTTTTCTGCATTGACAATCTGTGTAATGCTGTCAGTGGAGTGTTGAAGTCTCCCACTATTATGGTATGGGAATCTAAGTCTTTTTGTAGGTCTCTAAGAACTTGCTTTATGGATCTGGGTGCTCCTGTGTTGGATGTGTATATATTTAGGATAGTAAGGTCTTCTTGTTGAATTGAACCCTTTACCATTGTATAATGTGTTTATGTTTTTTAATCTTGTTGGTTTAAGTCTTTTTGGCCTGAAATTAGGATTGCAACCCCTGATATTTTTTGTTTTCCATTTGCTTGGTAGATTTTTCACAATTTCTTTATTTTGAGCCTATGGGTATCATTGTATAATATGTGCAATGGGTGTCTTGAAGACAGCATGTTAGTGGGTCTTGCTTCTTTATCGAGCTTGCAACTCTGTGCCTTTTAATTGGTGCATTTAGCTCCTTTACATTCAAGGTTACATTGATATGTGTGGATTTGATCCTGTCATCATGTTGTTAGCTGGTTTGTGTGCACACTTGTTTGTGTGGTTACTTTATAGTGTCACTGGTCTGCATTCTTAAGTGTGTTTTTGTAGTGACTGGTAACTGTCTTTCCTTTCCGTATTTAGTGTATCTTTCAGGACCTCTTGTAAGGCATGTCTGGTGGTAAAAAATTCCCTCAGCACTTGCTTGTCTGAAAAGGATCTTATTTATCCTTCACTTATGCAGTTTAGTTTGCCTGGATGTGATATTCTTGGTTGGAATTTTTTTTTCTCTAAGAATGCTGAATGTAGGCTTCCAATCTTTTCTGGCTTGTAGGGTTTCTTCTGAAAGGTTCACTGTTAGCCTGATGGACTTCGCTTTGTAGGTAACCTACCCTTCTCTCCAGCTGTCTTTAACATTTTTTTTCTTTTGTTTCAAACTTGGTTTCTTTGTTTTTCTTCTACCTTCCTAGTGCTTTGTTATCACTCTCCCTGGATTGTTCTTCCTCTTTTCCCCAATCTCTTACATGTGCAGAGTTAGTTCTTGGTTTTTTTTTTCTCTGTTTACTTTCTTGGTAGTCTCATCTAGCCTTATGATTTTGAATATGATCCACATGTCAGTGACTCCCAAATGTAACAAGAGACTCTATTTGATCTAGTGCCCTGTTAGCTCTCTGAAGTTTTCTACCACACTATATTAGTCTGCTTTTACACTTCTTTTGCACTGCTGATAAAGAGATACCCAAGACTGGGCAATTTACAAAAGACATACCCAAGACTGGGCAATTTACAAGAAGGAAGTTTAATGGACTTATAGTTCCACATGTCTGGGGAGGCCTCCAAATCATTGAGGAAGGCTAGGAGGAGAAAGTCACGTCTTACATGGATGGCAGCAGCAAAGAAAGAGAGTTTGTGCAGGGAAAGTCCCCTTTTTGAAATCGTCAGATCTCATGAGACTTACTCACTATCACGAGAACAGCATGGGAAATACCTGCCCCATGATTCAATTACCTCCCATCGAATTCCTCCCACAACATATGGGAATTGTGGGAGTTACAATTCAAGATGAGATTTGGGTGGGGAAAGAGCCAAACCATATCATTCCATCCCTGGCCCCTCCCAAATCTCATGTCCTCACATTTAAAACCAATCATGCTTTCCCAACATTCCCCAAAAGTCTTAACTCATTTTAACATTAACTTAAAAGTCCACAGTCCAAAGTCTCATCTGAGACAAGGCAAGTCCCTTCTGCCTGTGATCCTGTAAAATCAAAAACAAGTTAGTTACTTCCTACATACAATGGGGTTACAGGCATTGGGTAGGTACAGCCATTCGAAATGGGAGAAACTGGGCAAAACAAAGGGGCTACAGGCCCTATGCAAGTCCAAAATCCAGCAGGGCAGACAAATCTTAAAGCTCAAAATGATCTCCTTTGACTCCAGGTCTCACATCCAGGTCCCACTGAGGCAAAAGGTGGGGTCCCATGGTCTTGGGTTGCTCTGCCCCTGTGGCTTTGCAGGGTAGAGCCCCTGCTCCTGGCTGCTTTCACTGGCTGGTGTTAAGTGTCTGTGGCTTTTCCAGGCACACGGTGCAAGCTGTCAGTGAATCTACCCATTCTGGGGTCTAGAGGACAGTGGCCCTCTTCTCACAGCTCCACTAAGCAGTGCTCCAGTAGGGACTTTGTGTAGCAGCTCTGGCCCCACATTTCCCTTCCACACTGCCCTAGCAGAGGTTCTTCATGAGGGCCCTGCCCCTGCAACAAACTTTTGCCTGGGCATCCAGGCATTTCCACACGCCCTCTGAAATCTAGGCAGAGGTTCCCAAACCCCAATTCTTAAATTCTGTGCTCTTGCAGTCTCAACACCACATGGAAGCTGTCAAGGCTTGGGGTCTGCACCCTCTGAAACCACGGCCTGAGCTGTATCTTGGCCCCTTTCAGCCGTGATTGGAGTGACTGGGACACAGGGCACCAAGTCCATAGGCTGCACACAGCATGGGGACCCTGGGCCTAGCCCATGAAACCATTTTGTCCTCCTAGGTCTCTGGGCCTGTGATAGGAGGGGCTGCCAAGAAGGTCCCTGACATACATTGGAGACATTTTCCCCATTATCTTGGGGATTAACATTCGGCTTATTGTTAATTATGAAAATTTCTGCAGCCAGCTTGAATTTCCCCTCAGAAAATAGGATTTTCTTTTGTATCTTATTGTCAGGCTGCAAATTTTCCAAACTTTTATGCTGTTTTCTTTTTAGAACTGAATGCCTTTAGCAGCACCCAAGTCACCTCTTGAATGCTTTGCTGCTTAGAAATTTCTTCTGCCAGATACCTTAAATTATCTCTCTTAAATTCAAAGTTCCACAAATCTCTAGGGAAGGGGCAAAGTGCTGCCAGTCTCTTTGCTAAAACTTAATAAGAGTCACCTTTGCTCCAGTTCCCAACAAGTTCCTCATCTCTAACTGAGAATACCTCAGCCTGGATTTCATTGTCCATATCATTATCAGCATTTTGGTCAAAGCCATTCAACAAGTATCTAGGAGGTTCCAAACTTTCCCACATTTTTCTGTGTTATTCTGAGCCCTTCAAACTGTTCCAACCTCTGCCTGTTACCCAGTTCCAAAGTTGCTTCCACATTTTTGGGTATCTTTCCAGCAGTGCTCCACTCTACTGGCACCAGTTTACTGTATTAGTCTGTTTTTATTCTGCAGATAAAGACATGCTGCAGATAAAGACATACTTGAGACTGAGCAATTTACAAAAGAAAGAGATTTAATGGACTTACAGTTCCACATGGCTGGGGAGGCCTCACAATCATGGTGGAAGGCAAGGAGGAGCAAGTCACATCTTACATGTATGGCAGCAGGCAAAGAGAGAGAGCTTGTGTAGGGAAACTCTTGTTTTTAAAACTGTCAGGTCTCATGAGACTTATTCACTATCATGAGAACGGCACAGAAAAGACCCGCCCCCATGATTCAATTACCTCTCACCAGGTTCCTTCCATGATATGTGGGAATTTGGGAAGTTACAATTCAAGATGAGATTTGGGTAGGGACATAGTCAAACTATATCACACACCCGTATGCTTGCTTGCTCTACTCAAATCATACTGTATACTTGCTTTTCCTAGTGCATATTAGCATGTTCCTGCTTTAGGGGCTTTGTGCAAAACACTCTTCCCTCAATATCTTCATGGCTAATTCCATCATTTCTTCACAGCCTTGCTAAAATATGTTTTACATAACACTATTCTGAACACTGTATTTGAAATGTAGTCAGCCTTCCCAAGCATGCCTTACACACTTCCAAACTTCCTTGCCTTGTTCTACTTTCTTATTGCCATACTCCCTATGATTTCTCAGATACAATATAATTTACTGGTTTAATATGTCTATTTGTTGTGTGACTCCTCCCTATAGAATGAAAGTACCATAAGAGCAAGAATCTTTATTTTGTTCACTGATGAATCTCAAGCACCTAACATAGCCACATAGTACTGGCTCTCACATAGTGGCCAGTTCTACTCCGGGAATCCATGAACAGCATTTATTTATGTTAAATCTGTTAACTATTTTCCCGCTGCTTGACACATTTCTGTACTCTAGGAAAAAGGATTCAATTTCCAGACTGTAGATAAACTAACAAGCTCAGCTGAAATATGTATTGAACTACTGCATTGCTTCTTTATTTGGAAATATTTCAATACCTCAGAAGTAATAATTTGATTCCTGGCAGACCTAATATTTCCTATGATATTTCCAGGAACTTCTATCTACCAATGCCCATAATAACCAAAACTGGGGCCATAAATCTTTTCACCTTAGACAAAGATTAAATTATAAAGTAATACCTTTGTGAATATCTACCTTTATGAGTGTCGGTAAATGCATATGATTAATTGATAAATTTAGGGTGAGGTTATTACAAACCATTTCATAGCAAACTGTAACTGGCTAAGTATAGGTTCATACAGAGCATTGTACAAATGTGTGTAATTTTGTCTCAGGTTAAAATAAGATAAAATTTAGATATTTAAATGTGCAACCTGTGAAACTTTAGGGCTTCTGCTTGATGAATTGAGACCTGTCACATAGTCCATATTAAGTAGATGAGTTGGAGCCACAGCAGTGCTATCTAAATCACCGGCTGTGTTCTTCCAGTATGAGGCACTTGCCAAAGGCAATTTCCTATTAGATGATTTGCCATTGTATGTTGTTATCTTTAAGCACTAAGTGCAATTATCAGGAGTCCTACATTTTTTTGTCTAGGGGTATAAAACTGCCAGTTACTCTCTTTGCAATTTAAACTTCAACCTGCTAGTGAATTTTAAAAGGTTTTGGACTCTTTTAAAATATATTTTATTTACATGTTTATAAACCATGGAATTTTAAAAGACATAATCTCTCTGGTTATCATTTCTAAGTTTAAAAGCAAATAGCTGCTAAACCAATTGAGAATGCTAAGAAAACATAATTCTGTTAATATTTACCATAAAAATTCCCTAGACATTTTCTGAGTACAGTTCGTACTTTTTTGCAAGCCTGGTAGGCACTTATTCTTTCTCCTATGGTATGCACTAGAAGTTAGTGTAATCTCTTAGACAAACTTGTTTTAAAAAAGTTCTTATATTTTGCTGAAGAAAAATTTGTTCCAAACACAGTAGCTAGCTTGAACATGGAAATTGCTCATCTTTCCTTGGCTAGTTGCCACTTTATTCTGTAATGAACAATTGAATAGGATCATTTGATTTTTATTTATTCTAGGTCAGTGTCCAGTGATGCCTTGGACAACTGATTTGGCCACTTTAAATTAAACTTTGGTCAGCTTTCTTTAGAATGTCTAGCCTCTGTGTTTATTATCTGCCTTTTAGTTAAAGTTTTGAAAAGCCACTTGCTAATAAATTGTTTTTAAATAATTTAATAAACACTTTGACTTGAATATTTCAGTCAGTACACACACACTAATTTTTGTGCGTGTGTGTTTTAGAAAAGAAGACAATTCATAATGGTTATAAGGATAAAAGTTCTTCAGCTTAGTTCTTTCCTCTCTGGGGAAGGAAGAGAGGGGATAAGAAAATGCCATAGCACATCAAATGGTAGCCCCCGAGATAATTTGTGTTGGATGGCAGATTCTTTATCCTGACTACATACTGCTTCTGTTCTCATCCAAGGTCCAAAGAGCATCAAAACATGCAAAAAAATAAAGGCAGGAACTCAAATATTACTTCTTCAGGCTTAACATTTGTTAGTCATGTTTAAGAACTCCACATCTTGCTTTTTAGGACTTATAAACTTGCAGTTTAATTATGGCTTTTAAAAATGAAGTGGAGTTATAAGAGATTAGAAAATCACATACCCAGTGTTTTAGAATAATCTGTTAAGTGTATTACGTGTGGCAGCGCTATGCTGGATAATTTTCGTGCCTGATTTTATTTAATCATCATAAAAACTGGCCGAATAGATACAGTTAATCTCCCGATTTTACAGATGAAGACAATGAGGTCCACAGAGGCCAGATATCTTAGGCAAGATAATACCTCTCAATAAGTGGCAGTTTCTGAATTCAAACATAGTGCTGTCTGACTCTAGAAGTATCTCAGCCAGGCGCGGTGGCTCACGCCTGCAATCCCAGCACTTTGGGAGGCCGAGGCGGGCGGATCATGAGGTCAGGAGATCGAGACCATCCTGGCTCATACGGTGAAACCCGTCTCTACTAAAAATACAAAAATTAGCCGGACGTAGTGGCAGATGCCTGTAGTCCCAGCTACTCAGGAGGCTGAGGCAGGAGAATGGCATGAACCTGGGAGGCAGAGCTTGCAGTGAGCCGAAATCGCGCCACTGCACTCCAGCCTGGGCAACAGAGCGAGACTCTGTCTCTAAAAAATAAATAAATAATAAATAAAAATTAAAAAAAGTATCTCACAAAAATCAGACGTAACATTTAAAGTATACTCCAATGCTTTTTGTCATTTGAATGACCCATGCATCAGACCTCCTGATCTGTCTTCTGCCTTCTGAGGGGCTAATTCTATTCCACTCTACCCCATAGACTTCTTTTCAAAGCTATTAAAGTTTTTTATATTTTATAGAAGACTGCCTTTCCCCTTTAATTTACAGTATTAGAGTGAGATATTCTAGCACTTCTGAGTTATGTGTACTTCCATTGAATAAGGCTTCTTTTCTCTTTCTCAATTTATATTTCCCTGTCTTTTCTGAAACTTGTTCTCTTATATCACGTGAAGCTCAGAAGCCCGGATACCCAATCTGAAGTTTGTCTCACCCACAGGCTCTCAGTTCTGGCTCCACGTTAGAATTACCTGGGGAGCTTAAAACAACAACCACCAAAAACCAAACAGTTCTCAGCCACCACCTAAACCACCAATTAAACTGATGCTTCATTATACTTTTGTTTTCCCCCCAACTTTTTAAGACATTTTGTAACTTACAGAAAATTTGCAAGAATAGTTCAGTGAACACCAGCTGTCCATGTATTCTTCACCTATCTTCACCAATTAACATTTTGTCACATTTACTTTCTCTTTTTTCTTTACTGTATTTACATATCTGCATATAAGGTATAAATATACATTTCTTTATTTTTGTTTTTTTGGAACCATTTGGGAGTTAGTTGCAAATATCCTCACACTTCATTGCTAAATACTTCAGCATGTACCTTCTAAGTTCAAGAGCATTCTCCTATATAACTGCACATGACTATCATATGTAGGGAATTTAACATGATAGAATCAACAATGTGTAATATTCAGTCTGTATCAAATTTTCCTAATTGTCCAATAATACTTGTAATAGCAATGCTTCCTCAAAATTTAGTACGTATAGGAATCACCTGACAATCTTGTTTAAACTGCTGTCTGATTCAGTATATCTGGGCTGGAGCCTGAGGTTCTGAATTTCTAATAAGCTCATAGGTTCTTGGGACCAAGTGTTGGGTAGAGCAGCCTTAAAATTGTTAGTTTTATTTTTTTTCCCCCATCCAATTTACAATTAAGCATCATTCATTGCAATTGGTTGTCATGTCTCTTTATTTAATCTCTTTTTAAAAATCTGATGTCTCTTTAAAAAAAATCCCAGGATTTTTTTTTCTTCCTTGTCATATACATGTGTATTTTTTGGAGACAGGATCTTGCTCTGTTGCCCAGGCCAGAGTGCAGTGGTGTGAACACAGCTCACTGCTTCCTTTTCCTCCTGGGCCCAAGTGATCCTCTCACCTCAGCCTCCTGAGTAGCTGGGACCACAGGCTCATGACGCCATGCCCGACTAATTTTGTAATTTTTGGTAGAGATGGTATCTCACCATATTATGTAGGCCGGTCTCAACTCCTGGATTCAAGCAATTCACTCACCTTGGCCTCCCAAAGTGCTAGGATTACAGGCATGAACCACTGCACCCTTCCCCATGTCATATACATTTTAAAAGAGTTCAGGTTAGTTGCTTTGTAGGATATCTTTTAAATTGGGGATTTGTTCATTTATTTCCTCCTAATTACTTTTAGATTAAACTTTTGTTTTGCAAAAATAGTACAAAGAAGATCAGTCAGTTATTTTAAAATTTACACAAGTGTTGTATAGATTTGCCCTAATGCCCTAACCAAACTATTCCATGGAGGTGCTCTTAAAGAATTAGTGAAAAGGGAAGAAAAATAATTTGCGAAGAACCTCTGCTCTGTGAATTTTACAAAAATTAGCATTTCTTGTACTCTTTGAAGGACAAGAGAAGAACAGTGCCCAATTCCTGTGAGTCTAAATGAAAACAATTTGTTTAGTTATAAATAATTCGTTTATACAAAAGGCTCTTTTAACCTATGTGTTTTGTACTGCATGTGTGTTCTAGCTATGGAGGTATTTATGGGAGTAGGAAATACTGCATTATGATTGCATTTATGACATCTGTTTAAAAAAAACTGAATTTGTTTTGAAAATTGACAAAGCATAGAAAGTAGATGTTCATGTATGAAATGCCCTGGCATGATGCGATATAGTAGTCTCTCATAAGTACTCCCTTGTAGAGACTCCGACTCCCTTGGTCATAAAGAGTGGAGTAGTGCTAAATGTTTTAACTGGCTCCTTTCCCCCACCTTGTTCCCCTACCCCAAAAAACAAATGGGAAAAAATGCAAAACAAAACAGCTCTGTTGGTTCACATTTGTCATTTGCTGTGAAGCAAATATTTTCTCTACGGCCAATTTCAAACTATAAATGTGACGTCAGTATTCTTGCAAAATTCCTGAAAATTTGCCAATTCTACGTGCTTATCTGAGCCCACTCCAGTATATTACCGGTTTTAAGGAGAGAAACCCAACTCAATTTGATTTAAGGGAAAACTGGAATTCTTGGCTTATATAATTAAAGAGATTAGGGACAGAACTGACCTCAGACCCAGCTGGATCCGTGTTTCCTTCACCAACCCTTAGTTCTGAGCTAGGTGTCCTTCTCTATGTACTACAGTTACTCCAGAAGCTCCAGAACTAGATTTTGGAAGCAGAATAGGCAAATATTAAGAATAGTAGCTCTAGCTCAGATTAGTTTGAAATATCAACCTACCACATATTTGCCACTGTAAACATGGGCAACTTAATGTCTCTCTGGCCCAATTTCTTCATCTGTATGGTAGAGATAGTAATAGTACCTGCATTGGGTTTTAGACATTTAACAGATTAATACTCAATTGTTTAGAATTCTTGGCAAAGAGTGAGTAATCAGTGTTATCATTATCAATTGTTTAGAATTCTTGGCAAAGAGTGAGTAATCAGTGTTATCATTATCATCATCATTCTAAATTAATCTCAGAAGAAGTAAGTCCTTCTGCAACTAAAGCCCAATTATTGAATGTCATCTAATGGTGTAGAAAATGTGCTCATCCCTAATAGTTGTTCAAGCTAGGGGATGAGCTAATCTTTGGGTCCCAGGGGTCATCCTCACTCACACTAAGTTGATTGAAAATGGGAAAAAGGTTATTCCCTTAAAAAAAACTCTGATACACTTTACCTAAGAGAAATAAAATGATTACAGGACAAGCAAAAATAATAGGTAATCACTACATAATATATAAAAAATATGTCTTTCAGAAGAATCATATGAAATATATGTGATCACCCCAAAGTTGATCATAGTGACATGAAGTTATGCTTTTGGTAGAAAAATCAAGGTGACAAAAATTATCTATGTGTAAATTCATGTAAAGTACATTATAGTAGTTTCTTAAAATGCAAAGACCATTAGTATTTGTGATCTCATAGGAAAGTTGCTCAAATCAATGAAGATATAATAATACATGTCAAATTCAGCACCCTTTTGTTTCAACCATTGTAGAGAGGTAAACTTAACCAGTGTCTGAAGTTTTACTGCATTACTTGGTTGTCAAGTAATGCACTTGAATTATTTATTTCATATTTCTAATTGGGTAGTTTCTGTTAACTATATGTGCTCTTTCCCATCCTATCTCTTTCTCCTTCTGATATGTATTTAAACACATTAAATAGAAAGGTGTGATGAGCAGTGGTCTTTATTTTTGATGAAATATCCACTACAACATTTTTGATTAAATTTTTTCATTATAAGTTTAGTTGAAATGGTGTAACTTTCAACATTTTATCAATATTGGCTTTAAAAGTAAAAATTTTCTCATTATAAATGTATCTAATGACATCTTGCCGTAATGATTCCATTTATAATCTTATAAATGGAATAATCTTATAATCTTATTATAAGATTATAATAATTTTAATCTTATAATCTTATTATAAGATTATAATAATTTTAATCTTATAATCTTATTATAAGATTATAATAATTTTAATCTTATAATCTATTTAAAAAATACAAGAATAATAATCTCAATTACAACTAAACAGGTTCTAAGACTTACATGGAAGTGCAAAGAGCCAGAAATAGTCAAGAGATGCTTGAAGAAGAGCAAAATAATAGAACTTGTTCAACCAGATTTCAAGGCCTATGAAGTGATAGAGATTAGGACAGTCTAGCACTGGCCACAGGATAAACAAATTGGTGAGTGGGACAGAGTAGATGGAAACAGACCTTTCCATAGATGGACACTTGATTTGTTAGGTGAACATGATAACCACTACATTATGGAAACGGATTGGACACTTGATTTGTAGTAGGTAGCATGGATGAGTAATGGGTGGTCTTTTCAGTTAATGAGGGAAAAATGGACTTCTCTCTCACACAATAGATACAAATCAATTTGAGTCAATTATTGATCAAAATGTAAAAGGCCAATATTTGAATACTTCAAAAGATAATAAGGTCACAAAATATTGACCATTTCAGAGAATATGAATAAATTTGGCTGCACTGAAATTAAAATTTGTATTTATCAAAAACACCATAAAAAAGTAAAAAGATAAACCACCAAATAAGATAATATTTGCAGCATGTGTGCTTATGTGACTCCAAGGAAAGACCTGAAGTCAATACTTGAATACAAATCAACAAGAAAGGCCAGAGAACCTAATGGAATAGGTTTTTCTGTTTTACCACTATTGAGATTTTGGACTGGATAGTTCTTTGTTGTTGGAACCTATCTTATGTATTGTAGATTGTTTAGCAGCATCTTTAGCTTCTACCTACTAGATTCTAATAGAAATCTCCTCGTTGTAACAACCAAAAATATATCCAGACATTGTCAAATATTTCCTAGTACGTAGGGAGTAAAATTGTCTCTGCTTGAGAACTGCTATCATAGAACAATAAACAGAAAGCTTATAAACAGGCATTTGAAAAGGAAGAAATTAAAATGTAAACAAACAAGATGATCAGTCTTATTAATAGTTAGGGAAATCCAAACAGAAAGCACTTTGAGATATAATATACCCATATTATTGGCAAATATCAAAAATTCTATCAATTCTTGGTGAAGACAAAGAACATTAGGAATTATTGTGCACTGTAGAAGGATATATAAACGGATACGAGTACTTTGGAAAACAGCCTAACATTATCTTGTCCAGTTAAAATTATGCATAACTTAGGACCAAGCAATTCCACTTTTGAAGCATATATCCTAGAGAAATCCATTACTGTGTACATCTGGATACATGTATTAAATACAAGAATGCACGTAACAGCAGTTTGTAATGGCCAAAGGCTAGAAACCGTCAAATGTGCAACAACAGTGGAATGCATAAATAAAGTGTGGTACATTCATTCAATACTAGACAGTGATGAAAATAGGAGAAACAGGTGAGTAAGGATGTATTTAACAGATAAAATTAAATGAAAGAAGGCAAGAAAGAATAGATATGGCTTAACTCTATTTATAAAATGTTCAAACATAAGCAAAATTAAACTTTATGTTTAGGGATGCATACTTGGTAGTGAGATCATAAGGACAAACAAAAAGTGATTACAATAGGTTAGGATGAAGATACCTATTGTGGGTATGGGGAAGGAAAATTGTGTGAATGAAGAGGATGTTTAGGAGGCTATTATTACATGACTTAGGTGTTGGCTTTGTGATACTTGTTACAATATATATTTTATAGTTTCTGTACTTTTCTGTGTATGTGTTATATTTCACAGTTTTAAATAGGTAAAAAATGCTTAAGCAAACAATTCTTTATTTAAGAATTATATAAATAATTCTTTATATTAAGAAACAATTCTTTATTTCCTTCTGTTAAAACTATTGCCACTTAGGACTATTCACAATAGCAAAGACATGGGAATCAAGCTACATGCCCAACAATGATAGACTGGATAAAGAAAATGTGGTATTAATACATATACACCATAGAATACCATGCAGCCATAAAAAAGAATGAGATCATATTCTTTGCAGGGACACGGATGGAGTTGGAGGCCATCATCCTTAGCAAACTAATGCAGTAACAGAAAAACAAATACTGCATGTTCTGACTTACAAATGGGAGCTAAATGATGAGAAAAATGGACACATAGAGGAGAACAACACACACTGGGGTCTACCAGAGGGTAGAGGGTTGGAGGAGGGAGAGGATCAGGAAAAATAACTAATGAGTACTAGGCTTAATACCTGGGTGATGAAATAATTTGTACAACAAACCCCCATGGTACAAGTTTACCTATATAACAAACCTGCACGTGTACCCCTGAACTGAAAAGAAAAGATAAAAAAAAAAGCTATTGCTGTTTAACTTTCTTCACATATCTTTACCCTAACCTAATATTTTTATGCTTGAGTTTATTGATCACCTATTAAAATTAATATAACAAAAATATATATAAATTTAAATTTTCATTTTTTTAAACGATGATAAAGTTCCACTTTTAAAGCCATATGGTCTTTAACATGCCTTTAGGATTGAATTATTATTACAATTATCACTGGCATTTAATTTATTAAAACAACAATTACATTACAAATATTGATAATTATTGCATATCAAAGTACAATTATATAAGAAAATTACCTCTTCATTAGGTGAATTAATGATCAAAATTATTCTTATCTGTTTATAAAACAAAAAAAGGTATATATTGCTGCCATGGCTTGTTTGTATTTCTCCAAAATCCATGTTGAATATGAATAGGATTAAGGCCTTCATAAAAGAGGCTTCACACAGGGCTTGGCCCTTTTTGCCCTTTTGCCCTTCTGCCTTCTTCTGTGTGAGGACACAGCATTTATCCCCTCCAGAGGGCACAGTAACGAGGCACCATCTTGGAAGCAGGGAGTCCTCAATAGAGACCAAGCCTGCCAGTGCCTTGACCTTAGACTTCTCAACCTCCAGTACTGTGATAAATAAATTTCTGTTGTTTATAAATTACCCAGATATTTTGTTACAGCAGCACAAATGGACTAAGACACTTGCTAAAAACTAATATTCAGAACGAGCAGGTTGTTCTAATATTTGCTAAGTCAGTTACAATATAGTAAACATTTTATAAACTTAAATAAGATGAGGACTCACTTCAATTAGAAGATTTCACAATATTATAAAAGAGATCTTAACTATCTCAATTGGAAGATTTTATTTGAAAATTGTATCTATGGGTTTTTTTCTAAGATATTGTGAACAATTTGGCAAACTTGTAAATAATTCTACTTGCATTTAAAAAATTGTGATGACTAGATTACTTTCAGAATGATGTTGCGAAGAATTCCATGAACCTGTTCCCTAGTGAAATAACAATTGATTTCAATGGTTGATGAAAATTATATGTTAAAAATGTTTCCAAGTGTTAAGAAATTGTCCTAAGGGCATACAGCAAATGAAATCGTATTAATTCAATAAAATATACTAAAGCCAGTAAAAATGGCAAGTCAGTTGTATTGGAACCACCACCCACTCCTTTCACCACCTCTCTGTTTAGTGTGACAGAAGCTCTACTCTGAATGGATACAGCCAAGAACACAGAGCTCTTTCTACGTCCAGCTTCCAGTCAAGAACTATAGTACCTTTCTGGGGGGAGAAAGCTGCTAACATTTCTCATCCTCTCCAATTCCCAACTCCATGTTGCTAGAGCTCTATTTTTCAGGCCTGAATCTTGTTTTCATCCAGCCCCAAGCATAAAGCAAAAGTTCTATCCCACGTGCAGCAGGCTAGGAATAACAGGACCTCAATTACCTTTGCCTCAGTTGGAGCATGGATAGAGGTCCCATGCCAGGAGGCACAAGTTGTAAACACCAGAAATTACCACCCCTGCTTTGTGCCCCAATTTTAAAACAGGGCGTCACTCCAAAAGAATTAAGTGACTGTCCTTGCTCTTAGCATTAGCACTGAGATTTTGTGCAGGCAGAGAGTAGAAAACTCTGAAGCTCTCGGAAAGAGAACTGAATTTATTTGGAATAGAACATAGTGTGGGGAAGTTTAAGATTAGGGACGCTCTGAAAACAATGGTGATTGGGGATAAGCAATTAAGAGGAGGCTAGTAGCTCCATGAGAGCAGCAAACTAAACTGTAAACCAGCTAGAAGTTTACCAAAGACAACCCGGTAAAGACACAGTTAAAAAGAGTTCTTTTGGGCCAGGCGCGGTGGCTCACGCCTGTAATCCCAGCACTTTGGGAGGCCGATGTGGGCGGATCACGAGGTCAGGAGATCGAGACCATCCCAGCTAACACGGTGAAACCCTGTCTCTACTAAAAATACAAAAAATTAGCGGGGCGTGGTGGCGGGCGCCTGTAGTCCCAACTACTAGGGAGGCTGAGGCAGGAGAATGGCGTGAACCCGGGAGGCGGAGCTTGCAGTGAGCCGAGATTGCGCCACTGCACTCCAGCCTGGGCGACTGAGCAAGACTCCGTCTCAAAAAAAAAAAAAAAAAAAAAACCAAAAAAACAAAAAAACATAGTCCTTTGTCAATCTTTAGTCTACTACTTCTGATCTATTAACAGCTCCTGGCCTTCCATTTCTAGTTATCCCAGAAGGGGATACTGGAACACCTTGCAGGTAACTACTGGGCAGGCAATTTCGCCTGGTGTTTAAAAACATGGATTCTCGCTTGAACCGGGGAGGCGGAGCTTGCAGTGAGCCAAGATAGCGCCACTGCACTCCAGCCTGGGCGACAGAGCGAGACTCCGTCTCCAAAAAATAAATAAATAAATAAAATAAATAACATAAAATAAAAAGAGTTCTTTTGGGATTGGAACAAACTTGAAAGATTGGGCTCAAAGCTTAGCTCTGCAAAGGAGTCAATTTACTTGGGTTAAACTGTGGAGCAATTTATGCCCTAGTGCATTGATGAAAACAATGGGGCATTACACCAGCAATGAATGGAAGCTAACATCTCAGTGTGATACCAACAGAGGTGGACAGCTTAACAGAGAAACCAGGGAATGGAGCAAAATGAGCCCTGCTAAAGTCCGTGTTATCCCTGTTAACTGTGGACATGCCAAGGCTACATCCTCTGAGGAATGACAACAGAGGCTGCATATTGTGGGAGAAAATAAATTTTACTAAAATATTCCAACAAAGTCACTCAAAAATTAAAAAGCAAACAACAAGCTTCAGGTTTAGGATGAGAAGTCAATATTCAGAGTTGCTACAATGTATTATCACACATGTTGAGCTTTCAATAAAAATTATAAGACATGCAAAGAAACAGAAAATTATAATCCACATACAGAAATAAAGGAGGCAACAGAATGCTTATGAGAGGATTGTGATGTTCAACTATGCATTGATTTTTTTTTTAACTTTTATTTTGACTTCAGGGGTACAGGTTTGTTTGTGCAAGTTGGTTCTAAAGATAAATTGCATGTCCTGGGGTTTGATGTACATATTATTTCGTCACCCAGGTTATAAGCATAGTACCTGATAGGTAGTTTTTCAATCCTCACCCTCCTCTCACCCTCCACCCTCAAGTTGGACCCAGTGTCTGTTCTTCCCTTGTTTGTGTCCATGTGTACTCAATGTTCAGCTCCCACTTGTAAGTGAGAAGGTGCAGTGTTTTGTTTTCTATTACTGTGTCAGTTCGCTTAGGATAATGGCCTCCAGCTCCGTTCATGTTGCTGCAAAGGACATTATCTCATTCTCTTTTATGGCTATGTAGTATTTCATGGTGTATATGTGCCACATTTTCTTTATCCAGTCTACCATTGTTGGGCATTTAGGTTGACTCCATGTCTTTGCTATTGTGAATAGTGCTGTGATGAACATACACATGCATGTGTCTTCATGGTAGACTGTATATACCCAATAATGGGATTGCTGGGTCAAATGGTATTTCTGTTTTAAGTTCTTTGAGAAATTGCCAAACTGCTCTCCACAATGGCTGAACTAATTTTACATTCCCACTAGCAGTGTATAAGCATTCCTTTTTTTCTGCAGCCTTGCCAGCATCTGCTATTTTTTTAGCTTTTTAATAATAGCCATTCTGATTAGTGTGAGATAGTATCTCATTGTGGTTTTGAGTTGCATTTCTCTAATGATTAGTGACTATGAGCATTTTTTCATATGCTTGTTGGCTGCGTATATGTCTTCTTTTGAAAAGTGTTCATGAGCAGACAATGATTTAAAGCAGTAATTATAATATGTCCAAAGACCTAAACTCCTGCATAAAGAAGTAAAGAACGGTATTATGACAACATCTCAACAATAGAGACTATCAATGGGTAAAAACTACGAAAAAACCCTAACAAATTGAAATTTTGGAGTTGAACACACAATATCTGAAATGGGAAAAAAATACTATAAGGGATCAAGGGTAGATTTGAGAACTGCAAAAGAAAGAACCAGTAGATTTGAAGATAAATCAACGGAGATTATACAATCTGAAAAATCAAGAGAAAAATAAATGAAAAAAAAGATGAACAAAGCCTAAGAGAAATATGAGGCATTTTACCAAAATGTAAGGAAAGAAAAAATAATGGCTGAAATTCCCCAGATTTAATTAAAAAATTAATCTGCATATACAAGAAGCTCAACAAACTCTAAGTTGGATATACACAAATATACCTGCAGCCAGACACATCATATGAAAAAAGATAAATACCAGTGATAAAGGCAAATTCTGGAGAACAACAAGATAAAAATGTTTTATTGCATATAATAGAACCCCAGTATGATTAACAGCTACCTTCCCGTCAGAAACAATACAGGCAGTAATCACTGTAGACTGAAAGAAAAAAAATTGTGGCAATCGAGAATCTTTGTCCAGAAAACTAGTTTTAAATGCTGTATTTCAAAAATAAAAAGGCAAACAAAGACATTCAAAGAAAACAAAAACTGAGAGAATTTGTTGCCAGTTTGTCTACCTTAAAAGAAATACTAAAGGAAAACTTTCAGGTGGAAAGCAAGTGACCTGAGTCAGTATTTCAAATCCATATGAAGAAACAAAGTATGCTGATAAAGGTAGTTGTGTAAGTATAAAACTATCATAAGGGCATATTTCTTTTCCTTCTATAATCTGATTTTAAAATTTTATAAAACAATACATACAATTTTTTTTAGTCTGTTACATTTAGAAATGTAATATATTTAATAATAGCCACACAAAAGAGGCAGATGGAAGCAAAACTGTATGATGACAAAGAAATGACACCAGATAGTAACACAAATCCATAGGAACAAATGATGAGAATTAGAAATTATAAATAAAAAGGTTAATAGTCTCTGTTTATAGAACAAACTATAAATACCTACTTGATCTTTTTCCCCTCTTAGCTCCTTTAAGAAACATACAATTATCTTAAGTAATAATTATAACAATGTATTACTGGGTTTGTCATGTATAGAAATGTAATATATGTTACAATAGTAGCACAGAAAGGAGGAAGAGGGCATAGAGCTATATAGGAGTAACCTCTTATATCTATCTCACTGATGTTAAATTAGTATAAAAGTGAAATAGATTCTGATGTTAAGAAGCATATAGTAAGCCATAGAGCAACCTAAGAAAATATTATAAAAATGAAGAATTAAAGGAATTTAATATTATACTAGAAAATATTCATCAGTGTAAAAGAAAGAGAAACAGCAGAACATGAAACATATAGAAAACAAAGTAAAATAGTGTACCTAAATCCAACTATATCAATAATTATATTAAATGTGAATGGGTAAAAAATTCAATCAAAAGGCAGAGATTGTGAAAATAAAATTAAAGATAAAACTATATGCTGTCTACAGAAAACACTTTTTAAATTCAATAGCCCAAACAAGCTGAAAATAAAAGAATGGAAAATATATACCATGCAAACAATTATAAACAAGAAAATAAAAGACTCGAACAACTGTAAAGCAACTAGACCTAACAGACATCAGCAAAACACTCCATTTAACAATTGTAAAATACACATTTTTCTCTAGTGCACAAGAAACATTTTCCAGTATAGATCACATTCTAGGTGATAAGGTAAGCCTGAATAAATTTAAAATGATTGAAATTGTGCTGTGTATGTCTTCTGAATATAATGGTTTTAAAAGTTGAGAGAAAAAAATTGAGACATTTACAAATATATGGAAATTAAATAGCACACATGTAAATAACCAAGAAATCACAAGAAAATTACAAGGGTAATCAGCCAATACTTTGTGTTTAGTAAAAGTAAAACATAGCATACCAAAACTCATGACATGAAGTAAAGCAGTGCTTAGAAGAATATAAGTTGTAAATGCCTATATATTTTTTAAAAATCTCGAATAGATAACCTAGACTTATACCTTAAGACACTGGAAAAAGAAAAGCACATTAAACCTAAAGCAAACAGAATGAAGCACATAATAAAAATTAAAGCAGGAATTAATGAACTAGAGAATATGAATAAAGAAAACCAATAGAGAAAATCAGGGAAATCAAAAGTTGGTTATTTGATAAAATCAGGAAAATTAAAAATCTTTAACTTGACTGACCAAGAAAAAAAGAGATAGGTTGAAATTACTAAAATCAGAAATAAAAAATGAGACATCACTCCCAATATTATGAAAATAAAAAGAATTAAAAGGGAATAATGTGGACAACTATATTTCAACAAATTAGATAACTTATATAAAATAGACAAATTTCTAGAAAGACACAAACTACCATCACTGACTCTAGAAAAAAAGAAAAAAATTGAATACATCTATAGGAATAAAGAGATTGATTGGGTATTTGAAAACATTGCCACAATTAAAATCTGGGCTCAGATGGCTCCAATACTGAATTGTAACCAACATTTAAAGAAAAATTAGTACTAATTTGTCATAAATTCTTCCAAAAAAAAAAAAAGATGATGCAACACTTTCCAACTCATGTCTATGAGATGTTCTAAGACATCAGACGAAAACTGCAGACCAAACTTTTCCTATGAATATAGACACTGAAAAATACTCAACAAAATTCGATTACACTAAATCTGACAGCTTTAAAATGGGATTATATTCCATAACTAAGTGAGATTAACTCAGAAACAAGGTTGGTTTAACTTCCCAAAATCAATTTCTGTAATAATAATAATAATAATAATATACCCACAATAATATAATAAAGAGCAAAAGACACATGATCATCTTAACAGATGAATAAAAAACAGTTGATAAAAATTTGACACACATACGTTATAAAAAATATTCCACAAGCTAGAAACAGAAGAAAACTTCTTCAACCTGATAAAGAATATATATGAAAAATCCACAGCTGATAGCATACTTGATGAAATACTGAAAGCTTTACCCCTAAGATTGGGAAGAAGACAAGGTTGTTCATTCTTGTCATTTGCAGTCAAGACAGGGAAATTGTTGCAACATCATCAGCTAAAAGGCTTCTGTATTGGAAAGAAAGAGCAACATTATCTCTATTTGCATATGGCATGATCTTTTATTTAGAAAATTCTAGAAATCTAAAAATTATTAGAAATAAATTTAGCAACATTGCAGGATACAATATTAATATACAGTAATGGATTGTGTTTCTTTACAGTAGCAGTGAACAAACTGAAAGTGAAATGAGAAAAATCCCACTTACAATAGCATCAAAGAGGAAAAAATATTTAGGAATTAATTTAACATAAGATGTGCAAAGTTTATATTCGAAAACTACAAAAGATTGTTGAAAGAAATTAAAGAAAACCTTGAAAAACAGAGATATCCTTGTTCATAGACTGACTTTGTGGTTGGTATGCCAGTATTCTCCAAATTGATCCACAGGTTTAATGTAGAATTTATCAAAATCCCAATGGACCTATTTGCAGAAATTGAGAAGCTGATTCTAAAATTTATATGGAAATTTAAGGGACCCAGAATAGTGAAAAAAAATCAGGAAAATGGAAACCAAATTTGGAGGACTTACACTTCCTGATTTCAAAATCTACAAGTTACTACAAAACTGAAGTAATCAAGACTATATGGACTAGCATAAAAATTGATCTATATGTCATTGAGACAGGATTGTAAGACCAGAAATAAACTTTTATATCAATCAGTTTATGCTCAATTGATTTTCAACAAGGGCATATAGATCATTCAATGGGGAAAAGAATAGTATTTTCGACAAATGGTGCTAAGACAACTAGATAGTCACATGCAAAGTAATTAAGTAGCACAACTGCATCACATCATAAACAAAAATTAACTCAAAATGGATCAAAGAACAATATTCCATTTTGGAACATTGGATCACTTTAAAAAGGAAATCCACACCCATTAACGGTTACCTCTCATTTCTTTCCAATGAAACATTGGATCACTCCAAAAAACAAACTCACATTCATTAACAGTTACTCCTCATTTTTTTCCAATTCCCAAAACCTACACAGTCACTACTTTACTTCTTGTTTCTATAAATATATCTATTTTTGATATTTTGTATAAATGGAATCATATAATATATTATTTTTTGTGAATGACTTTTTCCTCTTAGCATGTTTTCAAAATTCATCCATGCTCTCACATGCAACAGTACTTTATTACTTTTTATAGCCAGATAGCACTCCATTCTATGGATATGCCACATTTTATTTATCCATTTATCAGACAATGGAAATTTAGGTTGTTTCCACTTTTTGACTATTATAAATAATGTTGATATAAACATTTGTGTACAAATGATTACATTTGTATAATATAGACATATATTTTCACACCTCTTGGTATGTAGCTAAAAATGGAATAGATGGGACATGTGATGACTCCATATTTAACCTTTTGAGGAACTGCCTAATTGTTTTCTAAAGTAGCTGCAGCATTTTTCATTCCCAACTGCAGTGTACAAAGATTCTAGTTTCTTCACATCCTTGACAACACTTGTTATTGTCTTTTTAGTAAAGAAATTAATCATTGTAATCGTTGTAGTATGAAGTGATATCTCATTTGGTTTTGTTTGTTTTTGTTTTTGTTTTGAAACAGAGTCTTGCTCTGTTGCTGAGGCTAGAGTGCAGTGGCATGATCTCGGCTAAATGCAGCCTTAACCTCTCAGGCTTAAGTGATGCTTCCACCTCAGCCTCCTGAGTAGCTGGGACTACAGGTGTGCGCCATCACACTTGGCTAATTTTTGTATTTTTTTGTGGAGATAGGGTTTAGCCATGTTGCCCAGGCTGGATCTTATTTATTCTTTCTGTGTCACCTTGGGGTTCTGAGTGTTTCTTCATTATCTGGCTGAGAGGGCTGGGAACTGCTTTCCAGCAAAATCTGGGACTTGTTGGCAGGTGTTATCATGGCTCACCCCCATGTGCCAGGGGGCTGGCTACTTTTCATTGACTGCTTTTTCTTTTGGTGTCATATCTAAAAAACTTTTCATGACCTAAGGGTTCTTCTATGAGTTTTATAGTGTCAGATCTTTCATTTTGTTCTTACATCCACTTTGCATGAATTTTTGTTTCTAATGTGATGAAGTTGTGCAACTTAATTACTTTGCATGTGGCAATCTAGTCGTCCCGGCAACATTTGTTGAAAATACTATTTTTTCCCCCATTGAATGGTCTATGTACCCTTTTTGAAAATCAGCTGAGCATAAATTGATTCATATAAAGATTTAGTTCTGGTCTTGCAGTCCTATTCCAATGATACATCGATCTACTTTTATTTTTATGCTAGTCCAGATAGTCTTGATTACTTTAGTTTTGTAGTAATGTCCATATAAATTTTAGAATCAGCTTCTCAATTTTTGCAAATAAGTCCATTGGGATTTTGATAAGAGTTGTATCATACCTATAGATTAATTCGGAAAATATTGCCATACCAAATACAAATCAGTCCATAAACAAGGATATCTTTCCATTTCAACATTTCTTTAACTTCTTTCAACAATATTTTTATTTTATTGAAATAAGATAAAAATCTTTTTCAATATATATATTTTCAGAATCTTTTTCAGAATATAAATTTTGCACATCTTATGTTAAAATTAATTCCTAAATACTTTTTTCTCTTTGATGCTATTGTAAGTGGGATTATTTTTCATTTCATTTTCAGTTTAATCATTGCTAGTGTGTAGAAACACAATCCATTAATGTATTATTATTGTACACATTTTAAAATAATATATAGTTAATTAGGAGGGCAATGATTGATTGTTACATCTACTTATCATCACATATATCTTGAACAGACTGAAATGTTGCATTTTCTCTGCAGATATCACACTACAGAAAGAAATTCAGGAAGGAATTCCACTCCAGTCCCAGAGTCAAGAACCTCTGAAACCTCAGGAAAATATATCACGACCCATCCACCATCCTTTAGTTTTAAAAACTAATTTTGAGGAAGAAGAGGAAGTAGATGAACAAAATGGTTAGTAGAACTTTTTTCAGGTTTACAATACACATTCAAAAACCTCACATTTTTTACATATGTGTTTAACTGTAAAGGTTTATGATGTAATATATAAGGCAGATTTTGCTGAGAAAATAACTATAATTGTATTAAACTAATTTAATTCATTATGTTCTAATTTGCTACATATTTATGATCTTTTGGATTGGAAAGTTTTTGTTGTACGATAGCTGGGAGACAGATCTGATGCTTAAGTATATTTAGGTGCTTCATATACACCATGGAATACTATGCAGTCATAAAAAGGATGAGTTCATGTCCTTTGCAGGGACATGGATGAAGCTGGAAACCATCATTCTCAGCAAACTAACACAAGAATGGAAAACCAAACACCACATGTTCTCACTCATAGGTGGGAGTTGAACAATGAGAACACATGGACACAGGGAGGGGAATGTCACACACTAGGGCCTGTTGTGGGGTGGAGGGCCAGGGGAGGGATAACATCAGGAGTGATACCTAATGTAGATGACGGGTTGATGGGTGCAGCAAACCACCATGGCATGTGTTTACCTATGTAACAAACCTGCACGTTCTGTACATGTATCCCAGAACTTAAAGTAAAATGTATATCTATATAAATGTATATATATAGATATTTATATATCTACAGATGCTTATAGAGATACTAATAAGCTATGTTTTTTATATATGTTTCTAAAACATTGATGCACAAGTGTATCTGTTTATCTACATATGTATTAATAATATATCAGTTTCACATTTAATCCTGGAAGTTATAGAGATCTATGTAGTAGTTAATAATCTATAAATCACTGTCATCTGCATTATTCTAAGTCATCCTCACAAGAGTATGAACAGGCTTAGGACCCATGTCTTTTGCATTTTAGTTCATCCTTTGCCTCCCATATCAACCCAGCACAGTGGTGCCAGAAAGTGTGTATATACAAGATAAACATGAAGAAAAACTCTCGATCTGTCTTTGTGCTGGAATATGTCCTTCTATGGACTACGGGACACCATAGTTTCTGTGCTTAGGAGTACACTGAGCTATTTATTACTATTTCTGTGTGCTGCAGCTCCATGTCTCTCATGCCTACATCAACCTCGAAATAAACATACACCATCTCAACATTGAGTCTGTACATTCAGCGTCTCATTTCAAAGTACATAATACATAGCCCTTTGTTTTCTCTTGACATTGTTTTGAATACTTAAAATGTAGCAATTTGAAACATGTACTAGTATGTAAAATTATTGATTTTAGAAATATAAAAAAGTAATCTATCCATGAGAACAGTATTTGGGGTTTTCCTTTCTGGTTTATAAATTTTCAGATTAATTGGCTTTGGGACAATTTAATTTAAAAAATCTATATCCTATAGATGCTTCTAGTTTATGGACAAAGACCCCTGAAGAAATTGAAGAAAAAAGAGCAATAAAGGAGATGTGTTATAAATCTGGTAAGAAATCAAACATTTTTGTATTTTCTAATACTTGATGTGATAAATATACTAACCATTACTTTTCTTATGGTTGATTAGGGGAATACTACAGATTTCATACTCCTCCAGATATTTTGTCATCAAAAAGCATGACACCTACAGCAGAAAAACAGTTAGAAAAGCCTTTGGAAAATGGCAGTGAATTGCAAGAAGGTAAGAAATGAAAAGGCAGCATTCATAGTGATCTATAACATATACTTGGTGTGATAGACTGAATTATTTAGTATGATGTACAGAAGAATAAAGTGATAAATAATACATCGTAATTGAGCACTAGAAGAAAGTGTTTGTATTGGATGACCCAAAGCTGCTATTAATGGGATTATGTTATCCTAGAGAGGTGACAGAATGAATAGACTTCATTAACACGTAATGACACTACACACTCCATGGGGTAATGCTGTAAATAATTTGCTTTTACCATTTTATTTGTCTTTGAAATAAATCCCCCTGCCAAAGAGGTCTAGATTTTTCTTTCTGAATAGAAAAGTAAGACTAGCCCAAGAAGAACAAAAGAGAGATCACAGAATGACACTAGTGGCAGAACAGAGATTATTTGGTCATTGAATGAAAGTCTTCTGTGGACCAGACTATTTCAGAGGCCATGCTGGAGAACAAATCGAAGGCTCTGCTTTTTATGGCGCTTACCTTTGGAGAATCTGATTTACTGTGGATGAACATCTGCAATATGTTGTGCAAGTCTGTTTTGTAGCGAACTATTCAAACGTGGCGATAGGTGGCAGCAACACACCATCAGACGGAGAAGAGCCCGCAAACCTTGGGAACCATATAGGGAAGGACAGATTGCAGGCCAGCACTGCTCAGAGAAGAAAAAACAAAAGGAAACAAAAACAAAAGAAGAAAACAAGTTAGCAATGAACATTAAAAAGGGCAGATTATAAAGACAATTATATGTACTTTTGCTTTATATTATGCTTTAAAAGGCTGTTTATTTTTAAATAGTTTTGGTTAATTCCTATATACCCTTCACCTAGATTTCCTTCAAACGTTAGCATTTTACCACATTTGAATTTTCACTCTCTCTAAATATACACATTGTTATTATAATCTTCTGAATTGTTCGAGAGAATAAGTTACAGACATGATACCTCTTTGCTTTTACATTAACTGTAGTATAAATATAAAAATCAGAAAATAACCACTGATAGAATATCATTTATAACCTTCTTTTCCCACAAATTTTACCAATTATGCCATTAATGTGCTTTATAGTAAAATAAATTTTTTCCCCTAGTCTAGGATCCAATCCAGAATCACACATTGCATTAGGTTGTCATGTCTCTTTTATTTTGCTTTTAATAGTTTATTTTAGAAGAAAATTATCCAGAAATGCATGGGGAAAGCTGAGAGTATTATTTAATTATCAGTGTAGTTAGCATTTTGTAGTCAATAGTGACTCTAATACTTTTTATCTGATTGTTCATGGTGAACAGATAAAATCAAAAGTAATATTACAAAATTCCTTATATGAGAAACATATCAAACTAGATATATTATGTATATACAATAGTGTTAGATTGCTTACAATTTTTAATTGCCATTGAATAAATAATCCAAATAGGAGAATATACTTGCTTACTTCTTTGTTGACACAGAATTTAAAACTCATGTATTTATTAATTTATTGTTTATCAGATCACTGTGCAAACAATACTTGCATTAACTTTAAAGCTTTTTTACTTTCATCATGCATTCTATCATAAATTTCTTATTTAAGCATCTAATAATTTCTGGGGTGACTTTTTTTTCTTCTTATTTCTAGGAGATAGTCTTACAGTTCCGACAAAACTTAGCCAATATGAAAGGCAAGGTGAAATAAAAACATCATTGCATGGGAAACCAAAGACTGACATTGCTGCTTTTGAAAATGGAGGTGAGTTAATTTATTACTGATTGACCCTGAATATATCACCACATAATAAATGAGTCTGAATTTTATCTTTTACAACTAATTTTCTTTTTTTGTCCATGTCATGTTTAACACAAGAGTTTGGAGGTATATCACAAAATCAGTTGCTTTCAGAGACCAAAATCTCTGCCAAATACCTTGTGCGAATTTGTGTTCAGTGTATAAGACATTCCATTTTTCATATTTTAATGAGAAACCTGTGTGTGTGTGTGCATGTATGTGTGTGTGTGTGTGTCTGTGTGTAGGCTCAACTCCAGACTATAATGAATTCAGGTGTTATGTATGTGCTGTAATATACTATAACAGAGCTATAAATGAAGGAGGCACTTAATAAATCATTTGATTAAGTCTACTTTTTATTTATCTACTTATTTATTTATTTATTTATTTATTTATGAGATGGAAGTCTCACTTTGTCACCTAGGCTGGAGTGCAGTGGTGCGATCTCGGCTCACTGCAACCTCCATCTCCCGAGTTCAAGCTATTCTCCTGCCTCAGCCTCCTAAGTAGCTGGCACTACAGGTGCGTGCCACCACACCCGGCTAATTTTTGTATTTTTAGTAGAGACGGGGTTTCACCATGTTGGTCAGGCTGGCCTCAAACTCCTTACCTCAGGTGATTTGCCCGCCTTGGCCTCCCAAAGTGCTGGGATTACAGGCACGAGCCACCGAGCCCAGTGGACTTAAAGTCTACTTTAAAGGAGCTATATTCAAATATATATCATTTGTCATCACATTCTAACTGTGTATTATAGCTTAAATATTTTGGAACTGCTTTTTAGCATAAACATGTTGGAAAATCTGTCCTTTGACTGAAAATTCCAAGCGTTTGTTTTGAAAATATATAGAGATTTTGTGGGGAGGTTGAAAGGTGTGGCTGATGGGAAGAATGTGTGTGAAGAGTAGGAAGGAGGTTGAGAGCAGGTATCAGTAAGTACCAGTATCTCTTAGGCATATTGGTGATACTTTCTGCTGTCCTGGTGTCAGCCATTTTCTTCTGTGTGCCCCCCACTGCCCTTTTTTTTTGGTGCTAAGGTAATTTGATTATTTTTTCTCCTTTCTTACATCTGCAGCAGTTTTAGTCTAGCTGTTTTAGTCTAGCTGTAATTGTTTTAGTCTAGCTGTAATTGTTTGGTTGCCTTGAAGCAATAAGTTTTAGCTACAAATTAGAAACACTGGCAGTCTCTCCTAACGGAGTTCCCACTGTCTATTTAACCTATATAAGTGGGATCCACTTAACCCGAGCAGTTCTAATCGAACAGTTTGTTGAAATATCATTAAATCAGATAGCTTTTTTGGTTAATAAAAGGTTATTTTTAACCATTGATAGACTAATGGTTTCATATAAAAATAAACTTTCCTTCACGTTGTAACATTAATAATATATTACCTACTTTGTTGGGAGTTAGAAAATGTGAGAATGTCATTATACTGTCATTAGCCTAATATTAATAATATTGTTAGAGTAATGAACTAGTTGAAAAACCATACTAAAAGAATATTTAAAAAATTCCATTATCTGGTATACTAAGTTCTGGTATAGTCAAGCTTATTGATTTTCCAGGCATCATAATGTTCTCTGTGTCACTAGATAAAATAATCTTCTGGGTATGTGTATATGATAGATATATCTAAACATATTTAGGCTCCTGCATTCATAAGACATCTTTGAAATGAAGATGATCAAAACTGAAATTATAATTAATGAATTAGTATTCATTTCAAGAAAAATACTTGAGGCATTGTCTTGTCTTAATATTATTTTAATGTGTTATTGCACTTTAATAAAGTTCACAGATCTGAAGTGAATAGCTTGTTAAAATTTTACTTGTGTATGTATCAATATAACCATATTTATGGTACTCCAGATGGCTCTTTCTCTCCAAGTCAATAGTCTTCTCCCAGTGGTAACCAGTACTCTGGTCGCTATTACTATAGGCTAATTTTGCATTTTTTGACCTTTATATAAGTGGAAATATACAGTTTGAACTCTTAGTTTGGATTCTTTTACTTAATGCTCTTTGTATTAGACTGATCCATGATGTTGATTGTAGCAGTAAATCTCTATAGATAGATAGATATATACCACATATATACACACATATCTACATGTAAGACATATACTGTATATGTGTACATATATATGAAAACAAACGTGGGCATTTCTCTCTCTATGTATATAGTATATATATACACACAGTTGATACACACACAAACACACACACAATTGATTCTTGTTATTCCTGGTTGCTATATATAAAGCTGACATGAACACTGAATTAGCAAACACTGAACCATTGCTCCTCGGGGAACTATGTACACACACACATATACCTACATCTCACACAGATTATAATCTTAAATCGTAGAAATTACTCATCCTGGTATATTCTGTTTTCCTTATTTTACAAAAGAGAAAACAAAGTTCAGAAGTCTTAAGTGACTCTCTTGAGGTTGCCTCACTAACAAGCCTCAGAACTGGGACTCAAACCCCTTCCACCTCTCCCCAGAGCCAGAGCTTCTTCCACCATGCTGTGCTGCCCTCTCCTGTCTCCAGCCATTCTCTGATCATCTCTGTATGAACTGAAATGAGAATGCTGAGCACTGCCATTGTTAGACCTCAGCTAGGAATGTGCGGGTCCAGCAACTCAAAATTTTCACCACTCTGCGTACGTTTGCAAACAACAAACAAACATAAAAACAATGCATGAAAGCACCATGAGTATTGATATTGGGATTTGACAGACAATATTTCCAGTTTGGGACTATTATTAACATTCTTGTACATGTCTTCTAAAGGCCATATGCACACCTTTTCTTTGAGATTAGCTTGCTCTGTATCCTTACCCACAATTAGTATTTTCAGTCCTTTAACTTTAGCCTTTCTGGTGAGTGGCTAGTGGTACATCATTGTAGTTTTAATTTGTATTTCCTTGATGACTCATAATGTTAGCACCTTTTCATAAACTTATTGGCCATTTTGACTTTCTCTTTTGTCTGGTGCATTTTTAAGTCTCTAGCCCATTTAAAATATTTTTTTCTTATTGACTTCTCTAGATAAATCTGGATACTTTCTGACAACCTACTGTCCTGTTCACTAATTCTCTTCCTCTCTGCTCTTTAATCCGTATTTTAAATTCTAAATTTCTATTTGACCTTCTTATTGATTTTCTACTTAAATTCTCCATCAGTTCTCTATTTTGATAATGTTCTTGTTATTTTTTGCAACTTCCTGTTTGATTACGCTTGGATATCTTTCATTTTCCTCAGGTTTTTGCTCAATTGTCCTGTCTTACTATGCCTTCTAATATTTTATTTGATGCTGAACAATATGGATAAAAATTACATAGTGTATGAATGATGTTATTTCTCCACAGAGAAACTTTTCTCCTGGCAGGCAGCTAGACTATCAGCAGACCACCTTGATTCTGTGAAGGACTAGCTTTGGGCTTTATTAGGGATGATGCCGTAGATGATACATTATTTTTCCTTTCTTTGAAGGTATAGTCCTTATTCCTCGGACAAGACCCTTACCCCTAAAGCATTGCTTTACTGGGTTATCAACTGAGACATGGGATGTTCACCAAGATACCTCTACTCTGGCAAAGCTCGAATGCCAAATTTTACCTCCCAAGCAGTATGTAGATGCTGAAATCTCTGACCAGTTTTTAGCCTCCCAGATGCAGTTTTTGCTTATTTCCTAGGGTTCCACACTGTACCTGAAAAGTATGGGAGTCAGATAACAGTTTAAAGGGAGTTTTATGCCTATTTCAGAGGAACTTCTTTGTTGTTCTTCTTTTTTCATTTCCCCCTCAATTTCAAACCAATTAGATAGTCCCAGACTTTCGGCTCTTTCTTTTTCACCTCCTTGGTGTCGCTTTCTGCTTGTTATTTCCTTACATGATGAATTAGACATGCTTTCAGGGAAAAATCCGTAGTAAGTGTGGAGCGTAACTCCTTCAGGGAAAAAAGCCAGGGTGAATGTGAACATACAATTGACTTTGTGTCCTTCCATTGCTCTCAGGCATTGCAGTCACATGCATTGGGTTGTTTTCCAATCAGTTTGTTTTGGTATTTTATAGTTGTTTTTGGGATGAAAGTTATTCTAATAAAAGCCATTTTGGTCATGGTAGAAACCAAAAATCTTTTTGACATTTTTATCACTGGTTTTGTGTAAGCTCCTTGAGGCTAGGAACTGTGTATAATCAATCACTATAGATAAATCTCTGTAGTAGAATGCCTGGCACATTATGTGCACTCAGTAAATACTTGTAGAATAAAGGATGATATGTTCAAATGCATTGAATGACTGGGTGAATGTAGACATGTTTATAAAATTTACAGTTAACTGGAGGTTAATCTGTTGGAACAATGAGCCAAATCTTACAGGGTAACTTCAAGCAATGATAAACATACATTCTTACATTTAGGTACAAAACATTAAATAGTGGCTTTTCTTTAATTTGGGAAAAACCCAGTATGATGGCGTTTTTGAGGGGAAAATAGAGTGAGTTTTTTTGGCCACAATGTTTTACAACAATTTAGGCGTGTGTTTTCACTACCAAATAGCGATGGTAAAGTCACATTGGATTATTAGAGGCAGTATAGAAAGATAGTTAAATGTGATTTAAAGTACTCAGTAAAGGGTCAGATTCCTAGAAAATTACTCCATGAATGGCAAGTATTATTTTACTAGTTCTGCTGATTTCTCCACAGCTTAGTTCACATTTGGGTGTCATTTTAAAATAAGGTTATTTGAAACAAATATGTTAAGAAAAGGTAATGTATGGTGAAGAATTTTGGAATTTTGTATGTAACATTTAAAGCAACTATGGATATTTATCCTGGAAAATAGAAGTTCTTGGGGAAATATGGAAACTGCTTTAATATATCTGAAGATGTTATATGGAAGATAAATTACATTTACTCTGAGTATCTCTAAAGGGTGGGACTAAAGATTATTATACATTAAGGAAAATTTTGTTGACTCTGAATTTTCTTGCAATTATCTATATGTAAGTTTACATACTGCATATTCATATACATATATATTAATACTCATGTATTAATCTAAGCATATAAATGTATGGAGATGGATATGGTATCACTGAGAAGTGTCCAAAGAAAGGTGAACAAAAGGGGTATTGTAGAAAATGTTCCTGTATTGAAAGCTAGTTTGTATCACTTTCTGCCATTGTTGCCACTGACAGTAAGGTTTTGTCATAGGAGGTGACTGTTATGTTCCACAGAGGGTCATATTTCTTGGAGTCGATGAAAGTGAAGCTTTAACTGAAGAGAAAGAAATCACCATATCAAAATGTTCAAATACTAAAGGTAATGAATATTATATAATTTTGATTCATTTGTAATTTGGCTAGGCAAGTTAAAGACAAGCTTGCTTGTTATAAAAACCAATAGAGGAATGGTAATAAATCAAAATATACACTGAATAGGAGTCAAGAGCTCTAAGGTTCCAGTCCTGGCTCTGCCCCTAACTGTATGACCATTTTTTTGTTTTCTTACCTGAAAAATAGCCTGTTGGACTGTATAATTTCTAGTATTGCTAGTTCTAAAGTTACTGGTTCTCTTAAATGGCAATACCAAGTCCTTTAATTTATAATATCAGTATAAATGAATTTTGTTAGAAAACGTTGTTTGTGAACATTGTGAAGAGTTTAATCTCAAAAAGACTTTTGTATTTTATAATTGTTGCTAACACTAGTCTGTGAATAATCAAGAGATATGATAAAATACATCCTCTATAGTTTTACACTGCCCTTAACTGTACTTAAAATCCACCAGCTGTTATCTCTCTGCTGAGTGCCTCTCAGTCGCAGACTAAAAGTACAGCTGTCCTGTAATTAGGGGGCTTCACATACTTTCAATCAAAATGTAAACCCATTTTATCTACCATCTCTACCATTAAATATCTCAAGCATAGGAAAGGTTGCCTGTGATCAAATCATTTTCGTGGAAAATTGTAAATCTTTCTCTCATTTTCTCAGTCAGAGATGGAAAGGTTTTCCCCAGTCCATCAAAGAAACTCTTAAAGCTATACTAATATGGTAGCCACCAGCTATTTATGACTCTTTGAATTTAAGTTAAAGCTGAATAAAATAAAAAATTCAGTGTTTCATTGGCACTAGCCACATTCCATGCGCTCAATAGTCACAGGAGGCTAGTGGCTGCCATATTGAACAGCACAGATTTAGAACATTTTCATCATTGTGGAAAGCCCTACTAAGGAGTCCTGCTCCAAAGCATATAGCAAGTTAAAGTTGTTACATTTGAAATATTTTCAGAACCCCAATTTAAATGGGACCATTCAATGTAAAAATGTAAAACCTTTTAAATCTTTTGTATGGAGATAGTAAAAATACTGCCACGATTTTTTATTTACATATTGAAAATAATGGCTATAGTTTCCGAGTTTTGTTTTGTTACTCATGACATTTTGAAATCCACGTGGCAACTAGGGAATGTTAATGATGCTTTTCTCTCAATTCATAAATATATATATTATTTTAAAGAGGTGTTCCCATTATGTAATGTTTGAATAGTGAAATAACAACTGAAATGCTTTTTTTAAAAACTAATATTGACATTTTATTTTCTTAATTTGCTTTAAAAGATAACAAGGACAGTCCTCATCCAAAGCATTCCCTAACTACCCGACTAGTACCTACAACGCATGTATTAAATGCTACTGAGAATATCAGTATGAAGTGCAGAGAGGACCCCTCTTCAAGTGAGACATTAGCTCTATCACTTTTTGGCCTCAGATATATTTGTCTTACCATGGATTTGTTTTGCTTATTTAAAATAGAATTTTAAAAAAGAAAGAAAAAAGGTTTAAAAATTATTCAGAACTAAGAATTAAAGACACAATATCCTCTACTAACTAACTCTGACAATGAGCTGTGATGTAGGTCCTAGTAAATTATATGCTCTCCCACTAGTTTAATTTTGGTATTAAAATGAATAATACACTACCTTTTTGGAAGATTCACTAGCATAACCTTTTAAATTGCGCCCATAGTGGAATAATACATTGGCAGCTTTTTATTATGTTTTGGATTATTTTTTATTAGTTTGGCTTCTCACTGACATTCGGTTCAGTGAGCTACTTCTCTTGATACAGTTAAGACTTGTGAATCTTCCTGATCCCTTCCCTTCTTCCTTCTGTTCCTTGTTTTATTTATTGAACCCCTATAATATTCTTGGATCGCAGCCTGGCACTGATGGGAATACTTGTGATTTGCCCTCAAGAAGCCCAGTTCAGTGGCACTTGTTAAAAATATGGATTCCAAATCCTTGCACTGGGAGCTTGGGAGTGGATCAGGGGCATGATGTTTGAGGAGGAGACAGTGAATCAGAGCTTTATTGAGGGCTTAAAGCTAAAGCTGAAAGTTAGGGCACAGAAAGATTAATTAGTTTACTGTAGAGAACTAATGTAGTCTACACTGTACACTTGATGTTCAGTTTCTCTGTGCAGCGGTCACTTGTGAATTTTCAGGAGCCTTGCACAGTGAAGTAACAGAATGCCCCCTCTACAAAATTGTTTTAAGATTCTCTGGAGATATGTACCATAGAAATTCCTGAAAAATTGAGAATACATATAAAATATTGATGTAAAAATATACAAAGTGAAAAATTTAATATTCTTAGAACTTATAAATTCTGATTGCTCAATCTTGACCAAACTATCTGTACACCCAATTTAAGAGCTTAAAATAATAAGGTAAAGTTCACTGAAAGTATTTTACATTAATCCAACTTCTTAAGAAGTAGTAGTTTTGGCTAAAAAAGTACAAAAAATTCATGTTGAAAATAAGAGTTCTAAAACTATTTAACAATAGCATTATAATGAGATTTATAATTATATTTTGAATGCAATTTTATGTTCCTTTAAAAGAATCCACACATTCCTTTGGAGGAAAGTGTTTTTCTTTGAGGAAAGCTACTTATTGAAAGTTATTTCATCAATCTATTTCCAAGATAGATTTTTTTGGCACTTAAAAATAAATCACCTTTTGTTCTAAAAAGTAAAGTGTTAGGATGGTGCATTTATTTTTTCCTCTTGCTTGACATGTGAATGCACAGATATGTAATTATCACCTACAGTAATTTCAGAGATGAAAGCATCTCTTAAAAAATTGTAAAATTTGTATCTTTTCTAAGTGAATGATGTCCAGCCAGTGAAGAAGCCTCATTTTAAAGGTGTGAAGAAAAGAAAATGGATTTATGATGAACCACAGAACTTTCCTAACTCTGGAATGCAGAGAGGTAAGGTGTCTATATATTTGATATTTCTAAATTGTAATTTTAAAAGAGATTAAATATCAAATATCTTCTACCTGAAAAACAAATTACTGTCATGTGACGTAAATGTTACTTTAGGGGTCAACTCAACTTCTCTAAACTTAATTATTTTGGCTTCTATTGGCTTCCATTATGCTATGAAGTATTTGCAGTGCAATATGTTATTTATGGGTGTGAAACCAGCCTGTTTTATTCCTCACTCCCTCCCACCTTTCTTTACAGCAGTACAGGCCCCAAGACCCCAAAATAAAATGAGTTATCACCGCAATAATAAAAATCGAAATGCGGAGAATGCATCCTATATCCACGTTCAAAGAGATGCTGTCAGGACTGTCGCGTTGAATGCACCTTCCCGCAGCAGGCCCACGCATGGGTCCTACAATAAAGTCCATGCTAACAGGGAACCCAAACCCAACCTCAGTCCAGGTGAGGTCCTTTGTTGATGTGGTTTACTCTTGTCTGTGGTTTGCATTCCCATGGAATTTCTTGACAGCTTGGCTAAACTTCACTACTACTTACTCCCCTCTTCTTTACCCTGGCCATCACCACCATAGAAACTAGTGAGAGGATTTCTTCCATGTGCAGTCCTGCACATGATTTAAAGGATATGGAAGAAAACTCATGTTGTGTGCAGATGACTTCAGATTGCACCTCCCTAGAGTTTTTTTCTCAGAGCACTGCACTTTGTTCCTCCAGGACAGCTTCATGTCACTCAGGAGGACTGTTTTTGAATGGCTGACATTTTCTTGTTCCACTAACTGCATTGTTCAATTTTCACTGTCAGGCTAGTGCCTTGACTTTTCTGTAGGCCTTCATGATTATTTTCTGAAAGGGTTGGTTTGGGGATTAACTGCCATATTTTTGACAACCTCTCATCTCTCTCACCATGGATAGATTGCTTCTAAATCATTTCATCATGTAATAGGCAAAGTCATAGTATATGTCAGGAAGTACAAGGTTACAGGGGAGAAGAGAACCGAATCTCTTTATCTCTTTTTCTTCCTATGTCTCAGATGGATTTTGTTCTTTTGAAGTTGGGTTTCAGTTCTCTAAACTTAACAAAATGCTGCTCAATTCTATATGATTTCATGTTTGTATTTTTCTAAGTTCACGGTTTAGTTAGTGGAGTTCTGAATATTTTGAACTTATGGAAACATAAGACTATATCTTTCTAAGTTTCTTTTATAATTTAATAAATTTTTTAAAATTATGAGTACACAGTAGGTATATATATTTCTTTTACAATTTAAATATACATTAGCTTATTTAAATTATTTTTCTTTTTGCTTTAAAATAGAATGATATATGGATGTGTATTTGTAAATAAGGATATTCTTAGGTGAAACGTGCTTTTAATTTTATTTATTACTATTATCTTATTTACTGATATTGTTATTGTTATTATCATTTTACTGCAACTGGATGTCTGTGAAGAATACAATGAGTACTAGAAGAGCTGCCAATGTCTAGGTTTGTGTGAAGGTGCCAGAATTCATACTCTATATTGCTTTTGCACCATTAGTGCAAATGTCAACACAAGAGAAATGCAAATTATTGGTATTACGGATCATGCTTTGAGAACACAGCTGCATAGTAATATTTGAAAACACAAATATAACATTGTTAGACAGTAGCAGAAATGTAGATATGTCAGAGAAAAATAAGTATTTAAGGACCAGGTGAGGATATAAATGCTTCGGCTATCTGGGGCAGTGAGGTCGGTATTGCATCACACCAATTACTGCGAACATGGAAGTCACTTCATGGAAGGACATGGGACTTGGGCTGTACCTCATAGTTTCACAGTTTTTAAATAAAAGCTCTAATAAACATTAGCAGAATTTATGCAAAACTATGATGAAGTGATGCAGTCAAAATTTTTATTACATTTAGATATCATACCCTCCTGTAGCTTACCCTTATTTGAAGCATTGAACAGCCAATTAAGAATCTGTCACCATGCAACCTACTCATCTGACAAAGGGCTAATATCCAGAATCTACAGTGAACTCCAACAAATTTACAAGAAACAAACAAACAACCCCATCAAAAAGTGGGCAAAGTATATGAACAGACACTTCTCAAAAGAAGACATTTATGCATCCAAAAGACACATGAAAAAATGCTCATCATCACTGGCCATCAGAGAAATGCAAATCAAAACCACAACGAGATACCATCTCACACCAGTTAGAATGGCAATCATTAAAAAGTCAGGAAACAACAGGTGCTGGAGAGGATGTGGAGAAATAGGAACACTTTTACACTGTTGGTGGGACTGTAAACTAGTTCAACCATTGTGGAAGTCAGTGTGGCGATTCCTCAGGGATCTAGAACTAGAAATACCATTTGACCCAGCCATCCCATTACTGGGTATATACCAAAGGACTATAAATCATGCTGTTATAAAGACACATGCACACGTATGTTTATTGTGGCACTATTCACAATAGCAAAGACTTGGAACCGACCCAAATGTCCAACAATGATAGACTGGATTAAGAAAATGTGGCACATATACACCATGGAATACTATGCAGCCATAAAAAATGATGAGTTCATGTCCTTTGTAGGGACATGGATGAAACTGGAAATCATCATTCTCAGTAAACTATCGCAAGGACAAAAAACCAAACACCGCATGTTCTCACTCATAGATGGGAATTGAACAATGAGAACACATGGACACAGGAAGGGGAACACCACACTCTGGGGACTGTTGTGGGGTGGGGGAAGGGGGAGGGATAGCATTAGGAGATATCCCAATGCTAAATGACGAGTTAATGGGTGCAGCACACCAGCATGGCACATGTATACATATGTAACTAACCTGCACATTGTGCACATGTACCCTAAAACTTAAAGTATAATAATAATAAAAAAAACAAAAAAAAACATGCTCACTTATAACTTAAATGGTCTTAATAAACTCACTTGTATCCCTGATGCCTTAGCTTTGAAATGGTAAAATGAATTACTTAGAGAATAGCTTCACCCCTGAGATGTTTATAACTTTGAAACACCCTTGGAATATGATTTTAAAGTTATAAAATATTTAATTCTGGATTTTTTTCCCTCAGACAAATATACGTCAACATCATATAATGATTCAGCCTGGCGAAAACGAATTCCTTTTTCAAAAACATATTCAAAAAGTGAAAAGATATATCCAGGTAACTATTTATAAGTGGTTTTAATGTATCATGCAATTCTGAAAATGAATAAGTTTTCAAGTGCAAGGAGTGTTTTAGAAAACATGAAGATAAATAAAAATTTCAAGATATACATGCACACTTAATTACTTGGAGTTTAGTAGATATCTTGTCTACTAGTAATGTAATTTTACTGTTTTACTGTGTTCCTCTTTGCCTATTTTTATGTGTTACCCAAAAACGTTTTTATACAGTTCTTTCCTGGACAATAAACAGTAATTGCAGCAATCATGTAATACGTTAAGATGCATTTTTTTTTTTTTTTGCTGTGCTGCGAAGCAAATGTGTAAAACTGTATTTTAACACAAGACATTAAAGCTTTACTATATCTACCATAGACAAATATTGGCTGGTATAGGCTGACAGGACATCCAAGATGAAATTTCTCAGCCAGTAGTTTCTGAGGGACTGTGGTCTCCTCCTTGTGGAACTCTGCGCTCTGGGAGACTGGGGTTCCTTGGAACCTCCTCAGGGTAGAGGTTTGTTGTATCCCTGACCTCAGGTTTTTCTTTTGCTAAACAGCTTGGTGTCTTTTCCCAGACTCTCCTGGGCTGGTTCAGTAGGTTTGGAAATCTACAGGGGATAAAATGCTTTCGATTACTTCTCAGACAACTGAACATTTCAGAAAAATTTCCAGTTAGGGAACTCCTACTGACTACAACTGTGACTCAAGGCACAGATATGTGTTATATGTTTATATACTGGGGATAACTGTTTTCCATTTTCCCCCCATCTTTCCCAAATCATACTGTGCTGCAAGAGAACCCTGCTGCAGTGCTATTTAATTGATCATACTTTCTTTTAACTTTGTGTGAATTTTCACATGTGATAGCACTGAATTTGGGGGGTGGGGAAAGAGGTGAAGAGTTGATGAAAATCCTGGGTGAAACTTGAAATTGTTGAGCTCTATAGCCTTTTCTCCTATGATCCTCCTATGGGTGAAGTGATATTTGGAGTATTAAGGGATGTGCTCCTCCCTTATCCCTGTCTTAATGACTTCTCTTGTCTTTCAGTAGCCTTCTCACCTCCCATACCAGATAGTTAAATATGAATTACAGAAGACATTTAGGAAAGGAAGGGTCACTTCAGCACATAATACATGTACCATCTATGTGTAGCACTGAATCAATGCATAGAGGTATGGCTGTGTTGCAGTTCCCAGATGCAATCTAGGGAGAAAAGCTTTGAAGAGAAATTTTTTGCTGTTATCTGGGTTAGGGGGAAGACAAGCCATGTCTAATATGAGAGGACTGGAGACAGCTTCTTGAGATTTTTCAAGTGCTAAGGTTGCGTGGGAGGGCATCTCACATTCCTGTGAGCCTCAAGTGGGAGAAGGTTCATGGGAGAGAGGAACAGTGGGTCCAAATGAAGTCTTCTGGCTGGGATTAAAAGGATAAGCACCAGAAAGAGGACTTTGTTGAGCCATATTGGGGTGGGTCAGTATTTAGCTGTAATCTTGACAGATTGCTTCTGTCAGAGAGCCAAGGAGAAACTGAGCCAGCATCCACTGACCAAATCCTTGTTAACTAAACTATGGTCTGAGGACTAGCTGCAATGACATCACCTGGGAGCTTTTTTAAAATGTAGGATCTCCATCTCAGACCTGCTGAATCAGAATCTGCATTTTAACAACATTCCCAGGTGATTAAGATACACATTAAATTTCAAGAAACCTTAGACTGGGTATCTAGGCCACCATTAAAGAAAAATAAGAGCCCAGCACAGGACCCATCCATGTCAGGACTGTTGAAATTATATTCTCTTACTAGCTCTCTCACAACCACAACCATTCTCTCCTGTTCCAATTCCCAGAAATTAGGATCAGTAGCAGGGAGGTGGGGTACAGAGAACACCCTGAGAAAAAATTTTAAATCTGAATGTGACTGAAATGTAAAAGTGAGATGCCTAATAAATCACTGAATTGGACTAAATTTACATGCAGAGGAAGAATGAGGACTTAAGAAATTAGATTTTATAATGAAATAGTTTGTTTTCTTATTTTCTTTTGATTGGGAAATGCATAACCTCACAATGCTTATCCTTCCCAATTGTTGTCATCACCAGAATAGGAAGAGAAAGATTAGCTTATGTTTCTTCCTGCACATATTCCTGCTAGGTCACAGAGCAACATTTTCAACATTTCCCAGTGGACAGATGGACTACTGGAGGAAAGGAGGCAGAAAACACAAGCTGCCATGAGTCTGTTCCTCTAGGGCACTGGCGGACAGGAGAAGCCTTTTGGAAAAATGTTGTTGGATACTGTGGGGATAATGCAATAATAGAGGAGAATGCACATGTCTGTGGGAATTAGGGGCAGAAGCTGAAGGCAACTGGAGATGTCATTCTCATTGGTGACCTTCTCTTGAGGCCACAAGTCCTTTGTAATAGGGATATTGCTGGTGCGAGTGAAGGTGCTTGTCTCCATATGATGGAGCCTTCGTTCTGTTCATTCTGCATGTCCCATAGCACAGCCTTATATACGGTGTCACTTCCATTCTTTTCCACCCCTCCATCCAAATGCAAAACATAGTAAGAATCAAAAAGAAGTGGACTATTTGAATGGCATTTTGAAAATTTATAAGTTAAAACAGTAAGATTAGTTTTTCTTTGCCTTTAGATTTACGGCAAGTAATTAGCAAAAGAAGAACAAAATATCAGTGCGCTAAACAAGAAAATAATTGAAATATTTTGTGTATTTTATTATTAGAGCCAAGAAGAAATGGGAGCAAGTAAACCTGGAGGTTGAGAGAGAGAAAAATGAGAAAAAATTGCCAGACATCATCTGATTTACAATCAAAAATGAAAATTCAAAGAATGAGATACTCAAGTACTCCATGTTATGTAGTGGATAGCCAAAGATGATAAAAATGCAAATTCTGAAAATAAGATGCAGGAAGTACATTGTGCTCTTTCAAAACTGATAAAAATGCAAATTACCAACAGCTGCCAGTGTATTTATGTAGGTCTGGAATTCATTCCGTGCATTACTCCAAACATTTTAATAAAATTTAAAAGTTTGACAATTAAAATCATTCTTTAATTGTAAACCAAGTTAGATTACACAGATTGAGAAGTAAAATTGTGCCTTTAATTTCTGTTTTGCAATATTCCTTATGGAAGAAACCTCACTTCTTATTTCTTTACCTGGATTTTAAGCTGGGCCCTCAGCAATGATAACATATAAAATGTAAATACATTGAATGAAGTTTCAGCATTACAGTTTGGTGATGAATATGTTAGAGGAATTCCAATAGAAATACACTTTAATGCATGGTAGAAAGAGACAAAGATTGGCCTATTATTCAGGGCAGTTGTTGAACAATGTTTTAATTGGCAGCTACAAAATCGGTCTGCTGAGGTTTGCTAGATTCAAACTGAAAAATAAACATTTTCCTACCATGAAAATAAAAATTATATGATTATATTGGAGAAAAGGACATGTTTAAGAAAAAAGTGTATTAATAACATGGTGTTCCAAATGTCTTAGTGATATTTTAAGGCATTAGTAACTCCAGAAGCATAAATATTTACAAGTGAAAGAGAGACATCATTTGAAAACTAATTTTGATTTCTTTCTGCCCTTTTTAGAATTGTGTTTTGAATAGTACTTTTAAATTTAATTTTTAAAATTTTCATCAAAGTGAACCACCCGCAGTGACTGAAACAAAAACTTAAAAATTTATTCTTTAAATTGAAAAACATGTTTGAAAGCAATATAAGTAATTAATATTTAAAATGATGTAACATTTAAAATGATGTCTTTGTAAGTGTAGTATTTATACTTCTGAGTTTATTAAAGCTTAGAAATTCACTAAGACTTTGGGATATCTCATATTTATATTTGCATGAATTTTGTGGTTATCGATACCATCTTTTTCAATATTTATTGGAGGGAAGGAATCAGGGTTCTTAGAAATACTTTATTTTAGAGTATCTTTATAATATGTGGAGTAATAAAGCCTAGGTTTTGGCTTCTAATGGTGCTCTGTGTACACACTTTCAAGAAAATGGGGATATAGTCATTTATTTTTTAACAAGGGAGCAGATAGAAATGAAAACTGTGGGCTGAGTGCAGCGGCTTATGCCTGCAATCAGAGCACTTTGGGAGGCCGAGGCAGGTGGATGGCTTGAGCTCAGGAGTTTGAGACCAACCTTGGAAACATGGTGAAACCCCGTCTCTACCAAAAATACAAAAATTAGCTGGGTGTGTTAGTGCACACCTGTGGCCCTAGCTACTCGGGAGGCTGGGGTGGGAGGATCACTTCAGCCAGAGGTTGCAGTGAGCCAAGATTGTGCCGTTATACTCCTGCCTAGGTGACAGAGTGAGACCCTGTCTCAAAAAACAAAATAAATAAATAAATAAAATAAATGAAAACTTTGCCAGCAAAATATCTTTGTGAGATAGATTTGAGAGGGATGTAAGAAAATAGCTGAGTTGACAGGCTGTCTAGATTGAAGCTGATGGGAGACATAATTCTATTTAATGAACAGATCTCTGTCCTTCTAAAACTTCAACTAGTTATGAAGAGGAAAAGTTCTTAGGAAGATAATCCAAAAGACCTTCCTGAAGTACAAATTCTTAGTGTGTATCTTTATTGTATATTAAATGCTGAAGAATCAATGGGGAATGAGAAAAATCTGAAGGAAGTCCTGAACGTGATTGTACACATGTTGTTCCTGAATAAATGGAAATGTTCATTATGGTAAGCTTTGTCTAAAGGAACACATAGATGACAGCATTAGCGAACTGTGTTTCTATATGTGTGATTTAGGAAAAAGGCAATTGGTTTAAATGGGGGTAAATTACAAACCAGGGAGGAAGAAGGTAGCAAACCCCAAAGTAAGAATATATAGGAGACAACAAAATAAGTGAACAACCAAAAAATTAGTTAGCAAAAACCTATTCTTGCTGATTCCTGAACATGCAAATAGTGCATTTAAAGTTAAGTTTCACAATGCCAGTGGGTGGATAATTGCTTTTGTGTCACATCTAAAAGCTTTTGATACATTTCACTAGAGTTCCATGACTCTACTCTTCAACATGCAGCATTGATAAAAATGATAATAAAGGTAGCATCTGTTAAATGCTTAGTATATTAATTGGCTAAGACAGCTGTAACAAAGTACCACAAATTGAGTGTCTTAAGCAACAGTTCTAGAGGCTAGAAGTCTGAAATCAAGTTGCTAGTAGGGTTGTTCTTTTCTGAGGGCTGTGAGGGAAGGATCTGTTCCAGGCCTCTCTCCTTGGCTTGTAGATTGCTGTCTTTTCCCTGTGTCTCTTCACATGATCATCCCTCTATATATGTCTCTGTGTCCAAATTTCCCCTTGTCATAGAGACACCAGTATATTGTATTAGGGCCCATCCTAATGACCCCATTTGAACTTGTCTCTGTTAAAGACCCTGTCTCCAAATGTCACATTCTTAGGTAACAAGGATTAGAACTTCAACATATGAGTTTTGAGGGGGACATAGTTTTGAGTAGATCTTAGACAAATTCACTGTTAACATTCCAGTCTCCCTATGCCTTTAAATCCTTTCATCTACAGTAAACAAAGCAGATCTGGCATTTCTAACTCATTCACTCTTGGTCATGTTTTGGGCCCATGTTTAAGCCAACAAACCAAACAGAACTCTTTCTTTCTTTCTACCTTTTTCTTTTTGTAAAATTTGAGACAGCATCTTGCTCTGCCACTCAGGCTAGAATGCGGTGGCAGGTTCATGGCTCATTGCAGCCTTGGCCTTCTGGACCCAAGTGATCCTCCTACCTGCACCTCCTGAGTAGCTGGGGCTACAGACATGTGCCACCACACCTGGCTAATTTTGGTATTTTCTGTAGAGACAGGTTTTCAACGTGTTGTCCAAGCTGGTCTTGAACTTCTGAGCTCAAGAAATCTACCCACCTTGTCCTCCCAGACTGCTGGGATGACAGAGATGGGCCACCATGCCCAGCCAATTAGAGTTCCTTTTAACTCCCCAAGCTGCCACATTAAATGCAGAATCTTTGCACAATGGGTCTATGTCAACAAATTTGGTTTGGTCCAACTTTATTTTCTTTCCATCACTATTCACCACCTTTAGTATCCATTCTCAGACATATTCTCTGTATTTCAATCTGTATAAATTAGAAAACTCAAGTACTTCTTTTGGAGTGTAGCATACTTCCTCATGGATCACACTTTGTACCTCATCTTTAGGGTGCTGAGTCTAGTATCAAAGAAGGATGGTGGGGTGGATCTTGAGGGGAATTAGCATCTTTTAAGGCAACTTTCAGGGTTAATCTCAGATAGGGGTGGAGAGGTTGCTTCTACTGGGAGTGGATCTACTATTTTTAATGGTGAAGAAGACTCAGAACGTCCCCATCTTTATCAGAGTCTTGCTAAATATCCCTATTTCAACTTTCAGGATCACATTCCTTCCCAATCAATGTCCTCACTAGTTGACACCCCCTGCAAGCCTGGGAATTCTATTTGCATTGTAAGTTAGTCACTTGCAAGAGGAAATCCTGGGTTTGGTTTTCAGCAATTCCAGCCTTGTGGCTACAGGAAATAACACTCTCTTTTCAGGGTAGGCATGTAACTTTCAGGTCATTTATGGAATGGAAATGACCTGAACTGGAAATTCAAATCCTTGAGCTCATCTTTTTCTTTCTCCACTGTCTTCAGGGGTACTAGCGGCAAGCAGCAAAGCTCATTATACTTGTTCGTTTGACAAAAATATTCAAAGGTATCGTAAACATGTCAACAGATCCTTGCCTCTTATAAGTGGTTGATTAGGAGTTTCCAGTGGTGATATTTTGCCTATTTCTATTGCCACATCATGTCATGAACTAGTAATCTTCTTTCTACAACTGGAAATAGAGTTATTAGTGTGTTTAATCAGATTATAGAGCCAATTCCAGAAACCCTAGAACCGATTCAGAAAACTCATCCTTAGGATTATACTCCACTAGAACTACACTTGGTACGAAAATCTGTATTAGTCAGCATTATCCAGAGAAATGCAACCAATAGGATGTGTGTACATGTATAGGAAGAAATTCACTTTAAGAAATGGGCTTGTGCGATTGTGGAGGCTTAGTGAGTCTAAAATCTCATGGGGAAGGCCAACAGGCTGGAGAATCAGAAGATAGTTGTAGTCCAGATCTGAAGGCAGTCTGCTGGAAACTTCCTTCTTGCTGGGGAGAAGTCAAGTCTTTTATTCTAATCAGGCCTTCAACTGACTGGTTGAGGCCTACCCACATTATGGAAGGTGGGCTGCTTTACTCAAAGCCCACCAATTTAAATGTAAATCACATCCAAAATCACCCTCACAGAAACATCCAGAATAATGTTTGACTAAATATATGGGCATCATGGCTCAGGCAAGTTGGCACATAAAATTAACCATCACATTGGACCTGGATAATCCAGGGTATTTTCACTATATAAGGGCAGGTGGTTAGCAAACTTAGTTTCCCTTTGCCAAATAACCTAATATATTCACAGGTTCTGTGGATCAGGATGTGGACATCTTTGGGGAGCCATTTTTTTCTGCCTAACACGACTACCTTTCATATGCGTAATAAAAAATAGTTGTTACTATGTAGCAGAAACTATACTACATCAAATAACTCACTAAAAAATTAAATCTCTTCTTCACCTAAACAAACAATGAGATAGGAAGAAGCCACCCTGGGCCACCCTGGGCTAGAGATGTCAATCTTGGCACCATCATGGTAAGTTTCCTCATCAAGTTTTCTTCCCTGGGGGAAGGAGCCAAGATGGCTGAATAGGAACAGTTCAGGTCTACAGCTCCCAGCGTGAGTGACGCAGAAGATGGGTGATATCTGCATTTCCATCTGAGGTACCAGGTTCATCTCACTAGGGAGTGCCAGATAGTGGGTGCAGCTTTGAAGAGAGCAGTGGTTCTCCCAGCATGCAGCTGGAGATCTGAGAACGGGCAGACTGCCTCCTCAAGTGGGTCCCTGACCCCTGACCCCTGACCCCCGAGCAGCCTAACTAGGAGGCACCCCCGAGCAGGGGCAGACTGACACCTCACATGGCCAGGTACTCCAACAGACCTGCAGCTGAGCATCCTGTCTGTTAGAAGGAAAACTAACAAACAGAAAGGACATCCACACCAAAAACCCATCTGTACATCACCATCATCAAAGACCAAAAGTAGATAAAACCACAAAGATGGGGAAAAAACAGAGCAGAAAAACTGGAAACTCTAAAAAGCAGAGCGCCTCTCCTCCTCCAAAGGAACGCAGTTCCTCACCAGCAACGGAACAAAGTTGGACGGAGAATGACTTTGACGAGCTGAGAGAAGAAGGCTTCAGACGATCAAATTACTCCGAGCTACGGGAGGACATTCAAACCAAAGGCAAAGAAGTTGAAAACTTTGAAAAAAATTTAGAAGAATGTATAACTAGAATAACCAATACAGAGAAGTGCTTAAAGGAGCTGATGGAGCTGAAAACCAAGGCTCGAGAACTACTTGAAGAATGCAGAAGCCTCCGGAGCCGATGTGATCAAATGGAAGAAAGGGTATCAGCGATGGAAGATGAAATGAATGAAATGAATCGAGAAGGGAAGTTTAGAGAAAAAAGAATAAAAAGAAACGAGCAAAGCCTCCAAGAAATATGGGACTATGTGAAAAGACCAAATCTACGTCTGATTGGTATACCTGAAAGAGACGGGGAGAATGGAACCAAGGTGGAAAACACTCTGCAGGATATTATCCAGGAGAACTTCCCCAATCTAGCAAGGCAGGCCAACACTCAGATTCAGGAAATACAGAGAATGCCGCAAAGATACTCCTTGAGAAGAGTAACTCGAAGACACACAATTGTCAGATTCACCAAAGTTGAAATGAAGGAAAAAATGTTAAGGGCAGCCAGAGAGAAAGGTCGGGTTACCCTCAAAGGGAAGCCCATCAGACTAATGGCGGATCTCTCGGCAGAAACTCTACAAGCCAGAAGAGAGTGGGGGCCAATATTCAACATTCTTAAAGAAAAGAATTTTCAACCCAGAATTTCATATCCAGCCAAACTAAGCTTCATAAATGAAGGAGAAATCAAATACTTTACAGACAAGCAAATGCTGAGAGATTTTGTCACCACCAGGCCTGCCCTAAAAGAGCTCCTGAAGGAAGCGCTAAACATGGAAAGGAACAACTGGTACCAGCCACTGCAAAATCATGCCAAAATGTAAAGACCATCGAGGCTAGGAAGAAACTGCATCAACTAATGAGCAAAATCACCAGCCAACATCATAATGACAGGATCAAATTCACACATAACAATATTAACTTTAAATGTAAATGGACTAAATGCTCCAATTAAAAGACACAGACTGGCAAATTGGATAAAGAGTCAAGACCCATCAGTGTGCTGTATTCAGGAAACCCATCTCACGTGCAGAGACACACATAGGCTCAAAATAAAAGGATGGAGGAAGATCTACCAAGCAAATGGAAAACAAAAAAAGGCAGGTGTTGCAATCCTAGTCCCTGATAAAACAGACTTTAAACCAACAAAGATCAAAAGAGACAAAGAAGGCCATTACATAATGGTAAAGGGATCAATTCAACAAGAAGAGCTAACTATCCTAAATATATATGCACCCAATACAGGAGCACCCAGATTCATAAAGCAAGTCCTGAGTGACCTACAAAGAGACTTAGACTCCCACACATTAATAATGGGAGACTTTAACACCCCACTGTCAACATTAGACAGATCAACGAGACAGAAAGTCAATAAGGATACCCAGGAATTGAACTCAGCTCTGCACCAAGTGGACCTAATAGACATCTACAGAACTCTCCACCCCAAATCAACAGAATATACATTTTTTCAGCACCACACCATACCTATTCCAAAATTGACCACATACTTGGAAGTAAAGCTCTCCTCAGCAAATGTAAAGCAGCAGAAATTATAACAAACTGTCTCTCAGACCACAGTGCAATCAAACTAGAACTCAGGATTAAGAATCTCACTCAAAACCGCTCAACTACATGGAAACTGAACAACCTGCTCCTGAATGACTACTGGGTACATAACAAAATGAAGGCAGAAAAAAAGATGTTCTTTGAAACCAATGAGAACAAAGACACAACATACCAGAATCTCTGGGATGCATTCAAAGCAGTATGTAGAGGGAAATTTATAGCACTAAATGCCCACAAGAGAAAGCAGGAAAGATCCAAAATTGACACCCTAACATCACAATTAAAAGAACTAGAAAAGCAAGAGCAAACATATTCAAAAGCTAGCAGAAGGCAAGAAATAACTAAAATCAGAACACAACTGAAGTAAATAGAGACACAAAAAACCCTTCAAAAATTAATGAATCCAGGAGCTGGTTTTTTGAAAGGATCAACAAAATTGATAGACTGCTAGCAAGACTAATAAAGAAAAAAAGAGAGAAGAATCAAATAGATGCAATAAAAAATGATAAAGGGGATATCACCACCAATCCCACAGAAATACAAACTACCATCAGAGAATACTACAAACAACTCTACGCAAATACACTAGAAAATCTAGAAGAAATGGATAAATTCCTCGACACATACACTCTCCCAAGACTAAACCAGGAAGAAGTTGAATCTCTGAATAGACCAATAACAGGAGCTGAAATTGTGGCAATAATCAATAGCTTACCAACCAAAAAGAGTCCAGGACCAGATGGATTCACAGCCGAATTCTATCAGAGGTACAAGGAGGAACTGGTACCATTCCTTCTGAAACTATTCCAATCAATAGAAAAAGAGGGAATCCTCCCTAACTCATTTTATGAGGCCAGCAGCATCCTGATACCAAAGCCGGGCAGAGACACAACCAAAAAAAGAGAATTTTAGACCAATATCCTTGATGAACATAGATGCAAAATTCCTCAATAAAATACTGGCAAACCAAATCCAGCAGCACATCAAAAAGCTTATCCACCATGATCAAGTGGGCTTCTTCCCTGGGATGCAAAGCTGGTTCAATATATGCAAATCAATAAATGTAATCCAGCATATAAACAGAACCAAAGACAAAAACCACATGATTATCTCAATAGATGCCGAACAGGCCTTTGACAAAATTCAACAATGCTTCATGCTAAAAACTCTCAATAAATTAGGTATTGATGGGACGTATCTCAAAATAATAAGAGCTATCTATGACAAACCCACAGCCAATATCATAACGAATGGGCAAAAACTGGAAGCATTCCCTTTGAAAACTGGCACAAGACAGGGATGTCCTCTCTCACCACTCCTATTCAACATAGTGTTGGAAGTTCTGGCCAGGGCAATTAGGCAGGAGAAGGAAATAAAGGGTATTCAATTAGGAAAAGAGGAAGTCAAATTGTCCCTGTTTGCAGACGACATGACTGTATATCTAGAAAACCCCATTGTCTCAGCCCAAAATCTCCTTAAGCTGATAGGCAACTTCAGCAAAGTCTCAGGATACAAAATCAATGTGCAAAAATCACAAGCATTCTTATACACCAACAACAGACAAACAGAGAGCCAAATCATGAGAGAACTCCCATTCACAGTTGCTTCAAAGAGAATAAAATACCTAGGAATCCAACTTACAAGGGATGTGAAGGACCTCTTCAACGAGAACTACAAACCACTGCTCAAGGAAATAAAAGAGGACACAAATAAATGGAAGATCATTCCATGCTCATGTGTAGGAAGAATCAATATCGTGAAAATGGCCATACTGCCCAAGGTAATTTACAGATTCAATGCCATCCCCATCAAGCTACCAATGACTTTCTTCACAGAATTGGAAAAAACTACTTTAAAGTTCATATGGAACCAAAAAAGAGCCCGCATCGCCAAGTCAATCCTCAGCCAAAAGAACAAAGCTGGAGGCATCACACTACCTGACTTCAAACTATACTACAAGGCTACAGTAACCAAAACAGCATGGTACTGGTACCAAAACAGAGATATAGATCAATGGAACAGAACAGAGCCCTCAGAAATAATGCCGCATATCTACAACTATCTGATCTTTGACAAACCTGAGAAAAACAAGCAATGGGGAAAGGATTCCCTATTTAATAAATGGTGCTGGGAAAACTGGCTAGCCCTATGTAGAAAGCTGAAACTGGATCCCTTCCTTACACCTTATACAAAAATCAATTCAAGATGGATTAAAGACTTAAACGTTAGACCTAAAACCATAAAAACCCTAGAAGAAAACCTAGGCATTACCATTCAGGACATAGGCATGGGCAAGGACTTCATGTCTAAAACACCAAAAGCAATGGCAACCACAGCCAAAATTGACAAATGGGATCTAATTAAACTAAAGAGCTTCTGCACAGCAAAAGAAACTACCATCAGAGTGAACAGGCAACCTACAAAATGGGAGAAAATTTTCGCAACCTACTCATCTGACAAAGGGCTAATATCCAGAATCTACAATGAACTCCAACAAATTTACAAGAAAAAAACAAACAACCCCATCAAAAAGTGGGCGAAGGACATGAACAGACACTTCTCAAAAGAAGACATTTATGCAGCCAGAAAACACATGAAAAAATGCTCATCATCACTGGCCATCAGAGAAATGCAAATCAAAACCACAATGAGATACCATCTCACACCAGTTAAAATGGCGATCATTAAAAAGTCAGGAAACAACAGGTGCTGGAGAGGATGTGGAGAAATAGGAACACTTTTACACTGTTGGTGGGACTGTAAACTAGTTCAACCATTGTGAAAGTCAGTGTGGCGATTCCTCAGGGATCTAGAACTAGAAATACCATTTGACCCAGCCATCCCATTACTGGGTATATACCCAAAGGACTATAAATCATGCTGCTATAAACACACATGCACACGTATGTTTATTGCGGCATTATTCACAATAGCAAAGACTTGGAACCGACCCAAATGTCCAACAATGATAGACTGGATTAAGAAAATGTGGCACATATACACCATGGAATACTATGCAGCCATAAAAAATGATGAGTTCATGTCCTTTGTAGGGACATGGATGAAATTGGAAATCATCATTCTCAGTAAACTATCGCAAGAACAAAAAACCAAACACCGCGTATTCTCACTCATAGGTGGGAATTGAACAATGAGAACACATGGACACAGGAAGGGGAACATCACACTCTGGGGACTGTTGTGGGGTGGGGGGAGCGGGAAGGGATAGCATTGGGAGATATACCTAATGCTAGATGACGAGTTAGTGGGTGCAGTGCACCAGCATGTCACATGTATACATATGTAACTAACCTGCATATTGTGCACATGTACCCTAAAACTTAAAGTATAATAATAATGAAAAATAAAAAATTAAAAAATAAATAAATAAATAAATAAAAGGCTTGTTCCCCATTACCTTCCCTTTTCGCTTCTGTAAGAGTAGTGTAGATATGCTGTTTATCTTCCTATCTGTTCCTCAAGCACACATCAAAATATACAACTTGTGAATATTACATTTAATTTTGAGTTTTCTGGCAACCAAGACAAGAAAGAAAACATAGTTATATCAGAAAATTATTCTAATGCTCCACAAAAGCCTTTTTTTATAGTACTACTTTTGAAATGAAACACATTTTGTGTAGACCTAACTGAAATTCATTCGATAAATGTTAAAAGAGCACCTTTGAGATCAAGCCTTCGGCTACATGTTACAGATACAAAGATAAATCAGGTCTTTCTCTCTAAATGCTTCTAATATAATGAGTGATGCAAACAAGTGATTTAAGCATTTATGTGATGTACTGTGTGCCATAGTGGAAGTACAGAATAGGTGCTATGGGACTATAAGAGAAGGCATGTTTCACAGATATTTCACCTGACAGTCTTGCTTGGCTTTGTGTGGTTTGCAAGATTTCTTAAACATTTTCTTGCTGCTAGCATTCCTCTATACGAGGAGTTGTGTCGACTTATAGTCCTGCATGTGGTGGTGGCCTGTCCGGACACTGGGACTACTGTGGGATAAAGGAGGAATTGCTAAATTTTAAGGAGCACTTCCTTTCTGCTTTAAAACAGAGAATTTGTGCTCATGTGTTCCTCAGAGAAATGTTGCTAAGAACATTAGTTTTAGAGTGAACTTTTCTACTTGGACACCCACCTGCATTCCATTATGTGATTATACTATGCATAGTGATTAGCTTATTTATTCTCCCATTAGTCTATGAGTGTTTTCAAGAAAAGAACAATGTCTTTCCCTCGTTATATTTCTCGTACCTGACATATAATTGATACTTAATATTTATTGAGTGATCTAATACCTGTCACTGAAGTTTCTTTTCCTTGGATCAACCAGAACAGTCAATAGAAATGTGGATAATTGCCATGAACCTTGTGTTTTGAGTGATTCGCACTGGCTAAGAACTCCTCAGGGCCATGGAGATATGCTCCTCCTTCTAGGGCATGCTCTAGAACCAGGGATGCTGGATTCCTCTGTTGTAATTACTCTGAAGTCATTTGCAGTGCTATATGAGCCTTTCCCCCAAAATAGTGCTTCAAAGTGTAAACCTTGCTATCAGATGGGTGGAGAAGGAGAAACTGTTTGCAGGATGTCAAAGGAGGTAGAGAATGTGGGCTGTTCTGTCCATACATGTGCACAGGGTCTCTTGAGCCTTGGGACATATTATAGCAGGGAATGGGAAGAGAAACAGGATGCCATTCATCCCAGGAGCCTGAGGCTTTTCATGTTTTACTTCCTAGAGTAGAACTCTGAGTTGTCCCAGGATTCTAAATATAAGCCTAGTTTTCTATAACATTATGTGGGTATATTTGGTAGCTTTATTTATAACTTTAAAATATTTAGGTATATGGTATATAAGTCTTCATATCTACTCTTGCCTGAGGCTCTGCAAATAATCCACTTAGCACACACAGGCAAAAGAGCAACATTTTCTGTCTAATTATCATTTTTTTCCTGTCAATTCTGTAACACTTGCAATTTTCACATGGGTTGTTTCTTGTTTCTTTTATTATGCAAACCATGGACAGAAGGAGAAAGACTGGCTGTAACAAGAGTCTGGCTTTTTGCCAGGGACTTGTCATCATAGCAAAGAAGCTAGGCTGAGCAGAGAGGCTGTGTTAATTACATTTCCAGAGTATTTCAGATGGAGAATGGACCACACAAAAGTATAATTTCTAAATAATTTCTATTTTTTATTCTATACATCCCAGGTAATTTATGGGGTTGTTGTTATATGAAACTGTTGTAGTTATTAAGGAAGCCTTGGGCAAAACCCTTAGGTCTGTGTACCATTCGGCTAAAAGTAACGCATACCATTGTTCTTTGCTATTAACCAGAGAGTGATTTGGACAAGTGATTCAAACATGTTTAGTCTATAATCTCTAATATTGAAAATCTATAGAAAAATAGGCTTAAGATCTAGAATAAATTCATAAATTATACCTAGGGACAGTATAAGATTCTCTTAAGTGATTATTTTTTCCTCAATAATTTCCATGCTACTTTCCTCTTATCACATTACTATTTGTTGTAAAAATAAGGTCTCTCTCTCTCTCTTTCTCTGTCTCTCACACACACATACACACACAGACACTCACTCATATATATATATAGAGAGATAGATAGATAGAATTTAGTGCCTGGCACGTAATAACTAACTACCCGGTAACTTGTAGATGATATGAAAAAAATAGCTGTAAATAATGAAAATATGAGGCTTCAGTTTCCAGTAATATGGTAAACTATATATTCAGAGATTTTTTTTTCTGGAACAACACACCCAAATATGTCATATTTAGAAACAAAACAATATGAAACAAAAGCCTTTTTTCCAGTGTGTATCAGAACAGGTTGGGGCGAAAAGGGATTGATTACCTCAGAGGCTACAATGACAAACAGAGAATCCAGAAGAGTAAGGAAGAATTAGAGCTGGTGTTTGTCCTCAGGTATTTGTACGTCTCTGCCATAGATTTTGAACTTCAATGGTCCATGAATAGAGGAATAAGAGACAAAGTCTAGGGCATGACCAGACTTGGGGGAAGGATTGCAAACCCCACAAAATGCCAGGACCCATTAATGGTGAACTACAAAGGAGGGAAGTAGAAAATGAAACCTTACTTTGCAGACAGAGGCAGTATTAGTATATATCTTCTTCTCCTAGCATTTCTAAAGATTTTAACTTTTTCAGGTGAATTTTGAGCTTAATTCACATGATCAGGATGTCCTAACAAACTTCAAGCCTAAAATGTAGTATAAAGTATTCTGAAATTGATCATGCCTCCAGGTACCTGGATGAAGCAAAGTTAAATAATTTGTAGTCTCTGGCTTCTAATCTTAGGCCTTAAGGAATTACCAAAGATAAAGTTCCAAATAACATAAATGTATAACCCACTCCCCAGTATTGAACATGTAGAAATAGCCATTGAGTCAAGAGTAGCAACAAATGACAGAATCAGACCTGCAAAAAGTAATTAAAGGGTAAAGAATGCATTGAAAACATAAAGAATTGATAAAAGGCTATTAACATTGACCAGAAATATTTGAAAAGAAACCATATAGAACATTTGAAAGTGAAAATAAAATAGTAGGAATAACATAGGTGTGATAATAAAAGATTGGGTAAAAAGATTAGATATGCTGCTGAAGAGAGTACATGTTGAAGAATATATTTGAATAAATTTGCCATCATGTATCACAGACTAAAAATGGAAAATACAAAAGAAAGGTAAAGAGAGATGGAGAATGGAGTAAGAGTATCAACCTGTATCTTCCAGATAAGACAAAAGAGAAAACGGGAGAGATACGTTAAAGAAAATGGTGGTAAAAATTGTTGAAAAACACCATCTTCAGACACAGGAAGGCTGCTGGATCAAAAAATAAAAATGAAACCCTCACCTCTACTCTCCATCTTTAAACTGCAGTACATCAAAAATATCATCTTCAGCAGAAAGAAAAGAGTTTAACTACAAAGAAAGAAATATTATGCTGATATTTAAACTCTCAAGAGCAACAGAGCCAGACAGTAATGGAATAATCAATGCACTTAAATAGAGTAATTAGCAATCTAGAAAAATGTCCAGTCATTTTTCAAGAATTTGATAGAAATTAAAACCTGTTAGAAAAATCCAAACTGAGATTTTTTTTCCCCCAAATCGAAATCTAAAGTTACTTCTGAATTATATTCTTCTGGAAAAAGAAAAGTGATCTACAAAAATAATCTGAGAGGCATAGGGAATAGTTACCAATGAACGTAACATGTGGTTTAATTTAACAAAACAACAATTGTATAAAGCAACAATAATACTTTCTAATTTGTAAGTTAAAAAAAAACAAGGTAGAATTAAAATCTCAGACCATTTACATACAAGTTATAACAATGGGTGACCAGAATTAAGTCAACTTGAGTTCTTTGTATAGTTGAACATGCAATGTTGTGTGGATTGTGCTGTATGCATTCAAGGGGAAATAGATCATAATCAAACACAGTGTGCTACCTGTGTAACTATACACAGTGAGCCTGAAGGGGTAAGATATAATCTTGATGTTGTTAAATTTACCATGCATGCCAAAATTTATGGGATAACTGCAAGAAAACATAAGTCATATCATATTGCTGCTAAATTGGTAGAAAGAAAATGGAATAAAAAAGAAATAAAAAATAAAGAAAAAGTTGTATAAAAAGCACAAAATAAAGTAGCAAAAATAAAATGTATTAGTAGCCATCATGTAACTGGGGCAAATTCTAATAGATAAATATTTTTATATCCAGCAGTATGATATTCAAAAGAGACCCATGTAAAACTTCAAAACAGAATGTTTGACAGAAAAGTGATAGAAAAATATATATTGATGAATACTAATGAAAAAAGCTAATATTGCTGTATTAATGTAATGTAAAAGACCATTATGGCAGACCATTATGACAGAAAAAAATGACTAGACTAGGAGCATAAAAGTTTCTGTTCATCAAGCAAAAACAATGCTGTTCATATGTACCTAACAATAAGTTTAAACATATATAAAAATAGAAGGACAGAACTATAAGTAGATATTAACCTTTCACCATTATCATAGTGAAAGACTTAAAGCACCACACTCAGCAACTGATTGATCAAGTACACAATAAATAAAGATATAAAAGATTTCAACCAATTAGCAAGCTTGACCTAATAATACATAGACTACTGTTGTAAGCAGAATTCTAAGATGTTCCCCAGGCTTTCTGCTCCCACTCATGGTATACATGACCTGTAAAGCCCCCAGGACTGTGAATATGATGGAATATCTTTCCCATGATTACACTCTGATATATAGCACATTTGACTTTAAGAAAGGGATATTACCCTTTTAGTGGATATAATCTAATCAAATAGGCCTTTAAGAGATTCTGAGTTTTTATCCTGCAGAATGAAACTATCATCACGAAAGGGAAACAGTGCAAGGGAGATTCTGTTGCTGGCTTTGAAGATGGAAGAGGCCACATGGCAAGTAATGTAGGTGATATTTCAGAGCTAAGAGTGGCATCCAGTTGACAGCCAACAAAAAAAAATGGAGACTTCAGTCCTACAACAAGAATTGAATTCAGTCAACAATAAGAATGAACGTGGAAGCAGATTCTTCCCTAAATTCTCCAGAAATTAATGCAAGTGTGCTAAGACACTGCTCAGACAATTTCGCCATACCATAGACCTCTGCCCAGAACCAGACTATGAGCTAAAAAATGAATTTTGTTTTAAGTAGGTAAGTTTATGGCAATCTGTTACACAGCAATGGCAAACTGTACAACTACTATGTTCAACAGCTGGAGAGCTTACATTTTTCAAAAACACAGATGGGCCATTTATGAAAACTGACCACAAATTTGACCATAAAGCAAGTCTCAACAAATTTCAAAGAATTTTGTTATATGCACAACATATTTTGTGATAATACAATTTTGTTAGAATCAACAAAAAATGAATAAAGATAGCCATTTATGTAATAATTAAAAGACATATTTCTAAATAGTTTGTGAGTCAAAGAAGGAAGCAATAAAAATTAAAATATTTTTAGTAATCAATGTTAAAAGTTCTACATATCAAAATTTGTGGAATGCAGCTAACTAGCAACCTAGGAATATAAATAATCTCCCTTAAACTAATGAATGGCATCTCCCTTAAACTCTTAATCTTCTTTAAACTAATGAATGGCATCTATAAAATCCCACAACAAATAATCGTGAATTCTAAAAAATTCCTTTAAGTTGAAGATCAAAACAATGGGGCTTACTATCAAGATGAGAAAGAATAAACCCTATAATAACTGGAATTAAGAAATGACATTGTTTTTAGGTGACATAATTGTCTATATGGAAATCCCCAAATATTTATGGACAAATTAGATTTATCAAGAGTGATGAGCTAGTTCTGCATATAAGCTTGATATACAAAAGTCAATTGTATTTCTTATACACTAACATATATTTAGAACAAGCAACTTAGGCAAAAAAGAATACATTTATAAATGCAACAAAAATATAAGACATTTAAGAATAAAACTAGTAAAAAATTGCAAAAGTTTTGTGCGGAATCTATAAAACTTTAATGAAAGTTAACAAAAAAATAAATGGAGTGCCATACCATGTTCATGGATAGACAGACACAATATATTAAAAATGTCAATTATCTGCAACTTGACTTATTCAATGTCATGTCCATCAAAATTCTAACAGGTTTTTTTTCTGTTCACAAAGCTTGATGAGCTTATTCTAAAATTCATATAAAATTCCAAAGTCTCAAGAATATTCAAGACATGACTAACAAAGAAGAGTGATGTGTAGTTGCCCTGTCAAATATCAATATTTATCCTAAAGCTATCTAATATTATAGAGCTATATTTAATATTTGTTACAGAATAGTATTGGGATTGTTATCATATTTGAGGCAAAATGGAAGAGAGTAGAGACCCCAGAAAATGAACTTATGTATCTATGTAAACTGATACAACAGGTGGTATTACAGATCAGTAAAAAATGGAAATATTATTAAATAAATATATTGGACATAGAACAATAGAATAGAATAGAGAAGCGAGAAATAAATCCATATTTTTACAGCCAATTGATTTTCAACAGAGTTGCCAAAAACATTCTCTGGGTAGAGGACAGTGTCTTCAATAAATGGAACTGGGAAAACTGAATATCTATCTACAGAAAAATAAAACTAGATCCCCATCTCTCACTATATATGAAAATCAAACCAAAGTGGAGTAAAGATTTAAATGTTAGATCAGAAATGATGAAACTACTGGAAGAAAGTGTAGAAGAAACAGTTCAGGCAATTGGTCTGGGCAAACATTTTATGGAAAAATTCTTAAAAGCACAGGAAACAAAAGTAGAAAAACAAATAATTGGAATTATATCAAACTAAAAGCCTTCTGCAGAGCAAAGGAAACAATGACAGAATGAAGAGCCAACCTGCAGAGTGGCAGAAAATATTTGCAAACTATTCACCCAACAAGGGATTAATATTGAGAATATACAAGGAACTCAAACAGCTCAACAGGAAAAAAACCCCAAATATTCCAATTAAAAATGGGCAAATAAGCTGAATAAATATCTCGCTAAAGAACACATGCAAATGACCAACAGATGTGTGGAAAAATGTTAAACATCACTAATCATCAGGGAAATGCAAGTCAAAACTACAATGAGATATCATCTCATCTTAGAATGGCCATTATAAAAAAGACAAAAAATAACAAATGCTCGTGAGGATTCAGAGAAACAGGAACTGTTATATGCTGTTGATGGGAATATAAGCTGGTACAGCCATTATGGAAAACATTATGGAGGTTCCTAAAAACTAAACTACCATATGATCCAGTAAAGCTAGTACAGGGTATATATATAAAAATGGAAAAAGTCAGTACATTGAATAGATATCTGTACTCCATGTACATTGTAGCAGTGTTTACAATAGCCAAGATATGGAATTAACCTGAGTGTCCATCAACAGATGGATAAAGAAAATGTGGTACATATACATAATATAATACTACTTAGCAGTAAAAAGGAAAGAAATTCTGTCATTTGCAGCATCATAGATGAGCTTGGAGGACATTATATTAAGTGAAATAAGAGGCACAGAAAGGTAAACATTGCATGTTATCACTTCTACGGGGAGGCACAAAAAGTTGATCTCATGGAAGTAGAAAGTAGAATAGTGGTTACTGGAGGGTTGGAAGACTGGGGAGAGGGGAGACAGCCAGAGGTTGGTTAATGGACACAAAAGTACAGCTAGGTAGGAGAACTAAGTTCTAATGTTCTATTGCACTATAGAGTGACTACAATAAATGATTTATTGTAGATTTTTCAAATAGTTGAAATAATGGATTTTGACTATTCTCAACACTAAGAAACGATAAATGTTTGAGGTGTTGAATATGCTACTCTGATTTTTATCATTACACATTGTATACATGTATCAAAACATTACACTGTACTCCATAAATATGTATGATTAGTATGTGTTGGTTAAAAGTAATAAATAAATACATAAATAAATATGTTGGGGAAATGGGTATCCATATAGAAAAAAAGTGAAAATGAATCTCTAATCTCACACAAAGGTAAATTTCAGATAAATCAAGCACTCAAATGTCACGGGCAGAACTTTAACATTTACAAAAACAATATATTGAATGTATACATGAGTTATAGCAAATTTACAAGCATATCACTGAATTAAATTATTGTTATGCTTCCCAATATTTGAGTAAAGAAAAGAAAGCCAACAGAGAGGCCAACATGTTCCAGTCCTAAAGTCACATAGAACCCCTTAAATACACTTTCCAAATAAACAAGGACATGTTTCTAAGAAATTAGGCACTAGACCTCTGGCATTTATCACTTACAGGCTGTGTTTTAGTGATATTTATCTTCTTACTTAATTCATTATTCTTGGTTGTATATAACTTAGCTATCAACACAACTATTATAAATTTGTACCTAAATTCTCTTTTCTTCGATTTACTTGAGGGACCCAAATAGCTTGTTTTTAACTCTAATTTTAGGATATGTCTACATTATCTTTAAGAAAAGTTTACTATAGACAGCTACTTATTTGAAAATGCTTTTTGGCTCCTTTTACCATAAGCTGCCATTTGACATGGAGATGAAAGTTCTAGCTCAACAGTTTCCTTTTACTTACACTTAGTTTGCCACAAATTGGAGCTTCAACTGCCTGGCAAAAATAAAAGCCACAACTTCTACTTCGCTCCTGGCATAAACTCAAAAGGACAATTTGTGCCATTTGTAAGTTAATCAAAACAGATTATACACAGCAAGGCAGGCAGAACTCTGGGTTCCAATTTAATGTGCTTTGAATTGGCTTTGCTAGATGGTCCTGTTTATGAAGATAATTGCCCCTATTGCCAGGATATGTTTATGTTCTTTTCCCCCAGGGGAAAGATTGCCATAGAACAAATTAAAGGCGATTAGCAGGAAGGTTGGGTAATTGCCAATAAATTCAGTAAACTTCCATGAGCTTTTGAGCCAAAATGGCCTTTTTAAGGGTCCTCATTTTGCTATTTGCTAGTTGTTTGACCTTGGAGGAAATACTTAATCTCTCTGAACATTAATTTCCTCATTTATAATAATAATTTTCTGATAATGTTGTCACTGGGATTGGAGATAGTATATTAAGTACCAGGAGTTGTGCCTAGCTAGTGAGTGGTTTTCAGTAAATGGTACCCATATATTATTATTGAAAAATATTTGACAGGTTATTATCACTTACTGATCAATATAATAGAAGTAATATGATTGTGCTTTTAGGACATAATCTAATATTTCATTTGCCTGATATTAAACAGGAACTAAATATAAGTAAGATTTGGATGTTTCTGCTGGGGCATGGGTTGGAAATACAGTTTGAAGATGTTTTTGAGAACAGATTAGTAATTCTCACACTCGCTTGCTCCTTGTACATGGGATGCCCTGATGACTGAGAATGCATGAATTTTTCCCTTTCTTACATTTTTGATTCAGAATCAAATCTATATCTAATATTTTGATAGAAAAACATTTCTAAAACATAAAAGAACAAAATAAATTTAATACACCACCAAAAATTAAACAACAAAACACAGGTTGTAGCAGAATTTAAAATAGGTTTTCCTTTTTCAAAAAATTCTGATTTAATAATGTATACTCTCCAGGTATGCAGCCTTGGGAAATTTCTAGCCCAGAGCATTGTAGCTCTGCATATAGTCAACTAAATGATTTTCATGGTTTTTCCACAGGAAAATAATTTTAAATTTGCTTCCTCCTGACACCCAGAAGCTTCTCTTTTCCCTCCACAGCTGGTGGGTTATTATGCTTAAAGGATATAAATTGCTTAACAACATACTGAGTAAATTCTAATAGAAACACAAACTTTTATCAAAAAATATATTTTAAATTAAATACAAACATTTCTTAGTTAGTTAATGGTCTGCATTATCCACATTACACTTCTTTCCTGGGCCTAAATAATCAAGAGATGGCTATTAATTGGAAGAAACCATTCATTTACATAACTATGCACTTTCTGGATCATCTTCATACTAACATTGTATATATAATTTGTTAATTTGGCTCTCTGAAATTTATTAATATAATATTTTCATGTACTATTATATTAATATGTGTTAATTTACTAATATAATATGCTAAGGATTATTTATTTTCAGAAGTGCATAAAATTCAGAATTTACTCCTTGCCAGACTTTATTCAGCGATGTGCTGGTAAATGCTTAATAAAATGGTTCTCAGAAAAAGCAGACCCTGTGTGTAGCATTGCTAATTTCCATAGTGTAAAAATGCCTACAGTGACTGATTTAAAGCTACTAAGGTGAAGTCACTGATCTCAAAATTGGGAATAAATGCACACAATTGGCTCTTCTGAGCTGGAGAAAGCTCACTCCAGCACATCTTTGCGTATTCTCCACATTACAATGACATAATTTAAAATGATCAACTTAAATTTAATTTATATTAATTGAATGCTTATTCCGAACCAATTTCCATTCAGGATATTGGGGTTACCCCTCCAACTATATTTATATATATTGTATATGTATTTGTTTATTGTCAGTTTTCACCTTCAAGAGTAATAGCCTCATGAAGGCAAAGACTTTAGTTTAGTTCATTTTTGATTTCTCTAAACCTAGAATAATGGCTAACACATAGCAGACAATGAATAAAGATTTCTTGAGTCAAAGGAGACTCAAATGTCAACAAGCTCACAGTCTATCAGAAAATTAAACCAGGTGATTTTTAAGGAGATAGGGAAACTAAATCATATAATTACTAAGTCTCAGTGTTTCCTAAAGTTAAACCATAAAAATTCCATAATGCTATATTAATAAAAATGTAATACATCCAGCTAACATTATATTTCATTGAAAAACATGTTATATGTTGATTGTGATTCTGCAAAGAAAATGCCAATACCAGTAGCATCAGCAAACCTTTATAGAGTGCTTATTCTAAAGTGGGAATATGTTAAGTGAATAACATATACAGTATTATTGAATTTACCTCTTATAATATCGTTTCCAATATGCAATAATTTTACCTTCTCACTTTACACACGAGAAAATTGCAGCTCCAAATTGTTCACAAACTTGCTCAAGTAAGTTGCTGGTAAGTGCTAGGCTCCATTCTGAACCTAAGCCTCTCACTGAATATAAGTTCTTAACTCCTAATTAGTCTCCTGAATACTTATTATTTTCTCGGTTTTTTCAAAATAGTATAAATCATGGAGAGTTCACATTTCCATGTTGATGCTTTGCAATTCACAGAAGCAAGATGAGTGATTAGGATTATTTTTCAAAGTAAAAGATGCTCTACCATTGACAACAGGATCTCTTTAAAGTGGGCAAGTTGGTCACAGGATTTGTATGAGTTTACTGTTGGTTGTAAAAGGAGGCAATTGGGCCAGATAGATGGATTCATAGCTGAATTCTACCAGCTGTAAAAAGAAGAGCTGGTACTAATTCTACTGAAACTATTCTTAAAAATTGAGGAGGAAGACTCCTCCTGAGCTCACTCTATGAAGCCAGCATCACCTTGATACCAAACCCCAGCAAAGACAAATGAAGAAAGAAAACTACTATATTAGGCCAATATCTCTAATGAACATAGACAGAAACATCCTCAAAAAATCTAGCAAACGGAATCCAGAAGCACATTACAAAGTTAATTCAACATGATCAACTAGACTTCAGTCCTGGGATGCCAGGTTGGTTCAACATACAAAAATCAATAAATATGATTGACTCCATAAACAGAATTTAAAACAAAAACCATACAACTATCTAAATAGATGCAGAAAAAGTTTTTGATAAAATCCAACAACCGTTTGTGATAAAAACCCTCAAGAAACTAGGGATTAAAGAAACATATCTCAAAATAATCAGAGCCATCTCTGACAAACCCACAGCCAACATGATATTGACAGGCAAAAACTGGAAACAATACCCTGGAGAACTGGAATAACTCCTACTCAACATAACGGTGAAAGTCCTTGCCAGAGCACTCAGGCAAGAGAAAGAAAGAAAAGGCATCCAAATAGGAACAGAAGAAGTCAAATGATCTCTTGCTGACAATATGATTCTATAGGTAGAAATCCCTAAAAACTCCAATGAAAATATCTGGGAACTGATAAATAACTTCCATAAAGTTTCAGGATACAAAATCAATGTACAAAAATCAGTAGCATTTCTATACATCCAGTAATGTTCAAGCTGAGTGCCAATTCAAGAATGCAATCCCATTTACAATCACTGCAAACAAAACAAAACAAAACAAAACAAGAACAACAAAAAAACACCTAGGAATACATCTAACCATGAAGGTGAAAGGGCTCTACAAGGAGAACTACAAAACACTGCTGAAAGAAATCATAAATGACAGAAAAAAATGGAAAACATTTCATGATCATGGATTGGAAGAATCAATATCATTAAAATGACCATACTACCCAAAGCAATCTACACATTCAATCCCATTCCTAATCAAGCTACCAATGTCATTTTTCACAGAACTAGAAAAAAGTGTCCTAAACTGTTCTAAAATTCATATGGAGCCATGGAACCTGACCAGCTGGAGAAATCCTATGCAAAAAGAACAAAGCCAGAGGCATAACATTACCTGACTTCAAACTATTCTATAAGGCTACAGTAACCAAAACAGCATCGTACTGGTACAAAAACAGACACACAGACCAAAGAAGAAGAATAGAGAATCCATAAATTAAGTCAAACACCTAATCTTTGATAAAGTTGACAAAAATAAACAATGGGGATAGGACTCCCTATTCAATAAATGGTACTGCGGTAGCTGGCTAGCCATATGCAGAAGAATGAAATTAGACTTCTACTTTTTAGCATGTAAAAAATTAACTAAAGATGGATGAAAGATTTAAATGTAAGACCTCAAAGTATAAGAATCCTAGAAGAAAACCTAGCAAACACCATTGTGGACATTGGCCTTAGGAAAGAAATTATGACCAAGTCCTCAAAAACAATTGAAGCAAAACCAAAAATCAAGTGGGATGATTACACTAAAGAGCTTCTGCACAGCAAAACAAACTATCAACAGAGTAAAGAGACAATCAACAGAATTGGAGGAAATGCTCGCGAACTGTGCCTCCAACAAAGGTCTAATATCCAGAATCCATAAAGAACTTAAATCAACAAGCAAAAAACAAATAACCCCATTTAAAATTGTAGACAAAGATAAGTAGGCAAAAGACACGAACAGACATTTCTTAAAAGAACACAGACAAGGGCCAAAAAACATATGAAAAAATGTTGCACATCAGTAATCATTAGGAAAATGTAAATCAAAACTCCTATGAGATATCATCTCAGGTCAGTTTGGGAGGCCGAGGCGGGCAGATCACGAGGTCAGGAGATAGAGTCCATCCTGGCTAACATGGTGAAACCCCGTCTCTACTAAAAAAAATACAAAAACTTAGCCAGGCGTGGTGGTGGGCGCCTGTAGCCGCAGCTACTCGGAAGGCGGAGGCAGGAGAATGGCGTGAACCCAGGAGGCGGAGCTTGCAGTGAACCGAGATAGCACCGTTGCACTCCGGCCCGGGCGAAAGAGCGAGACTCTGTCTCAAAAAAAAAAAAAAAAAAAAAAAAAAAAGTCAAAAAACAACAAATGCTGGTGAGGTTACACAGAAAAGGGAGCTCTTATACACTGTTGGTGGGAATGTAAGTTAGTCCAGATACTATGCAAAATAGTTGAGATTTCTCAAAGAACTTAGAACTACCATTCAACCCAGCAATCCCATTACTGGGTATATATCCAAAAGAAAATAAATCATTCTACCAAAAAGACACATGCCCTCTTATGTTCATCACAGCACTATTTGCAATAGCAAAGACATGAAATCAACCTAGGTACCCATTAATTGTGGATTGGAGAAAGAAAATGTGGTACATATACACCACTGAATACTACATAGCCATAAAAAGAATGAAATCATGTCCTTTGCAGCAACATGGATTCACCAGGAGGCTATTATCCTAAGTGAATTAATGCAGAAACAGAAAACCAAATACCATATGTTCTCACTAATAAGTGGGAGCTAAACATTGGGTTTTCATGGAGATAAACATGGCAATAACAGACACTGGGGACTACTAGAGGAGTGAAGAGGGAAGGGGGACAAGGATTGAAAAACTTTTGAGTATTATGCTCAGTACCTGGGTTATGGGAGCAATTGTACCCCAAACTTCAGCATCACACGATATACCCAGGTAACAAATCTGCACATGTTCCCCCTGAATCTTAAATGAAAGTTTAAATTATTAAATAAATAAATAAATAAAAGAAGGGAACCATAAACCATCTTAATTCCCATGGTTCTCAGGAATCCACTGGCAAACTGTGAGTAGGCATTAACCAGACATTTAATTATAATAAGTTTTGACCATGATAAATTCAGGGGACTGTGACAAATTCAGGGGGAAGGATGAAGCATGTTAGCTAGATAGCAAGAGAGGATGTATTAGTCTGTTCTCACACTGCTATAAAGAACTGTCTGAGACTGGGAAATTATAAAAGAAGGAGCTTTAAATGACTCAGTTTTGCATGGCTGGCGAGGCCTCAGGAAGCTTACAACCATGGCAGAAGGCACCTCTTCACAAGGTGGCAGGAGAGAGAATGAGTACAAGCAGGGGAAATGCCCTACACTCATAAAACTGTTAGATCTCGTGAGAATCCATTCACTATCATGAGAGCAGCATGGGGGAAACCGCCCCATCATCCAATCACTTCTCACAGGGTCCCTCCTAGGACATGTGGGGATTATGGGAACTACAATTCAAGATGAGATTTGGGTGGGCACACAGCCAAACCATATCGGGGGGATGGAGTAGAGTTTGCTGTTTTATGATGGGTAAGGGGGCTCACTTATAACATTTTGAAAGGAGTCCTGTGAAGGAAGTGGGGAAGCAAGTTATACAGGTATACCTAGTAGTATTTCTAGGTATAGTATTCCTAGGTATACCTAGGGTCAACACATTCTGAGCAAGAGGGAACAGCAGGCCAAGCACAGTGGATCACTCCTGTAATCCCAGCACTTTGGGAAGCCAAGGTGGTTGGATCACCTGAGGTCAGGAGTTCGAGACCAGCCTGAACAATATGGTGAAACCCTGTCTCTACTAAAAATACAAAACTTAGCCAGGTGTGGTGGCCGGCGCCTGTAGTCCCAGCTACTCGGGAGGCTGAGGTGGGAGAATCGCTTGAACCCGGAAGGCGGAGGCTGCAGTGAGCCGAGATTGTGCCACTGCACTCCAGCCTGGGTGATAGAGTGAGTCTCAGGCTCAAAATAAATAAATAAATAAATAAATAAATAAATAAATAAAATCAATTTAAAAACCCCAACAAACAAATAAACAAACTAAACTAAAAGAGAGAGTGTGTGTGTTGTAAAAGAGGAGGTCAGAGCAATGGGTTGTGGAGGCAGGTCAGATAGGGATTGTAGGCCAAATTACAGACTTCAGCCTTTTCTCTGAGAGGTGTGGAAAGCAATTTCAAGTTTTGAGCAGTCATGCCGCAATCTGCTTTCCATTTCTAAAGAACTACAGTGGTTGGTGAGGCTTAGAGACTCCATGTGGGAGGGGAGCCATGGCCTTAGGGAGACCAGTGAGAAGGTTGTCACCGTAACGCTAGTGAGAGAACTCATGTCTTGGTAGTGATGACAAGGGTGTATTCCAATTTATTCAGTAGGAGAACCCACAGGTTTTCTCATAGATATGCAGGATGAGAGAAAGAAAGAGGTCAAGATTAACTCAAGGCTTTTAGTCTGAACAAATGGAAGGTTGGAGATGAGGAGTGTGGAGTTTGGTTTTGACCTGTGTCCACTTTGAGATGCTTCAAAGGGAATTCCTATGATGACAATTGAAAATGCTTATATCTATTTTAAGTATTCATATATTTAAAAGTTCCTAAACCTTAATTCTTATATTCAGTTCTTTAATTAAAATACAAATATTTATTTATTGCTGAGCATAGACGTCTTATCAAATTTCACTAATAGAAGAGGCAAAGCCCTGAAGAAATCTTGATAAGAAGATAAAAACAAATAAGTGAGGAAAGATATCAGTGTGCTGAACACTAGAGGGCAGGACGATCACAGGAATAGAACACGAATCTAGCAAGCATTGACAGTAAAACATTTTATTTGGGTACATTTACTTCTAACTCACTGACACTAGCAGTAGGAGTCTTCAGAAATGAAAATAAACAAATCATAACCTTTCATCAAAGACAGGTTTTAGAGAGAAAGAGTAATTTATTTCAGTTTATAAGGGTCCACAGAAGCTCTGTTGTCGCTGGGGGCTTCTACAGTTTTTGAAAATAAAAGCATAAAGCCAGAGGAAGCAGGGGACACTCCAAGGCATATTGTTCTCTTGATGCCCTTGTTGAAATCATGCTGGCAGCGATGATTGGCATTAGGGTAGAGAGGAGAGCAGCCCAGGTTGCCCCAGTTCAAATTTGGTACTCCTCCCAAGGACTAGGCTGCAGCTTTGGTGTATGTGCCTCCTCACAAAGGTGACGTTGCTGCCCGAGGCCCTACTTAAATCAAGTGTAGCTGTTGGGGCCAGCAGGTCATGAATGCTTGCGTCAGGAATGACAATCTTCCTTTTATCCAGGGAATAAAGAAGGATGCAAGAAATAAAACAAGAAAAGAAATAGGGCACAAAGGAAGAAAGAGCAGAGTTGAAGCAAAACTAATAAAACCTGAGGATGAGAAAAAAAGTTTACATATTTGAATATGAGTGAAAGAGACACATAAAGTTGTGTAAAACTGGTAATATATTGATTCTTGTTAAAAAATTAGGTAGCTGCTGACATGGATAAATTGTCAGGAGCTAACTAACTAGTTTTAAATTTGAGATGAGGAGGATTATGTATTGGAGAAATGTAGTTATTTTGGCAAGTTGAAAAGGTGTGTGTGTGTGTGTGTGTGTGTGTGTTTGCCTGCATGTGTGTGTGTGTGAGAGAGAGAGGGAGAGAGAGAGAAACAGTTTCTCCAAGTACTGCTTTAGCTTCATCCTCTATTAAACTGCTATTTATAGCTAGAAATATATTCAATCAAGGTATATTTCTTGACAATGGTATTTACAAATATAATGTTCATAGGATGATGTCATTATGTGTAAAAAATTACTGTCTTGCTTTCTCTTTGGAATAGAGAAGGATATAAATATTTCTTTATACCATTATAGAGGGATATTAGGACATAATAATCTACTGCCCTGAAATCTTGAAGGACAATAGACTAAATAGACCAAAAAACCGTGAAGGCAAATTATGAACGTGTACTTACAAAGTACCATAACTACTAAAACACATTATCTGCACTCACTCAAAGGTCCCCATTTTTCCCTTACTTTATTCATCTGTATAATCAGTTACACATTGTTTCTCCCTTCAATCATATTTCCCTGTCTCTTCTAGACACAGAATTTTGAGGCTGAGGTGGGCGGATCATTTGAGGTCAGGAGCTCAAGACCAGCCCGACCAACATGGTGAAACCCTGTCTCTACTAAAATATAAAAATTAGCTGGGAGTGGGGGCAGGCACCTGTTATCTCAGCTACTTAGGAGGCTGAGGCACGAGAATCACTTGAACCTGGGAGGCAGATGTTGCAGTGAGCTGAGATCGCGCCACTGCACTCCAGCCTGGGTGACAGAGTGAGACTCTTCTCTCTCAAAAAAAAAAAAAAATTTGGTATAAATTTCCCCAGATGCATTTGTTCTTAACCAGAAACAATTTTGCTCCCCTAGGGAATATTTGGCAATGTTTGGAAACATTTTGATTGTCTCAATTATGGGAGTGTTACTGGCATCTAGTGGCTAAAGGTTGCTGTTAAACATCCTACAATGCATAGGACAGCCCCCATCCCCCACAACAGAGTTGCCCAGTCTCAAATGTCAGTACTACAAAAGTTGAAAACCCCTGTCACAAAGTGTTATTTAAACAATAAAAAACTATAATGTAAGTGTTATTAGGCCTGGGATGATCGTATTTCTATAAACACTGAACCTGGTAAACAAACCACAGGAGAGAGAGAAAACCTTCCCAATGTTCCCCTTTTATAGTTGCAAGTTTTACTCCTTTTGGAGTGGTTCTTGGTTTCAGAATGTTGTTTTTACTCTTTACACTTAGGTGTTAATACTTATGGACACACTCATATGTCCTTTCTTCGTCAGAAATTCCTGTGTCAGCGTTCTACAAGGTGTCTGTGGCCTTAGGTTCTTAGAGAGAATGTCAGATAGGTTGAGCTTTTCTCCTCACTCCTAAGGATTGAAGTCATAATTAAGAAAGAACCAACATTACAGCTTGAAATCACTTTTCTCGATGTGAATACAACTTATGAAATCCCACCATTATTCTTTTCTATAATGTGCTATTACAGTAGAAGAGGGGCTACTCAGCCAATAAGATGAGATTAAAAACAAGAACAACAAAGAACAGAGTGCATAGAGCATGTGTCCAGAGTAATCAAGACTAACTTTTGAACCTCTCCAACTCTGCTCCTTTCTAGTTGAGTGACCTTGGACAAGTGACCCAGCCTATCTCATCATCTAAGTAAGGAGGATAATGAGGTGTCTGTTTTATCATTCAGCTGCATGTGAACTACTCAGTACAGTGTCTGGTATGTAGGAAACTTTCAATTTTTTTTTATTCATGCTGTATTAACTTTAATTAAGTACTAAGATCTCTCTAACATGTCTAGAGACCATTTCAGCCACTGCTCTGTTTGGCCATCAGTTTTGTCTCTCTTCAGCAATGGCGAGGTGGACACCCTTTCATTGGGGAAGATAAATCCATGGTTTGTTGCCCTTGTCAAAAACAAAAATGTCCGAGAGCTGGGTGGCAAAGCTGTTTCCATTGGCATCTTTCACATTCACCATATCAAAAGATCTAGAATGTTTCTCTCTGTTCATTATCACACCAATTCTTCCCAAGGTAGCATCTCCAGTCACAGGATACCAGTGTCAACAAGTTGCCAGTGTTCAACTTGATGCAATCTGTAATCTTGCCAGTCTCCAAATCAATTTGAATGGTGTCATTTACCTTGATGAGTGGATCCGAGTAGCAGATGGTGTGAGCATCATGAACCATCATGTGACCACAGATATTTTTCTCACTTTGCACAGCTTGTACTTGGCCTCCTCAGGTGTGGTATGATGAACACCAGAGTGACCTTTGGTGTCATACAACAGACAAAAATTCTTTTCAGTCTTATCAATGCTGATGACATTCATGAATCCAGCAGGATAGGTTATATCAGTTCAGACCTTGCCATTGATCTTAATGAACCACTGCATGCAAATCTTTCTTTTTTTTCCAACTTTTATTTCAGTTCAGGGGTACATGTGCAGGATGTGCAGGTTTGTTACACAGTTAAACATGTGCCATGGTGATTTGCTGTACAGATCATCTCATCACCTAAGTATTAAGCCGGCATCCATTAGCTATTCTTCCTGAAGCTCACCTTTCTCTCATCCTGCAACTTCCAACATGCTCCAGTGTGTGTCCATGTGTTCTCATAATTTAACTCCTACTTATAAGTGAGAACATGCAGTGTTTGATTTTCTGTTTCTGCATTAGTTTGCTGAGAATGATGGCTTCCAGTGCCATCCATGCCCCTGCAAAAGACATGATCTCATTCCTTTTTATGGCTGCATAGTATTCCATGGTGTATATGTACCATATTTTCTTTATCCAGTCTATTATTGATGGGCATTTAGGTGGATTCCATGCCTTTACTATTGTGAATAGTCCTGCAATGAACATAATGTGTTAATGTACCTTTATAATAGAATGATTCACATTCCTTTGGGTATATATCTAGTAATGGGATTGCTGCATCAAGTGGTATTTCTGCCTCTAGGTCTTTGAGGAATCGCGACACTGTCTTCCACAATGGTTGAACTAATTTACATTCCCACCAACAGTGTAAATGTGTTCCTTTTTCCCCACAACCTTGCCAGTATCTGTTGTTTTTTGACTTTTTAATTAGCTATTCCGACTGCTGTGAGATGGTATCTCATTGTGGTTTTGATTTGCATTTCTCTGATGATCAGTGATGTTGAGCTTTTTTTCATATGTTTGTTGGCCACATGTATGTCTTCTTTAGAGAAGTGTCTCTTCATGTCCTTTCCTCACTTTTTAATGGGGTTGTTTCTTTTTCTTGTAAATTGTTTATTTTATTTTATTTTATAATACTTTAAGTTTTAGGGTACATGTGCACAATGTGCAGGTTTGTTACATATGTATACATGTGCCATGTTGGTTTGCTGCCCCCATTAACTCATCATTTACATTAGGTATTTCTCCTAATGCTAACCCTCTCCCACTCCCCCACCCCACAACAGGCCCCGGTGTGTAGTGTTCCCCACCCTGTGTCCAAGTGTTCTCGTTGTTCATTTCCCACCTATGAGTGAGAACATGCAGTGTTTGGTTTTCTGTCCTTGTGACAGTTTGCTGAGAATGATGGTTTCCAGCTTTATCCATGTCCCTACAAAGGAAATAAACTCATCCTTTTTTTTGGCTGCAGAGTATTCCATGGTGTATATATGCCATATTTTCTTTATCCAGTCTATCATTGATGGACATTTGGGTCGGTTCCAAGTCTTTGCTATTGTGAATAGTGCCACAATAAACATATGTGTGCATGTGTCTTTATAGTGGCATGATTTATAACCCTTTGGGTATATACCCATTAATGGGATCGCTGTGTCAAATGGTATTTCCAGTTCTAGATCCTTGAGGAATCGCCACACTGTCTTCCACAATGGTTGAACTAGTTTACAGTCCCACCAACAGTGTAAAAGCATTCCTATTTCTCCACATCCTCTCCAGAACCTGTTGTTTCCTGACTTTTTAATGGTCACCATTCTAACTGGTGTGAGATGGTATCTCATTGTGGTTTTGATTTGCATTTCTCTGATGGCCAGAGATGATGAGCATTTATTTTTTCATTTGTCTGTTGGCTGCATAAATGTCTTCTTTTGAAAAGTGTCTGTTCATATCCTTTGCCCACTTTTTGATGGGGTTGTTTGATTCTTTCTTGTAAATTTGTTAAAGTGCTTTGCAGATACTGGATATTAGCCCTTTGTCAGATGGGTAGATTGCAAAAATTTTCTCCCATTCTCTAGGTTGCCTGTTCACTCTGATGGTAGTTTCTTTTGCTGTGCAGAAGCTCTTTAGTTTAATTAGATCCCATTTGTCTATTTTGGCTTTTGTTGCTATTGCTTACGGTGTTCTAGACATGAAGTCCTTGCTCATGCCTATGTCCTGAATGGTATTGCCTAGGTTTTCTTCTAGGGTTTTTATAGTTTTAGGTCTAACATTTAAGTCTTTAATCCATCTTGAATTAATCTTTATATAAGGTGTAAAGAAGGGATCCAGTTTTAGCTTTCTACATATGGCTGGCCAGTTTTCCCAGCACCATTTATTAAATAGGGAATCCTTCCCTCATTTCTTGTTTTTGTCTGGTTTGTCAAAGATCAGACGGTTGTAAGTTTGTGGTGTTATTTCTGAGGGCTCTGTTCTGTTCCATTGGTCTATATCTTTGTTTTGGTACCAGTACCATGCTGTTTTGGTTACTGCAGCCTTGTAGTATAGCTTGAAGTCAGGTAGCAGGATACCTCCAGCTTTGTTTTTTTTGCTTAGGATTGTCTTGGCAATGTGGGCTATTTTGGTTCCATATGAACTTTAAAGTAGTTTTTTCCAATTCTGTGAAGAAAGTCATTGGTAGTTTGGTGGGGATGGCATTGAATCTGTAGATTACCTTGGGCAGTATGGGCATTTTCATGATATTGATTCTTCCTATCCATGAGCCTGGAATGATCTTCCATTTGTTTGTGTCCTCTTTTATTTCATTCCAGTGGTTTGTAGTTCTCCTTGAAGAGGTCCTACACATCCCTTGTAAGTTGGATTCCTAGGTATTTTATTCTCTTTGAAGCAATTGTGAATGGGAGTTCACTCATGATTTGGCTCTCTGTTTGTCTGTTATTGGTGTATAAGAATGCTTGTGATTTTTGCACATTGATTTTGTATCCTGAGACTTTGCTGAAGTTGCTTATCAGCTTAAGGAGATTTTGGGCTGAGATGATGGGGTTTTCTAAATATATAATCATGTCATCTGCAAACAGGGACAATTTGACTTCCTCTTTTCCTAATTGAATATCCTTTATTTCTTTCTCTTGCCTGATTGTCCTGGACAGAACTTCCAACACCGTGTTGAATAGAAGTGGTGAGAGAGGGCATCCCTGTCTTGTGCCAGTTTTCAAAGGGAATGCTTCCAGTTTTTGCCCATTCAGTATGATACTGGCTGTGGGTTTGTCATAAATAGCTCTTATTATTTTGAGATGTGTTCTATCAATAGATAGTTTATTGAGAGTTTTTAGCATGAAGGGCTGTTGAATTTTGTCGAAGGCCTTTTCTGCATCTACTGAGATAATCGTGTGGTTTTTGTCTTTGGTTCTGTTTATGTGATGGATTACGTTTACTCATTTGCATAAGTTGAACCAGCCTTGCATCCCAGGTATGAAGCCAACTTGATCTGGGTGGATAAGCTTTTTGCTGTGCTGCTGGATTTGGTTTGCCAGTATTTTATTGTGGATTTTTGCATCAATGTTCATCAGGGATATTGGTCTAAAATTCTCTTTTTTTGTTGTGTCTCTGCCAGCATTGGTATCAGGATGATGCCAGCCTCATAAAATGAGTTAGGTAGGATTCCCTCTTCTTCTACTGATTGGAATAGTTTCCGAAGGAATGGTACCAGCTCCTCCTTGTACCTCTGGTAGAATTCGGCTGTGAATCCATCTGGTCCTGGACTTTTTTTGGTTGGTAGGCTATTAATTATTGCCTCAATTTCAGAGCCTGTTATTGGTCTCTTCAGCAATTCAACTTCTTCCTGGCTTAGTCTTGGGAGGGTGTATGTGTCCAGCAATTTATCCATTTGTTCTAGATTTTCTGGTTTATTTGTGTAGAGGTGTTTACAGTATTCTCTGATGGTTGTTTGTATTTCTGTGGGATCGGTGGTGATATCCCCTTTATCATTTTTTATTGTGTCTATTTGATTCTTCTCTTTTTTCTTCTTTATTAGTCTTGCTAGCGGTCTATCTATTTTGTTAATCTTTTCAAAAAACCAGCTCCTGTATTCATTGATTTTTGGAAGGGTTTTTTTCTGTGTGTGTCTCTATCTCCTTCAGTTCTGCTCTGATCTTAGTTATTTCTTGCCTTCTGCTAGCTTTTGAATTTGTTTGCTCTTGCTTCTCTAGTTTTTTTAATTGTGAAGTTAGGGTGTCGATTTTAGATCTTTTCTGCTTTCTGTTGTGGGCATTTAGTGCTATAAATTTCCCTCTACATACTGCTTTAAATGTATCCCAGAGATTCCGGTACGTTGTGTCTTTGTTCTCATTGTTTTCAAAGAACATCTTTTTTTCTGCCTTCATTTCTTTTTTTTTTTTTTTTTTTGACAGAGTCTCACTCTGTCACTCAGGCTAGAATGCAGTGGCACAATCTCTGCTCACTCACTGCAAGCTCCGCCTCCTGGGTTTACACCATTCTCCTGCCTCAGCCTCCCCAGTAGCTGGGACTACACGCCCAGCTAATTGTTTTCGTATTTTCAGTAGAGACGGCGTTTCACTGTGTTAGCCAGGATGGTCTCGATCTCCTGACCTCGTGATCTGCCTGCCTTGGCCTCCCAAAGTGCTGGGATTACAGGCATGAGCCACCACGCTCGGCCTCATTTCATTATTTACCCAGTAGTCATTCAGGAGCAGGTTGTTCAGTTTCCTTGTAGTTGTGCAATTTTGAGTGAGTTTCTTAAATCCTGAGTTCTAATTTGATTGCACTGTGGTCTGAAAGACAGTTTGTTGTGATTTCTGTTCTTTTAAATTTGCTAAGGAGTGCTTTATTTCCAACTATGTGGTCAATTTTGGAATAAGTGTGATGTGGTGCTGAGAAGAATGTATATTCTTTTGATTTGGGGTCGAGAGTTCTGTAGATGTTTATTAGGTCTGCTTGGTGCCGAGCTGAGTTCAAGTCCTAGATATTCTTGTTAACCTTCTGTCTTGTTGATCTGTCTAATACTGACAGTGGGGTGTTAAAGTATCCCATTGTTATTGTGTGGGAATCTCAGTCTCCTTTTAGGTCTCTAAGGACTTGCTTTATGAATCTGGGTGCTCCTGTATTGGGTGCATATATATTTAGGATAGTTAGTACTTCTTGTTGAATTGATCCCTTTACCATTATGCAATGGCCTTCTTTGTCTCTTTTGTCCTTTGTTGGCTTAAAGTCTGTTTTATCGGAGACTAGGATTGCAACCCCTGCTTTTTTTTTGCTTTCCATTTTCTTGGTAGATCTTCCTCTATCACTTTATTTTGAGCCTATATGTGTCTCTGTATGTGAGATGGGTCTCTTGAATGCAGCACACTGATGTGTCTTGACTCTGTATCCAATTTGCCAATCTGTGTCTTTTAATTGGAGCATTGTCAGGGTATATGTAAGTCTCTTCCTTAGGAAAAGTGAGGATGGGGAGAGACTGTTTCAGCTTATGGGGACTAGTAAATGGACAAGAAGCAAACACACCAGTCAGTTTATCCAGAATCCCATGGTGGAGCTGCAAACAATGTCAGATGCTTCTTGGGACCATAAGCCATGGTTGCTGTAGGCATAGAAAGAGTCAATAAATGTTAACTACCATTATCTCTTTTTTTCCATTTATTTATTTACCAACTATTATTGGGTTTCTATTATATGTCAATTCCTTTGCTAGAAACTGGGGATTAAATGGTAAGCCAAAACAAACAGGTTCCTGCTCTTATGAAGCTTACTGTTGAGGAGGTGTGAAAGGCACAAATAAAATAACCACAAAATATATTGCATGTTTGTGGTTGTCATAAAGCAAGCTACGTGGAGCTATAATATATAACTGAGGGATTTGACCTCTTCTGGATCCCAAGGGGTCCGTGGAAGATGCTACTCATGTGCTGAGAAACTTTTTGGATTTTTGCCTTGTGATAGCTCTTCCTTCACCTTCAACATTAAAAAATAGTCACCATTGTTCCTGGAGTTAGGTACTATAGGTTCCAGCTGTTACATCTTAAAAAATAACTTGTACATGTTACAACAAAAGGATAAAAGAAATGAGTCATTTTCTTTTAAATTTCTATATCTCCCTCTAGTCAGAATTTACCTTTGCTATTTTCTAGTTTTCTATTTTTCCATTAGAGAATATAAACTATGCCACTGCCTTACAGTGCCTCGAATATTAAAAAGAGGTTGTTCTTGGATCTTATTGAGGTAGAGGATCAACAGGACTTATTTCTTAATTCCAACAGGATGAAGTGAAGAAACTGGCAAGAACCAGCAGATGGCAATGGAAGATATCCATAGCTGCCCTTATTGTCCATTAGCATAAGACACTCCCACCCAATGCCATGCCAGTTTACAAATGCCATGGCATTTGTAACATAGACGTTACCAACCCTTTCCATGGCAATGACCCAGAAGTTATTTCCCCTTTCCTAAAAAGTTCTAAATAACCCACCCATCAATTTGCATTAGCTTGCCCCTTAATTTGCATGTAACTGAAAGTAGGTATAAGTGGGTATAAATACAGTTGCCAACAGCCCATATGTTGCCCATTCTGGGCGCATTGCCTGTGAGTTAGCTCCGCCCTGCAAAGAACAGTGGCATTCAAAAAAGATTGCTGTGTAATAGCACTGGCTTGCCCTTGAATTCTTTCCTAGGCAAAGCCAAGAACCCTCCTGAGTTAAGCCACACTTTTGAGACTTGCTTGTCCTGCATCATTATACCCAATTATCAACCTGTTTATAAAAGACAGAGTCAAGTATTAGAAGAACTGAGGATATATTTTTTATTTGAATGCAGCTGCCAGGTGATATCTGTAGAAAATGACTAGCCATAGTCATCTCTCCTTTTTCTAAGGTGAATAAGGTTGGGGAGAAGATTGCACTCCTCAGCCATTTAAATAAATGAGGAAACCTCATTAGCAGAGGGCTAAGCAAACAGTGAAATAAATATATGGTTGTTACTTAATATTATATTTGATATAAAATAGAGACTTCTCAAGAAATCCTTGGCCTGACCTTTCTTAATTGTCTGATTTTTTTTTAAACTTTCAGAAAAGAATCAATCCATGTCTAGGGCCTGTGGCAGGGACTGTTAGCTGTCCTCTGAAATCGATTTCCCCTTTCTTTCTTAGAATAAAGCTAGACTACATTTAATAGCCTCTTTTGCAGTTAGGTGAAGCCATGTGACTAAGCTTGAGGCCAAGGAAGTGACCAGAGTGATGGATGTACTTCTAGGCCTGGCACATAAAATACCTCAAATTGCTCTTCCATGCTCTCTCTGCTTTTTGGCTGAACAGGATCACAAGCCCCAGGGTGAATCTGGAAGCCACATATTTTGAAGATGGGAGAGCCTCCATAAGTCTGAGTCCTCAAATCAATATATGGAGCAGACCTTTCCTCCCCATTCCAACAGGAAACACCTCTTTGAGACTTTTATGAGAGAAATAAATGTACTTCCTGTTCCTAAAACTATTAAATTTGGGGAACCTCTTTGTTAACTATGGCACAATTGCACTACTTAATATAGAGCCTGATGAAAACAAAGGACACATTCATGATTATGGTATTATGTCAAAATACTGGTGAAGTCAGAGTATTCTCTCAGAGGAAATGATGTTTGAGTTCTTAATAATTGCTATTATTGCTATTGATATAGTAGTTCTGAAATATTTATGTGCTCACACAGAGTACTGCATTGCCAAATTAGATTCAAAGGACTAAGAGATTTTACCTGGTATCAATATTTGCTACAAAATTATGAAGATGAAGGCCCAGAAAAAGGCTCAGAGAAAGCAGAGAGAGGTGTGTAATATCAAGTGTGTTTCTCAGAATCCTTCCTTTCCGCCTTGGACATCCCCCTGGCCCAGAACAGATGAGGTCTTTAAGTATGGTTAACTGTCTCCTCACATGGTGGCAAGTGCTGCAATTACAAAACGTCTTTTCTCTCTACCCCAGGGAATTGCATAGCTTACATGACATCCCTCAGGGGGTTATGCCTCCTAGAACCTGGGTCCTATTTACTGCAGGTAATCAATCCAGTGATATCAGGGATATTAATGAAATATAAGGGCATTTCAGAGATAAAATCTCTTCTTTCTAATATATGTTAATGGTCTATTTACCCAGAGGTTCACTTGACAAAAGGTTTAAACTGACTGGGTCGCCTGTTTCTTCCCTTTTCCTCAGGGGTATTTCCTCATGAAGGAGGTGAATGTATCCCATCCCAGCTCTTTTAATTCCTTCTTTGCTATTTTTTAACTCTATTACGAGGAAAATGGATAGATTAAAGGTATTTTATATGCATCACCAATGACTAATCTGGATAAGAGTAAAAGAAAATGTATTTCAGCAGCCTTGTATTTATTAAACATTCAACTTTGCACTAAGGAAATTAGGGACCACTGGATGGGATCAGGACCTATGTCTTGTGACTCTGTGTCCAAAATTATTTTATTTAATCCTACTGTCTTCCCAGTCAATGAAGTGCAGTCCTCTGGCTACACATTGACTGTACTTTTCTGAGAGTCATCTACTTCTGTTGATCATATGTTTGTAACAAAAGGTAGTGTGGTAATAAGTAAAACAAACAGAAGAATTATTTTAATTCCTCCTTGAAATTCCAGTCTTAAATTTTGGTGTGGTAGTCTCTACATTTGGCTTTGTGAGAAAAATAAAAGAAAGACCAAAGAAAGAAGAATTCTGGAAAGAGTTAAAAAATTACAGTAAAGGTTGGTTGCAGTTGTTCATGCCTGTAATCCCAGCACTTTGGGAGGCTGAGGCGGGTGGATCATTTGAGGTCAGAAGTTCGAGACCAGCCTGACCAACATGGTGAAACTCTGTCTCTACTAAAATACGAAAAATAGAACGGTGTGGTGGTGGTTCCCTGTAATCTCAGCTACCCTGAAGGCTGAGGCAGGAGAATCACTTGAACCAAGGAGGCAGAAGTTGCAGTGCACCAAGATCGCGCCTCTACTCTCCAGCCTGGGAGTCAGAGCAAGACTCCCTGTCAAAAAAAAAAAAAAAAAAAAAAAAAGAAAACAAAAGAAAAAAAAATAGAGCAGAGGGAATTGGGAAATTTATTTTATTAGCTCCCTCCAACTTCAACTCAACTACTTTCCGGACTCATTATCTTATTGTTTAACAAACTGATGTCCACAAGAGCTGAAACTGAACATCGAATTAAGCAGCAGAGCCTACATTCATTGATCTGTCTACCAATATTAATAATCAAAAACAATAGGAGTGTGTGTGTGTGTGTGTGTGTGTACAACATCCAAGTAAATTTTTTACGTTTGTGAAAAACAAAAGTAATTATAATAAGATAATATTGCATGAAGATTAAAAAGTATGTACGATCTTAGATTAAGTTAGCATAAATGTGCATGACATTGTCTCCAAATTTTCTGCACTGTGAAATTTTTGAGGACAACAGTCGTCTGACTTATTTTTATGTCCCGAATGGCTAGCACAATACCCAGCTTTTAATAATTTTTTGTGGTAATGGAATCTTCTAGCACTTGGTGTATATTCATGTAGGTTGTCTCTTATATGAGCAGATACAAGCTAGCCAATAGCCCACTGTGTTCATTCACAATACAAGCAAAGGGGCACTGTCTCAGTAAGTTTTAAATCACTTACTTAGCTGGAAGTTTTGTTCATTTTTCCCTAATGTTTTTGGTATAAATGAGCACTTTGAGTTTCTGAAAATATTACCTTATATGCCTTTTTAAAATCTAATAATAAAATCAATGAAATTTCTTACATTTGCATAGTATATTACATTATAAAAGGGCTTTATCATCCAATTTCTCATTTAATTTTGACAACCAATTTAACTAGGGATATCATTCTTATTTTACACGCTAGCAAAACATAGTTTGGATATGTCAGTCGAGTACTGACATCTAAATCCTGTGGATATAAATCTACTGGATGAAGTTCTGGCACAGATATACAAGCTTTATTCATTATTTTAAATAAGCTACACACAAAGGTGATTTCATTGTTAAAGTTAATATTAAAAGTTACACTTGCTTGGCTGGGCGCAGTGGCTCATGCCTGTAATCCCAGGATTTTGGGAGGCTGTGGTGGGCGATCACCTGAGGTCAGGAGTTCGAGACCAGCCTGGCCAACATGGTGAAACCCTGTCCCTACTAAAAACACAAAAATTAGCCAGGCATGGTGGCGAGTGCCTGTGGTCCCAGCTACTTGGGAGGCTGAGACAGGAGAATCGCTTGAACCCGGGAGGCAGAGGTTGCAGTGAGCCGAGATTGTGCCACTGCACTCCAGCCTGGGCAAGAAAGAGCAAAAACTCAGTCTCAAAAAAAAAAAAAAAAGTTACACTTGTTTGTTGTAATAGAAATTATAAACATTTATAAAGAAGATAATTAGTTATTCATAATTTCACAGATTAGAAATGATTGCTAACATGTTTATATATTTCTTTCCAGTACGATTTCTATGCATATGTTTATCTTTTTTCAGTAAAGATCATAAAATATATTCAATTTTGTCTTCGGTCTTTTCATTTCTGTGTCAGCCCAGTTTGGTACATTTGACTAGAACTTTCTGGGCAATTAGGTTTTATTCCTATGGAGACTAGAATAATAATGTCTAGGGTAGACAATAATGTCTAGGGTAGGGTAGAAAGGTTTTGCATTTCAGAATTAATTACTATAACTATATAATGTAGTTTATTACATGTCAGGCATTATTCCAAGAGTTTTACATGATTAATTCATTTAATCCTAACATTGATTCTATAAGGTAGGTGCTACTACAATTCACCATTTTTCATATGCAAAAACAGGCACAGAGAGATTACGGCTTTCCAAAGTCACACAGCTAGTAAGTTAAAGGGTTGGAAATTGAATTTGAGCTATCTGAACCTTGAGTTCATGTTAACTATTACACCCAACTACCTCTCAGAGGCCCAACTCTTCTCTAGGTGGGTGTTCTGAGAAAGCAAATGCTGTAATTGTGTGGATGCTTAAAAAACTTAGCACTACAAAGCTTTTACTCCTTAAGTGAGGGTCACCTGTGGCTCAGCTCAAAATGTAGAGTGTGGAGTTGCCTGCAGAGGGACTCTTTTTCAAAGGATTATGATTAGGGAGTTCAGCAATAGAGACTTAGACAGACCTGGGCAGTTAATTCCCTGTGGCATGGGTCAGCAGGGCTGGGGTGAAACATTCTGCAAAGCTCACCTTTGTGGTGGGGAGGACAAACTGCAGTGATGACAGCTGTAGCCTGGTATACACTTGATTTCTTTCTAGTCTGGGAAAGGATGTCTGACTTACCCCTCTTTTGTACTTCATAAAGCAGTTATGGATCTTAGATGAGGGGTAAAGGGCCTGGATGATGGGAAGGGCAGGAGCCCCAAGAGTTCAGTAATAAGGATTTTGCCAGTGTGTTAGATGGGGGCTCAAGACAATTCTAATATAATTTAAGTTATAAATAAATACTGTGGACACAAAAATATCTACCTCACTTAAGAAAACATTGTCCTATCATTGAATATTTAGTATATTATGATAGATAATGCTCTAATAAACGTTTGAAATTGCACATTTTAGAATATGAGTTTTATAAAATGATGTAATTCCTCAGTCATAATGTTGAGCAACAGAAACCTCATACAACAATTGAGAAATTGCCCAACTCCATTTATATAATGTTAAAAAAGAAACAACATTTATTCATATGGATAAAGTAAGAATAGGCATTATTTTTATGTATAATTGATTCTGAAGGGGAACAAGAGGGTGTTTTGGCAGTATTGGAAGTGTTCTGTCTTGATCTGGTTGGTGTTTACAGGGGTATATACATATGTAGAAATGTATCATTTAAGACTTATGCCCTTAACGGTTGGACTATTATACTTAAAATATAAAAAGATGAATAATCAAATGGAGGTCTGATATCTCAGACCTCTTATTTATGCATTTATGTATTTATGCATTTATTTGTTTTCTAATTGATGAATAAAAATTGTATATATTTATCCTGTATGTGATATTTTTAAATGTGTATACATTAAGAAATGGCTAAATTGAGCAAATTAACATATCCACTGTCTCACATACTGTATTAGTCTGTTCTCACACTTCTGTGAAGAAATACCCAAGACTGGGCAATTTATAAAGAAAAGAGGTTTAGTTCACTCACAGTTCTGCATGGCTGGTGAGGCATCAGGAAACTTACAATCATGGCAGAAGGCACCTCTTTACAGGGTGGCTGGAGAGAGAATGAGTGCCAGCAAGGGAAATGCCAGACACTCATAAAACCATCAGATCTTGTGAGAACTCACTCACTATCACAAGCACAGCATGGGGGAACCATCCTCATGATTCAATTACCTTACACCAGGTCCCTCTTATGACACTTGGGGATTATGGGGATTACAATTCAAGATCAAATTTGGTTGGGGACATGGCCAAACCCTACCATTCTGCCCGTGGCCCCACACAAATCTCATGTCCTCACATTTAAAACACAATCATGCCCTTCCTACAGTCCCTCAAAGTCTTAACTCGTTCTAGCATTAACCCAAAAGTCCAAGTCTGAAGTCTCATCTGAGACAAGGCAAACACCTTCCACTTACGAGACTGTAGAATCAAAAGCAAGTAAGTTACTTCTGAGATACAATGGGGATACAGGCATTGGGTAAATACACCTGTTCCAAATGGGAGAAATTGGCCAAGACAAAGGGGCTAAGGCCCCATGCAAGTCCAAAATCCAACAGGGCAGTCATTAAACCTTAAAGTCCCAAAATGATCTCCTTTGACTCCATGTCTCACATGCAGGGCATGCTGATTCAAGAGGTGGGCTCCCACAGCCCTGGGCAGCTCCACCCCTTTGGCTTTGCAGGGTACAGCCCCCCTCCTGTCTGCTGTCATGGGCTGGCATTGAGTGTTTGCTGCTTTTCCAGGAGCACAGTCCAAGCTGTCAGTCGATCTACCATTCTGAGGTCTGGAGAATGGTGGCCCTCTTCTCACAGCTCCACTAGGCAGTGCCCCAGTGGGGACTCTTTGTGGGGGCTCCAGCTCCACATTTCCCTTCCACACTGCCCTAGCAGAGGTTCTCCATGAAGGCTCTGCCCCTGCAGCAAACTTCTGCCTGGACATCCAGGCATCTCCATACATCCTCTGGAATTTAGACAGAGGTTTCCAAACCTCAATTCTTATCTTCTGTGCACCCACAGGGCCAACACCACATGGAAGCTGCCAAGGCTTGGGGCTTGCACCCTCTAAAGCAATGGCCTGAGGTGTATCTTGGCCCCTTTTAGCCACAGCTGGAATGGCTAGGATGCAAGGCACAAAGTCCTGAGGCTGCGCAAAGCAGGAAGGCCCAGGGCCCGCCTAGGAAATCATTTTTCCCTCCTAGGCCTCCAGGTCTGTGATGGGAGGGGTTGCCTTGAAGGTCTCTGACATGCCCTGGAAATATTTTCCCCATTGTCCTGGTGAATAGCATTTGGCTCATAGTTACTTATGCAAATTTCTGCAGCAGGCTTGAATTTCTCCCTAGAAAATGGGTTTTTCTTTTCTACTGCTTTTCTTTTCTACTGTACATTTTCTAAACTTTTATGCTCTGTCACCCCCACCCCCTTTTTTTTTTGAGACAGAGTCTCACTCTGTCACCCAAGCTGGAGTGCAGTGGTATGATCTTGGCTCACTGCAACCTTTGTCTCCCGGGTTCAAGCGATTCTTGTGCCTCAGCCTCCTGAGTAGCTGGGATTACAGGTGTGTGCCACCATGCCCAGCAAATTTTTATATTTTTAGTAGAGATGGGGTTTCACTATGTTGGCCAAGCTGGTCTTGAGTAAACTCCTGACCTCAAGTGATCTGGCCTCATCAGCCTCCCAGAGTGCTGAGATTACAGGTGTGAGCCACCACACACAGCCCTCTGTCACCTCTTGAATGCCTGCTGCTTAAAAATTTCTTCCACCAGATACCCTAAATCATCTCTCTCAAGTTCAAAGTTCCACAGATCTCTGGGGAAGGGACAGAATGTCACCAATCTCTTTACTAAAGCATAGTGTGTGTCACATTTGCTCTAGTTTCCAAGAGTTCCTCATCTCCATCTGAGATTACTTCAGCCTGAACTTCATTTTCCATATCACTATCAGCATTTTGGTCAAAACCATTCATCAAGTCTCTAGGAAATTCCAAACATTCCCTCACCTTTCTGTCTTGTTCTGAGCCCTCCACACTCTTCCAAACTCTGCCTATTACCCAGTTCCAAAGTCACTTCCATATTTTCGGGTATCTTTACAGCAGCACCCCACTACCTCAGCACCAATTGATGTGGTTTTGTTGTGTCCCCACCCAAATCTCATCCTGAATTGTTGCTCCCATAATTCCCGTACGTCATAGGAGGGACCTGATAGGAGGTAACTGAATCATGATGGGGTGGGTCTTTCCTGTGCTGTTCTTGTGATAGTGAGTAAGTCTCATGAGATCTGATGGTTTTATAAAAGTGAGTTCCCCTGCACATGCTCTCTCTTGCCTGTCACCATGTAAGACATGACTTTGCTCCTTCTTTGCCTTATGCCATGATTGTGAGGCCTCCTCGGCCATGTGAACTGTGAGTCAATTAAACCTCTTTTTCTTTATAAATTACCCAGTCTCAGGTATGTCTTTATTAGCAGTGTGAAAAAAGACTAATACACCCATTTACTATATTAGTCTGTTCTCATGCTGCTATGAAGAAATACCTGAGACTGGGTAATGTATAAAGAAAAGAGATTTAATTAACTAGCAGTTCTGCACAGCTGGGAAGGCCTCAGGAAACTTACAATCATGGCAGAACTTACCTCTTCAAAGGGCAGCAGGACAGAGAATGTCAGTAAGGAAAATGATAGACCTTTATAAAATCATCAGATCTCATGAGACTCACTTGCTATCACAAGAATGGCATGGCAGAAACCACCATCATGATTCAATTACCTCCCACCACATACCTCTCATGATCCATGATGATTATGGGGTTTACAATTCAAGGTGAGATTTGGGTGGGGACACATTTTTTTGTAGTGAGAACCCTTAAAGTCTATTCTCTAAGTGGTTTTCAAAATGCATTGTTATTAACTATGGTCACCATGTTGCATAATCAACCTCTTGAACTTGTTCATCTAGCATAACTGAAATTTTATATATTTTGACCAACATCTTTGCAACCCACTACTTCCTAACCCAGCCCCAGTAGAGAGTAGATACCATTCTACTCTCTATTTCAATGAGTTCCCCTTTTTTGGATTTCACATTTAAGTGAGATCATGTGCTATTGGTCTTTCTGTGTCTGGCTTATTTCACTTAATGTAATGTTTATAGGTTCATCCATGTTGTCACAAATGACAGGATTTTTTCTTTTAATGCTGAATAGTATTTTGTTGTGTGTATGTGTATATACATACATATGTGCTTATGTGTGTGTGTATATATATATAGTATTTGTTTTACTCATTTATCCATTGACAGACACTAAGGTTGATTCTTTATCTTAGCTACTGTGAATACTTCTGCAGTGAACGTGGGAGTGCAGATATCTCTTTAACATACTGAACATACTGATTTCATTTCCTCTGGACATATACTCAGTAGTGGGATTGCTGGATCATATTTTAGTTCTGTTTTTAATTTTTTGAAGTTCCTCCATGCTGTTTTCAATACTGGCAGACATATTTTGAGTTTCATCTTAAAGAAGTTTTCCTTCGTTTTTTTTTTTTTTTTTTTTTTTTTCCTTCTCATAGCTGGATAGTCTAGATCATCGGTGGCAAAACCAAAACCCATTGGCCAAATCTATCTCTCTGCCTATATTTGTAAATCAAATTTTATTGGAACCTCACCATGCTCCATATATTGTATACACTGCTTTCAAGCTACAATGGTAGGGTTGAATATTATGGCAGATACTGTGACACCCAAAGCCTAAAATATTAACTGGCTCTTTATAGAAAAAGCTTGCTGTTTTCTTGTATAGATGACCTTTTGGTTCTCTTCCAATACTGAGATTTTATGATCTTATGAATCTGAGGTCCAGGATACTTTCCTCTGGAGACTTCTCCAGAACTAATGCTAATACTTCCTTAAGATTTTGATTTATAAGGAGAAATTAAAAATACCTTAGCCTCCTTTGTCTTGATTTTGAGTCTCTATTTTATACTTCTATTAATAAAAAAAAAAGCAACAGAAGTGTCTTCAATGTAAACATTTCCAAAATACTTACATTGGTTTGGACTAAAACTTAGGCCATGACTCATATGAGAACTGTTCTGTTCTTCACAGGAAAGATAACAATGACATCCACATAGGAAAGATATGGTACCAAATTTTATTACTATCAAGTTTGAAGATATGAAGGTAAAGAAAGCAAAAAAAAAAAAAAAAAGTGGGAGAGAAACCATCCTGAGAAATCTTCCATCTCTGCCTCTGCAATGTCTCAAATCTGAAAGTTGGTTAATACTTAATACTTTTTACTTTGAGGCTGTAGATACCTGCTGTTTGATTTAAGGCACTGGAAAAGTGATCTGCTCGCTCTGTGATGAAATTGCTGCGGAATAAATAGCCTCATAAGCTTAGGACTTCTGTGTTTTCATTGTATTATTCATCCCTTCAGTTTTCCTCATTCTTTGGTAGCTTCATAGGGTTTCACAGCATCTATTCCAAGCTTATGATATTAATGATGCCAATAGGCAGGCCCTAGAGAGTGCTGTTTTAAGAAGGCTGTACTATAGCAATCTTAGTAGAACTCTCCTGAGTTTCTTGGTTTTTTAAAATTTTGTTTGGTTCTTTTTTCCCTTTGCCCTATAGAGCTGCAATTTGCCATTTCTTGCTGCTACTTACATTTTCTCCCCTGCTGACACTGTAAATTAAGGTTGTTATTAAGTTACCATTCTATTCCTTTGGGACAATCCTATCTCTCTATACACTGTACGTAGAACCTTTCTGGCAACCTGCTGTTCACGACACACAAATCAGGAATACATCAGAAGCCAAGCTATCCCTTTGTTGTCTTCATTTCAGACATATTAAGTACTGTCAATGTACTGAGCATACAAAATAGAAGTACCCTACCCTCTACAAGCTTACTATATTGACCTTCGAAGATATATAAGCTCTTAGAAAAAAAGCAGTTAAAATTAGTGAAGGCAGCAATAAAACAGGCTCTAAAAATAGAGTCCAAAAACGCTCAACTAAGGGCATCTGAAAAACTAATTATCCAGTTTTAAAGCTATGACCCACATCTCCCATCTGCTCTATTAGAACACTCCACAAAAGCTTGAAGTTCCTTAGAGCTTTTGGAGAGAGTCTGTTAACTTGTCATTCAGTCATATTTCTCATGGCCCTTGGCAAGATAGGATCTGACATGCCACACCTCTCTGAAGAAAGGGTGCTATTCAGCTGGTGCTGCCATCTCTGAGCTGAGAAGAGGGTCCCATGGGGCTGCAACCCAGACTTTTGGGGAGGGGGTGCCAGTCAGATGGTGTTGGTATCAATGAAGCTGATTCTGTGCTGGGAAAGCTGAAAACTGGATTCAGTTGCTGTTATGGGAAGGAACTGCCTCTGCCGGGGTTGAGATGTGTTGCTGAATTGATGCTCCCCCAACACCAAAGCAGACAGGAATCCCACAAGAAGCACAAAGGGGACCCATGGAAGGAGCGTGTTTCCTTTTCTATCTCTAGCTTCTCAGTCTTCTATCCTTCAATGAGAAGGATTTGCCTCTGTCAGGGTGAAGAAGTCAGGAACCATTTTCCTCTGCCAGGAACCATAGTACTCAGTAAGCCCATCAGGAGCCAACAGAGAACCAAGAAAGAGAAAATCTTTTTCTCCTCCTCCACACAGCAGTTTCCTTTTTAGCACTCCACATTGTCAAACTAAGCATGGCAGTAGATTGTGTATAAGAAAATTGTTTGCAGAGTCCCATCACAAAGCAAAGCTGGAGACGTGGGTTTGGAGGTGAGAGACAATAACTTAATAAGTGGCATCATCATTTTCTCTGCAGAGCTCTGTCCTTCTTTCATTAACTGTATTGAAATGATAATGGGTACAATATTTCCCCACTGTACTGTGGACCATTAGATTATCCAAGAGTGAAGAAGAGAAAAGGAAAAGAAGAGGAGAGGTCTTTGGAGGGATATGTAGATATGTGGTAAGCATTGATTTCACTTTCAACTTGAGATAATATTGCAGATTAGTTAGCCAAGTTCTCAGTATGTAGGGAATGAGAAAAAAATGATAAAAAGAGAGAAGAAAGATAGGCGATCATTTCACAGAGCAAGTTGTCCTCACTTCCCCAACATCATACACTTTCTGTGTATTTACCCTATGCCTCACACTCACTGTAGTGTTCTGAGTGGAACATAATACATAAAATACTTAGAATAATCTGAGCATGTTTGATTAAGAAAGGCATGGCAAGCATATGCTTGCAATTCTCCTGCATGCATGGAAGCTTCATCATAGTTTCTGTTTGTTTTACCAGCCTGAATGTTACGCAGTTGGATGTCATCTGGTATGTCAGTTGGTGTAGCACACAAATGACTTTGCTTTCTCATATCCCATAGGCAGTATTTATAATGGCATGATTATGTGTCCAGAATTCAAGCAAAGAAAAAAAGGAAAAAGAAAATCATCGCTGGAGTGCTGCTGGCTTAGACTTCATTGAGATTAGGAGGTATCAGTTCTACCAGTAAGTGTTCTTTTCCACAGATATGAATAAAGAGACCATTGTGCGCTGTGTACTAGGGGTGAAAACAAAGAAGGGCAAGGTGAAATCAACCCAATAGATGAAACTTATTTTTAAACCCTGGGAAATATATCATCTTAGACCTTTAAAGGAAATAATACACCATAGAAAAATAAAAAGAATGAATAACTAAACTAGTTACAGGACACCAGATCCATTTGTCCATGTTACAGAATGGGAGATAGCACTCTTGTTTTAATTGTGATTTCTATTACATCAATGCCATATTTTAGCGATAGCATAAAATTATGAACAATAAGAACTGAATCTTAAATATATTTTTTCTTCAAAATTATTCTCTTTTATTTTAACCAGCAGTATATTCAGATTGTTATGGTTTTATTTTTTCCCACACCTTTAGAATAAAATTGGGCATATATGTATATTTAAAAACTTCAAGGAACTTCAAAGAAGATACAATTGAATGTGCATTCTGCCTCTGACAGGAGTGAGATCCTTTGGATAAAATATTTGAATAGGTCCAAGCTTCAGTTTCTTTTCTAAAATGTGGATAAGAAAAAGTTTAGAGTGGCTAACTACCTCAACATCCTGACTTGTCCATATATACTATCAAAACATTAGCTATTATTATTGTTAACTATATTATTATAACAATTATAATTATTATATTGATCATTATTAGTATTTAGTATTATAATTAATTACATTCTTATAATTATTTGATTAGTTGTATCGATTATTACTTTATAGTCTAATTTACTCTTGGAGACTAAAAGCATCTCTTGCTTTCCTTGCCCATGTGTCTTGCCTGAGGGAACAACAAGCTGGAGAAAATAAAACTCTAACAAGAGAAGCAAGCACAAAGCTATTTGGCAGCTGCTCTGTATAGTGCCAACATGCCAGTGGGCAGCATTCTGTCTTCAGTTTAAACTCACCTGCTGGGGTGGTGCTCATGTGGGCCAATTCAATTTACATGTCTGATGGAACACATTGTGACCAAGAATACATTTAAAGTTCAAATTTACATCATCCAGCAATGCCAATATCCAGAAATGACCATTTGTATTCTTGTATAGTAACAATAATGTGGGATTGTAGTTTAAAATAATACTTGACCTGTGTGACTGTCAAGGAACATTTTGCAGGGAATATTTTGCAATCAGATCAACACTTGAGAATCTGAACTTTCAGCACTGAAGATAAATGAAAGATTCCTAATTTAGTCCTATTACCTACCCAGGATACTGCTGGAGCTTATGGGATTTCCGTGAACTATTTGAACAGGCTTTGGATCTCTCTGAATAACACACTTGGGAAGTATATAGGAAAAGTAGAAATTGGAGACACACGATAATGCTACAAGGTGGAAATAATGTGAAAAAATTTCCTAAGGTTTTGGCTAAATTACTTAAACTAATTGGTAATCTTTCTCCTGAAATGTCAAATAACTGTGACATGTTGAAATGATGTGCTTGGTTTCAACTGCTTACAAGTGAAGTTTCAGGGCTTGAGCATCTGCTCATGTGCCAAGACTCTGACTCATGCCTGCTGTTACTGCTGCTGGTAAAGGATGTCATTCTTTGAGTATTTTTTCTTGGTAATTAAATAATATCTTCAAACTCACTGTCCATAGGGTGGAATTTTCCTCCCAAGACTATTTCTCTACTTAGAACAAACACCTAATTTATAATCATTGCATGGTAGCGAAGACAATTATTCTATATAATACCAGAATTTGCAGAGCCAATTTTTTCCCCAAAGGCAAGGTCTTGATGTTTTTGTTTTTCAGTTTAGTAAATATGATGCAGGTTCTTAAGTGACCCAATTGTACTGGTAATTGATGCAAACAATGTAATCTTGTCCAACACCGTCTAATATAGCTAAAACTCATCTACTTCTTCATCCCTACTAGCCTTTTCTTAACTCAGGTGTGGGGGACACATCTGAAGATGCTCCTACCACCCCAGTTACATTGGGGATCTCCACATAGCAAGGACATGCTGGTAGCTTCTGGGAGCTGAGGGTGGCCTCCGGCCAAAAGTCAGCAAAAACTGAAGTTCTTGGCTCTACAACCACAAGGAACTAAGGGTGGCCAACAACTATGAAAGTGGGGAAGCAAATCCTTCCCTTCGTAGCCTCCAAATGACAACACAGTCCTAGTTGACACATTGATTGCAACCATGTAAGACTCTAAGCCAGCTAAGCCATGTTCAGACTCCTAAACCACAGAAATAGTTATGTGTTATTTAAAGCCACTACATTTGTGGCAATATTAGATAGCAAAAGAAAGCTAATGCAACAGGTGTCTATCATCAAAGGCTAAATTACTGCTCTAGCTCCCTAAATGACCTCTTTGGCTACTCTCACCCTCCCCTTTGTAGTCACTATTCCTTCTAGAACAAAAATCTCATTATGTCACTGCCTTACTTAAATTTCTTTAGTGACTCTGCATACTCCTTGTGCAGAGCCTTTACCAACTTTTTCCTATGTACCTCTCCTGCCTACTGCTCACGACTTTGCCCCCACCTCAAATGATGCTTTACCCCATGGTACGACTTCTTCAGTTTTTGTGCAATGCTCCATTTATTCCCAGTTGCCTTTCAATTCTCAATTTAGGCATGGCTTCCTAAATTTAGGTTACAAGCTTGTTCTATTTGCTACTGTGATACTGTTTAATTAACATTGTATTCGTCAAAGAGTATTGTAATTGACTATTGACTTGTTTATTTCTTCTATAGACTAAACACTTCTGGGGAGAGCAGCCACAATTTCTCCATTATTAAATTTCCACACATAGTACAATGGCTATCATGTAGTTAGTAGTCAATAAATATCTCATGAATGGAAGTTGTATGTTTCCAAACTAAAAGGAGTAATACACAAATCTCCATTGAACTGATTGAAGTTCTATCCTCCATTTTATAGTTATGACCATGATTTTTCTGTGATTCGATTTGTCTAAAATCAGTGTTTCCTAAATTGCCAGTCTTCAAAATTCATTATTATGGATTTTTGTTTAAAATTCAAATATTTCTACCTATCTGATACTCACTGTGTGACGCTCTACAGAGGAAGACCTAGGAAACTTTTATTTTAACCAATACTTCTTGCGAGTTTCTTGATTCAATAAGTCTGGAAACAGTAGCTTAAAATGATTACATAGGATTGACTTTGGCACATGTGAATCCTACCTCCTGGCTTTAGTCTGCCTGTAAAACCAATTAAATCAAACTACATTAATGACCCTGTTGCTAGAATTGCCCAGAACTAGCTCTGATGCCTTATTTATGGCTGAGCAGTCTGTTTTCTGTTTTCTGTTTTCTCACAACCCAGTTTCCAGAACTCTTTCATGTGTTCACATGGTGACTCCTTCTTGGACTCACCACATCACCATTTTGAAGCTGACCCTGCTTGGTGTTGATTTGTTTTTCCCCCTTGTTACTAATACTCCAAAATTAAACCTCAACTCAATGAAGCCCCTCACTTCCCAGAATGCAGAATGCAGAATGCAGAATGCAGAATGCAGCTTTTTAATTTACTTCATGTCCAGCTGTTCCTGAGTCACAAAACAGCAATTCGTGTGGGAGCATAGATGCTGGCACTATATAAAAGCATCTATTGCATTTTAAGTAAATGCAAGATTTTTCTCACTTTCAATTATAGTCTCCTCTCAGGGAATTTAAATGCATAAGTAAAATAACTGAATATTTCCCCATGGTTCTACATAACATCACAATAAGTTCCTTGAGAGACAGAAAGTTTATATTAATATAATTACTGTCATTTTCTTCATATTATGATACTATTTTATTCTCGGTATAGTGTCATGTTGGGTGGACAGCAGGAAGCTCCATAACCAATATAGATCCGACGTCTTCAGGGAATTTCAGATCCCAATTCTATCCCTTCCTAACTGGCCACCTCAGCAGTGACTTAACTGTTCAACATCTTGATTTCCTTGTCTGTAAACAATGGGTATAATAATAGTTTTTTTGTGGGAAAAAAATAAGATTCGACAAAAAAATTATTTGGAACAGTGATGTGATTCGGCTGTGTCCCCTCCCAAATCGCATCTTGAATTGTAGCTTCCACAATTCGTCATGAGAGAGACCCGGTGGAAGATAATTGAATCATGGGGGCATGTCTTTCCCATGCTGTTCTTGTGATAGTGAATAAGTCTCACGAGATCTGATGGTTTTATAAAGAGCAGTTTCCCTGCACAAGTTCTCTTTTCTTGTCTGCTGCCATGTGAGATGTGTCTTTCAACTTCTGCCATGATTATGAGGCCTCCCCAGCCACATGGAACTGTGAATGCATTAAACCTCTTTTCCTTATAAATTACCCTGTCTCAGGTATGCCTTTATCAGCAGCATGAAAACAGACTAATACAGACAGTATCTAGTGCACAGTAAGAGCTCAGTTAATATTGAATTAAAAATGCAAGTAAAATGATGCTACACCAATTGTGTTGGCAATTTTAAATCAGCTCACAGTGGCTTAAAAAACAAAATAGAGTTCATTAACTTGTATCTGGGAATTTGAAAGTGGACTTGAGTCAGCACCATTCAGTTTGTTCAGGGTTCTAGTTCCTTTTCTCTCTTCTCTCTTGGTATTACTGTTTTGTTTTGTATGTAGATTTGTCTTTAGGATGACTCCCATCATAATTGAAAACTAACTACCAACAAAAGCAAAAGAACATTTTCCCACACTCATTTAAGAAGAAGAGGGAGCATGGTATTCCCTCTCTTTTATTTCAGAAATAATATAGATTTTTTTCCAGAAAACGCTAACATTCCTCTTTTCTGAAATGCCCACTAGCAGACTCCAGAAGAATCTCTGATAGGAGGAGTGATTTTCTCTTAAGAAATCAGATTCTACTTTTCATGTGAGGTCAATTACAAAAACTACACTGCTATTTCTCATAAGGGAGAGGATATTAGGACATCACCTAATATCAGTATTCACCACATAATTTATTTCTCAATTATAAAATGAGGATGGATTAAACAATTGATTTTTTTTTCTAGCCCTTATACTCTGTGGTTTTCTTTCAGAGAGCAGAGATTATCAACCATTTTCAGCAACTCTCTGGAAGTCTGGTAAAGCCTATGGACAACTCAAATAATTACAAAGTAAAAATGCCTTCTCAGCATGTAGTTACTGAAACACCAAAATATTATGTATAGTAACTTTGTGGTTTTTAGTGACACGTTATATAAAAATAAATACTCTTAACTTTGAAGTAGTGATAAGAGTAAACAATAGTTTGAGATCTCTATTTCAGACATTGCTAACGATACTGTGGATTTTTGCCTCCATTAATAATTTCAAAAAATTACAAATATCAGTTAGAAATTAATAAAAATAAGGATGTAATTATTTTCTCTATCTTAGTCCATGAATCTACTGATTTCTATCCACAGGCATCTTGGGATTCTCTGGACTCCAGATTAAAAATCACTGTCATAGGGGACTGTCTTAGGAAATCAACAAAAACCTATGACATGAAGGATTACAAGCTCAGAGATTCAGTTGTAATTTTCTTAAAGCACTTACTAAAGTATTTCCATAACCTGAATATGAAACTATGTAGTACACTTTGATAAATAGATTGTAAGCTTCTTAAAGGAGAGAACAATGCCATCTATATCTCTGGCTTACAGCACTATTCTTAAAACTCACTCTCAGAAAAAAAAAAAAAAGGAAAAAAAAAACCTACCTCTGCATGAAAATCGCTTTGGGAAATTTTTAAAAATGCCGATGCTCCCTATTTACACTAGAACTTCTGAATCAGAATGCCTTCATGAAGACCTGGGAATCTGTATTTCCAAAGCCTTCCAAAATTATTTAGATACAGTTAACTTTCACCAAGTTGATGATCCACAGTGGGATGCTACTCTCATTTAGCACCTGGCATAATGCCTTGCACAAATTACATCCTTAGTAAGTGGTTAAAGATTTAAATGAGAGAAACTAGGACATATAAAAGAAGTTTACATTTAGAAATACCAACAAAAACATCTTAGTCATATATGACATAAAAATGTCTGTAGGTAAAACGTTTCATTCCCTCTAGTATTAATCCTTAATCACAAAATTATTGTTGGGGACACATTCTGTGGCTCTTATGTTAAGAATTCTTGACACAAATTGTTCCTAGAATTCAGTGCCAGAGAAATTTTAACTGCTCGGATGAACAATTGTGATTGTTTTTATTATTATTTAAAAGTCAGGCAGCTTTGACCTGATTGAAGAGAATTCACTGGAAGTAGTGAGAGACAAGGGATGGTGCTACTATATAGTAACATCTGCCAGGTTCATTACAAATGTCACCATAACAGGAGACCTGGTAGAGTCAATCAAACATAATTATCCTAATCTTGGCACCAAACCGCGACTAGCTGGCCTTTTGGATCCAAATCTTAGGTATATGCAATCCTGATACACTGTGGTTTTTAAACTTGGAGCTCTGGAACATAAGGAATACATTTGTTGAGAAGAGTCCCAAACAAACTATGGGCTATGTGCATATTTATTTAAAAACCAATCTATGTCCATATGTTACACATTGTAGCTAAATATGTCCTTGTACACATACTCTTTCTGCCATTTGAATAATAAAAATGCTCTTGATTCATCATGAGTCCTCCTTCACAAAGGGATTAAAAAACTCTTCTGATTATTGATGGCTAGAGCCAGTGACTTAGTTTCACCTTTCCCTTTTTATTCTACACCATTTATTTTTGTCTGTTACTTGTGGAATATTCTGTTACTCTTTAACTGAGTCCCACAGATCTCTGAATTCTTTTTGCATTTTCTCACAGTTTCTCATAGTTCCAAATTATTCCATAACAACTTCACTATTCCTGATGCCTTTCCTTTTCTTGAACTCTGTATATATTGCATTTCTTTACGCTGTATAGGGTCTTATTTCCCTTTGCCCCTTTCTGTTTGCTTAAATTCACAAAGTTACAAGCACACACTCTTCTACCTGGATCACTTCAAACCAATCTTAGGCATATCTGCCCTTTAATCAGCCACATCCTCAAAGACAGATAAATATTTGATAAATATCTAATATTCAACAAAAAGGTATCAACCAAGTTGTCACTTTCATCAGAGAGCCTTCCTTAACATCCAAAGTACCAGTTAGCATTCCTTGGTCACAAACAAGAACACCTACATTTAAGTAATTTAAGCACTACAGAGTTTATGGGATGACTATTAAGGTTCTCAGAATTTACCAATAGGAAAGAAGTGTTGGAGGCTAAGAAAGCAGGAAGCTCAGCAACTATCTTGTAGCAGGAACCATTTGTTTTGGCTGCTTCATGGGGATGAATAATGAATTCCAACTGCTTCTTCTATATTTGTGATACTCACTCAAGATGTATGCTCTGGGAGAAAGCAGCTGATGAGCTGAGCTAAGCTAATACACCCATGCCATGAATTAATTGGGCTGTGGAAAAAAAGAACTTGAACTTTTCCATTTATGTAGTATGAGTCAGGCATCTGAATTTACAATTCTACCAATACTCAGTGGAAAAATAATTCTCTAAAAAAATCCAGAAGCTTTAGGAAGGGGAAATAAAGTAAGAGCCTTTATAATTATAAATGTCCACATTGCTGTACCTTCTCATTGTTCCATGGTACTCTAAGCTTTCCACATCTTGGCACTTAACATTTTACCTTGCTATATCTGTAGATACTTCACTGGGCTCTGAATTCTGGAAGGGCAAAGACCACGTTTGTCTTGTTTATCATGTCGGGCATCCTCTGGACTTAGCACAGATTTTTAGCACATGTAATAAGTAAATGCTGTGTAAAGAGATATTTTTTGAAAAATTTAATGGAGTTATTGTGTTGCCAGTTTCTTACTATATTTCTGTGCCCATAGCAGAAAACCTACCTGAAACACACTTAAAAGAGGAAATTTGTTGATTCATATAACTGAAAAGTCCAACTGAAAAGTAGAGCAGGTTTTAGGTGTTACCAAGGATCAGTTTCTCTCCCTGTCTCTCTGTCCAGCCCTCTGCACGGTCAACATATCCCCAGTAATGGTTCTCCCACAGTCTTGAAATGATTTTGAATAGCTACCAGAACTATGGACATCCTTCTTTTATGTCCAGTGGACAAAGGGGCAAGTTTGGGTCTAGAATTCTTGAAACAAGGCCAAGGAGAATCATAGTTTAGGCACTGGGTTTGGTCACATGCCTGATGGTGAACTAAATCCTAGCTCAGCAGGAGGCAATGAGCTTATGTGAGGATTGAAGTCCATTTTCCTGCTTCTACTTCACTTCCTAGAATAATTCGGGAAATGGTAGAGTAGGAAGATTTCTGGAGAGGCCACCAACAGACGTCTAAATCATCAGTTAAAGCTTTATGGCCAGTAATAGCCTTATACTGACTTTTTTTTTTTTTTTTTTTTTGTAGGACCCAGTACCACAGCCTGTGTTTTCTCTTGTTCTATTTAGTTTGCTATTCTTCCTTCTTGGAATCCTAGAAAAGCTTTTTAATTTTTTCTCTGTAGCTGAAGTGGGAAAAATGAAACAAAACCAGAAATACTTCTGTATAATTGAGAAGACTTTTACCCTGGAACAATAGATCTTTTCTATAATAGTTTCCTGTTTCCCTCTTTTCTTCTTTGCCATGCCTAGTTGATGGAGATGGCAGGCAAACCTCTGCTCCCATCAAACGTTGTCCAGAAACAGAAAAGTCTCAGTCTTAGTCTCTTAGTCTTTTGTGAAAACCTATACTCCTCTTCCTTAATTCCCACAACTACAATTTGGTTTTGCTGACACAATTATGGGGAGTGATGTACTGAGCCAGGAAAAGAGACAGCTGAAATAGCTTTTTGCTGAATCCTCAGAAGCTTTTATACATTCCTCTTCAACTAAGAAAAAAAAATCCAAGGGAAGCTTTCTAGAGGCTGTTCCAATAGCCACATTTATTAAAATACCATAAAATGTATCGGTCTTTCAAGGGTTGTTAATGGAGTGCAGCTTAACCAGTTCACCATCTTACTCTTCACTTGCTAGGATCTGTCTATTATCTATTATTATTAACAATCTGTGTATTTTCAAAACACTAAGCGAAGTACTTTCCCACATTGCTGTTCTAGGAGAGTATCAAGTATGTAGAGTAATTTGGTATCCAATAAGGGCACCGTGTGTGAAAGACTTTTGATAATAGTATAAATTACTCTAATTAAATATAATGTACTTGGGAGCTCACATCGTGGCTAAAAGTAAGGGGTTGTAAATACTGTAGTGCTTAAGTATGAGTGAAATACCATCTCCAAAAAGTCTTCTAGTTCTTAAAATTCCTCAGTGATACAGAATGAAAATTTTGGGGAAGATAAATTATTTATTTTACTTCCTTTCTCTCTGCCAGACACAGTATACATCCTGTCATAGCCCTAAAGATGCTTTTAACTAGCAACCATTGTTAATGGACTTTTAAAGTTGTTTTACCCTTGAATTGATGTCTTACCAAATCTGAATTCAGTTCAGAGGTTAAAGAGTGAATTTTACCCTGCTATTTGCTCAGACATCTTTTTAAACATCTAAGTAAAGATCAAAATCATGTTAGAACTTTAAAATAGTCAATAAAATTCAGAATGTAGCTCACGGCAAGCAGAATGCTGGGTTTCATTCTGTAAGAAACTAAGAATCTACCAAAAGCCGGTAACATTTTAGCCTTGAGAGGTTGATCCTCTGAGTGAAAACATGTATTTTTTTACATGCAAACAATGTTCCACATCTGTTTTCAGGCTTTAATTTTCTGTCCCGTTCTTTTTTTTTTTTTTTCTTTTTCTTTTTGGTTTTTCACTTAAAATCAATGATCTCTAAGGATTTGTCAATGGAATTCTCTCTTCCCTTAGGCAAGGAGCCCTTAATCGTTTTGCCATGCTCACTCTATCTGCCCTAGAGACAGCAAGATTTCTGCAACAATTGTCAACTGGGAAGTATAGACTGTGCTCATATGCAAAGAGTCGTGAACACTCTCAGAAATCAGAGTGCTTCATGTTGAATAGCACCTGATGAATGATTACGTGCTAGAGATTAAAGGGAGATGCTTCTTGAGGTAATAAAATGTCATTTCAAAGTGTTTATTTCATTACATACTGTTTCTTTCTAAGTGTATTAGGAACACCGACGGCATTTGAGTGAAAATATCCTGTGAATTCCTAAAGATGCTTTCGGCTTTATAAGGGCTCATTGACAAACTTCCCAAGAGTTTATTTATTTATAACTTAACACTAATAAGGGAGGTATAACTTCAGAAGATATCCTTCAGAAATGGAAAGAGATGGGGAATTTAGGAACTGACCGTTATATTTCACTTTCTGCCAAATATTGTTTTATTTTCTCTCAGTTTCTGTCTTTTACCTGTTATTTTTAGATATTATATTTTATGGGACTTTTTGGTAGCTCTATCAAAATCACTGCTGTTTTGTGGTTACCTGTGGAGGGCGGGGGTCAATCTTTCCCATTCACAATTTCTTTTGAACTAGAGACTGAGGATGCCACACATGTACCAAGACAGTATGAAAAGGTTTATTTCTCACATAATGAGACTTTCTGGGGAGAGCAGGGTGGACACTCAAACCAGTTTGGAATGGCTCGAGCAAAGGGATAGTTAATGGCTTTGTTTTTTATTGTGGTTAGAGAGTGGGGCTGCTGTGAGCATTTCTGCACAAGGCCCAGCCCAATATGTTTTGAACTTCCCCACTGGCACCAGGAGACAGAGTTCCTGGGCCTTCTTATTGTCTTGCTCAGATGCAGGGTAAGAGGGGAAATTAAATTATATATGTAATTTTCTGAGTTCTCTTTTCCCCTCTTTATCTAAATCAGCTTCCGTTAGGGTTTCTGGTTCATTAAATAGGTCTCTATGTACCTACATTTTATTTATGAGCTGTGTTCAAGTTTCTTACCCACAGGACTCCTGGGCCCCAGGCAAGTCAAAGATGTGACTGAACATTTATTTTCATGTCCCTGAACATTCTGTGACATGAAATGGAGAAACTGTCAAAATAGATTAAGAAATGGGAGGATAACCAAGGTGATATCGAAGTCGAGTTAAAATGAGTTTAAAAAGGGATGATAAGTATTGATAGATTGAATAAAATGAAGCCATAGAATTGATAAAACTTGGAAAAGTAGAAGTCATTGTTGACCTTGCATATTAGCATTTTCAGTAAATTTTGGGAATAAAATCTTTACAGAGGGAAGAACAGCTCTTCTAAGGAATTTGGCTGAGAGAGAGAGAGAGAGAGGGAGAGAGAGAGAAAAGTATCATTGCATTGCAAAGGGCAATGGCTTTGAGTGGTAAAAAGGGGATATGATACATGACACAGGTGGAGGGGATGGCCTTAGAGAGCAGCATAAATCATTCATCCATTGTAACAGGAGGGAAGGCAGAAGAAATAGGAAAACAGGGACAGATGGCAGTTTTGTGGTAAGCACTAGAGGAATTCTCTTCTGATTACTTCCATTTCACAGTGAAATTAAAAGCAAGTCATTAGTGCACACTTATGCCTATGTGGAAAGTATATAGCTTATGCCATCATTTGGGTTAAAGTCTTCTTAATTTTTCCCATTTAAGATCAGAATTGTTAGTATGAGAAACTATTTCTCATAATGTGAGGAAGATATACTTGGATCAGAGATTGCAAATTAGAGACTCAGCATCTGAAGTCATCCTGTAGTTTAAGCATTATACAATTTATTTTTATTATTTAAATATCAGAGAATTTTATGTTAAAATAAAATTTCACACTTCTCTTGAAACTTTTTAATTTTAAGGTTTTTTTTGAGACAGGGTCTCTTTAGAGTCACCCAGGTTGGAGTCAGTGGCTCGATAACAGCTCACTGCAGCCTTGAATCAGGCTTCTAAGTAGCTGGACTACAAGCACAAATCACCACATCCTACAATTTTTTTTTTTTAATTTTGTAGAGATGGAGTCTCACTACATTGCCCAGGCTGGACTCAAATTCTTGACCTCAAGAAATCCTCCTGCCTCTGTCTCCCAAAGTGCTGGGGTTATAGGCAGGAGCCACCACACCTAGCCCTATACTTCTCTTTTTCGAAAATGGGTTGCCTGGTAGCACTGAACCATATTTCTGCATGACAACAGTAGGAAGTAGTAGGAAGGAGTTGAGTAACACTGTCCCTTTAGACAGGACATTCCAATTTTATCCAGTCTCCAACACTCCCATTATTGCTCTATCATTGACTTGATTTATTCCTTTAGATTATCTGTTAGCTCCTGTAAAGGATTTGAAATTGAGGCACACACTTTGAATGCTACCACTCCAGGATGCATCATATCTACCATAGCCTTACAGTTTTTCCCTGGAGAGATCTGTGGCCCAACAAATATTTTCAGTTCTTTTCTTGATGATCACATTGAGTTAAATGGCCGAAGAAGAATAATACTCACAGAATGGGTCTCATACCTAAGTTTATTTCTATTTGGCATGGCACATCTTTCTTAAGAAAAAGCTTTGAGATGTTACTTTCCTTCAGAGCCTAAAATGGTTTGAATTGTATTCCCCCAAAAGATGTGTTCAAATTCTAACCCTGTGACTGTGACTGTGATTTCATTTGGAAATGGGGTCTTTGCAGATATAATTAAGATGTAAGTTAAGATGAAGTCATACTGGATTTGAGTGGGCCCTAAATCCAATCACTGGTGTCCTTGTAAGAAAAGACATGGAAACAGAGAAACAGAGACAGATACACTTATAGGAAAGAAAGCCATGAGATTAATGGAGGCAGGGACTGGAGGGATGTAGCCACAGATTGATGGCAACCACCAGAAACTAGGAGGAGGAGAAGAAGGATTCTCCCCTACGGTCTTCAGAGGGAGTGTGAACTGATGACATGTTTATTGATTTCAGATTTCTAGCTTCTAGAACTGTGAAAATAAATTTCTGTTTTTCAAATCATGCAATCTGTGTTAATTTGTTATGGCAACCTTAGGAAATTAATACGAGACTCTTATATCTAAATTTTTCTTCATTACTTTTTCCTTAAGATGCTTTGGAAGCCGTTTGCCATTCAGTATTTATACCTTACCTTTATCTTCTTATTTGAAAGAGCTTTCCTTTTCAGGATTAAAGAAGAATGCTGCATTTGAATTGTTCTTATTGCATTTTATCAATGCTGAAGTAATTTAAACTCCCTAGACAATCCGTAGTCACTTATTTTTCTCCAGTGAAATTGGTACATGTCTTTAGGTCTCACATTATATGCTTGTAGATTTCTAAAAATATAAGGTATCCTGCTGTGTTCTTTAACTTTTGGACCATAAAAATATAATTATGCCATCCAATGATTAAGGGTAGAGATTTATTGTTTTAGTATATTTAGGGAAGACTAGGAGTGATTGTATTTAAGTACTATTTTTAGTGGATAAAGGTCTGAACGATCAAAATTAGTTGTTTGGTAAAAACAAAAACAAACAAGAAAATATTGTCTAAAGGCATTTTACCAGATGTAGAATTTTGTTCTAACTTAGAGGAATGAAATAAAAAGGACATTTATAAAATATTTCTCAAAAACCTTTATGTGCCAATTATTATTTTTTTTCCAAATGTTGGAAGTACCTAGTAGTAGCAACACTTTCTTTCAAGTAGTTTGGAGTATCGCTTATAAAGACAGCAATAAGATAAAGAGTGGACACAAATATAGTATACCAGAAATGAAGAACCATAGATATATCCTCACTCTCCACTGAACAGTGTATCCTTTCAATTTCTCATATATAACCATATATTCTTGGTTCAATCAATAAGTAAACCATACAAAAACAAAAGCACTAGATATTGGGCTTTGTGAATTTCAATTACATAATTAATTACATGAAAAAGATCTGAACATTTTATTAATTTAACATTTTGGTAACTGGAAAATTAATTGTAAGATGAAAGTCTTTCTTCCAAATGAATTCCATTAAAACATTTAATAATCTCTATATCATTGAAATATATTGTACTGTTAAAAATTTTCTGAATAATTAAACTGCTTTAACGGTTGCAAAGCCAGATATTTTCCATTATTTTTCCAAAGGGATATATTAAATTAGATGTTGTCATTTTAAGTGTATGAATGTCTAACCCTAATGAAGAAATGATTTTCCAGAATCTAAAGTCAGCTTTCTTAACAAAGGTAATCAAATCATAGTTATATTATTTTTGGTAATAACATGTATAGTTACTTTTCAGAGATGTGTTAAATATTCAGTCTAAGGCACTAAATTACCAGCATAGTACAAAGCTAAATCTTTTCATATTTAAAAACTATTAATATTTCTTTATTACCATAGGAAATTTTTTTTTTTTTTTTTTTTTAAATGGAGTCTTGCTTTTGCTCTGTAGCCCAGGCTGGAGTGCAGTGGTGTGATCCCAGCTCACTGTAGCCTCTGCCTCCTAGGTTCAAGCGACTCTCCTGCTTCCCGAGTAGGCTGGGATTACAGGAGTGCACCACCACACCCAGCTAATATTTGTATTTTTAGTAGAGACAGGGTTTCGCCATGTTGGCCAAGCTGGTCTCAAACTCCTGGCCTCGTGTTCTGCCTGCCTTGGCCTCCCAAAGTGCTGGGATTACAGGCATAAGCCACCACGCCGGCTGACATAGACTGTTTTTGCTATTGATTTTTCATAGAGAAAGTAGCAACTGAAAAACTTTAGAGATATTTTCCTGCAGATTGACTTTTTGTTATCATTAAAAACCCTGATAATACCACCCTATCTAGATGGAAATTCACTAATAATTATAATACGTAATAACTAACTCTGTCTCTGTGGTTTGACCATACAAATCAGAACCAATTCCATTTAGTCAATTGACTGAGTCATTGGGATATGTTAGAAGCTTAATACACCATGATCATAAAGACAATAGCAATGAGAAATTAATTTTTATTATCAAATAACTGAATGCCTACTATGTTTCCAATACCAATGATATAGCAGCAATACCAATGATACAGCAAGATCGGAAGGTTCATGACACTTATTGTCTATAGGAAAATAAATGTTTCTACATAAGTGATTTTGTTTTTCTTTTATTGTACACATTAAGTGGGGCAGATGTAAATGTTGGGCCAAATCGAAAAGCTTTGTGTTTCTTGCTTCTGTTGGATCTGACAGGCTAATTATTTTGCCCTTGTATTAAATATTTTCTTTACAAAGTTACACTAATACTTAGTTCCTTCCCCCATTTCCCTGACTCCAGGTATTGGCAAAGATAGTGCAGTTTCTAAACACTTTTCACCCAGTTTCTCTAATGTTAATATTTTATATAAATATGGTACATTTTTCAAAACTAAGAAGTTGACACTGGCACATTATTATTAAGTAAAATTCTGACTTATTTGGATTTCATCTACTTTTTCCCCCATCCTAATCTTTTTTTTCTATGCCAATATCCAACCCGGGTTGCCATATTGCATTTAGGGGTGCATCAGTTTTGTTATTTATTTAATTTAAAATATCTTTTGACTAACTAGAAATAATAAAATCTTGCCAATTTTCCCTATTCCTATTCATTTTCCATTTCCTAATAATTTCAATAAAATTACTGTAATTAAATAAATTCCTTATGCCTGTCAAAACACTCAATAAATTTACTGCCCCGCCGAGTTTCAGAGGGTAGGTTCTTTCCATTTAAACGCAAAACCAGAAAGAAAAGTTTAGGGAGGTAGAACAACATAATCAACAATTCTAAAGTTCATAAGACAATTGAACGTCATAAGACCTAGTATAAAAATTACGTTTTAAATAAAATTCCAGAGAAATGTTTTGTACTTTAAGGTTAGAAATAAATTGAGCTGATTGCAAGCTGACCTACAAATTCATGGTCTTCACAAAGATTGAATTTCTGTGTGTAGAAATGCGAAGTAAAATAAGAACTACAAAGTTAGAAGTAGAAAGAGATCACATTATAAAAAGGTCAGCAAGAGCACTGGGAATTCTTACATGGGGCTTCTTGCATAGCTTCAGTCTTATGACCTGTGAACACCATCGTATTGGTGTGTTCTCATGCTGCTAATAAAGACATACCCAAGACTGGGTAATTTATAAAGGAAAGAGATTTAATGGACTCACAGTTCCACATGGCTCGGGAGGCCTCACAATCATGGTGGAAGATGAAGGAAGAGCAAAGGGATATCTTACATGGCAGTAGGCAAGAGGGCATGTGTGGGGGAACTCCCCTTTATAAAACCATTAAATCTCATGAGACTTATGCACTATCATGAGAACAGCAGGGGAAAAACCCATCCCCATGATTAAATTACCTCCCACCACATCCCTCCCATGACATGCAGGGATTATCACAATTCAAGGTGAGATTTGGGTGGGGACACACAGCCAAACCATATCAACCATAAAGAATATCAAGATGTTGAGTGGCACTGTCGCTCTTATTTTCCCAAACTTTTTGTGCAACACATAGCTTCAGTAGCTCATAGTTTCATTTCTCTTTGATTTTACTTTAGCTATGAAGACTTATGATTTACAAAGGATGTCTAAAAAGTGAGTGGCTTAATGAATTTTCACCTTCTCCAGGATACATATTTTATGTTTTCTTTTTTTACTTAATTTCTCATTTTATTAGTATTTTTTATAAGGAAATTATGCATATAGTAAAAAATTAAATATTACAGTAGAGCTAAGAAAAATAAGAGGTTCCCTCCTCTCTTTCCAGGCCCATATCCCAGAAATAAACTCTTTCTTGTTTTTTTTTATTTTTTATATTATTTCTACATCTATTTTAGATTCAGAGGGTACATGTGCAGGTTAGTTAACAGGCTATATTGCATGATGCTGAGGTTTGGGGTATGATTGATCCCATCACCCAGTTACTGAGCATAGTTCCCAACAGGTAGTTTTTCAACCCTGACCTCCTCCTTCCCTTACCTCTCCAGTAGTTCCTGGTGCCTATGGGTGCCATCTTTATGCCCATGAGTACTTTTTTTTTTATTTTTTAAGAAAAAAAAAAGGAGGTCTCAATGCCATCCCCATCAAGCTACCAATGACTTTCTTCACAGAATTGGAAAAAACTACTTTAAAGTTCATATGGAACCAAAAAAGAGCCTGCATCACCAAGTCAATCCTAAGCCAAAAGAACAAAGCTGGAGGCATCACACTACCTGACTTCAAACTATACTACAAGGCTACAGTAACCAAAACAGCATGGTACTGGTACCGAAACAGAGATATAGATCAATGGAACAGAACAGAGCCCTCAGAAATAACGCTGCATATCTACAACTAACTGATCTTTGATAAACCTGAGAAAAACAAGCAATGGGGGAAAGGATTCCCTATTTAATAAATGGTGCTGGGAAAACTGGCTAGCCATATGTAGAAAGCTGAAACTAGATCCCTTCCTTACACCTTATACAAAAATCAATTCAAGATGGATTAAAGACTTAAACATTAGACCTAAAACCATAAAAACCCTAGAAGAAAATCTAGGCATTACCATTCAGGACATAGGCATGGGCAAGGACTTCATGTCTAAAACACCAAAAGCAATGGCAACAAAAGCCAAAATTGACAAATGGGATCTAATTAAACTAAAGAGCTTCTGCACAGCAAAAGAAACTACCATCAGAGTGAACAGGCAACCTACAAAATGGGAGAAAATTTTTGCAACCTACTCATCTGACAAAGGGCTAATATCCAGAATCTACAATGAACTCCAACAAATTTACAAGAAAAAAACAAACAACCCCATCAAAAAGTGGGCGAAGGACATGAACAGACACTTCTCAAAAGAAGACATTATGCAGCCAAAAAACACATGAAAAAATGCTCATCATAGCTGGCCATCAGAGAAATGCAAATCAAAACCACAATGAGATACCATCTCACACCAGTTAGAATGGCAATCATTAAAAAGTCAGGAAACAACAGGTGCTGGAGAGAATGTGGAGAAATAGGAACACTTTTACACTGTTGGTGGGACTGTAAACTAGTTCAACCATTGTGGAAGTCAGTGTGGCGATTCCTCAGGGATCTAGAGCTAGAAATACCATTTGACCCAGCCATCCCATTACTGGGTATATACCCAAAGGATTATAAATCATGCTGCTATAAACACACATGCACACGTATGTTTATTGCGGCATTATTCACAATAGCAAAGACTTGGAACCAACCCAAATGTCCAACAATGATAGACTGGATTAAGAAAATGTGGCACATATACACCATGGAATACTATGCAGCCATAAAAAATGATGAGTTCATATCCTTTGTAGGGACATGGATGAAATTGGAAATCATCATTCTCAGTAAACTATCGTAAGAACAAAAAACCAAACACCGCATATTCTCACTCATAGGTGGGAATTGAACAATGAGATCACATGGACACAGGAAGGGGAACATCACACTCTGGGGACTGTGGTGGGGTGGGGGGAGTGGGGAGGGATAGCATTGGGAGATATACCTAATGCTAGATGACGAGTTAGTGGGTGCAGCGCACCAGCATGGCACACGTATACATACATAACTGACCTGTACAATGTGCACATGTACCCTAAAACTTAAAGTATAATAATAAATAAATAAATAAATAAATAAATAAATAAATAAAAAGGAGGTCTCATTATGTTGCCCATGCTGGTCTAAAACTCTTGGGCCTCTCCTTGGCATCTGAAAGTACTGGGACTACAGGCATGAGCCACCACGCCCATCCTCATGAGTATCCATTGTTTAGCTCCCACTTATAAGTGAGAACGTGCTGTACTTGATTTTCTGTTCCTGTGTTAATTTGTTTAGAACAATGGTCACCATGTATGTCTATGTTGCTGCAAAGGATGTGTATTTTGTCAGGCCTCTGAGCCAAAGCTAAGCCATCATATCCCCTGTGACCTGCGTATACACATCCAGATGGCTGGTTCCTGCCTTAACTGATGACATTCCACCACAAAAGGAGTGAAAATGGCCTGTTCCTGCCTTAACTGATGACATTACCTTGTGAAATTCCTTTTCCTGGCTCCTCCTGGCTCAAAAGCTCCCCCACTGAGCACCCTGTGACCCCCACCCCTGCCCACCAGAGAACAACACCCTTTGACTGTAATTTTCCTTTACCTACCCAAATCCTATAAAACAGCCCCACCCTTATCTCCCTTCACTGACTCTCTTTTCGGACTCAGCCTGCCTGCACCCAGGTGAAATAAACAGCCTTGTTGCTCACACAAAGCCTGTTTGGTGGTCTCTTCACATGGACGAGAGTGAAATTTTGGTGCCCTGACTTGGATCAGGGGACCTCCCTTGGGAGATCAATACCCCTGTCCTCCTGCTCTTTGCTCCATGAGAAAGACCCACCTACGACCTTGGGTCCTCAGACCAACCAGCCCAAGGAACATCTCACCAATTTTAAATTGGGTAAGCGGCCTCTCTTTACTCTCTTCTCCAACCTCTCTCACTATCCCTCAACCTCTTTCTCCTTTCAATCTTGGCGCCACACTTCAATCTCTCCCTTCTCTTAATTTCAATTCCTTTCCTTTTCTGGTAGAGACAAAGGAGACACGTTTTCTCCATGAACCCAAAACTCCGGCTCCGGTCACGGACTTGGGAAGACAGTTTTCCCTTAGTGTTTAATCACGTGGGGATGCCTGCCTGATTATTCACCCATGTTTCAGAGGTGTCTGACCACGTGGGGATGCCTGCCTTGGTCCTTCACCCTTAGTGGGAAGTACCGCTTTTTCGGGGGCAAGAAAACCTGATCCCTTCTCTTTGTGTCTCTAACCCTTCTCCACTTTCCTGGGGGACAAGCACCCCCCACCCCATCTCTCCGTGTCTCTGCTCTTTTCTCTGGGCTTGCCTCCTTCACTATGGGCAAACTTCCACTCTCCATTCCTCCCTCTTCTCCCTTAGCCTGTGTTCTCAAAAACTTAAAACCTCTTCAACTCACACCTAACCTAAAACCTAAATGCCTTATTTTCTTCTGCAACACCGCTTGGCCCCAATACAAACTTGACAATGGCTCTAAATGGCCAGAAAATGGCACTTTCGATTTCTCCATCCTACAAGATCTAAATAATTCTTGTCGTAAAATGGGCAAACGGTCTGAGGTGCCTGATGTCCAGGCATTCTTTTATACATCGGTCCCTCCCTAGTCTCTGTTCCCCGTGCAACTCGCCCCACGTCTTCCTTCTTTCCCTCCCACCTGTCCCCTCAGTCCCAACCCCAAGCATCACTGAGTCTTTCCTCTTTCCAATCTTCCTTTTCTACAGATCCATCTGACCTCTCCCCTCCTCCCCAGGCTGCCCCTCGCCAGGCGGAGCTAGGTCCCAATTCTTCCTCAGCCTCCCCTATAATCCTTTCATCACCTCCCCTCCTCACACCTGGTACGGCTTACAGTTTCGTTCCGTGACTAGCCCTCCCCCACCTGCCCAGCAAGTTCCTCTTAAAAAGGTGGCTGGAGCTAAAGGCATAGTCAAAGTTAATGCTCCTTTTTCTTTATCCCAAATCAGATAGCGTTTAGGCTCTTTTTCATCAAATATAAAAACCCAGCCCAGTTCATGGCTCATTTGGCAGCAACCCTGAGATGCTTTACAGCTCTAGACCCTAAAAGGTCAAAAGACCATCTGATTCTCAATATACATTTTATTACCCAATCTGCTCCCAACATTAAATAAAACTCCAAAAATTAAATTCCAGCCCTCACACCCCATAACAGGACTTAACCTCGCCTTCAAGGTGTACAATAATAAAGTAGAGGCAGCCAATTAGCAATGTATTTCTGAGTTGCAATTCCTCGCCTCCACTGTGAGACAAACCCTAGCCACATCTCCAGCAAACAAGAACTCCAAACACCTGAACAGCAGCTGCCAAGTGTTCCCCCAGAACTCCTCCCCCAGGAGCTTGCTACAAGTGTCAGAAATCTGGCTACTGGGCCAAGGAATGCCCACAGCCTGGGATTCCTCCTAAGCCGTGTCCCATCTGTGCAGGACCCCACTGAAAATTGGACTGTTCATCTCACCTGGCAGCCACTTCCAGAGCCCCTGGAACTCTGGCCCAAGGCTCTCTGACTCCTTCCCAGATCTTCTCGGCTTAGCGGCTGAAGACTGATGCTGCCCGATTGCCTCGGAAGCCCCCTAGACTATCACGGACGCCGATCTTCAGGTAACTCTCACAGTGGAGGGTAAGTCTGTCCCCTTCTTGGTCAATATGGAGGCTACCCACTCCACATTACCTCCTTTTCAAGGGCCTGTTTCCCTTGCCTCCATAACTGTTGTGGATATTGACAGCCAGGCTTCTAAAACCTCTTAAAACTTCCCAACTCTGGTGCCAACTTAGACAACTCTTTTAAGCCCTCCCTTTGAGTTATCCCCACCTGCCCAGTTCCCTTATTAAGCTGAGATATTTTAACTAAATTATCTGCTTCCCTGAAAATTCCTGGGCTACAGCCACACCTCATTACCGCCTTTTCCCCCAGTTCAAAGCCTCCTTCACATTCTCCCCTTATATCTCCCCACCTTAACTCACAAGTATAAGATACCTCTACTCCCTCCTTAGTGACCAATCATGCACCCCTTACTATCCCATTAAAACCTAATCACCCTTACCCCGCTCAATGCCAATATCCCATCCCACAGCACACTTTAAAAGGATTAAAGTCTGTTATCATTCACCTGCTACAGCATGGCCTTTTAAAGCCTATAAACTCCCCTTATAATTCCCCCATTTTACCTGTCCTAAAACTAGACAAGGCTTACAGGTTAGTTCAGGATCTGCGCCTTATCAACCAAATTGTTTTACCTATCCACTCTGTGGTGCCAAAACCATATACTCTCCTATCCTCAATACCTCCCTCCACAACCCATTATTCTGTTTTAGATCTCAAACATGCTTTCTTTACTATTTCTTTGCTCCCTTCGTCCCAGCCTCTCTTCGCTTTCACTTGGACTGACCCTGACATCCATCAGGCTCAGCAAATTACCTGGGCTGTACTACCACAGGGCTTCACAGACAGCCCCCATTACTTCAGTCAAGCCCAAATTTCTTCCTCATCTGTTACCTATCTCAGCATAATTCTCGTAAAAACACCTGCCGATCGTGTCTGACTGATCTCTCAAACCCCAACATCTTCTACAAAAACAACAACTCCTTTCCTTCCTAGGCATGGTTAGATACTTTCAACTTTAGATAACTGATTTTGCCATCCTAACAAAACCATTATATAAACTCACAAAAGGAAACCTAGCTGACCCCATAGATCCTAAATCCTTTCCCCACTCCTCTTTCCATTTCTTGAAGACAGCTTTAGAGACTGCCCCCACCCTAGCTCTCCCTGATTCATCCCAACCCTTTCATTACCCACAGCTGAAGTGCAGAGCTGTGCAGTCGGAATTTTTACACAAGGACCGGGGCCGCGTCCTGTAGCCTTTTTATCCAAACAACTAGACCTTACCATTTTGCCTAGCCCTCAAGTCTGCTTGCTGCAGCCACCACTGCCCTAATACTTTTACAGGCCCTTAAAATCACAAACTATGCTCAACTCACTCTCTACAGTTCTCATAACTTCCAAAATCTATTTTCTTCCTCACACCTGACACATATACTTTCTGCTCCCTGGCTCCTTCAGCTGTACTCACTCTTTGTTGAGTCTCCCACAATTACCATTGTTCCTGGCTCAGACTTCAATCCGGCCTCCCACATTATTCCTGATACCACACCTGACCCCCATGACTGTATCTCTCTGATCCACCTGACATTCACCCCATTTCCCCATATTTCCTTCTTTCCTGTTCCTCACCCTGATCACACTTGGTTTATTGATGGCAGTTCCACCAGGCCTAATCGCCACACACCAGCAAAGGCAGGCTATGCTATAGTATAAGCCACTAGCCCGCCTCTTAGAACCTCTCATTTCCTTTTCATCGTGGAAATCTATCCTGAGAAGGAAATCACTTCTCAGTGTTCCATCTGCTATTCTACTACTCAGGGATTATTCAGGCCCCCTCCCTTCCCTACACATCAAGCTTGAGGATTTGCCGCCCAGGACTGGCAAATTGGCTTTACTCAACATGCCCCGAGTCAGGAAACTAAAATACCTCTTGGTCTAGGTAGATACTTTCACTGGATAGGTAGAAGCCTTTGCCACAAGGTCTAAGAAGGCCACCGTCATTTCTTCCCTTCTGTCAGACATATTCCTCAGTTTGGCCTTCCCACCTCTATACAGTCCGATAACGGACTGGCCTTTATTAGTCAAATCACCCAAGCAGTTTCTCAGGCTCTTAGTATTCAGTGAATTAACGGTCTTTTAAAAACACACCTCACCAAGCTCAGTCACCAACTGAAAAAGGACTGGACAATACCACTTGCCCTTCTCATAATTCAAGCCTGTCCTCGGAATGCTACAAGGTACAGCCCATTTAAGCTCCTGTATAGATGCTCTTTTTATTAGGCCCCAGCCTCATTCCAGACACCAGACCAACTAGGACTGAGCCCAAAAAAACTTGTCATCCTTACTATCTTCTGTCTAGTCATACTCCTATTCACTGTTCTCAACTACTCATAAATGCCTTGCTGTTGTTTACACTGCCAGTTTTCACTGTTTCTCTAAGCCATCACAGCTGATATCTCCTGGTGCTATCCCCAAACCGCCACTCTTAACTCTCTCTCAAAGTAAATAAATAATCTTTGCTGGCACAGCTATGCTGAACCTCCTTAGGCACTCTCTAGTTAGATGTCCTAGGTCCTCCCAATTCTTAGCCCTTTAATACCTGTTTTTCTCCTTGTCTTATTCCATTTAGTTTTTCAATTTGTACAAAACCATATCCAGGCCATCACCAATAATTCTATACAACAAATGTTTCTTCTAACAACCCCACAATATCACCCCTTACCACAAAATCTTCCTTCAGCTTAATCTCTCCCACTCTAGGTTCCCAAGCCACCCCTAATCCCGCTTGAAGCAGCCCTGAGAAGCATCGTCCATTGTCTTTCCATACCACCCCAAAAAAATTTTCACCGCCCCCAAACTTCAATACTATTTTGTTTTATTTTTCTTATTAATATAAGAAGACAGGAATGTCAGGCCTCTGAGCCAAAGCTAAGCCATCATATCCCCTGTGACCTGCACATACATGGTTCCAGCCTTAACTGATGACATTCCACCACAAAAGAAGTGAAAATGGCCTGTTCCTGCCTTAACTGATGATATTACCTTGTGAAATTCCTTTTCCTGGCTCAATCTGGCTCAAAAGCTCCCCCACTGAGCACCTTGTGACCCCCACCCCTGCCCACCAGAGAACAGCACCCTTTGACTGTAATTTTCCTTTACCTACCCAAATCCTATAAAACGGCCCCACCCCATCTCCCTTCACTGACTCTTTTCGGACTCAGTCCGCCTGCACCCAGGTGAAATAAACAGCCTTGTTGCTTACCCAAAGCCTGTTTGGTGGTCGCTTCACACAGACGCGAGTGAAAGTTTTGTTCTTTTTTATGGCTGCATAATATTTGATGATATATATGTACCACATTTTCTTCATCCAATATACTGTTGATGGGCTCCTAAGTTGATTTCATGCCTTTGCTACTGTGAATAGTGCTATGATTAACATAAGATTTCCTGTGTCATTTTGGTAGAATGACTTATTTTCTTTTGAAAATATACCCAGTAATGGGACTGCTGGGTTGAATGATAGTTCTGTTTTAAATTCTTTGAGAAATCTCCAAACTGCTTTCCACAGTGTTTGGACTAATTTACATTCCCACCAACAGTGTATAAGCACTCCCTTTTCTCTGCAACCTCACTAGCAACCGTTATTTTTTGACTTTTTAATAATAGTCATTCTGACTGGTGTGAGATGGTATCTCATTGTGGTTTTGATTTGCATTTCTTTGATGGTTAGTGATATGGAACTTTTAAAAATATGTTTGTTTTCCCTTGCATGTCTTGCCCTCTTTTAAATGGGGTTATTTGTTTTTTGCTTGTTATTTTGTTTATATTCCTTATAGATTATGGATATTAGACCTTGGTCAGATGCATAGTTTGTAAGTATTTTCTCCCATTCTGTAAGTTATCTGTTTACTCTGTCAATAGTTTGTTTTGGTGAACAGAAGCTTTTTGGTTTAATTAGGTCCCCCTTGTCAGTTTTTGTTTTTGCTACAATTGCTTTTGAGGACTTGGTCATAAATTATCTACAAAGGCCAATGTCCAGAATGGTGTTTCCTAGGTTTTCTTGCAGTATTCTTATAATTTGAGGACTTACATTTAAATCTTTAATCCTTCATGTATTAATTTTTATATGTGGTGAAAAGTAGGGATCCAGTTTCATTGTTCTGCATATGGCAAGCCAGCTATTCCAGCACCATTTATTGAATAGTCGGTCCTTTCCCCATTGCTTTTTTGTTGTTGACTTTGTCGAAGATCAGATAGCTATAGGTGTGTGGCTTTATTTCTGGGTATTCTATTCTCTTCCACTGGTCTATGTGTCTGCTTTTGTACCGGTACTATATTGGTTACTGCAGACTTTATTGTATAGTTTGAAGTTGGGTAATGTGATGCCTCCAGCTTTGTTCTTTTTGCTTAGGATTGCTTTGGCTATTCAAGCTTTTTTGTTTTTTTTGGTTTCATATACATTTTCGAATAGTTTTCTGTAGTTCTGTGAAAAATGACAGTGGTAGCTTAATAGGAATAGCGTTTAGTGTGTAGATTGCTTTGGGCAGTATGGCCATTTTAATGATACTGATTCTTTCAATCCATGAAGCATAGAATACTTTTCCGTTTGTTTGTGTCATCTGTGATTTCTTTCAGCAGTGTTCTGTAGTTCTTCTCATAGAGCTGTTTCACATCCTTAGTTGGATGTATTCCTATGTACTTTATTTTCTTTTGCGGCTATTGTATATGAGATTGCATTCTTGATTTGAACCTTATTGGTGTACAGAAATGCTACTGATTTTTGTACATTGATTTTGTATCCTGAAACATAACTGAATTCATTTATTAGCACCGGGATTCTTTTGGTAAAGTCACTAGGGTTTTCTAGGTATAGAATCATATCATCAGCAAAGAGAGATAGTTTGACTTCTGTTCCTATTTGGATGCCTTTTATTTCCTTTTCTTGCCTCACTGCTCTAGCTAGGACTTCCCAGAGGTAAACTGTTTCAGCATTTCTGTTTTGTTTTTTTCTGGTGGCTACCTGTGAAAATCTAAACAATATATTTATACCACTTTACTAGCAACTTATTAAATTATCTCTGGAAAAGATAGAGGGGAACAACACACACTGGGGCCGATTGGAGGGTGAGGTTGGGAGGAAGGAGTGTATCAGAAAAGATAACAAATTGGTACTAGGCTTAATAACTGGCTTGTGAAATAATATGTACAACAAACTCACGTGACACGTTTACCTATGTAACAAACCTGCACATGTACCCCTGAAATTAAAATAAAACTTAAAAAAGATGGAAGTTTACTCTGTATTTCTCCATCTTACTCTTCTACTTCAACCTGGATTCTGCTATATTCCCATGTTTTGATAGTTATTATTTTTACTTTTCTCACACATCACCTGTGTGGTTTAATAACCTATTAAATACTCAATTCATGTTTTACTAGTTTTAGGCAATGCTTCTCTCTTATTTTGTACAATTAGTTTTTAAAATTACAAATATGGAAAATATTATCATTCATTGAAATCTTACTAAAAGCTCAGACGAGCAGTCTTTCCTCACGTAAGCTTTGTATATATCTTGTTATACTCGTTCCTAGGTATTTTTTCATTGTATTGCTAATATAATTGCAATCTTTGCTTCCTTTGTAGGTTTGCTTCCTAATGGCTATTCTTTGCTTATATTGGAGACAATTGCTTTCTGATGTTACTTGAAAACTCAGTTACCAAACTAAATTATCTTATTCTTGTAGATCTTGTATAATTGATTTTCTTTGGTTTCCAGGCACACAAAAATTTCAGCCACATGTAATTATAGTTTAATCTCTTCTATTTTAATGTTTCAATATATTTAATTTTCTTCTTTCATATCAGTGCATTGTTTAATACCTCTGGTAAAATGTTATATTACAGTGCTGTCAGGAAACCTGTTTGCCCTATCAATGTCTTTAGCTTAAATGCCTCCAATGTTTTCCTATTCAGTATAACACTGGCATGTTGTAAGAAACTACCTATCAGTTCTTATTTTATGGAGGATTTTTTAAAATTAAAAGTGTTTCCGGGTGTGGTGGCTCACGCCTGTCATCCCAGCATTTTGGGAGGCTGAGGCAGGGAGATCACTTGAGCCAGGAGTTCGAGACCAGGCTGGGCCACATGGTGAAACCCCATCTCTACTAAAACTACAAAAGTTAACCAGGCATGGTGGTACAAGCCTGTAGTACCAGCTACCTGGGAGGCTGAGGTGGGAGGATCATGTAAGCCCATGAAGTCAAGCCTGCAGTCAGCTGTGATTGCACCACTGCACTCCAGCCTGGGCGAAGGAGTGAGACCCTGTATCAAAAAAAAAAAATAAAAAATTGTGTTAAGTTTTTGTCAAATGCTTTTTCAGTGTTTATGGAGTTTATCATACTTTTTTCCTATTAAAAAGTTAACAAGTATTAACAAGATGAATTTTATTAACAGTTTTTCTGTTGTTAATCTTTGAATACCTGGAACAAACCCCACTTGGTTTAAGTAGCAGACTTTCAATCATCTCTCTGGTTATTTTGCATCAGTAATCATAAGTGAGATAAAACTGTATATTTCTTTTAAAATCAGGTTTATTTTCAGTTACAGTAAATTCAGAGGGTAGATTTTGTTATTGTTGTACCAATTATTCTGTACCTATGTATATGAAGGGTTATAATTCCTCATTCCATTTATGTCAGTTTTGGCCATAGTACGTGCTTTGACCATATGACAATTGGGACACAGGCTACTCATTGAATGAAATCTAAGGACCACCAGCCTTTCCCTCTGTCATGAGATGAACATGTCCTTGATAGATGATGCTCCTTCAACTTGAGTTTCAAAATGAAAAAAAAAATATGGAACATATAAGCAGGCAAGTATCCAAGGACATGAAATATAAATGAGAAATAAATCTTTGTCCTTGCAACTCAATAAGATATGAGGGCATTTATTACTGTAGCATAACTTTCTTGAGATTATTCCTAGGCATTTAATCATTTTTGCTATTATTTTAATTGCAGTCATTTCTCCTATTATTTATTCCTAATGGTTGCTTTTTTATATATAAAGGAAATTGATTTCTGATACAGCTCAGAACAAATATTAGAAAGCTTTCCTCTTTTTCTTGTTATCCCAATTAGATTAAATTCCATGGTAATTTTTCTTGTGAAGTCATCTGGGACTTATGCTTTTTATGGAGGGTAGAGTATCTCTTTGATAGTTTTAAAAAATATTCTTTGGTGGGGAACTTTTCTTTTTAGACCTTTTTTATCTTTTATTGTCAGTCTTGGTAAGCTATATTTTCTCAAAAAATTATTCATTTCAGATTTTCATATTTCCTAGTAAAAAGTAATTCAAACTTGTTGCTTGTCTTTTAAATAATTTCATCTTTACTTTGTTTTAAGCTTCAAAAAGTTTTTACTTTCATTGGCACAGCAAAATGTGTGAATAATTTCAAATTAGCATCTAAAATTATAATGTCAACATGCAAAAATAAAAATCAGTATTTATTTGGGTCAAAACATAGTTAAACATAGTTAAATTATATTTTTAATAGTTATATATAAGAAATACATTTTCAAGTGTTAAAATAGATGACCATTTATGTTAAAACACATGCCTCAGTTTTGCTTGTTTTTGTTTTTTTTTAGTCTTTTTTATCCATTAGAAAACCTCTACCTTGGAAAAAGTAGAGAAAACTTCATTAAAAATTTTGAAGCTGATGATATATGAGGCATATGACAAAATCTTTTATTATCATTGTAGAAAAACAGATACAGCAGTCAAATCAAAGATAAATTTCAAGGTAGATGCTAGTTTCTTTATTGCAGGTTTAGCAATAAAGAAAGAAATATAAGGCAACTTAATATTTCTTTAATAATAAAGAAATATTGATTAGCCACATTTTAATCAATAATTTAAAGCATGACAGTAACCGCTGCTATAGTTTGTGGCTGACAAAGAACTGGGTGAAATAACTAATATGATGGATGACAAAAATGATGATTTGAAATGATCTTGATAATTTAGAATACAAGGGTGAGATAAAAGAGTCAAAATTTAATGAGATAAAGGTAAACATCAGAGCTTTGGTATAAAAAAATTGTCACAGTACAGAATGAGGCTTAACAGCAGTAATGTGACTATAAATTTTAGTTCACCATCATCTCTATTTGAACCAATGATATTTTGATAGTTTAATGCCTAAGAGCCTAATCAGTTTGGATTAACAGGAATCCAAGGAACAGATCATCCAAAGTACATATCTAGTCTTTGTGCTGGACAAACTTTTTTGGGATTATTGTATTCAGTTTTGAGTCTTATTTTAAGAGAAAGACTTAAAACTGGAATTTGTCAAATGGCCATTTGGATTGTGAAGCTGGTGAGATTTAGAAATCTTATCATGAAAGGTAGTTTTGGAAGAATCTGAGATTTTCAGTGTGAAGAATAAAAGACAAAAGAGGAATTTCTCTTCCAGTAAGTTTTCCATGAATCTCTGGGTTTGCCCAAGGGCCCTACCCTGTGCCAGTCTGATATATTGTACATTGATTCACTCATTCCATTAAAAATTGTATAGAATGTCTGCCATATGCCAGGAGGTATTCTACACTCTAGGCACATAGTGGTAAAGAAAACAGATGAAATTCCTGCTCTCAAGAACTCACTCTATGTGGGAGTCACAGATAGTAAACAAGTACATACATTTGTGTTAAGTGCCATGCAAAAGTAAAACAGTGCGTGGTAATAAAGAGTAACTAAAGAGGGAGTGCTTTTTAATATCTTGGTTATGGACAGCCTCTTTGAGAGGCGACACTTGAAATGATATAAACTACAGGAAGAAATCAGCCAAGATGTAGGCTTGCCACCTTCCTTGCAGACGGATTTGTGAAGGCAAAGGCCTTCTGTGGTAGGAATGTGCTTGGCTTACGGGAGGAGCAAGGGATGGAACAGCAGAAGAGGAATGTGGAAACATAAGCAAGACTATTTCTTGTTAAAAGTGTAAGTTGTGGTAATGAGTTGGATTTTATTCAGGGTATATGAGAAATTTATGAAAGATTTCAACAGGAAAATTCCATAGATATGAGGCTGCTCTGAGGAATATTGGTCTATCTGATTACTTAAATGGGAAAAACAGTTGGAACCTGAGGATGTCTATTTCTGCTGTAGGGAACGGAAGCAAAGAAATCTGATTTGTAACCACAGCGGAATGGACATGCAGAGAGAAGCAGAGATGTAAGACTGAGAAGGAGGTGTTTGTTTGTTCACTGTGGTACTCTATTCTGTTGTTCCAGTTTATTCCTGACTGTATTCTGACCTTGAATGTAAAGAGATGACACCTGAATCCTTATAATAAACCATTTTTCTTTTGTGTTTCCTCGAGTTAACTAGTGTTGATTTTTACTACCTGCAAAGAGGAGTCCTAGGATTCATTTTCAATTTGTGGTTACTTGGTGAGCGATTTAAGTTACTTCTTTAAGTTCGAATTTCATTCACCTTGAAACAGATTTGATATTATTTTAATATCTGTTGATAGTACAAATATGGATAATGCAAGTAGTATTCTGTTTAGCTCTCATTCATCATGGCTACTCCAATGTGGAGGGTAGCCATGTTGGAAACTTGGATGGGAGCAAAAGGCCAGGTGAGTCGCAGGCTAGCTCGTTTTGGGAAGAATAAGTTCCAAAGTCCCCAGTATTTTCTCAACTCAGTCAACCAAAAATGACCCTGAAAAATTCCTGAAACTGCAGCCTATGACCTAGAAGTCCAAGCCAACTACAGGACCCAGACCCATGGAGATATTTCAGCTAGAGCTGACAACTGTTACCAGGTGACACTAAGCTATAGTTGGGACCAGAATGGCTACATCTTTCATCTTGACACAACTCCGTCACATGAAATCTTATGCAGGTTCAACCTAGTCCTTTAATTACATTTGCAATAACATTACTTCATTTATTATGCAGTTGAAATTTTTATAATCAGTTATTACATTGTCATTGGATTTTACTATAATAATAACTACCACTAAGTTATTAAGAACATTAAATGAGATTGTATAGATGTAAAGTTCTTGGTGTAGCAGATTGCATACTTGATAAATGTAAAATATATATCAGTTATTATTTTCAAAATTATGGCTATTATAGTTAAAGGATGAGCATATAAAGGAATTGAAACTTAATATATTTAATAGTAATATTTCTTATATAGTTAAATAGGGTTAGTACAAATGCTGAAGTGATAATCTGTGAAATTTATTTAGGTACCTTATTCTTTCCTCATATATCCAGGTTAATTGTGTTGGATGTATATTTAATGTTTTCAAAAAGCGAATTGGCAGTGGACTTGCTCTGTTGGCATTATTACTCATACATATGCTCTCTCTATGCCTAGAATGGTATTATTTTTACTTTTCTATCACCACACTGATCTCTTTCATAAGAGTAAATATTTCAAAATGTGAACATTTGGGATTTAGCTTATTCATTTTAAAGCACCCATCTTCTTAACTTGTATTCATTTTCCTTGATATATAAAGTCTGTAGACTCTATGCTACTTAGGATTTGTAAAGCAATTACTAAAAGTCTTTGATATTTATAAAGGATCTGAAGCTTTCAGAATGATTAATTATTGATTACCCAAATGAATCAACCTATCAGGCCATAATAAATATTTAATATTTTTTAGAATGAAGTGATCCATTTCTTGAGGATTTTAAAAATGATATTGTTCTTCTGTGTGTTTAAAATTTCTAGTGTGCTGCTGCAATCAGATATAATCTTCTTTTAGTGAATAGGCTTTTTTGTTCCTTATATCATATTTAATTTGTTCTTTTAAGCAAACTAAGCACATAATGTAGTTAATAATCATACATTTCTTATTCAAATTTAAATGGTTTTACTTTTATCTTTGGGATTTTTTTTGTGTGTCTGTATTAACAAGCAAAAAATTTCTGCTTTATACACAACCATATTTAAATGTTTTCACTGTTCTAATTAGGTATGTCAATCAGTACAAAGTTACTTCTCAATAAATGATTGATCCAGATTAATATTTGTAAAAAATTTGTTAAACCCAAACAAACGAGTGCTTTTACCTGTCTCTATGAAATCAGTGGTCTCCATAAACAAATTACTATTCAATCATGGAAAACACCAAACTACTCAACAATAAAAACATTTACATCAGCAACTGTATTCACAATGAAATACTTATGATAAACTCTTTGTTTAAACATGTTCAAGCATCTTTAGAGAATATACTCATGTTAGTAGCATTATTCAGTCATTCATTTATTCAGTCAACAGGTAAACATTATCAGTCATCCTTTTTTTCATTCAACAGCTAAATATTCTGTGCATTATGATAAAGTCTGAGCATGGAACATTAAAAAGGACAGACATGGTTCCTACCTCTCAGAGCCTGCAGTATGAGAGATAAATGCAAGGCCATTTACGTGAAAGTGTTGTGACGATGAAACCAACCAGAACTAAGGTAGCACACAGTGCATACAGCCAACTCTGTGTGTATGTGTGATGGTTGGGGGGCAGATAAATACGCATTGCAAAATGAAGAAAGGGAAAAAATAATTGAAACAGAAGGAAGGGTCCCCAAAAATGCTCCAAGTTTTAAAAAAGATAATCTTCAACAAAGAAAGGGATGAAGAGAAATAAGAAACATGTTAAAGGAACTTAATAAACAATGATTTAAATATACCTAAATGAATAAATAAATGAGTAAAATAGTTAAAGAATGGCACAAGAGCAATTGACAGAAAAAGAAATATAGGAAGAAGGTGTAAATAATATTTTTAAAAAAGGAATGAGAGCAAAACAGAAAAATTGTAGTATTAAAAATTAGAACACTTAGGAATTGTTTAAATTATAAGTGTGAGTATGAAAGACAGGGATTGGATAATGTGTTTCTATAGATGCTGTTGAAGATTATTAATACATTTAAAAGATTTTCATTGTAATAAAGGTTTGGAAAAAATTCAACGGGAATTATCAGATCCTTTAACATTCTAAGGTATTCTGTGACTCACAAAAAGCAATACAATATCTAGCTTTCCCCCAGATGTCTTAACCATAAAAGTTTTTTTTTAAAGAAAATCTTACTAGTATCTCCAGAGATTAAGCTTCTGAAAAACATAACGAGAAATCATATGTTAATAGAGTTGTATTAAGAAATAAAGGGAAAGTGGAGAATAAAAAAAACAGCCTAACCTGTTTTGCCTAAAATCTACATATATTCTCTCCTTGCAAATCCTGTTTTGTCCCAGTCACTTCTCTCTGTACGTGATATTCATTCTGCCATAATTTACTTTATTTTTGAAACATAACCCCCATGTTCTCCTGTGTGTATGTACATCTATATATGTATATGTGCATACATGCATTCATATATATGTATGTATATATACACACACACACATACATACTTGCATAAATACATACATATCTCTCGTTCTTAAAAATCAGTTTTCTAGTTTTAAAAGTAAATAGCATCCACTAGCCTAAGATATTCAACAGTTTCAATAGTGGTTAAGAATAGTGTATGATACAAAAAGTAGTAATAAAAACCTATGATTTAAAATTTAAAAATGAAAAAATTATCGTAATAGGAAAAATATAATAATGTGGGGAATTGTATAGAAATAGTCTCCCAGTCTTCAAACATATCACAGCACAGAAACTCTTAAGGGATCAATAACCAGCGTGTTTATGCATGCCATATGGAAATATTTCCTCTGCAGTGTGCCTGCCTTGCTATTTAAATGGAGAAAAAATGTTATGTTAGCAATATTTTTATATAGCCTAGAATTTTTATTTCTTAATTTTTTCCCATCGCATCTGGGTGGTAAATAAAAGATAAAGTTCATCTGGAGAAGTAGTTATTTATATAATTTATGCAATAATATGATTAAAATCAAACCTTTAAAATTTTATCTTGAAAGAATAAACAGGCTTTTCCTTTTGAAAATAATAAGTTTAATTAGTAGGTAAATATGCGTTCCAGCAACAAGAGCAAGAAAGACTTTATGAATGCTTAATCTATGACTTGAAGCCAAATGCTGGACATTACCATGACCTTATACATGAAAGTGTTAATTCAAATAGGAAAATTCAGTAACTTTGGAATTTCTAAAGCTATTCTTGGATGTCTTTCCAATGGATCTGGATAATGCACCAAGTCTTTTATGATTTTTATCTACCAAATAAGAATAAACATAAAAATTGTCTTAATATTTTTGATGCTTTCTATTACAATGCATTACGTATTATAATAGACTACTTCATAACGTATTATAATTATGAAGATCATAATTTATAATGATTTCTTCCTAATCGTAGGAAAACTCCAAAATAGAAAATTATAGAAAGAAAATTAAAATTGCACATAATTCAATCACCTAGTGATAAGTACTCTTATCATTGCCCATATTTGTCTACATTTGCATTCTCTATGCATTTTCTATTTATAAATTATTATAGATACACACAGCTTTACTTTTCAATGTAGGATCATATTGCATATCTTCCTAGCCATGTGTTTTTTATTTTTTTCCCCCAACTGCACTGTAGGGAGACTTTATACCAGACCTATAGGTCTGGGTATAAGTTTTACAGGATACTATGTGACATCCGCCACCTGCTTCCTTCCTGAGCTTTAATAGCCCTTCAGTGTTATCTGTCAAAATCACTTCCCTTAGGTATTGCTATTGCACTGTTTTCTCACAATGAACCCTACTCCCTCCTCTGTGGGGTCCCAGCAGCTCTGATCTCTCTGGAGCTCCCAAAGTATCAACATTCTTATACTTTGGGTGGAAGGAAAGCAAAGACCTCTCTCTAAGCCCTTAAAATTATGTTTTCCTCAGCATACTAAAACTGCCATGTTTGGGCCCCAATGTTAAGCAGATTTTTTTTTCTTTTAAAAAGCTTTTTTTTGTTGTTTATTTATAATTGCAAATAACTTGCTTCTGCCATGAAATGAGAGTAGGACAGGTGTATTAGTGAGTTTTCATGCTGCTGATAAAAACATACCTGAGACTGGGCAATTTACAAAAGAAAGACATTTAATTGGACTTAGAGTTCCACGTGGCTGGAGAAGCCTCACAATCACGGCAGAAGGCAAGGAGGAGCAAGTCACGTCTTACATGGATGGCAGCAGGCAAAGAGAGATACAGCTTGTGCAGGGGATCTCCTCTTTTTAAAATGATCAGATCTCGTGAGACTTACTCACTATCTGAGAACAGCACAGGAAAGACTTGCCCCCATGTTTCAATTACCTCCCACTAGGTCCCTCCCACAACATGTGGGAATTCAAGATGAGATTTGGGTGGGGACACAGCCAAATCATATCAGCAGGAGTACATCTCTTTGATGGTTTTTGTTATGTATTGACAAAGATTCTTTGCTTGGCCAACTTTGGTCAGGCTTCTGACCAAAGGCCCATGTGTGCACTTGGAACCATCAAATGGGTTCTTTTTGCCTGCTGCTCAGATAGAGACAATTTTCCATGACAGGGGAAATACAATAAGGAGTTTAGTTTTTCACACATAGAGCTGGCTAAAGAGGAGACTAGAATTTTATTATTATTCAAATTAGCCTCCCTGAAAATTTGGAGACTAGGGCTCTTCAAAGATAGTTTTTGGAAAAGATACTGGCTAGTGAGTGGGTGCTGCTGATTGGTTGTGGGAGGGGGTATAGCTATAGGAGTGTGGAAAAAGGTCTTCATGCATGCTGAGTCTACGCCTGGGTGAAGCCACAGGACTGGTTGGCAAATTTGAGTGGAGAAAGACATCTCAAAAGGCCAATCTTATGTTCTACAATAGTGATGTTCTCTGCAGGAGTAATTGGAGAAGTTGCAAATCTTGTGATCTCTGGAATAATAGCTGCTAATCATTGATGTCTATACTTAGGAGAATTCAGGCTCCTGTCATCCTCCTAACCTGGTGGCCTTTCATTAGTTTTACAAAGGTGGTTTAGTTCTGGAGAAGGGCTGTTATCATTTAAACTATACACTAAATTTCTCCCAAAGTTAGCTTGGCTGAAGCCCAGGAATGACTGAGGGCAGTTTGGAAGGTAGAGGCATGATCAGGGTTGGTTAGATCAGATCTCTTTCACTGTCGTAATTTTCTCACTGTTATAATTTTTGCAAAGGTGGTTTCACATTTCCTTATAAAATCCAGTTTCAACAAATAACACTGCTAAGTCAGCTAGCAAGAACCTCCTATTCTCTATATCTGATCAAATTCCTCATCCTCCACCATCTACTAGGTGATGTCTGATCACCCTGGCCTGTTTTCAGCAAGAACCAATTGGTCAGTTGAACCAGAAACCCCCTTATTCCTGATGTTTCCTCTTAGTCATTTTCCATCCACTGACTCCCACACTGTTCCTTGGCTATATTTGGAGTTAAGCCCAATTTCTCCCACTGTGAGACCCTGTTGTAGTGGTCCCTGTACCTATCATGATGGTCCTGAATAAAGTTTGTCTTACTGTGCTTTAACAAGTATCATTTAATAATTTTTTCTTTAACAGTATCAGAATGGCCTTTCCTTTTATACCCCTACAACTTCGGAATTGGTCAATAATTATGACTCTCTGGTCCCTTAAAGATCCTCTCAGTAGAATCCTTGATTTGGTTTTATAATTTGATTACTGTGGGAACTTGCCACATTTTTTTTGCCAGACTACCTAGACACATTGAAAGCCCTGCAGCTCCACTTCAAGTTGCATTCTATAAAAACTCCTCAGCATCTTTCCCCCCAGCCAGCTTTGCTGAGGCATGATCAACAAATAAACCTTGTATATATTTAAGGTACACAATATGATGTTATATGTATTCATTATGAAATGATTCTCCCAATCAAGCTAATTAACCTATCCATCACCTCAAATATTTACTTTACTTTTCTTTTTTTTCCCCTGGGGAGAACAATTAAGCTCTAGTCTCTTAGTAAATTTTAAGTATATAGCACATTATCATTAACCAATCATCATGCTGTACATTAGATCTCTAGCACTTAATCTTGAAAATTTGCATTCTTTGACCAACATTCCCTGTATCCCCCTGCCCAGCCCTTGGTAAACACCATTCTATTCTCTGTTTCTGTGAGTTTGAATTTTTTATATTCCAAGTATAAGGGAGATCATGCAGTATTTGTCTTTTTGTGTCTGACTCATTTCACTTAGTGTAATGCCCTCTAGGTTTTCGTGTTGTGGAAAATGTCAGGATTTCCTTATTTTTAAATGCTGAATAATATTCCTTTGTGTATATGTAGTATATTTTCTTTATTTATTCACTAAGGGACACTTAGGTTGTTTCCATATCTTGGCTATTGTGAATAATGCTGCAATGAACATGGAAATGCCGACATCTTTTCGAGAGGCGGATTTCATTTCTTTTGGATGTATACCCAAAGGTGGCATTGCTGGATCATGAGATAGTTCAATCTTTCATTTTTTTGGGGAGCCTCCATATTGTTTTCTGTAATGGCTGTACTAATTTTCAATTGCATCAACAGTGTACAAGGGTTTCCTTTTTAACCTGGAAGTGTGTCTTACAGAACTTGCTTGTTCTTGTTATAAGGTTTTTGCCAAATACAGTATTGCAAATGATACTTTTGTGGACATTATATCACACCTTTGTGAGTGTTTCTGTAAGAAAAATAATTGAAAAATGAAATTGCTTGATCAAAGGGTATGTGTACTTCGGCTATATCGGAAAATTTTCTTATATTATTAGAATGTTTCTTTTTCTCAGTTCAATTTAATAACTATTAATTGAACGTTTTTTTACCTGTCATTACTGATACAGGCAATGGAGATACAACTGTGAACAGATGGATGTGATTCTCATTCTCACTGTGCATAACCTGTAGTGGAGAAATTTATGGTTTAGGGAGGGACTATTTGTTCCTGCGGAGCACTTAATTTTTAAGATTGAAATTCGAACAGTTTTTTTAGTGATTTAGCTATATTTATGTAAGATAAATTGTATTCGCCAGGACTCCAAGTTGCAAATTTAGCTAATTTAAGCAAGAAAAAGATTATTAGTGTTATAACTATTTGGGAACTTGTGATATTATATCTATAGAACAAATTCTTTGAATGGAATTGAGAGGTCAGAGTACATGTGCATATTAAATTTAATATATATATCCAAATTAGTCTCCAAAAATGTTGCAGAAATTTATAGTTCCCCAAATTCCTGTGAATATTGGACTTCAGTAATCATTTTAATCTTACCAGTCTACCTGGTGAAACACTGTAACTCATTTTTGTTTTAATGTGCATTTGTTTAGTTATGACTGTGATTGAGTATGCGTCACATTTTTATTGCTTATTTTAATTTTATTTTTTCCGTAAACTATTTGTAATGTCCTTTGTCCATTTTTTTTATAGTATCTCTCTATGTTGCCCAAGCTGGTCATAAACTCCTGGCTTTGTCCATTTTTAAATGGAGTGTTTTATTAATTTATAAGAGCATTTTTATAGTAAAAAATTAAGTTTCATTCGGTCATATATGTTGAGAATACTTTTCCTGGCTTGTTATTTTTTAGCTGTGTTGTCTTTGACTTTTTCACAGTAAAATTAAAATATGCATATAGTCAATATGTAAATCTTTTCTTTATGGCTTATATATAATATAATACTTAAAAGATCACTCTCATTTTAATTCTATTATAAACATCATTTATTTAAAAGATTTTTTTTGTCCCTTTATGGCCTGAATTATTACATTATATTATATTTGTCTTTTAAAATGTTTTATAAGAGTAAGAACAGGATCCAGCTTTATAACAGTTTTTAAAGTGACTATTGATATTTTAAATATTGTTTATTGATTTATCTATCTTTTCTCTATTTAAAATATATATTTTCAAATTTCCTATTTAACTGGCTGATTTCTGAACATTCTATTCTGTTTCATTTATTTGTCTATTATAATGTTTCTCAAATTGTGGTTCTTGCATTCAAGAAGATGTCCCCTTAGCCAGCATGATTGGTAATAGTATTTGGTCTGTTAATAAACAAACAAACAGAAAATTGGTTGGAGACGTATAAAAATACAGAATGTCTCTAACGTTTTAATTTAAAACATATAAATGCACATTCATTTGCCAATCTCTTCAATTAGATTTCAGGCATGTTTTTTGACTATGCATCTATTGTTAATTTTTGTGTTAGCAATCTTGTAATAAAGATGTTCCTATCTTTAATATGTGCAAGATCTTAAAGAAAGATTTTGTGAGTAATCTCTGAATTTTTTTTAAAATTTGTGTCCTAGCCTGTTATAGATTTCTCATCCACTACAGTTTAAAATAATTTTTAAAAATCAATTTACTTTGCGTTTTTCTAAAACATTTAATTTAGTTTTAATAGAAACCTTTTTGAACTCACATTTCATGGGCTTATAGAATATTCAATTCAATTAGGTAATTTTTTGATGTAAATGGGCATAAATAGTTCCTAGTTTTTTCAGTTTTAGTTCTGAGAAAGAAAACAAAGAATTCAACCATGGAAACAAATTCATTGAGTGCAACAGTGTGGCCCATTGACTGTTTTTAGTATGTTGGAGACATCATATGGTATTTTTTTATAGTGCAAATAGAGGTCCTCAGTTAAACTGGTGGATTAGTTATGGGACGGATCCTTGTACTTTACTTGTGTTGCAATCATCTGGGAATCCTGTTAAAATGCATATTTTCATGCTACAGAACAGATCTAGAAAATCAGAATTTTGAGATGTTTGATCCATAGGGAAATTAAGAGTTAATATGCATCCTAGGTGATTCTTATGTGCTGTTTGAGAGCCATGAGGATATTGTTTCACTTGTACCAAGCTGTTCTAATTTGTGTAACTCAATGACGTTTTAATATTCTGTAGGGCTCTTCATTTTTCTTTTCTTAATTTTCTCGCCCACTTCTGCATGTTTATTTTACCAGGTCAAAGTTAACATTTTACTTTAAATTATTTTGTTTCAAGCTGTATTGATTCAATAGGTGAATTTGGAGAATAAACAAATTTACAATGTGAAATTTTGGTTTCCACAAGTTATGTTTCCATTTATCTTTCAACGCTTTTTAATATGCCTCAGTAGAGTTTTAAAGTTTTCTTTATATCACCCCACACAATTCTTGTTAAACTTTTTCCTAAGTGTTTTATCTTCTGTTATTCCTATTGAAAATGAGATTTATTTAACCATTAAATTTTCTAACTTGCTGTGGTTTAAATATTGAAAAGCTGTTGCTTTTATATTTTATTTTTTTAATCTGTCTCCTGATTGTCTTTTTTCTTATTGTTTCACATCGATTTTTTTAGTTGATTTCTCTTGTGTTTTCTAAATATAGAGTCATATTTACTGCAAACAATGGTTATTTTGTCTTTTCTGTCTCACTATTTTTATTTCTTGTTTCCCTTTAGAAGTGCACTGACTTCCAGAATGGCACTCTGCTATTCTACAGTATGAAACTGAGTCCCCGTGAGGATCTTGTTTACTCTTCCTGTCCTGGTTCATGCTCACAATTCTTACCAGTCTAAGTAAATGATGCTAGGACCTTTCAGAGGTGCACCATTTACTTCTTGATAAATTTTCCCTAAAGTCCAAAAAGTTATATCCTTTCCCAATTTGTTCTGAAGTGCACTGTTTGGCAAATATTTTTGTTAGCTTGTGTTTTAAATTTGCAACTATTTTCTTATTTAATTCAAGATGCTATTTTTTTATTTTTTTTGTTTTCATTGATTTCAGGTTGAATGTATAAAGTATATAATTAGCTAGCTAATTATTGCAGGGTGTTTTCTCTATCAAGTTGTTAAAAACCTGAAAAATAGGCCATTATACTTTTGGCTTCTTTTTTTCTAACTATACATATCTAACATGTAGAATTTTTCCTGCATAACTTGGCTTATCAATGTCACAGAAGGTTGTAGAATATGAATAATGGTTGCTGAATAATGGACACTGCTTTTTGCAGATTTATCAATTTCTAAAATGAAAAGATTAAGGGCATTAACTAACAAAAGATATTTTTCTACCTTGTGATCTGACAAATACTTAGTAAATATTTTCTGTTTTAATGATTTTATTTTTACTTAATATTTTTATTAACTTGGAATTGAGTTTTTGGTACGATGTTAGATGAGCATATATTTCATTTATCAAAGAAGTAACCATTTTTTCCCAACCTTATTTATTGAATCATCTTTTCTGTCTTTCTATCTGCCTGTCCACCTACAGATTGATAATACCACTCTCATTGTTTTCTAATATCATTGTGAAAATCTATTTCTGTACAATTTATGACATTCTGATTATCTATTTGTCAATTCTTGCATGACAATCTTCTTGGATCTTTTGCAGTTTTAATTATTTTAAATATCAGTCATAGAAAATCTTCCTCATTTCTTTAAAAAACTTTTTTGGATCTTTCAATCCATTGACTCTTCTTGATAAACTTTGGAAACATTCTGTGAATGTCTAAAAACAATCACTTGGGATATAATTTGAATAGCATTAAACCTACATAGTAATTAGAGAAGATTTTTAATGTATTTTTTCTTCAGCTGGGTGCATAGTATGGTTTTCCAATTATTCCAGCCTTGTTTTAAGACACTCAGTGAAATGTTAAACTATAGTGATGATGCTGTGCCCAGCATCTTTTACTGCTTCTGATTTTAATGAGAATTTCTCTAGTGCTTTCCTGTTAATTATGAGGTCATTGGCTGATTTAGGACATATAGTATTTTTTATTTTAAAAATATTTTTAGAACTTTGCTGAAGTATTTGTGCTTTGTTGTTTTCAGATTATGTAATGATACTTTAATTTTATCTCATGTCAAACTATCTCTTATTTATCATGATCAATTTTATATTTATTTTCTCATTCTTAATTTTATTCATATTCTGTATTATTTTCACATTATCTTGATAAAACTTATTAGATGTTAGACTATTTTATGCTTTTCTTTACCATAAAATATTTGGTTCTTAGATTTATCCTTCATTCTGTTTTCTAGTTTATTAATATTTGTTTTCATCTTTATTATTTCTGTCCTTTTGTATTCCTTAGACTTTGTTTGTTTTTGGTCCTCTTTCTAATTTTTTGGGCTAGATATTTGCTACTTGCTTTTATTTGTTTTCATTTAATAATAAAAATATTTAATTCTATCAATTTTTCTTTTGGTATAACTTCATACTGTAACACAGTTTGATAGTTAATTTATCAGCTACCATTGTATTCAGAAGGAACTAAAACCTGGAAAATAGTGGTTTATTTTAGAAATCTTTATTTCTGACCCTTCATTATTGAATTTATATCCCTGAATGTGATCGCTAATGTGATATCATGCTGTTATTTATGTATACATGGTATTGAGTTCTCTATCCATCTATTAGAAAGAAGAATCTATTTCCCCACATCTGTAGTTAGAAAGACTAGTTATTACTCTGATAATACTGCACATTTATCAACTGCAAACTCACTTGCCATCAGAGAAATGCAAATCAAAACCACAATGAGATATCATCTCACACCAGTTAGAATGGCAATCATTAAAAAGTCAGGAAACAACAGGTGCTGGAGAGGATGGGGAGAAACAGGAATACTTTTACATTGTTGGTGGGACTGTAAACTAGTTCAACCATTGTGGAAGTCGGTGTGGCGATTCCTCAGGGATCTAGAACTAGAAATACCATTTGACCCAGCCATCCCATTACTGGGTATATAGCCAAAGGATTATAAATCATGCTGCTATAAAGACACATGCACACGTATGTTTATTGCAGCACTATTCACAATACCAAAGACTTGGAACCAACCCAAATGTCCAACAATGATAGACTGGATTAAGAAAACGTGGCACATATACACCATGGAATACTATGCAGCCATAAAAATGATGAGTTCATGTCCTTTGTAGGGACATGGATGAAGCTGGAAACCATCATTCTCAGCAAACTATTGCAAGGACAAAAAAACCAAACACCGCATGTTCTCACTCATAGGTGAGAATTGAACAGTGAGAACACATGGACAGAGGAAAGGGAATATCACATACCAGGGGCTGTTGTGGGATAGGGGGAGGGGGGAGGGATAGCATTAGGAGATATACCTAATGCTAAATGACGAGTTAATGGGTGCAGCACACCAACATGGCACATGTACACATATGTAACAAACCTGCATGTTGTACACATGTACCCTAAAACTTAAAGTATAATAATAATAAATTATACATTTCTAAAAAAAAAAAAAGAAAGAAGAATCTATTTCTCCACATCTGTAGTTAGAAAGACTAGTTATTACTCTGATAATACTGCACATTTATCAACTGCAAACTCATATAGTTTTCAATATAGACACTTGTTTCCCACTTAGCATTCAGAAAGTCAGCTGGAGGAGTTTTTCTTCAGTCTGTTGGTCAAAATCAACTGTTTCCTCATTACTACCCACTATAACTTCTACTCAGATTCCATTCGTTAAAGCAGGTCATAATAGCTAAGCCCAAGTGGGATAGAAAGGTATAATACTCTGTTCATAAGTGAACTATGGCAAAAGCAAAGATGGAAGAATTGTGAAACAATAAAAATCAAATCTAAGAATAATGATGGAACAAATGCCTTTCTTAGATTTTTCTTTACTGATCTTTTAGTAACAATAGAGGTGTAAGTGAAAGAAGGCTAAGCTTGAGGTGTTGGCCAAGATCGTGGGTCCAATGAGGCACCTACTTAGCCAGATATTAATATATGTCAAAAGACTAGAGTAATTCTTATACCATACATATTGTTCAGCAGAGGAAGAGAGTTAATAAAAAATTAGTTTCTGAACCCTAGCTAAAATAACCAGAATAAATGTTACTCTATAAACTCAGGTGTGAAGTAAATACCATGTTTCTTTATTTCTTTAAGTTAAATTATATTAGACTCTGATTCCCTATGCTATTTGGGATTTACATCAGAATCATATTCCATGTTCTCACTGCCTCACTGAAAGCTACAAAATAATCTTGGAGGTTTATGTGGTTCACAAATGTAGGATGCATTTTTTATTTATAAGCCATTAAAATGGCTCCAGAAATTCTTATACTTCCACAAGAGTAGAAAAGAGCTAGGAGGTATATACACCAAAAGGCTAACAGTAGTTACATTGAGGGTTGGTGCACAGGTGGAAGAAGGGTTGGAAGGAGGGAGGGGACATACTTTCCTGTTCTTAGGTTTGTAATTCTTTGTAACGATAAGTGGTGGATTTATGAATAATTTTCTTATCATTTTTGTGTTAGCATTTCATAGAGTAGTTATAAAGATTAAGTGAGTATTAAATATAGGAGGTTTAGCATAGGGTTTGTCTCATAGTAAACCCCTTAATTTGGTATGTTCAACTATTCTATTGTTAAGATGCTTATGTTAGAAACTATATTTCCCAGATTCTCCTTCTTGATATACAATCAGATTAGTGTCAGCTAAAAGTGAAGTTGCATGATATTTGATAAGCAGGAGTGAAGCTACAGCTTTTATACTTTGAGGTCTTTGTGGATTAGAGATTATGGCAGATCAATGCAGTGATCTGGCCAGGATCCACTTTGTCCTCTTTCTCCATTACTGGCCAGAATGTTTCCAACTGTTCACCCTCCATAGCAGCTAGGCCTACCATGACATACTTTATTGTGAACTCACGAAGGTAGTAGCCACAGAAAGTCAAGCGCCTTTGACAGATTTCTATTTATTCCCATTTTTGGTACTTCTCTTGCAGCTGGATGTGTCAGGATTCCATATATCCCTCCAAGTTTCTGCTTATTCAATTATACCAGGACTAGGAAGTGAACCTTCTTTGATTCTTTAACTCATCTTCTCAGACTTTTATTTTCCTCAAGAGAAGATCTGTAGTGGTGTTCTCTGTAAGCAAGGAATAACATTGGGAACAACTGCCACTGAAATGGGCTCTCTGAATTGAGAGGGGACAGCGGTGGCCCATGGAGTCAGGGACCAGGTAGTGGTACTTATTGGCCTGAAATGATGGAGGGTGGGCAAGGCTACCTTAATGGGCAGCAGAGCCAAAGGAGTATGTTCTGGACTGCCTATGTCTTTGGCATTGGCTAAAAAACATACTCCAAAAAGTAGCAGAACCCCCACATTGGTTCCTTGCCCTGTGGAGTGAGGAATGTTAGGATAGAAAAGCAGAAACTGCTAACACTATCTCTACCTACTGAAGTAGTAAACCAAAAGCAACATTGAATCTCTGTAGGTAGTGTCAGTGTCCAGGGCTTGAAAAATGCAAGAATGTCAATCTTCATTGTATCTCTGTTCAGCTAGTGTATGTTTTCAAAGAAGACAGATGGATTTTGGGGAATAACTGTGGATTTTTGTAAACTTAATCAGGTGGTGACTCCAATTGCAGCTGCTATTCCTGATGTGGTTTCACTGATTGAACAAATCAACATATTCCTTGGCACTTTGTATGCAACTCCTGATCTGGCTAACGCTGCTTTCTTTATACCCAGTAGTAAAGAATGGTAAAAGTTTACTCTTGGCTGTCATGGACAGCATATACTTTTGCTGTCTTATATCAGGATTGCATCAATTCTTTAGCCTTCTGTCATAATCTGGTCCATAGGGACTTTGATTATCCTTCCATTCAACTAAATTGCTCTGGTCCACTGCAATGATGACATTTTGCTTGGGCCTGGTAGGCAGGAAGTAGCAACTACCCTACATACCTGGGTAAGAAAAATATGTAGTAGAAAGTGGGAAATAAATCTCATTGGAATTCAGGGGCCTGAAACCTTGGTAAAATTTCAAGAGGTCTAATGGTTTAAGGAATGCCAAAATATCCCTTCCAAGGTCAAAGACAAATGTTGCATCTGGACCTTGCCATCACAAAGAGGCACAATACATATAACATTTGATATGTTATTTTTGAAATTTATCATTATATTGATAGAATTTCTTCATATAACTAAAGAATGTGATAGCAATGCTTTACAATATAGATGTACTGCACTAATTTCATTACATTTTTAATGAATTATTGATGCTGCATTTACTTATTATAAAATACCTGAATGAAAATATGTGTTAATTTTTTAAATTGTAATATTTTAGAATTACTCTTCAATAAGTTATGTAACCCCTATATGAATTCTGGGATTGTCATGTATCTGATTTTCCTATCTTGAATTTTACTTCTTTAAGCATTATAGAATATTCTAATTCTAAATCTCAGCTTTTCATCTTTTATTGCTAAAAATGAAGATAACTGATAAAATTTCATTTCGAGTACATTATAGAAAATATGCAGAATATATATTGATGTTATCAACAATGTGATATCAATTGGGGATAATGTGATTTGATTATTATTCTAGATCAAAGCTGAATAAAGTGTCAAACATATTTTTATACTTCTTCTGTCACATTTGTGTTGTGTTACCTTTTGTGTATTCAGGCTTATAATAAACATCCCTAAATTAGTGACAGAGTAAATCCTATGGTCAGTTATTACAGCTACATTGTCAAGTAATAATAAGGCTTAATTACCCATTTTCTAAAATCATTAAAGTTTTTGCTTACCAACTGCATGGCTCTTAGCAAAGGATTCTTCCTATCTTTGAAAAGAAATCAAAGCATTCATATCAGGCATTAAAAACTTGAGAACCTGCAGTGAGAGAATCACATCAACTACAAAAAGAAAATATCTTCTGACAAGTTAGATTTCACTCACATAATTGAATGATCATGACAAGCTGTGATCAATAATATCAAATGTCCCTGAGACTGGTTTTTGTCCATTGTTATATTTCTGAAAAAGGATTTATAGTACAGAATTTACTGACTTCAAAAGCAAATTTGAGTGTCTTGATGATGAAATAAGAGATGGACTTGTAAATGTCTTCAGAGAATTACTACCTACATATAATTTATATAGAGCTTGGCATAAGTGTGGTTATCAAATGTATTTAATCAGCAGACACTGGATGGATAATTAATTAAGAAATTCTATGATTATTATTCACTTAATGAATATAGGAAATATATCAAAATTCTATGATTATTATTCACTTAATGAATATAGGAAATATATCAGAGAAAAGTAAAAGAAAAAACTGACTTTAGAATCTAAAAACACACTGGCTTTGTAAACTATGTATCTTCATGATTTTATTTAAAAAATACCATTGGCATACCATAAAGTTATATCAATGCTTATAAAATATTAAACTGCAGCAATATAAATTCTTTGTAGTAGCTTTATAAATGGAGAAAACGCAAGTAAAATACAATCACAATATGTAATTCTACAATAAAATGTATTAAGACACATCAAGATTTCAGTCACCTATGTATTGGTTTCACTTGGAGTCATAATTAATTCATGTTCTGTCTCTCCTGTGTTCAGAGAAAAGTACATAAATGAGAAGAGTCTTCATTCACAACTCCTTTTCTGCCAAATTCCAAATGAAATGAAACCAAAGCAAGTGCACCACAAAATCTGATTCAAAGGAAACTTCAGACACTGAAGCCATTAAGCACACATTTCCTAAATAAAAAATGAGTTGTCTGCAAGCTGTCTTGTCACGGTCTGCAAAGTCTCACTGCATAAAACAACAGCTCGGCAGATTGTCAGAGAACTCCTGAGATAAACAAAAACCAAGTCAAACTTCTCCCTTCCTGTCTTTCCATTTCAGCTTCATCTTGACAGAAGAGAAATGCTCCTTTACTCTAATAGGGAGCCGTAAATATCCTCATATGGCATATGGGCATTGCCTTTTGATTTTGGAAAAGGTTTTCAAAAACCAGGAAGTAATGGATTGTCTGAATGCAGAAGATGCATGATTAATTGATTCATTTAGGAGTTTTAAAATGAGCTAGTTTTATTAGGTTTATCAACTCCTTACAATTAAAAAATTTCAGAAAAGGTTTTGGAGTTGTTGTAGTTAACAGCAAAAAATCTGGAATCTAACAGATGAGTTTACATTCTATTTCTGCACATCCTATCTCCAAATTGAGACACTATACTTGACCTCTCTGGACTTTAATTTCTTGTATTTAACAGGAATAATGGAAGTACTTACCTCAGAGAGCTGTCTTACGAGTTAAATCAATTAATATGTGTTTTAGAACAACTGTTCATGCTGTGTAGTATATATTATGTGTTAGCCTTCATATGGTGATTAATATTATATTATCATTATAGTTTTGCTTGTTTCTAAACTCCTAGGTGTATTTCTGTGAATCTGAACCTCTTGCTACTGAAAGTCTCACTCTAGCACAATAAGTGTTTGTTAAATATCTTCCTTTGCTTTCTGAATTTCTGTGCTTACGGGAAATAATTGTGTATATCCAGAAAAATGAAATAAGGAGTGTGAGCAAAAGTGGCTGCTCCTAGCTTTTGGAATGAATTAAAAAAAATTCATTCTACATTTCTGTTTCTTAAGACTACTCACAAGCAAAACTGTGAAGTTGGCAGATAGTTTTAGATTTTTTTCTGTTGATTGCTTCTCCTTGCTCTATCTCTGCAGCGAAGGTTTCATGGGTGCTCCTGCCTTCATAAGGCCTGTTGCTACAGGATTCATTATTTTGAGACAATAGTTGATGCTTTGCATTTTCCCTCATTGTTCAATTCACTGGCTACCACCCCATTCCCAGTGTAACATACCCATGTTCCATATCTCTCATAATTTTGTTGCCTCTTGTCAGACTATGTTGTTTTATAATGTGTTCATAAAAAAAAATCCCAGCTGAAACATTAGCTAACTAATGTGTTACCCTTTCCAAATATTGCATCAATCTCTTTTCCTTTTGCATTGGTTGTCTCTTTAAAAAAAAACAACTTTCATTTTAAGTACAGGGGTACATGTGTAGGATGTGCAGGTTTGTTACATAGGTAAATGTGTGTCATAGGGTTTGTTGTACAGATTATTTCATCACCCAGGTATTAAGCCTAGTACCCATTAGTTGTTTTTTCTGATCCTTTCCCTCCTCCCACCCTCCACTCTCTGGTAGGCCCCAGTGTCTGTTGTTCCCCTCCATGTGTTCATGTGTTCTCATCATTTAGCTCCCACTTATAAGTGAGAACATGCCGCATTTGGTTTCCTGTTCTTGTGTTAGTTTGCTAAGGATAATGGCCTCCAGCTCCATCCATGTCGCTGCAAAAGACATGATCTCATTCTTTATTATGGTTGCATGGTATTGCATGGTGTATATGTACCACATTTTCTTTATCCAGTCTATCATTGATGGGCATTCAGGTTGATTCCATGTCTTTGCTATTGTGATTAGTGCTGCAATGAACAAAACACGTGCATGTGTCTTTACAATAGAACAATTCATACAAGAAGCACATCTTACATAAGATTATTACTTGTCTTCATTATGCATTGATTTTGTTAACATTATTTTCCCTTTTTTAATTGAAAAATGAAAACTCTATTATGTACATATTTTTAAATATGTATAGGTTGCAGAATGACTAAATCAAGCTAATTCGCATATACATTACTTCACTTTTTTTGTGGTGATAACTCTTAAAATCTACTTTCTTACCAATTTTCAAGAATACAATGCATTGTTATTAAATATGGTCACCATGTCAATAGATCTCTTGAACTGATTTCTTCTGTCTAGCTGAAATTTTGTATAGTTTGACCAATATCTCTTGTTCTCCCACTTTTCCCCCAGCCTCTGGTAACCTCCATTTGACTCTCTACTTCTCTGAGGTCAACTTTTTTAGATTCCACATATAAGTGAGATCATGCTGTATTTGCATTGTGCACCAACGTAAAGGCCTATCATGGGTTATATTCTTCATATAACCATATGGAGGATCATACTTCATCATATGCCTTTTGACTAAATGTCTAAGTTCAATTTAGATGTTGTTTGGGGTGTTTATTTATTCTTGAACCTGGAGGTTTATGGTCTGTTGCAGGAATGAGAGAGGACTGGCCCATTCTCATATATTTTAAAATGAAGTTGCTTCAATTTGACCTGCATTTCTCAATTCATGTTTGGTGGTCCTGGAGATGATCAGTAATTAAAGAAAAAAAAAAGAGAGATATTGTTGCCAAATGAAGTTGAGAAACACTGACTATTTTACATTGCTCTTAGAGATTCATGTTGCATGTTAACATACTAAAAGTTATCAGAAGTTTTATGAAAGAGAAGCACATTTAATTTTATTTTAACCTAATATTTCCTTTTTGCTTTGTGGAACATACACTAACCTATAATTAAACTTGCTGTTTTAGATAAAAAGTAATGAAGTATACTCAGATGATTGAAATGGTTATACTTAACAATGAACTTGTTATAAATTAAAAAACATAAAATTGGAGTTATGCTCATCCCATTTATGGTTCAAAAATATTTGGACTAACTGTTTATAAAACTTTACTTCTTTTGATTTGAACGTTTGGCTCTACAAACAGGCAGATTATTATTTATATTAAACTGATAAATGAGAGTGAACTAAGATCCACACACTAAGTCAATGGCAAATGGCAAACGGCTCACGGCACAGCCTCTATGTAGCTAACTGCATGCAGTGAGAAAATTAGGTTGTCTATTCTATGAACTATACAGTAGCTCACACTGTGCTGGAAATTAGCCTAAATTAAATTTAGATCACAGAAAGCTTTATATGCTGTTAGCAAAATGGTAGTTATCAATCCTTTCGCTAATGAGAAGTCAAAATAATTGAAACTGAACTGGAGAAATGTGTCTCCAACTCTTAGTGCAGTTGGGGAACATAGAAGCAGAAAGTCTACAATGACTATTATTTTTACAGCTCAGTAGTTCTGCCAAATGTGCATTATGTTGGGACAAATGGAATTCTATTAAATGCTTTAGGTTCCTTTTAGAGTCTGGAAGAATATTAATTTATTTTCTTCTTATGCAGGGCTACAATTACACTGAGCCTGAGTCAAGTGGAAACAAGTTGTCACCCTATCCCAATACCTACTGGAAAACTCTTCTTGTTTCCTCTCATTCCCACCCAGAATTATTTAAGGGTACCACATACTTAAATAGAATATGCAATTGTAGCAACTAAATATGCTTCTGCTATACCCCAAATTATCATTTTCCAGTTTTTATATGTTTCCTACAGTCAGAAGTAATGGATAGACCTGTGCCTCCAATGTCTTCTCTAATTTACTGGCCTTAGAACTCACATTTTTTTTCCTTAGACTAAATGACTAAATTATAGCAAATAAATCTGGTGTTAAGATTAATCCCAAACTCCTGAAAGTTGAAACCATATTTTGCTTTCTTGCTCTTGAATATATTCTCAGGGTATAGGAGAGACTAGAAAATAGAAATTTATTGCTCTATGGGCTTTTTATCCAGAATTATTTACTTGTTTTCTTTTTATTCATCTAAAATCCTTATTAAAAATGAGCATTGAAATGCTGAAGGATTAGATAAATGTATAGGAGGATTAAAAAGAGGGACATGATGATGGATGTGGGGAGTGTGTAGGAGCAGAAATGACAAGGAGGAGAAGGAGATTTTCCCAGTTATAAATGTGCTTCCGGGAGTTTTTCTGGCATATGAAAAATATCTGATTGAGGTTGGCAGTTAAAAAAAGAAAGCAGCAATATAGGAAAAACTAAGCAGAAAATCTTTGTCTAAAAGTTGTAAAAAAAAAACCCTCAGACATTAAAATAGACATGGTGGATGCAAAAATAGACTATAAAATGAGAGTGACATGGATGGAGAGATGATGAGTCCAAATGGGAAGATGGAAAATATATTAAAATATTTAGACATCAAAGCTTAGAAAAGGTACTTGGGAGTTGGTGGTCTTAGAGCCTGAGAAACTCAATTTCATTTGCAGTTTTAAAATACGTGATATTAGGGAGATGCAATGCATGTAAAGAGAAGAGTAACAAAGAACTAGACATTCTTATAAACTTGCTGTGTCACCTTTAACATTGGAATTACCATCTAAATTTATTTATTCTAAAGTAAAGTGAGGTTTATGATAAAATATTATTCCCTTCTATTTACAAAGTACCTTGATTTTCAAATATCAATTCATTTCTTAAAGCTTCCCAGCAGTAGAGAAGGGTGAGAAGCATTGCGAGTATGTGCAGACTCTCCCAAGCAATAAGATGGGTAAACTGAGTGATACAATTTCGAGAACAAATGAAACTAGTCCAAAAAATTGTGATTGTGATGGAAAGATATATTCAGGAGAAAATGCCAGAAGAGCACTTGGAGTTAAAAGGCTGAAGAAATGGGCCAAGAAATCAGTAATGAATGAGCTTTGAGCCAACATACACCAGATGGGAACCTTAAGACAAGTTATAGTTTAAGACATTTTCTTGAGGAAAAGCTAGATCCGTAGACTTCTGAATTAGTTGTTTTCCTTAATACTGTTTTATCTACCATACCAAGTAGTTCCAAGGAATAAGAAATGATAATTATGACTTCCAGTTTTCTATAGATAATGGCAGCTATCTAAATCAGAAATTTTCAATATCCCTCTAAAAATCATGTACACAGGTCATAGAAGAGCAAATAAGATAACTCATAATTAATATCTACAGTGTAATTAGAACACCAAGACTACTGCAGATTTCAAATTATGTGTAAGTAGTAAAATAAACATGCAAATCCAACAGATTCATTCTCAGAACGCATGTCACTGTATGATAGAATGCTATGGTTTGATTGTGCCCCTCAAAGTTCATGTATTGGAAACTTAATCTCCAAAGGAATATTGTTGGGCCATAGGAACTAATAAGAGGTAATTAGGTGAAGAGGGCTCTGCTCTCATGAATGGATTAAGGCTGTTATCTTGGGAGTGGGTTAGTTGTCTCAAGTGCGCATTTGTTATAAAAGCAATTTGGCACCTTCTTGCTCTCTTGCTCTCTCATATTCTCTTTCCCTTCTGCCTTCAACCATGAGATGATATAGTAAGAAGGCTATCAAAAGATGTGGGCCTCTTGATCTTGGACTTCCTAGCCTCCTGAACTCTAAGAAATAAATTTCTCTTCTTTGTAAATTACCTAATCTGTAGGATTCTGGTATAGCAACTCAAAATGAACCAATGAGTCAATCAGAGATTGAGCAGAAAATTTTAAAAAAGCGATAGGGACTTAATAAACATGGATAAAATCAAGCATATTAAGAGAGAGTTAACATTCTCAATGGAGAAACACTAAGAACACGTCAGATACCTTGTTGGTCATACCCATGGCTACTGGGGGATAAAAAGGAAAAAAAAAAAGTATGGAAGTGCAAAGACCAGTGGTGAAAGTTTTGCAAAGGCACCTCTTCTGGGTTAGAGTGGGGAGACTTGGAGTGATACTTCCCTTGGAGTCTTGTCAGTAAAGGAAAGGAAGGCAGCAAGCAGTTGAAGCTAAAGATCCCACAGAAGTAAAGAGACTTACAAAATCAGAAGAAATATCAATCATTCCTCACCCTCGAAACGTGCCAAAAATAATGATACCATTAATTAAAGCAACTTCACTTTGTTGTATTAACAGAGGAGGAGGATGTTGAACTAACAATCCTGATCCACAATCTACACTTCCAATACTGGTCTACTTAAATTCGTTACTTTTGTCCAGGAAAATATCAAATGAACATTAACTGAATAGAACAGAAAATTGCATATAATACCCATACAAAACTGCTATCATGAATAAGAGTATGTCACAAACACGACCATTCTTCCTTCATGATTTCATGATTTCATACTCCCATAAATGTACCACATTTTAACTATATCACGTCCTCTGGTACTGCAGGCAAACAAACACAAAACAAAGAAAAAATAAAAATAAAAATAAAAATAAAAACGTTTGTAGCTGATGAATATACCTTCTTCAAAACCAACGAGTCAGAAGGAATCAGCAACACAACCGTACCCTCTCCAACTTTAATTAAATAGCTTTAAGTAAGTGAAGATATAAATGAGCACTTTACATTAGAACTACAAAATCTTAGAACAGAAAGGGGCAAAAAAAGGAGATATAGAATGAGAGTTGACTGGACTCAGGAAAGAGATGGAAGAAAAAGGCAAAATCATGTTAGAAATAAAAATACAGAGAGATCATTTCAAAATGATGTATGAAAAGCTCACGGAAAAAAATGATTTGACTGAAAATTTGAGAAGGTCCGATGAGGAAATAAATGAAAATAAGAGAATGAAAATGAATAAAAGAATTTAAAAGATCAAAGAGAAAGAGATACAAAGCATAGACAAAGAACCAATATATTCATAATTAGAATGTCTGAAGAAGAAATTTGAGAAAATAAGCAACACTAATATTTAATAGTATAATCAAATAAGATTTTCTGAAAATAGAAGGCTTACATTTAATGTTAAAAGAGCCTATCATTTCCCTGAAATCACGAATAAAGAATGATCATGTTTGTGACATACTCTAATAAATATATCACACTTTAAATATATCACATCCTCTAGTACTACAGGAAAACAAACAGCAAACACACACAAAACAAAAAACTTTTAAAGGAAATAAATAAAAACAAATTAGCATAAAACCTCTTAAGCAGGATACAAAACAAGACAATAGTGGTACAACATTTTATGATGATTATTATTTTTTTCTTTTATTATACTTTAAGTTCTGGGATACATGTGCAGAACGTGCAAGTTTGTTACATAGGTATACACGTGCCATGGTGGTTTGCTGCACCCATCAACCCGTCATTTACATTAGGTATTTCTCCTAATGCTATCCCTCCCCTACTCCCCTACCCCCCAACAGGCCCCAGTGTGTGATGTTCCCCTCCCTGTCTTCATGTGTTCTCATTGTTCAACTCCCACTTATGAGCGAGAACATGCGGTGTTCGGTTTTCTGTTCTTGTGTTAGTTTGCTGAGAATGATGGTTTCCAGCTTCATCCATGTCCCTGCAAAGGACATGAACTCATCCTTTTTTATGGCTACATAATATTCCACAGTTTATATATGCCACATTTTCTTTATCCAGTCTAAGATTTATGGGCATTTAGGTTGGTTCCAAGTCTTTGCTATTGTGAACTGTGTTGCGGTAATGTATGTGTGCATGTGCCTTTATAGTAGAATGATTTATAATCCTTTGGGTATATACCCAGTAATGCAATTGCTGGGTCAGATGGTATTTCTGGTTCTAGATCCTTGAGGAATATCCATACTGTCTTTCACAATGGTTGAACTAATTTACAGTCCTACCAACAGTGTAAAAGCGTTCCTATTGCTCCACATCCTCTCCAGCATCTGTTTCCTGACTTTTTAATGACTGCCATTCTAACTGGCATGAGATGGCATCTCATTGTGGTTTTGATTTGCATTTCTCTAAAGACCAATGATGATGAGCTTTTTTTCATGTTTGTTGGCCACATAAATGTCTTCTTTTGAGAAGTGTCTGTTCATATCCTTCACAAACTTTTTGATGGGTTTGTTTTTTTTTCTTGTAAATTTGTTTAAGTTCTTTGTAGAGTCTGGATATTAGCCCTTTGTCAGATGGATAGATTGCAAAAATTTTCTCCCATTCTGTAGGTTGCCTGTTCATTCTGATGATAGTTTCTTTTGCTGTGCAGAAGCTCCTTAGTTTAATTAGATCCCATTTGTCAATTTTGGCTTTTGTTGCCATTGCTTTTGGTGTTTTAGTTATGTAATCTTTGCCCATGCCTATGTCATGAATGGTATTTCCTAGGTTTTCTTCTAGGGTTTATATGGTTTTAGGTTTTATGTTTAAGTCTTTAATCCATCTTGAGTTAATTTTTGTATAAGTTGTAAGGAAGGGGTCCAGTTTCAGTTTTCTGCACATGGCTAGCCAGTTTTCCCAGCACCATTTATGACATAGGGAATCCTTTCCCCATTGCTTGTTTTTGTCAGGTTTGTCAAAAATCAGATGGTTGTAGATGTGTGGCATTATTTCTGAGGCCTCTGTTGTGTTCCATTGGTCTATATATCTGTTTTGGTACCAGTACCATGCTGTTTTGCTTACTGTAGCGTTATAGTACAGTTTGAAGTCAGGTAGCGTGATGCCTCCAGCTTTGTTCTTTTGGCTTAGGATTGTCGTGGCTATATGGAATCTTTTTTGGTTCCATATGAAATTTAAAGTAGTTTTTACTAATTCTATGAAGAAAGTCAATTGTAGCTTGATGGGGATAGCATTGAATTCATAAGTTAGTTTTGGCAGTATGGCAATTTTCACAATATTGATTCTTCCTATCCATGAGCATGGAAAGTTCTTCCATTTGTTTGTGTCCTCTCTTATTTCCTTGAGCAGTGGTTTGTAGTTCTCCTTGAAGAGGTCCTTCACATCCCTTGAAAGTTGGATTCCTAGGTATTTTGTTCTGTTTGTAACAATTGTGAATGGGAGTTCACTCATTATTTGGCTCTGTTTTTCTATCATTGGTGTGTAGAAATGCTTGTGATTTTTGCACATTGATTTTGTATCCTGAGACTTTGCTGAAACTGCTTATCAGCTTAAGGAGATTTGGGGCTGAGACGATGGGGTTTTCTAAATATACAATCACATCATCTGCAAACAGAGACAGTTTGACTTCCTCTCTTCCTATTTGAATACTCTTGATAAACTTAAAAGAATTAAGGATGTTTTAGCCAACAAAATTGTTATTCAGCTTTCAAGTCTCGATTATCACTTTCAAACATGCAATACCTCTAGGAATACTCTACTTATGAGCCCCTCCAAAGGAATTGACTACAGGGTGGTTTCATCCAACCAAGTGTTAACTCTGAAAACTTAGTTACGAAGAAAGATGTTTAACATGGAATACGTTTAAGTGCAGATGCAAGAATAAAAATGAAGAAGCAAAGGGTAGAAAAAGAGTGTATAATTACAAAGTGGATATAATAAAACTAAAACACGGGAGGAGGAGAGTGAAATAAAGTAACAAGTTGAATAAACTCATTGTCATATGAGTAATGGGGTGTATCAAAGTTATAATTATACTTGACAATTAAATAGTAGCAGTCTAAGTAAGGAAACAAAGTATGTATATGTATATATTATTTAGCTCTGTGCATGGAATGGGGTTGGAATCAATAATAAACTATTTACAATGAGACCATCTAGAAACTAGATCTTGGTTTTATAAATAATATTCTCCATTAAAATAAGTCAGTACTTTTTGAAAAATGGGTGATTCCTGGTTTGTGGCAGGAAAAGTATCATGTGATCTAGAGCATTTTGATTTACCAGAAAGCCAGAAATCAATACTACTGGTGCTGAGAAAAGAACATAGGAACAAAATTATGTTTAAATTAAAATAGTTGCTGTCTTGCAGAAGCTCATATGGCCAAATTTGGGACAAGTAGAATATCAAAAATATTGGCATTAATGCATTAAAAATCTTTTTTTACTGATTTAAAAGGGATAAAAAAGATTTTAAGATCTTTTATAAAGAAATTGTGCTAACTTCATAGTAAGTAGAGGTGAAAGATAAGATATATCTCATTTCCCTTAAAATTTAGGAAAATGCCACAATAAAATCAGTTTATCATTTACTAATTATCAAAACTAATGAAAATTTAGGAAAATGTCACAATAAAATTAGTTCATCATTTACTAATTATCAAAACTAATGAGAGCTTATAAAGCACTATCAGTGTTCTTCTAAATACTTTTATATATTTATATTTTATAATTGTCCCATTGCCCCTAAGAGGTAGAATTATTTTGTACATGGTAAAACTTATTTGGAGAATTTAAGAAATTAGCCCAATATCACATGAATGAGCCAGATTTTCAATACAGGTCAATGTATCTCTACAGTCCATATCACTGTTCCTTGACCTGTACTTTATCCAACTTAACCATTTTAAGTTGAATTTTTAAAGGAATCATTTCAAGGGAACTTCCAAGTCATCAAACCTTTTGGTTATCACAACACTCTGTGAGCTAGTCACATCATGAATGTGTAACATCACACATTTACTACCTTTATTTTGTAAGCAAAGAAATGGAGGTTAGCAAATGTTAAATATCTTGATCAAATTAGTGTAATAGCCAGGACTTGGATTTAAACTTTTTGAGTCCTACTTAATACTTTTTCACAATGGCATGCTGCCAAGAAGCTACTACCTTGGGAAAGTTTTGAAAGAATGAAGTAAAGTTGTGCACTAATGAGTCAAGATTGCATTTATATGAATTTTCAGAAGGAAATGCTAGAGGAACTTTAGGAGACTGTGGTAGGTGAAGTAATGGTTCCCCCAAAATGTCCACAACTTAATCCTCAGAACCTGTGACAATGTTAGGGTGCATGAAAAGGGAAATTAAAATTGCAGAGAGGATTAAGATTGCTAATCAGCTGACCTTAAAATGGGAGATTATCTTGGATTTTCCCTGTGGGCCCAGTGAAATCACTAGAGTCTGTAAAAGTGGAAGAGGGTAAAAAGTTAGATTCTGAGAAGGATATGGGATGATGGAAACAAGGTCAGAGTGATGCCGTGTGAGAAGGACTTGCTGGGTTGGAAGACGGAGGAAGGGGGCAATGAGCCAAGAAATGTGGGTCTCTACCAGCCAGAAGACGCAAGGACATGGATACCTCCCCGGAGCTTTCAGAAGGGTAGCAGCTCTCCCAACTCCTTAGTTTTAGCCGAGTGAGACCCACGTTAGGCTTCAAACTGCTAAAGTTGTAAGATAATAAATTCGTGTTGTTTTGAGCCAGAAAGTTTGATGTAATTTATTACAGCAGCAACAAAAAACTGTATTCAGAGACAAAAGCTTGAAAAGGGAAGAAAAGTAGACAAACAGTGTGAGTTTTTATTGAGTCAGGCCTAATGAGATGAAAATGGATGGATATACTGATGCCATTGATTCTGTGAGGGCTAGAAAATTATAGCGTGTTTGAGGTTAGCAGTTAGGATATTTGACTGGGGAATTATAAAGCATATCCAGGCTAGGAAGGTATAACTTGATCATAACTCTTCCTCAATTTCAATAACTTTCTCATTTTCTCTCTCATCTTTTGGAGAAGAATCAAACCTTTGTAAAGAAATAGTGTGTTGAAAAAAGAACACGGGAAGAAAATTCTGTTTAAATTTATATGAACTGAGAGAAATTTGTTAAAAGGTGCATAGAAGAGCAAGGAGCTTATTCTGATCTTACCTTTCTTCTCAGTACTTCTGGCCTGCTATGCCTACTGGGTCATAGAAGACTGTTGAGCATTCTCCTTTGTGAATCAGCTTGAAAGAGAGTAAGAATAAGTGCATGCTGGGTCCAAAATTTTACTTAATCTTTTAGTAAGAAACTTCAGAGGCATATGCACAAAAAGTGGAGAAATGTTAAGATTATTCATTTATACTGATTACCAGATAAGATTACATTAGGCTAACTTGCATGGTTTCAATATAACTGAAGCAAATTTCTTGAAAATGAGGTGATTGGTTCAAAAGTCTCTCATTTCACTTTCATGTCACATCTTACGATGCATGTTTTTCCTTCCTTACTACGAAATCTTTCCATTAAGAGTCTATAGTCTAAAGAAACGCTGACATTTTGGATACAGTAATTTTTTAATATTGCCATAGTGGCCATAAGATATTTCCATGTTCAAATGTACTTGTAGAAATTAAACAAGTTTGTTTCTCTTAAGGTATTTTACTTTATTTTAAGGTATTTTACAGTATTTTACTCATGCTTGCATTAAGACATTGTTTTTAATGGGAAAGCTATTAGACTTATAATCCCTAAGTATTGCAATGACTGAACTAATAATGATGCTGTATTGTCATTATATGGATCCTACAGAAACATTAAGGCAAATGTAACATTTAGATCATCACTGTTATGAAAAAATAGCAACTATTCAGAACCAAATGGAATGTGCCAGAAAACAATTTGATCTGCCAAATAGATAAGACCATAGTAGATTGTTTTCAATTTTTACCTATTTTATTTAATGCAAGCTGTGTTGTGGATGATTTTGAATGTTAGATTGAGAAGCTTCCTCTTAACTTTGTAGCAGTGATAAGACATATACTATGTATGGTTTTATTTGGAGGAGTCTGGGTGATATGCTAAAAACCAGATAATTAATTTATAGCATTTGCAAATTCTAGTTCACTCTTTAGAGTCATGCCATTGCCAAGAACTTTATCTAATTCACGTGAAACTGCAACTCAAGTAATATTCTTTGTGGTTACATTTGGCCCCAGTACACCAACCTGAACAAAAGCAATTTTTAACTTCATGAAGATATGTATATGTAAACAAATACTTTTTGGCAAGGCTGGGAAATGGATCATTTTGTGTTGTAGCAGAGTCTTGATTTACAGACTCTGGATTTTACACAAATATCTTCTCTCCATTCCTTTGTATGAGAGCACAGTATTGCAGCAGAGGGCTGCTGGGTGTAATTCATCAGAAACAAAAGCATGAGCTATGCTCTGGGCCTCTTAGGGAACTGAACACTAGTTTCTTGGTATAACTGAAAACATTGGGGCTTTTATTTTCTACTTAATTGCAAACCTGTGATCTGAATAGGGCTACAATGAACTGTTAGTGACTATCCATCTCAAGTGAGTCTAGTTAACATATTCAATGTCATATTCTTAAATCATAGTTTCATTATATGTACAACTAGGTTCTCTGGAGGAGTCTTTCCACTCATCCAAGGCTAATTTCTCCATTATTGTTCTACATCACATCCCCTCTCACACTTTGACTTTGCTTCAATAATTATCCTCTTCTTTTTCTAGTTAGCATATAAATAGGCTCAAGCTAATCCCACCTTTAAAAGGAAAAATAAAGCTAAAAGTTTCATCAGACCTAATCATCCTTAGAAATACTTTCTCTTCTTCCTTTCAGAGTTGTGTGTGTTATACCTGGGTCTCACACTCAAATATCTGCAGGGACTAGGCTGTTGATGGAAAAGAGAGCTGCGAAATATGCGGGCAACAGTGGAAAATTACAGAGGCTGTGACCCTCAGCCCGGCCACAACTGATTCCTGCCATACGAGAGCACAGATCCAAATGCCAGAACTTCTCATTTTCCAAGAAAACCTGGAAATATGAACTTGTCTAAAATATCTTAAATGTTAAATGCTACCATCTAACTAATAAAACTAAGCAAAGATGAAGACAAAACATTTGCAGCTCTGTTAAAAAATTTCTACAGGCTAAATTCAGCCTGTCACCTGCTAGTTTGCATTGTCAAATATTATCACTGCCCTCATTTTCTCTCTTCTTAATTTTTCAAGCCATTACAATACAGCTCTGCATGAATTAAACTGTAAATAAAACTCTACATAAACAAAACTGCTCCTCCTAAATGTACTTCTGATCTCCTAAATATCCAAATCAATGGTTACCTCTCCCCAGTGCTTAATATTCTGGATGACTCATTTTGTTCCAGTCATAATCATGTGCACTGATGGCTCAGTTAGTCTTCTCAGTGGTTTTCTTTGTTGAAAGTATCTTCTCATTGTTCTTTGCAGACTCCTTTTCTTCTACATTTTCTTAAATATTGATGTTCATTAAAATTTCTGTCATCAGTCTTTCTCCTTCTCCTTCTTTTTCCTCTCCTCTTCTTCACTGTTAGTGAGCTATGTTATGAAATTAATTCGGACTGCTGTCACCTAATCTTATTACTTGTAGCATCTGTACCTATATAATAGTGACTTTAAATGTGTATTTCTAGCTTTTATCGCTTTTCTTAGTTTCTAAATTTATAATTGCCAATTAGACATCTATATTTAGACATTCTGCAAGCAGCTCTTGCTCAATTATATACATTTTTTTTCTCTTCTATATTTAGGAAAACTAACTGCCCAGTTTTGTCCAGGGCTGAGGGATTTTCCAGGACAGAGGACTTTCAGTGCTGGTGCTGGTACAGTCTTAGGCAAAATGGAGTAACTGATCTCTCTCTCCTTTTCAGCCTTGCTCCTCTTCCTCTTCATAAAATTTTAGTTAACAGAACTAGAAAGTCAGTTCTCTAAATCAAAAAGCTGGGAATCATCCTAAACCTGTGTTCTCAACATGTGTTCCTCAGAATCCCCCTGGGGTGTTAATTAAATATGAAGATTAAAAAAAAAAACCTTCCATCCTATATCATTTAAAACAAGATATTTGAGTATGAGGCATTTTAATTTGTGTTTTAACAGTCTCCCAGAAAATCACTAAATTCACTTAGGCTTTAAAATCCCTGTTCTAGATCTTTTCTTCTCTTGTCCTGCCCACTCAATGAATCAATAGGCATTGGCATTGCTATGACTGTACATGTCTTTTCCCTCCCATTCTTACACATGCCTCTTAGATCAGCCTCTCATCATTTTAATTTTATATTAGGGTAATTGCCTCCTAGCTCATTGCCTCAATTCTAGTCTAATCATTTTTAGAACTATCCTCCACAATGCTGCTGTAATACCAATTTTAAACAGCAAATCTGAAATGTATTCAAAATGTCTCAATCATTTCACATATCTCCTATATTTAAAGTTAAAAACATTTTTTATGTGGTATATAAATTTATTTTTGAGTTTGTTTCTTCTCTACATGCACTACAATGTTCTTACACATTCCCATGTGTAACTGAGTGTGACTATCAAGCCATGTGCTTTGGGTGGAATTGGATGAAATTGACTCTATCCTGAGATGTCAGCATGGCCATTGAAATCATAACTTTCTCAAAGCAATGTTACTTGAAAGGTATGTCACATGATCCACATCACTCTGGTTTAATGGAAACCAATCCCAGAATATTAAATGCATGAGCCAAAAAAAAAGACACTCCATCCTCATGATCTTAGACCTAGAATGTGAACCTTAGGCCACTGTGCCCTTCATACCTAAGAATGAAACCAACGTAGAAGAGAAAAAAGTCAAAAGGTAGTTCCTGGTTACATGCTTCAAGTTCCTGGATGAATCCTTGACAGCTGTGCTGGTGATTTACCTAATATCTCTCAGTTCTAAACTCATACTTCTAAACTGAGACTGGAATTCTGAAAACTAACTTTGTAGACTCATTTAACATCCAACTTCCCCTTAGATTCTGCCACTGGGAGGCATGAGGGTGAAAGTGGAAGCAGCAAAGAAGGCAGAGGATCTTCCCTCCTGTTCTTCGCTTTTAACAGCATAGCTCTTGCAACTGATGACAGTTTTAGCTCTAGCATCCAATTTATTTATTCACTTACTTGTGTCTAAAATAGCTTTTTAAAAATTCTTTCTAAAGAATAGCTTTAGAGAAAAATCAAGGAAAAGGTACACAGATTCCCCATACACTCCCTGCCCCCACACATGCATAGCCTCCCCCATTACTAATGTGTAATAATAGACTTTTTATTGTGGTTAAATATACTTAATATTAAGTTTACCACATCAACAATGTTTAAGTCCATCATTCAACATATTTTCTTTAAAGTATAGTTCTAAATTTACAGAAAAATGGAGAAGATAGTACAGAGCGATTATACATATTCCTTACCTAGATCTCCCTATTATATTAATATTTTATATTACTGTGGTAACTTTGTTATAATTAATGAACTAATATTGATACATTATTATTAATTAAAGCCCATAGTTTATTCAGTTTGAAAATTTATTTTCTTAGTTTTTACCAATTTTTTTCTGTTTTAGGTTTCCATCCAAGATACCACATCACATGTACTTGTATCTCCCTGGGCTCCCCTTGTCTGTGATATTTTTTCAGACTTTCCTTATTTTGATGGCCTTGATAGTTTTGAAGAGTATGAATGCCCCTTTATTGGAATTTCTCTGATGATGTGCCTCTATTAGAATTTCTCTGATGTATTTCTCATGATTAAATTATCATTGTGGGTTTTTAGGAGGATTAACACAGAGGCAAAACACCACTTTCATCACATTGTATCAAGGGTATATGCCATTCACTTGACTTATCACTGTGAATGTCAGGCTTGGTCACCTGATTGCAGCAGTGCTTGTCAGATTTCTCCACTAACAAGTTACTATCCTTCCCTCCCCTCACTCCAATCTCTGTCTTACTGTACTCTTTGGAAGGGTGATGCATTGCCCACATTTAAGTACAAGGAATTTTTGCTCCTTTCTCGAAGGAAGATTATATACATAAATTATTTGAAATTTTTCTGAAGAGAGATCTGTCTCTTCTCCCTTATTTACTTACTTAGTCACTAAGTCATTTATTTATATCAGTCATTTATTTATGTCAGTATGGACTCATGGATATTTATTTTATACTTTGAGTTACAATCTAGTAGTACTTATTTTGTTGCTCAAATTGTTGCAGCTTTGGCCTTCCTTTCACTCTGCTCCTGTGTCTTTTTTATATACTCCCATCAATTAGGTTTTTGTTGTTGTGGAGCACTTTCTTATGTTTGGGCACTATGAGATGCTTCCGGCATCTCATATGCAAGACTCATCTTGCATATTCCTGCCCTAGTCCTAGAATAAGTTATTTTTCCAAGGAACCCTTGTTCTTTTTATTGGAGAATCATATTAAAAACCAAGATTTGGGTACTAAGTGGGTTTGTTGCTATTTGGGTGTCCCTGTTTCCAGGCTTTCTCAGATAACAAAGCACAGAAACCTGTGTGTATACTAACCTGTGTGTATACACATATTTGCAGTTATCCTATACATAACCATCTTTATCTATATTAAGGTAAACACGGGTTTCTACTGATGTCTCCAACTCTAGTCCATTACCATGTTGATCATTCTATACTTCTCCACCTTCTTATCTGCAAATTCTCACTCCTGTAGTGAGAAGCCTAGCTCCCACTAGTGGACATGTAAAGCAGTATCAGATTTGTTAACCTGTGCTCCAATTTGCTTCCAGCCCCAGCTGCACTGTGTCCTCAGACATCTGGGCACCAGACATCTGGAGGACCTCCTTCAACCTCTCCAGACATCTGGAGGACCTCCCCCCAGGTTTGCTTTTGTTCTACCAATTTCAGAGATGGTAGATTTGTCCTGAAATTACTAACATCTGGGTTAACTCAGCATCCCCCTTCGCTTCCCACATCAGTGTAACCAATTCCCAGTAGTAAATGCATTCAGTTTGAAATCCCTGTTATGGTTTCTGTTTTTCTGTATGTACCTTGGCTGGTCTTTGAGCTAATAGTTCCTTTTTTATTTAAGACAGTTTGGATTATTTCTTGTGGCCACAAGAGTGGCCATGCACAAACATAATGAAAAATATACCATACTACTCTTTCTGCCCAGAATGCTCTTTTTTTCACTGCCCATGTGGAAAATTGTCACTAATTCTTTGAGACTCAGTTTAAGCATTAAGTTTCCTGTGAATTCCTCTCTAACTATTCCTATCCCCAAGCATTGCACCAATTCCACTGCACCCTTTCATCCAGAGTTATATGCTTCTCTCTCTGCCTTCTTAAGATGTTTCTTGAATATTGAATTTTCTTATGAGAATGCATCAGAAATTAAATGAATTTTATAATAACTTACAGATCCTGTTTCTGTCTGCACCCTAATGACTTTAAATTATTGTGATTTTAAAAGGGTCCAAGCCACTGAGACACTTGTACATTTTACTTAGTAGAGATATAGTTCTCATGAACATGAGTTGAATAGAGCCTATTCAACTCATTTTGCTTAATTGAACAAAATATTTTTAGTGTGTCTTTTTCAGACAGATAAAAAGTATCCTAAAATTGATACTAGAAGTTCTTTCACACATGAAAAGTATTTGTGTTACCAAAGTTCGGAACTTTGCCTTTCAGTATATTGCATCTTATTTTATTGTCTCAGGAACTTCTGATAAATTCAGTCATGAGCACATATGTTACATGATTTGACTCCTTTTGACGTTTAGCCCATGCCCTGGATTTTTATATTTCTTTTTAATTTACACTTAATTTAAAAGAATGCCAAAGCCATTTCTAGGTCGGCTCTTTAAAATTCCCTCTGGAAAGAAAATTAATCTGTTAAAAGTAGTTACTACATCCATATGAGCTTTAATCCACTCTGCTATCTCTAGGTTGGCTTTTAACAATACCAAGCATTTGATCCTGCACTGGGAATGTATTTAGTGCCATTTTATTAAAAGCCTGATCACACATGGTTCTTTATATCATCAGGGAAAGCTACTGAGAGAGGAACCCTTGGTAAAGGTAGGTCAAATGAGATATTTTTCTTTCTTCTCCTTTATATTTCATTGAAAGATTATGCAGTTATAAAACCAACACTTTCATGTATCAGTATAAAATCTCTCAAATTTTATAAATATAGACCAAATTTGGAACATGGGTCTTCAAATTCTGGTGGTGTTTCAGTGGCCCTGAATTTCTGTTGAAATGTTTTGAGGTTGCCCTCGGCAGGAACTCTCAAGGAGTGTTATCACTAGATCTTTTCTCTGTAGAGGAAAGTTACTAAAGTTGCTCCAGATATACCTGTACTATAGACACCATTCATTCATTGTCATGTTCTGAGTGCTAGTCAAGTGCCAGTTACCCCATAGGCACTGATGATATATACGATAATGAGGGAATTGTCTGATATTAATAACATGGAAGGGCAATGACAGTGACATGCACAGGATATTTAGGGAACAGTATGTGAGGGCAACCCATTGTTGTTTCTGAGGAAGAAAGGAGGACAGGGTACATACACAAGCATTAATACCAGGTCATGAAATCTAGACTTCTGAAACATTATTTTTATTAGCTAGACATGCCAAGGGAGTGGCCAGGAATAAATGAGGAGTGAGAATTTCACACTGTGGAAAATAAATTGACATAGAAAAAAGTCTGAAAAACCAGAACAGTGCAATGTTAGTGCCCTGATAACCCTGATACGGTCGGATTGCTCTGAAAACTGTATGACTTGTCACTGCAGAAAGCCATCATTAAATGTTGCTGCTTTTTGCTAGGCATGCTTCCACTGGGTGCTGACTTACCTGGTGATAGTTAACCACTGTTACTGGAGTCTCTTCTATTCTATCGATATTTAGCTTGTTACTAGCGCATAACTTGACACCACCAAACTTCACAGCTCTGCGGAAACTACCACCACTACATTCTATTAAAAAGTTGAAAATACCCTTTTTGGAATTGTTAGTCCATATATAATAAGAATAGTTTGCATCATATTGCATTCTTTTAGAACTAGCCTAATTTGGAATCCTCATCTATTTCAGCATAATATAATTTTAAAAATTGTATTTGTTTTAATTGACAAATAATTGTATGTATTTATGGGATATAATGTGATGTTTTAATACAAGTGTACATTGTGGAGTGATCAAAATAGGCCGAATAGCATATCCATCACCTTGCATATTTACTAGGAAGAGTAATAAAGTAGCATGCCCTGGTATACTATTATCAGACTTCTGCATTTCACAGTCCAGTAAAATTTCAAAAAGAAAAAAAGGAGACAAGTGGGCTTTGACAATTTTAAATTCTGGGTAAAAAAGACATGAAAAACATTTACCATCTATTCTTGCCACTGCTTCATAATAAAAAGAAATTTTATCCAGAAAAAAAGGCATAATCTCTGAATTTAAAAATAGGAATATATTCTGCTTTATGAAGAACTCCCTGATTATGCTAATTTTACTAATTTTGCTACAGTCTAGAGAAGATTTTTGTGCCACTGAATACTAGTGTGTATACTGGGGTAAGAAATGGGTTTTTCGACTCATGCAAATCTGAGATTGTATCCCAGTTATGTCACTTTTTAGTTGTATAAACTTGGCTAATTTAACTTCCCAAACTTTTAAACCTGTAAAAACAGAATAGTTATCTGCTTTGCCTCCAGCATAATATTATTGGAAACATTAAAATAGCAATGCATGTGACAACCATTTACCAGCTAATAAATGTCATAAAATATAATTTTTGAAAATACTATTCATGGCACTGAAGAAATTATAAATATTCCCTCTTCCCATCCCCTTTCAAAAGAAAAGAAAGAAAGGAAGAGAGCTAACACTTATTGAGTGCCTACTATATTTAAGGAACAGAGGCAGCTGCTTTTTATTTATTTTAATTGTCACAATAAAGCCCCAAATTGCATATTTTATCAACATTTTACAGCTGGAAAAAACCACAACAAAACCCATGAAGTTCAGAGTTAAACTAGTTTCCCCAACCACACAGCTGATGAAAAGCAAAATGAGGAATTTAGTCCTAAGCCTGTTCAACTTTTACTATTCAATGCTTCTCTCCAAGAAAAAAATCAGCATATTTTGCATTGTCAAAAAATATAATCTTTTTTTTTAAGCTCTCAAAAGTACAAAATGTTAATTTTGGGCTTAGCATGTAGCAGTAAGACCACAGTCAACGACAAATTCCGTCAGTGTAGTTTATCCTTTAGGCATTAAAGCCCTGAATTATGTTCAGAAAACTCTTTCCTTTATTATAATTAACTGTCAAATTAGCTTGCATGATGAATAATTTAACACAATTATTCACATGTACTTTAGGAGGATTCTTACAATGAAGATTAGACAAAATCATGACATTTAAAATAAGGTTTCCACTACTTTTTTTGGGCTAAAACAAAATGATAATACAGTCTTATAATTTTGAGTTTTGGAACCATTTCTAAAAATGACATTCTATATTACCAAGTATAAGAATGGCATATGAAATTAATTTTTGAATTGTACTAGTGCATCCATGTTTCATATTTCTAAAAATAATGCCAATATATTTTAAGTCAGTCCTATGATATAATCTAATGATTTTCTCCCTTGCAATATATAAGGAATTTTAAGTTATAAAAAAATGCACCTTGTTCCTATACATTTAAGAAATGACAAAATTTTATCCAGTTTCAAATTTAAAAACTTGTAAATCAATTGTTTTAGTGTCATATAAATCTTCAAACTATGAATATATCTGTTGAAGCTTAGACTTTCAAGAAGCTGTCTGTGTTTATGCTATGCTGAAATGTAACATAAAATGAAAAGTGAATGGAAATTGAGAAAGGAAATCAGGTTTTCACTATAAAATAGTATGCATTTTTGAAAAAGCCCCTTGTGTACTTCCAGAAAATCTCAGTCAGAAAAAATTCCTCTTGTTTCTTTTGCATCCATCTTTTAGTCTCTAGTACAGTGTGTGATACAGAGTGAACACTAGGTAACTGTCTGCATTACGAACATATCCTGGTATTTGACATCATAGAAAAATACTTCGCTGTAACTAACTGAAGTTTCCATTTTGTAAGAGTTCAGCTTTTACAAAAGTCAGCTATGTGGAATTGAAAAGAAAATAAAAGTAAAGTAAGTGAAATGGTGATTTATCAGTGTTTATGTCTCTTTGCCCTGGGCAATCCTTTTACTTGGCTTTAACAGAGAAAAACAATCAGACGTGTATTAGATATTGAACTAGTTCTATTAGGTATCCACTGTGGCCTCCAGAGTATCACTGGCAGTATTAGGCTGAGACACATTTCTTATGTAAATTTTTGGGATGCACCTTTATTTTGTAAAAATGGCAAATGTCAATGTGCTCTTTTTCTTTCCTGTCTTAACCCTCATAGGTTGATTCTAAAAAATCTCTATGGAGCTATATTTGCTGCCCTGATATGGTTTCTCAGAAACCTGGACAGAGGATCAGAGATAAGTAGCAGGCAATATCATTCTTTACTTCCCACTGAGCTTTGCTATTTCAGCTGAAATGGTATGTGACCTCCGTATTGCCAGTCACAGCGGGGTAACTTTAAAGGACAAGAAATTTGGCTGGAGTTAACACTTCAACCCTTGAACATTCAAGTTATTTTTGATACAAGACTGGGTATACACAAGTATTATTGGCTGAGAACAGAGTGGTTTTTTTGCCTTTGTCTTTTTCAGTTCAAGAATAATTTTTTTTGTGTGTGTGTGCAAGAGTACTACCTTAAAGTAGTATTGCCTCAATTTATTCAACATTTCTCTGTAAATAATTTCTCTATGGCTGTACCAACAAGTCAGAACACTTTTGTATTTCTATTAGATGTACATGGTTTCTATCTTATCACATGGGTCTCTTGAGGGTGAGAGCCATGTGTTCTTTTTTATTAATATCAACAGAATCTGTATCATATTCTTAACTTTTTAGGTACCTGTAAAGTATCAGAAAGATAATTGTTTGACATTTATGTCTGTGTTTACACAAGTTCCAAATATAACCCTTTATTTCAAGGAATACTATTTACGTATTACTGTGATGAATAAAACCAGCAACAGCTCATAGTTCCTGGTCATTTTCTATAAGTCAAGTGCCGTATTTGTGCAGATACTTCACTAGGGATGCTGTTAACATGAAGATTCTGATTTACTAGGTCTGGAAAAGGTCTGAGAATCTGCATTTCTAACAAGTGCTGGGGTGACACTGATTTTGCTCATTCAGGACCGCATAAACAAACATGTAAAGTAGATACTCATTATTCAGTTGAGGAAATGGAAACTTGGAGAGATGAAGTAACTTTCCCAATGCCATATAATTAGAATTTGGCTGCAATTAGAGCTGGTATACAAAACAATTTCTATTTGTTGCCAAAGCTCATCCTTAAGCAGTGCTTTTAAAACTTACCTATGGGAAAGTATCTGTTTTTCTCCCTCCATTCTATTTCAGGCCTAAGATTTTATAAAGTACAACATCAAAATGAAATGGAAGTGCTGGAAAAATGAAATGGAAGCCTGTATGTTTTATTTTTAAATTCAAAGACATTTTTAAATTTCAAAGACATTGCTAAATTACTATAAAGGTTTCTAAACATTTATTCTAAATTTCCATGTATTTCACGGCAGGTTAGTCACAATTCAAATACCTACACAGGTCCATGGACCACACTTAGAGTAGCTTTGCTCTAGTCAACTAAACTTGTCAGAAAACTAGGATTTTTAATGAACTTTTCAACTCAAGGGAATAATGTTGATAGTTTTATAAATTAAAAAACTATAACTTTATTTACACTCCATTCAGGAACTTGCTAAGAAAAAAATAGAAAATACCAATAAGAAACATTGAAAATAATACTTAATTCTGCTTCATGGATTTTAAAATGAAACCTTACAGATGAGTCTTAGGCTCTAAGACTATCTTTGATTTAATAGATAAAATGAATTTACCTGCTTGCCTTGTCTCCAATTATTTAGAGAATATTATGTTTTCTTTGTGAAAGGGATTGCTATTTACTTTTTAGTTCGATTTTGTTTTTACACCTCCTAGTTTCTCTGTTCGTATGTAGTGCATGACACATCTTATCCTCGGATCTGAGTGGAAAGTCAGGCAGAGGTCATGTCAATATTTTTTTTCTATCATTTCAAAACAAAAATCATGCTGTGTTATTTATCGATTTTAAACATTCCTCCTTTCTTCAGTAATCTTGGAAGAAAACACCAGATAAAGCAGCACTACTTGTGAACACATTGTTCTATAAGTCTTTTCATAGATCAGCGTAGGGAAGTTCTGCTTTCTCCCTCTGTGTCCTTAATATGGTCATGGGCAGGTGGGTGCATTTATTTATTCACTTGCTTGTTTGTTTGTTTTCTGCACACACAGCCAGAATGCAATTGTTTCTTAGAAAAGCATTTGCCACAATTTCAGAATTATCTTACCCTACAATCACTTAAAATTGATCTCTTTTAAAGAGAACGATTAACTTTAGTTTCTTCATGGTCTTTAACCTTCTGCTGAAGTGGTAAGATTGTTTTTGTTTTGACTATTGATCTAGTGTCTAAGATCCAATATTTTATGTTTTACATAATATTAATACTTTTGCCTACTTTCTGTCATCAAATTCCAATTTTAAGCAAACTTAAGTTATAAGTCTGAAACTTAAAACTTTATTTCTTTATTTGGAAGGTCTATTTTTTTCCCCACTATATAGAAATTATAGTGCAATTGCTCTGTATCTAAAAAAGGAGCACAGTAATCTTTAATCCTCAAAAGTTTACAATAATACTGTCTGGGAAATAAAAAAAAAAGTTGACTAATTCTTGAGGTTGTATCATGATATTCTAAGGGAATCTATATATCCGAATCCTAAAGAAAAGGTTGTTTGATTTTCCTCAAAGTCTTTTTTTGGGGGTGGTCAACTTGACTTAGCAGACTCAGATAAGGTTTTCACATTGGCTCTATTTTGTAAGCTTTACAGCCTTAAACAAGTTACTTAACTTTTTTTTTTGTATTCTCAACTACGAAATAGGACTAATAGTATATTTATATGGTAAAGTTGTTTAAATACTAAATGAGATAGCATATGGAAAAAACCTAGTATGTTTAAGATGTTCTGTGGTGGGCTGGGCATGGTGGCTCATGCCTCTAATCCCAGCACTTTGGGTGGCTAAGCTGGGAGGATCGATTGCTTGAGCCCAGGACTTAGAGACAAGCCTGGGACGTATAATAAAACTCTGTTGCTACAAAAAATGTAAAAATTAGCTGGACGTGGTGGCACAAGCCTGTAGTCCAAGCTACTTGGGAGGCTTATGTGTGAAGGTCTCTTGAGCCCACGAGATTGAGGCTGCAGAGGCTGTGACAGAGTCACAAGAGGCCAGCTTGGGCAACAAAGTGAGATCCTGTCTCAAAAAACAAACAAAAAACAAAAGGGAGATATTCAACTATGTTGAATTCTTTCGCTTAAGCTTTATTTTTGAGGAGGAACGGGTAGAAAAGTCACAGTGACAATTTTGTGTTCATGAACAATATCTGTGAAATAATATTTGTTTATATAAAATTATTTATTGACAAATAAAAATAGTATATATATTTATGGGGTACAATGTGATGTTTAAATAATTGGAATGATTAATTCAATATGTGAAATGAGCAAAAGCAAGCTAATTAACGTATACTTCATCTCACATAATTGACATTTTTGTGGTGAGAACACTTGAAATTTACTCTCAGAAATTTTCAAATATACAACACATTGTTATTTACTATAGTCACTATGCTGTGCAATAAATATCAAAAACACATTTCTTCTTCCTGTCTAGCAAACTTTGTATTTTTTGACCAATAGCCTCCTATTCTCTCCTCCCACCCTCTGGTAACCACCCTTATACTCTCCATTTCTATGAGTTCAACCACATTAGATCACAAACAAGTGAGATAATGTAGTATTGGTCTTTCTGTGCCTGGCTTATTTCATTTAGCCCAATGTCCTCTAGTTTTGTCCTTGCAAAACTAATTCTTTTTTGTTGTGATGGTGGGATATTTCATATCTATGTCTATATCAATATTTACTTCTTTCAATATGCCTACCTCTACATCAATTTATATCTCCATTTTAACTCCATGTATTTACTAATCACCTATATTTATATATTAGATCTTTTTTCTGATATCTGTCTGCTGTCATCATCTATCTATCCACTTGATTTTTTACTTATTTTTCTGTTAGTAGTGAGGAGATAATATTTACTCACGTTTACAATCCAAATGTGCAAAAAAATCAAAACTTTGCCTCGATAATAGATCTAATTGTTTTCTTTCACCCACAACCCACAGGGTATTAAGTTGGGAGGGAAACTTTAAACATACCAATTATCAGGACACCCATTTCTCCTTATTTAAATAGTGTCCCTTGGAAGACTTGGTCTCCTTTGGGGAAACACTTGGTTTTTCATATTTTCTTCTAAAACAATCTGCTTCCATCCAAGATGACATCTAATATAAAGGGGGCCTATATGAGTTGGGCGGGAAAGAAAGGTGATATTCTCTAAATCCTGTTTCTTTTGTAGGTGGCCTGTGTTCTGATATTCTCTGGCAATTTTAAAGTGGTGGGTGGCACCTATGACCAAAGCCATTCATGTTTCTCTAACGTACTGCAACCTCTGAAATCTCCTACACCCTTCATGTTCCCTCACCAGGGTTCATTGAACCCGTGAATCATTAATATGCCCTGTGCAAGCCATGAGGAGTCAGGGTACTGCATAGGCTTTTTTTCTATTATTAGATACCCTTTTCTGCCACTTGTGGTACTACTACCTGTGTACTGTGATGGACATAACACTTACAGGATGGTAGATTTCTTCTAAAGGCCTTGGCCTCCCTAGATATGGCAGAAGTGGACCTCCTGTTTCTTGACCACTCCCATATATAATTGGATAGAAACACCACCCATATGGAGCTAAGCCTTGAGAAGTGGAAAAACTGAAAACCCTGGAATCTGCCCTTTTATACTACTTCAGTCTCTTGTATCCTCCCATATTCCCACTGTGGGAGAGGGAGGAAGGGACCAGCTCTCTATTTCTTCCTCTCTGATCCAGCTTCCCCTATGCCATGTCCTCTACTTTTTTTTCCAGGGACTTAAGGCAAAAGAGTTAACATTATTAATAAATGCACATACATTAAAAATCATTCCAAAAATATTAGGATAGATGGATGGGTGGAGAGATAGCTAGTTAGATACTCTTCAGGCCATCACTGTCTTTTAAAAGGAAAAAATTATGGTACAGCCTAAAGATTATAACCTGAAAGGGGTTATAACACAAACTCCCTCTATATCACTTTGGAACATTTAATGACCTAAGAATTGGTTATAAATAAATCCATCATTGCAGGGAAGTTTATCTAAAGATATTACCTTAATGCTCTGAAAAAGCAATATGGCCTATAGCTCTTCTCAGTGGATAAGTGTCTTTTTCATTTGTGACATTGCCAGTATCGTAACTCCCAAATGCCTAAAACTATTGAGTCCTTTCAGCCTAAAATATCAAACAAATGCTATTGATTTTTTTCGCAGATTTCTTGAACTAAGACATTCAACTATTTAATTTGATTTATATATTAGCGAGTGATAAGACTAAGTTCACACTGCTACTTCATTTATGAGACATCTAGGAGTACTCATATTGCATACACATCATCTATTTATTTGCTCTTTCCATAATCACCTTTTGTATGCATACATATTTTTCCAAAGATATGAGAATATCTTTTTTAATCTTTAGTAATTTTTAACTTTTTGGCTTTTTATTTTAAGTTCAGGGATACAAGTGCAGGTTTGTTACACAGATAAACCTGTGTCATGAGAGTTTGTTGTACCGATTATTTCATCACCCAGGTATTAAGCATGGTGCCCATTAGTTACTTTTCCTGATCCTCTTTCTCCTCTCACCCTCCACCGTGCCCCAGTGTGTGTTGTTCCCTTTTATGTGCCCATGTGTTCTCATCATTTAGCTCCCACTTATAAGTGAGAACATGTGGTATTTGGTTTTTGTTCCTGTGTTAGTTTGCTAAGGATAAGAATATCATTGTCGGCCGGGCGCGGTGGCTCACGCCTGTTAATTCCAGCACTTTGGAAGGCCGAGACGGGCGGATCACGAGGTCAGGAGATAGAGACCATCCTGGCCAACATGGTGAAACCCCGTCTCTACTAAAAAAAAGATACAAAAAAGTAGCCGGGCGTGGTGGCGGGTGCCTGTAATCCCAGCTACTCGGGAGGCTGAGGCAGGAGAATGGCGTGAACGTGGGAGGAGGAGCTTGCAGTGAGTCGAGATTGCGCCAGTGCGCTCCAGCCTGGGCGACAGAGCCAGACTCTGTCTCAAAAAAAAAAAGAAAAAAAAATCATCGTCATAGTTACACATTTATTTTATTTCTTCCGTGAAAGACCTGTTGAATATTACTAAGGTCAACTCACTGGGCTTGATCTGTGGAGCCATATATAAATAAAAAATTCTGCCTCCCTTGGCTTGGAACACATAGCTAAATAGGATAGTTATGCATGTAAAAAAATACTTTAATAGCTGTCTTTTTGTAAAAATTCTCTTTCATTTTTTAATAGATTATAAAACACAGTCACATGCCCTAGAAAAACATACCTGTCTGGAATAATTAGTTCTAATGATCAGGAGCTCAGTAGTATACCCTGCAACTTCTTGATGTACCACAATTTTATAGCTCTGTACAAAAACTTTGACCTTGACTATCAAGAGAAGCCTAAATTTAGTTGTGTTTTCTGATTTCATATGCAGAGATATTTGTAATATTTTTAAAAATAAGTTATACTTTAATAAAATGTATAGATCCTAGGTGGTGTTTGATGAATTTTGGTAATTATCTGGTGCCTTTTTCACTACATCTCTTTGTGTTGTATTTTCATAGTTACACTAGAGGTTACAAGATGTGTATCTTATCTTACCACATTCTACCTTCAAAACCTTACAACTTATGTTGTGTTATATATCTAAACTCTATGACAATGAATCACACAATATTATTTTTAACTAGTAGTGAATAAATTTTAAAGAAAATTAAAAATGTGTAAAAATAAACGTGTAGTAATAAGATATGTTTTATTTTAACCAACATACTTACCTTTTTGATGTTTTTAATTTTTCTTTTATTTAATTAATTAATTAACTATTCCTGAGACGGAGTCTTGCTCAGTCACCACCTGGGCTGGAGTACAATGGCGTGATGTTGCCTCATGGCAACTGCCACCTCCCAGGTCCAGGCGATTCTCCTGCTTTAGCCTCCCATGTAGCTGGGACTACAGGTGTGTGTCACCACACCTGGCTAATTTTTGTATTTTTAGTAGAGACAGGGTTTTGCCACATTGGTCAGACTGGTCTCAAACACCTGACCTCAGGTCATCCACCCACCTCGGCCTCCCAAAGTGCTGGGGTTACAGGCATGAGCTACTGTGCCCGGCTTGATTTTATTTTTTATGATGAAGACTTCCATTTGTCATCATTTCCCTTTAATTAGCCTGAAGACTTTTTCTTTTTTTTTTTTTAAGTATTTCTTTTGTAGGACACATCCAAATTGAAGATCAATTCTCTTGGTTTTTGTTTCTTTGAAAATATCTTTATTTCATTTCATTTGTGAAAGTTACTTTCATTGGTTAAGGAATTCTAGATTAATTTTTTTTCTTTTAATACTTTATTATGCAATGTCTTTGTCTTTGGAACTTCATTTTTTTGATGGGCACTAAACCTTTATTCTTATTACTGGTTCTCCACATGTAATGCATCTTTTTTCTTTGGATGTTTTTATGATTTTTTCTTTATTATTTGTTTTCAGCAATTTGATTATGATGTACCTAGGTGTGATTATTTTGCGTTTACCTTCCTATAATTCACTCAACTTTTGGAGTATTTCAGTCACTTTTTTTTTTCAACAACATTGGAAAAATTGTTAGCTTACAATAATAACCTTCTTTAAATATTTGTTCAATTATATGATTTTCCCTATTTTGTCAGAGTCTGATTAAACATGTTAGATTATTTGATGTTGTCCCACACCTCAGACATTGTTTTATTTTATTTTCACTTTTATTTGCTCTTTCAAGTTGAATAATTTATATTATGTTTTTCTTTAAGTTTACTAATTGTTTCTTCCATTGTGTGAAGTCTTTTTTCAAGCCTATGAAAAGAATTCTTTATTTCTGGTATTGTGTTTTTTTCCCCTTTAGCCTTCTCATATAACTTGTTTTTATAGTTCTTTTCTCTCTGCTATAAATACCATATATTCACACATGTTTTTCATTCACCTTTAATGTTTATCAGTTTGTTTTAAAAGTCTCTGTCCAATGATACCAACAATGGACTTATCTCTGGTTCTCTTTTGATTGGCAATTTCTGCTCTTGACAATAGATGACAGTTTCTTGGATCTCTGAATGTCTTGTAATTTTTATTGTATGATTGACATTATGTTTAAAAGAATAGTAGAGACTGAAGTAAGTAATATTTACCCCCAGAAAAAGGAATGCCTCTCTTTTCATTAGGTTTTTAGTTTGACGGGGATAAATCAATATAATGTGTGGTTAAGTTGGATTTAGGTTTTGTTACAACTTTAGTTAAATTTAATTTACCATTTGCTTTACATATGTTAAGAGGAGAATTGGAATTTTCCTTTCAGCAGGGTTTGGAATCTGATCACCTGAGTCAAGAGATCACGTCATGCTTTATGGCTAATCAAGCAGCTTTCTGCCCCAGTGAGTTTCTTCTTTCTCCTGATGACAAGCTGTCAATGTTTGGAAGAAGCTCTGAAAGCTCAGAGCTCCTAACGGGCATTTCTCTCAGATATCGTGTTCAGCTCCCAGCCTTCAGATGGCGGGCTGCTGCAGTGCGCCCTACAGTGGAAGCTAAATGTTTTGTGAGGGATTTCTTTGAGCTCTACTGCCTTGTTCTCAGTTTTTAGTGAGCTGTAATAAGCATAAGAAAGTATTAACAGGGTTATTATGGCAGAGTGCTGATAGGCAAGAAAGACTTTGATGTGTGACATTTGAGCTGGCCCTTGAAAGATAAACAGAAGTTGGCCTTATAGAAGTAGTAACAGAAGGACTCTAAACGGTATGCTCTAAGTTTTAAACTTATAAGAATAGTTCTGGCCGGGCACGGTGGCTCACGCTTGTAATCCCAGCACTTTGGGAGGCTGAGACAAGTGGATCACCTGAGGTCAGGAGTTTGAGACCAGCCTGGCCAACATGGTGAAATCCTGTCTCTACTAAAAATACAAAAATTAGCTGGGCATGGTGGCAGGTGCCTGTAATCCTAGCTACTCGGGAAGCTAAGGCAGGAGAATCGCTTGAACCCAGGAGACGGAGGTTGCAGTGAGCCGAGATCACACCACTGCACTCCAGCCTGGGTGACAAGAGTGAGATTTTTGTCTCAAAAAAAAAAAAGAAAAAAGAAAAAAGATTAGTTCTACTTTATCTTGTAACGACTCAGAAAAACTGATACTTAGCTTTTGTACTTTTCTTTCCATTTATTTATATTTCATGGTCAAATTTTATTATCAGATATATACCATCTATTTTAGATATGTTTGATAAAAATGTTTGATTTTCTTCATTTTCTACATTTTCTACTACTCTTTATATACCTGTTCAGCATTAGCTAATCCGTTTTCATACTTTTGCTTTTCCTTTAAGTGGAAAAGAGCATTCAAGTTCTCATACTTCAAGTTTACTCTTTCAAAACACTCAATGTATTAAATGAGTTGGTTAAGAAAAATTTAAATGTTTCCTTCAAAAGTGTTAAAAAACATTTTTCTTTAGGTTTATGCATATTAATTTTACTCACTAAATATTTAAGGAAAGTTGAAGAAAAGTAAAGTAATAAGCCTATACTTATAGTTTATACTTTCCCAAGGATTAAGTTGAAATAGTCAATCTTAGTAAAATACTAGAGGAAAATAACCTATTTTTGTGTATATTCAATACAACATTTGATATTCTGTTGTTGGTTTTTATAGATTTCAGATTGTCCTCTGTATTTATGATTTCCTTATTTGTGAGATTTTGAATCCTACACACATATTTAAGTGAGAGTTATTTTCAAATGGTAAATTGGTTCATGTCACTTTCGTGTTTTCAACCTTTTAATAGTTTCCCATCATGCTTAGTCTAAAATCTCAAGTTTTTACCATCACCTACAAGGCCTTATATTAGCTGGCTCTTCTGACCTTTTTCCTAAACGCTTTCTCCTGCCTCCCTCTTCTCTATCCCACTAGTCTACTTGTTACCCTTTGAACATAAAAAAAGATTCAATGTCCAGAAATTATATATTTTCCTCTGTCATGAACTGCTTATCTTTCAGGTAATCACATGATTTGCATCCTGACTTCTTTTGGTCTTTACTCAAATATATTGTCCTCTGTTGATCTTTTTCTGATTATCTGGAGTAGTACTTCTCTTTACTTTTCATCTTTTTTACCGCTCTACAGTGCTGGGGCCAATCGTCTTGCTAGAAGTCTTAGCTTTCTGGAATTTCTCCTGGCTTGTATATGCCTTCTACCTTGAAATCAAAACTCTCTATAAGTAGGAGAGGTTTGGTCTCTATCTAATTTGGGCAAGGTTTTAGATTCACTTTGAGAGTGACTGCTCAAAGATCAGTGCTTACTCCCCAAGTTCTCCTTTCCTAATAGTAGGGGAGCTGAAGGGAATAGTACAAGGTGTTGGAAATGAAGGAGGAGTTTTTCACCTAAGGCCAAGAATGACCACAAATTAACAGGATTGAGGAGACTATAGGAATAAAGTTCAATAAGCCAAGCCAAAACTCAATAAGAAGGCACGTATCAAAACAAGCGTACAATGACAAAAACATTAACAGCCAGGTAAATAAAGTTAGCAGGGTAAATTCTGGGGCAAATGTCCAGAGATTTATATGAGTTTGTTCAATGCATATAGGTGTCAGTTATGGTATCGTATACCCCAAAACATAAAGTGCCAGAAATATGTATTTTCAGCTACAGTGTTAGAGGCTTAAAATGTATTCTTCACAATGACGTACATTTTACAGATGTAAAATGAAAACTTGGATAATTACACTCAGTTCCATTTGATTCCAAGGTTTGCAGACATGATGCTATACTTCATGGGTGAGGTACGATTGGAGTTGGGCCTTGAGTGTTGGATAATAGTTGTAGACAACACTAGATGGTAAGACAGGGAGAGATATTTACTGGACTAAGAAAATAAATGTCACCAAAGTCTCAGAGGTAGGAACTTCTGGGACATATTAGGGGAATAAAAAGAATCTTCTTCTTCCATTTTTATTAATGTAAGTTTCAATTCAACATGTACAAAATGAAACAAAATCTTGACTATTTTTTCATCTACATCCCAGGCCTATGTAAAGTTTGATATCAGATACAAAATGTGAATACCAACTTCTGTGGATTATTGTATTTCTAAGAGGAGAAAAAACATCAAGGCTTTTCTGACTCTAATCACCAATTCAATAAGCACTTTGGTATAGTTTATTTGGACAAACATTTATTGAATTTTTGTGACAGATAGTATGTTCAATGATGGAGATATGAAGAATAATAAGACATAGTCCCTCAGGGGCTTAGAGTAGTGGGGGAAACAGATTGATATAATTAAATTACAGTTTTCTAGATGTACTGGTAGAAGTATGTGCTCTTACTTATTGATATTTTCCTTGCAGTTGAAATTAATCTTCAATTCAATAAAGAATTATTTGATTGTTAAAGAAAAGTTACTCTCATTTCCAGGTTATTTGTTTTTGTAATCGTTTTGTTTGAACAAGAAACTACACATCTTTTTTCAACATTATACTTAACTTTAGACTTTAAAAGTGATTTACAGATATTAAGGAATATTTTGTGAATTGGGCTTTAAACGTATTTTTTGGGGTAGGGGATTCTTACAGGAAACTTCATTCCCAAGCTATTTATTTTAGGCCCCTCTTTTTATGTATTTATCTTTTACTTTTAAATTGACATACAAAATTGTGTGAATTTAAAATTTACATCATGATGTTTCAAAGTATATATGCAATAATGACTAAATCTAGCTAATTATACATTACCTCAGATAGTCATCATTTTTGTGATGAGAACACTTTACATTCACCCTTTTAGCATTTTAAAATAATACAATATATTATTAACTATTATCACCATGTTGTAAGATAGATCTCCTGAACTTATTCCTCCTATTTAACCAAAATTATGTATTTTTTGATCAACATCTCCCTACCCCTCATCCCTCTGCATGTATTTTTTTCAGTCAAAGAGAAATGAAGACAATCATGATAGAATATGCTGTAAGATATAGATGAGAATTTCTTTGGCTGAGATTTTTGAGGGGTCTTATGTAATCCTACTCAGGTTTTTGTTGCATATAACTCAATTTCACAAGCTTTCTTTCACACGTCCCTTGAAAGTACAGTGATTTTTTTTTTAGTGTTCTTCTTCTTTCATGCCAGGGTGTTTACCTGCCATTTCATATATGTTTGAGTTGGCAACAAAATGAAAAATTGGTTCTAGATATAAGTGTCTTACAGGTCAGCGATTCTAAGTGGCAACAAAAGCAGCAAAACCAATAGTAACTTGATTCTTTGAAAGACCTTATGTAACATTTAAAAGCAGCCAATATCTTTAGAAAACTCTTGTTGAATGAATTAATATTTTTACATACAGTTAGGAATTTGATTCTAGGAGCAACAGCAAAACCCAGAAACCATATAACAAAGGCATATATATTACAAGTCAATGAGCAAAAGGCGGATATAGGTATAAACATGGCTAATACCCTGTAGGAGGAACCACCAAATATATTTGTAATTTCTGGCAGTAAGGATTTTATCTTTATATTTACAGAAACCATAAGAAAATATGAAGATTTTACATTTTTTCATTAATAAATCATTACTTGCCATTTTTAATCCACAGAAGTTGGTATTCACATTTTGTATCTGATATCAAACTTTGCTTAAGTCCAACTTGATGGGCTGTGAAAATGAGGATGATTTGTTCTTAACTTATTTAAAATGAAACAATGCTTATTGCAAATCCTGGCCATATTTAGGCTATTTTCTTCTGTTGAGCATATCTCAGATAAGCACAACAGGAAGGAAAGATGGCTAGAGATGTAGCTAAGATGGGAAGGGCTAATCTATAAATATTAGATGACTGCAGTGTGCTTATGCTGTGCTAGACACTACATACTAGGAATAAAAATAACTAGGCGGAAATTCTGACAAGTGTCAGAGGAGAGAATAATAGTGTTACTATCTTAAGAAGAAAGCCTGAGAGCAAACCACACATCTTGTGTATTTGACTGCAATGATCAAGATGACCATACCCAAAGTAGGGTGGCATACCGTTAGGAAGTAGAAAGGCTGCTAGATTTTAAGTCAGGTCTAGATGCTCACCCGGCCCTGGCATTAATTTTCTCTTCCAATTTAGGCAATTTGCTTTAAAAAAATGAGCTGCTATTTTGTCATCTATAAAATGGCCTGTTGTATCTCTAGGCATTCTTTCAGCTCTAACTAGATGATCCATAGACTCTTTGTCTAATTCTTTCTCTAATCCCATTGAGGAAAGAACAAGATAAAATAATTTAGATTATAACGTTCTGAGTTTTAATTAGAAATAAGGACATGTTTCCAGGCAGTGAGAGTGACTCAGTATTGGCAAGTGTTTCTAAGGGAAGCCAAGAAACTATTGTTTCTGTAGATTAGTGAAATCTTTGACATTCTGCACAGCCAAAATCACTGCCTGAAGGTAGTGGGGAAAAATGACCAGATGGCCTCAGGGGCTTCTCTGAATCACCTCCACACTGCCAGGTTTGAAGAAACTATAAAATGACACTGTTAGCTTTCAGGTTGTATATATTTGTCTTCTGTGTTGTCTGGAAGCTCTCCCATCAGAACTACAACCATCTCCTAATGCTTTATCTTGTACTCAGGCAATGCAACTCACTCCGTTCCTAGACAGATGGAAAATAAGGGAACTGCCTTGTGAGAAACTGCAGAAACACAACTGGTCTAATACACTTCACCACTAGGTGGCACTCTAATCATATCACAGCTACCATTTTAAAAATCAATAACCTTGCCTTTATATATGAAAAATTTCACTTGTTTTCTGTCTTAAAATGGTTCCCCCTTACCACTCAAATGAAAAGGCTAGCTCTCAGAAAGCTTGAATTTTTTATATGTAGTTTTAGAAAATCGTCAAGTTCAGTTATTTTGTTAGGCATTCAATAATTTATAAGGCTTTTTTATATCTCATATAACAAGAAGCAAAATTCAATAAATACATGTGTGGTGTAAAATATCAGTGTATGTTTAGTTGGTTTAGTTATTGTAAAGTGAATTAGACACATTCCAAGCATTACAATGTGATGCTACTCCATCACATTGTTATGTAAATGTTTTGAAGTGTTTCAAAAATGTAATGGACCCAAGTGATATAAAAAGTTTTAGTGTTTGAAAAATGTAAGGGACACAGGGAAATTCTTATTGTTTTGCAATTAAGCAGAAAATGGCCTTTCTTTTTTTCTTGCATCTCCATTGCTACATCCCAGTGTATTCGTTGCTAATAACTGTGGGTACATTTAATGAAAATAAATGAGTTTTAAAAACATTTTCCGTAAAAATCTCTTTTAAGAATCTCATCTCCAAAGATAGATATTCATCCTCTCTTCTCTGTTTGGTCTTTTCGGAATCTGACTTTCATTAATAAATAATGGATTGTTTACATATGTATATGTTAGTCAACAGCAGGAATCCTTTAAAGTCATACTGCCAAGTGACTTTTCCATTTCTAGAATGACCAAGAAGACCAGAACCTAGAACCAAATTCATCTGTGGTTTAGCTTGGCTGAGCTAGGAGGGAAAATAAAATGGACAAATTGCTATGTTTTGGATATTTGTTCTCTCAAAATCTCATGTTAAAATTTGACTCCCCATGTTGAAGGTAGGGCCTAATGGGAGGTGTTCAGGTGGTGGGGGCAGAACCCTCACGAATAGATTAATGCCTTCCCTTAAAGGAGTTCTCACTGTATTTGTTCACATGAGAGCTGGTTGTTATAAAGAACCTGGCACCTCCCCTCTCTGTCTTGCTTCCCTCTTGTCCTGTGGTCTCTGCACACACCCGCTCCTTTTTGCCTTTGCGATGAGTGGAAGTAGCCTGAGGCTTTTGCCAGATGCCCAGTCTTTCAGCCAACAGGGTCGTGAGCCAGATACCTTCTTTTCTTTATGAATTATCCAGCCTCAGGTATTCCTTTACAGAAACACAATGGACTAAGAAAGGTCAAAAAGTGTGCATTACAAAAGCAATTCCTGTTTTAAGGAAAAAAAAATGACTTGTAGCTAAAGCAAATAAAATAGTATTTAAAGTCAGTTTTCAACAACAAAAGCAATTCAAGTCAAGAATGGAACAAAACAGGAAATAAAAAGCCAAACAAAGTACATTTTCTTTAATGAAATAAATATCTGAAAAAATATAGCTCTGTGTTTTATAAAATCTGTAAGTTTTTTTAAAAATTCAGAATATGAATTCATCCTCAGAAACATCTGATTTTTAAATGTATATTTAAAAGATAGATGATTTAGAAAAAAATGTACTCTTTGTGAAATGATTCAGTTCATTTTTTTAAATAGTAAGTTATACCTGAAAATCACTTGAAATATCATAGTCTGTGAAAATTAAACATGTACCTAACTTACAAGAAAACGTGTATTGGCAACTATACTTTTCTTACTCTCCTGGGGTAATTTTGTTTATTACTCCTCTCTTTGTTTTCTCAGTATTTAAATTCCTTATAAAAGTTTGCAATCTCTCCAGCCTGGGCTACAGAGTGAGACTCCGTCTCAAAAAAAAAAAAAAAAAAAAAAAAAAAAACAGTCCAGTGTGTGGTTATAGATATGTGATATGTATGTGAATAAATTGATGAATGAATATTGTGTGAAGGGGCAGTAGTTCACATAGCTAAGAAAATAAACAATTAAAATTTATCATGTGGTTGCAAGGATAAAAATTTCTCTTTCAAGTGACCTTCAGTGACAAGATGGCTTAAAAGTTTCCCTCAGCTTGACTAGACAGGTTTCTTCCTGACTATAAGTTCCTGCACTTTCCTTTTCTTAGAGCATTTACTTTAGAAAACTTGGAAGTGTAAATTCTTTGTCTCTCTTAGATGTAAATCTTCTTGCCAGTTTTACAACCCAAGCAATGTCTTTCTCAAGGACCTAGGAGCCATGCCTTGAAATGTAATCATCAAGAAAGACAGGGCCCCTATCTCCCACTCTCTGTGAGAGTATTGGAGCCTAACTTCAATAAGTGCCAATTAGCAAACACAGAGGGTCTAATCACACTGACGAAGCTTCCTCCCTAAAATCCTCTAGTATTTTTCCAGTAGCTCACCCTAGTGCTTAAAAACTGTCTCGTCTTTTATTTCAATTGAGTTAAATATCTCTCCTTTATTGCAATCATCTTGAATTTTTTTCTTGCTGTTTAATTTGTCCAATGCAATTTTCTCAAACATGTTTTGTTTAAAAAAAATCGATATCAGAACATAAAAATATGCTAAATTAGGTAATATCAGTGGGTATTTAGGTCAGTGTTAAATATCTAATAGTGGCATTAAGGATGTTTATGTGGTTTTTCTTATGAATTTCAACCTCAAATGTTTAAGATATACTTCAACCCTTTCTATATATTCATAAATTCCTATGGAAATATTATACACAAGTTAACAAACACCATAGTTGTACATATGACCATTATTCTTTTATCTCCTCTTGAAGATAGGTGATCAAATCTACTGCAATAAATAGTATCTCCAGTAAAAATGTTAGCAGAGATCTGGCTTGTAAGTTTGTTTGTAGGTGTGTGTATGAGGGTATAGATGGCACTCTGAGAGGTCAGTCAGAATAGAGGAGCATTTCTTCAGAGTTCCCACATAACATCATCAGGATGTGTCCCATTTCAGTCAATACGCTGGGAATTAACAGGGGATCTGTTGACAGTAGGTCTGCAGTTGATGCATAGAGGACTCAGATTTAGGAATTCCATACACTTTATAGTCCTAACTTTGAACAATTTTGCTTTATTATGTTCTAAAAATATTTCTCTGAAGCTTCAAGGGATAACTTTAATTCTGTATTTGTATGATTTGTTAAAGGTTTATCCATGATGATACAGACTTTGATCAAATGCCTTCAGATTCTCCCTTAATGTGGCTCCAAAATTCTCAAGTGAAGAACAGATAAATGGAGCAACCAACTATGAATTTTAATCCTGGCATGAAAGGAAGCTGCTTCTTCTCTGTAGAGACAGCCCGTATGCCCTAGAAGCTGAAAACTAAAATTATTTCAATTAGCTAATCCACAGGGCTGGAAGCCCTGGAAACTGGGTTAATTCAACACTGCTTGCCATTACTTTAGATGCCCCTTACAGCTCCAGCTTAGCTAACTACTACCCTGTCCTGGGGAGCAATCCCTGTACGGCCCTGACTGGCAGGCTGCTCTACACTGGAGTTTTATGCAACAAAGAGTTCCAACTTTTATCTATTTGAGTGTCATTGTGTTGTGTCCTACTTGCAAGAAAATCTTCAACTCTTATAAAACTAAAATGAAGACAATAATTTCCATGTTCTCTGCCATCATGTCTAGACTATTGATATGACACCATCACTGACCAGGCCATTAAAAAAAAATTGTTCATGTAGGAAAACAAACTGTTGCAAGGCAAATGTGATGGCATCTTGAAGCAAAACCACTATAAGGACTGGTGTTTGACCCTCACATACCAAGGTGTGCTGCAGTAAGGTCATTAAACATTGATTGTGGCATAGATAACCCCTTATAAAGATACCTGTCTATACTCCTCAGTTATCATCAGTCTTGGCAAGAAGCTCTGAAGATATGACCAGCTGCCCGTGTTTTGCCCTAAAAGCTTGCTATATAAAGAATATTTTCTGGAGGCGGATGAGGGGGTCCACTATCTTGTAACTGCCCAAAACATCACTTCTGTTTATAAGGCCATATTGAATATTTATTTCTGAGAAGCTGGATTCGTTAGCCTCTTTATTCAGCCCCTTGGCTCCCTTGGAACATTTGGGTGGGTTTGTTTATACCTGTTCACCATGGAAAAGTCCACACTTTCTGATCATAACACTTGTCCTTTTTCTTACGACTGTTGTCTATTAGCATCTATATTTTATCCTTTATTTCTATAAACACCCATCTTATAATTTCCTTCTTACTCCCAACTTCACACATTATTTTAGTAATTAAGAATCCTTAATATTAATCAAGCCCTATAATACCTTGTTTTCAGAGTTCTTCAAATTCCCCAATTACATTCAACATCAAAAATCAGCCATTCACTTCGTAAACATCCTTGGGTTTTGATTAGTTTGATGGATGTCTACCCCTTTAAGATCTTGAACTCCAGTAATTCCTCTCTACCTTCAATGTTTTTCAATTTGAAAACACTGAAATTTTTATTCAATGTGAATCATTCAAGATAACTCTATACAATATATACATTGTTAAAAACTGAGTAAGGTGCAAAGATAAACAAGAACCTGTCCCTGTTTTTTAAATAATCTATAATATGAAAGAAGAGATAAGTACACAAATGACAGTATTTTGAGACAAAACTTATGCAAGCCATAATTGAAGTAAAAACAAAGAACTTAAGAGATTAACTGTACCTATTAGGGAAAGCAAACCATCATACCCTCACTCCTACTTGCCTTTCTTTTCTTGCCTTCTTAATTTACTGTACCATCTAGAAGTTTATATTTCTTTATTTTCCTAGTTCATCACCTCTTCAGTTGCTTCCCTAACAATTTAGACACATATATTTCAACAATAGTCTGGCTAAAACACTCAATGCTGTATTGATGGGTGACCAGTGGGGAAGCTGGCTGAGCCTCCATCTATGAGGTCTTTAATGTGTTGTTGGAATGCTGTGGCACCATTGAAAATGTAAGGGGATAAAGAGAGTTATAGTTAACAGAGATTCTTTAAGGAAGCATATTATATGTGGCTGAAGGAATACTTAATAAACCCTTTAAGTTCATGGGTTTTTGCTTGATTGAAGTAAATGGTGGTCATTCTGACTAAATAATAAATTAGTCCAGTGAATTGTAGATGTTTTTTTGAGTGAGGAATGTAGGCTTTGATCCTGAGCTTACTTGATTTCATGAAATTTTTAACCTAAATAACAATCAGAGGCTTTGTAAAAGAAAACAATATTTTTGGGGAAATAGGACATTGTGATGCTAATTCCTGTGCCATAATAAATTATGTGCATATTCAGGGAAGAAAAAAAAGACTAAGGTTTTTAAAGGAAAAATGAGGAGGATTACATAATTGTTTTAAGATAAGTATCATTGGCTACAAGGATTAATAACAAGAGTGGCACCAATCTGAGGTTGGACAGGTAATTGCAGGGAAGATGTTCTTGCAGAAATATTTTTTGTGCAAGGTTGCAATGGCTTCAGTGCATGACTCTGGGTTTTGCCATCTTTTGTGATAGTTTCTGCTGTCGGGCATTTAAGTTTGAGAACCCTCCCTTCATGGCCTTTCTTGGCTCTATCTGTCAGGTTCTCCTTGCACCCCCACAACCAACCACAAGTGACTCCATTTTGATTTCAACAACTTTTACATTTCCCACTTCACAATCTTTCTCTGAAAGTATCAGTGATCAATCATCCTGTAGTTAGGTTTTGATTGTCCCTTTGTGCCAAGATAGACCTCTCCTGGATTGCTGGTCTGGTTCCATATTGGGAGAAGTTATTGGCAACTAGGAGTTGGTGTTAAAATTCTTTCAGCCACATTAGAGAAATGCAGTTTAAAAGGAGTGGCTCTGAGGAAATGTTTACTTGGAGTTGTCCATTATGTTCAGTTCTGTCTAATAGGCATTTCCTATCATCTCAAGGTGTTGGGACAGCATTATTGTCTTAGGAGTTGTACTTCTAAGAAAATTTAACAAGTCTCAGATACAAAGTTTAAAAAGGGAAAATACAAAGTAAAATTAGTGGTTATATGACAATTCCACTTTGCATAATAGTTTTGAGCCATGAGCCTAGGCTTAAAGGCAACCAGTTGAAAAAATCAAATGATCATGGGAAATTAGGGTGACCTGTTACAGCTATATGGCCTGTTTTCTTCTTCTGTGTATGTGGGTCTCAACTTTCCCAGAGTAATTTATCCAGGTACAATTTGTAGTATTAGCAATAGCAGAGATATTTCCTTATTTAGCCAACAGATACTAACAGATCTCTTAGGTCAGGTTCTGTCAAGTTATCTTCAGAAGCTACTGACTGTGAAATTTCAATTACACCATTATCTTGTCAAGTGAAAAAGGTAGCATTAAGGGGGTAAGAGTCTCATTGTGACATGGAGTCTTGTTCTGATATCTTGGGGAAAGCTGTCAACTGTGTGAAAATGTCAGCTCCCTGTCCTGGTTTGCAGTTTGAATGTCTCTGGTTATGACATCAGGTGGTTGGATGAACTTTCTGTGTGACCCATATATCAAAAGGAGCCTTATCCCTTAAAATTCAACTAGTTACAGCCAATAGGGCTTTAGGAACAGAGCAGTTTTTGTTCTCAGTTGGAAGTTTGTAGCCAAATATTAGAGGAAATTAGGAGAATTCAGAATCTAGTTCATTCTACAGTCTACTGTGAGGCTATGATGAGGTAATACATGGAAAATGCTTACACATGTGCTGAGGAGTGGCATATAACCGATAAATCATAATTTATTTGCCTCCAAGAATATTTACATGTTTGCAACATCCCAAAGTTTTCTACTCTGAGAAACTTTTAGGGATTCTGCTATAGCAATCAAAACTTTTTGTTAAAAAAAATGAAATCAAAACCAAAACAAAAAACAAATAACATTAGAACCATAGAAAACAAGTTTGCAACACTTCTGCGACAGCAAGAACATCAAAAACAAAATTATGTAGTCAATAAAATCAAAGATTATTTTCTTTTATGTAACTATAAATGCAAATGTTTCTCGTTGATGGGCAGCCTCCAGAACCCAAGTAGCATCTTCCTATAATTCTTGGAACCCAGATCACATTGTACAAACAACATCACTGTTGCTCTTATTCTGCTGGTGAAATCGATCCCTGTAGCTACGCCTCAACGCAAGGGAGGCAGCTTATAGCTATGTTCAGGTTCTGCTTCCCTGTGACAGGGGAAGTTTCAATTTCTGTGGTTGGTTAGCCATCTTTGACATACTTCCACTTATACTAAATGTTTGAATTAGTGATTACATTTCAAGTGATATGGTTATTCATGACTAGTGCACTTTGGCTAGGTGTACATTGAAAAAATATTTTTTTAAATGTTTTATATTTTAGGATTTCTGTGTTTAGCCAAACATTTGGCTCTTTAGAGAACAATTTGTGAATAACTGATCCTTTCTTGAAAGCAGGTTTGATGAATATTGGAGAAAATAAATGAAGGTCTATATCAAATTAAGAAGAGAAAACAGAAAAAGCAAGGGAAAGAAATATAATGCAAGCATTTAAAGGCTTCTGATAGGGCTGAGACTGAATTATTTTCCAACATTTGTTCTAAAACTACACATTTCCAAATTTGTCCTCTTTATGATCAATGCATTTCATACAACTCATGTCTGGAGAAAGGGTTACACTTTATGGCTTTGTTATAGGCTTATTAATTGAAAATATCTTCTGACATGCTAAGGTCCTGGATAACATTCATCTTTATCTCTGAGTACCCTAGAAATACACAGACTGATTCAAACTCCATTTATATGAATATGTTTATTTTTAAATGTATTCTGCTAAAATAGATTCATTTGGCTTTGATCTGACAGAGGAAACTATCTTTTCTAAACAAATGATTTTTTTTTCTAGTTTTATTTCTGGTGTATTTCACCCATTCAGCCTTTATCTAGCTGACTTTAATGTATACCATTGGCTCTTGCCTTTTTTTTTGTCCAGCTCCTTTATGTTCATGTGTAGCCATTTATTAAAGTCATATTCCTGAAGGGGAGGTCATCATTATATACCAAGAGGAGTCTGGGATGGCTCCAATTCTTCTTATCTCAAGATACTCTCTTCCTTCATTTTCCAGATATTACTGAGCTACTGTTTGTTCAGTTGTGCTTGACTATCTGCACCCTTCCATCTGACTGGCCAATGAACTTTAAAATGCCTTATATCTCCCACAGCACAATATAGTACAGCTCAACACAACCTGAGTGGCACATCATCATGCATTCCAGCTATAGCTTGGAAAGACAATAATATCAATGGCAATGAAAACTTACCATACAATCTTCAATTTTCTCATCAGTAAAATCAAAACAAGAGTTATCCAGCAAATGTAGCTTTTGCCAGAAGTAAGGAGAAATAAACGTAAGATCGTTAGCCCAGTGTCTGGTCCTATGTTCTCAAATTTTAATTATTTTAACTATTACTTTAAATATTCTTATAATTATTTTTACTTATCGAGTGTTTATTTGTCCCATCTGCTGTACTCCTTCCCTATCCCACTCCTTCCCTATCCCTCATCACACAGCTTTAACTGTAATTTGTGTGCTGGTAGCTCCCAAATCTGTATCAGTAGCCTTTATGGTCCTTAGGAGCTTAAGGGCTATATTTCCAACTACCCTGATAAGGCTAGTAAACTTCTGCAGTGAGATTTTCTGTAGCATCTCTATACTCCATTTCTATACCCACACCAAATTTCTTTTCTCAGTTGATTATTACAATACTGTTATATGCTATTATTATTTTCATTTTATTGATAAGGAAACTGGAACATCTGGGGTCAAATCCACCAAAACACCTACCCTCCACATACTTAGGATTGCTCTTCCTCCCCTATGCTAAGTAATTGTACCTCTTCCTTGTATTCTTTCAGTCTTCATAGTTTGTAATTTGGAATTACAGACATCATCTAGAATTTTTTTAAAGATGGATTTGTATTTCCTTCCTAGGTTATTGATTTTTGGGGGGATTATTTTTGAGATGAGAAGTGGGTAGAGATATTTTTGTATTATACCATCATGAATCTGGAAGCCTTATTGCAGTACTTTCTTTTTTGTTATTATTAAACTTTAAGTTCTGGGATACATGTGCAGAACTTATTACATAGGTACATATGCAGGTTTGTTACATAGGTATACACGTGCCATGGGGGTTTGCTGCACCCATCAACTCGTCATCTACATTAGGTATTTCTCCTAATGCTATCCCTCACCTTGTCCCCCACCCCGCAACAGGCCCCAGTGTGTGATGTTCCCCTCCCTGTGTCCGTGTGTTCTCATTGTTCAACTCCCATTTATGAGTGAGAACATGTGGTGTTTGGTTTTCTATTCCTGTTTAGTTTGTCAAGAATGATGGTGTCCAGCTTCATCTATGTCCCTGCAAAGGACATGAACTCATCCTATTTTATGGCTGCATAGCATTCCATGGTGTATATGTGCCACATTTTCTTTATCCAGTGTATCATTGATGGACATTTGGGTTGGTTCCAAGTCTTTGTTATTGTAAATAGTGCTGCAATAAGCATAATGTGCATGTGTCTTTATAGTAGAATTATTTATAATCCTTTGAGTATGTACCCAGTAATGGGATTGCTGGCTCAAATGGTAGTTCTGGTTCTAGATCCTTGAGGAATTGCCACACTGTCTTCCACAATGGTTGAACTAATTTACACTCCTACCAACTGTATAAAAGCATTCCTATTTCTCCACATCCTCTCCAGCATCTGTTGTTCCCTGACTTTTTAATGATTGCCATTCTAACTGGCATGAGATGGCATCTCATTGTGGTTTTGATTTGCATTTCTCTAATGACCAGTGATGATGACCTTTTTTTTTAAATATGTTTGTTGGCTGCATAAATGTCTTCTTTTGGGAAGTGTCTGTTCATATCCTTCACCCACTTTTTGATGGGGTTGTTTGTTTTTTCTTGTAAATTTGTTGAAGTTCCTTGTAGATTCTGGATATTAGCCCTTTGTCAGATAGCTAGATTGCCAAAATTTCCTCCATTCTGTAGGTTGCTGTTTCACTCTGATGATAGTTTCTTTTGCTATGCAGAAGCTCTTTAGTTTAACTAGATCTCATTTGTCAATTTTGGCTTCTGTTGCCATTGCTTTTGGTGTTTTAGTTATGTAGTCTTTGCCCATGCCTATTTCATGAATGGTATTTCCTAGGTTTTCTTCTAGGGTTTATATGGTTTTAGGTCTTATGTTTAAGTCTTTAATCTATCTTGAGTTAACTTTTGTATAAGGTGTAAGGAAGGGGTCCAGTTTCAGTTTTCTGCATAGGCCAGCCAGTTTTCCCCACAGCATTTATGAAATAAGGAATCCTTTTCCCATTGCTTGTTTTTCTCAGGTTTGTCAAAGATCAGATGGTTGTAGACATGTGGCATTATTTCTGAGGCCTCTGTTCTGTTATATTGGTCTATATATCTGTTTTGGTACATGTACCATGCTGTTTTGGTTACTGTAGCCTTGTAGTATATTTTGAAGTAAGGTAGTGTGATGCCTCCAGCTTTTCTCTTTTTGCTTAGGATTGTCTTGGCTATACAGGCTCCTTTTTGGTTCCATATGAAATTTAAAGTAGTTTTTTTTTTGCTAATTCTGTGATGAAAGTAAAGGGTATGTTGATGGGTGTAGCATTGATTTATAAATTACTTTGGGTGGTATGGCCATTTTCAGGATATTGATTCTTCCTATCCATGAGCATGGAATGTACTTTCAAATGGTAACTTATATCACAATGTAGTTATTGGGGGAACTAGAATGGTTAGATTTTGAACAGGGCACCCAGAAAGAAGACGTAAGACAAGATTCAAGAAGAGGCATATTTCTAAGTAGAGTCAATGCCTTTTTACATGGAAGGACATAGTGAGAATTTTGACTTTGGTGATAGACTGACCTAAGTTAATACCTTAGCCATCAAGGTTGTTTATGATCTGGAGTAATGTATTTTGTCCCAGAGGTTAGGGATAAAAGTTAGTTTCTTTTTCTTCTATCCTTCATTTCAAAATTATGTATACTTAATACCTTTGGATGTGACCATTTAACTATTTTGGGTACAATTATCTGCACCTGCATACAATTAAGGCTCTTGCTGAAGGTTATTTAGTGGGTGATGAAGGTTGCTTAGTAGATTAGTTGTTCTTAAATGTTCTTCAGACCACCTGCTGGATTTTACGGGTTGAATGGATTGGTGATTTGATTTTTGATGTATTTATGCACAGTTTGCACTGATATACCATGATTAGTTACATTCATTTAATAGGCACTTAGCAAATGTCCTTGTGAAAGTAAGAAAATGTAGGCGATTGCTTTGTATATTTCCTTCTTTGTAAGAACATTGGCGATGTGATGAATAATTAATCAACTAATTGTTGCCCTGTTCAGTGTTCTTTGTTTGGAAGTGAGATGAATTCTTTTATACATGGTGATAGGCATTTAAAATCCTAATTCAGTTTAGGAGTATAGATATGAATTGATTTTTTTCCACAGCTTAAGGACAGAGATTGCTTATGCAGAACTTCTGACCCCTAAAAATCACCTCTTCTCTCTTCTGCATGAAGACCAACTTTTTACATTTAAATTTACACTCTATACATTTCTTATTGTGTGTGCACCTCTATTGAATTCATTTCAATTTACTATTTTTGACTGTGTTGATTTTTATAGTTTTATCTCAAATATGTATACTAACATTTTTATGTTAAAATGTTGTACAAACATTTAATACATTGAAACAAAGAATGATTTAGTAAACTGAAGCATTACAGACATTTTATTTAGTCTAAAGGCAGAACACTCACAGGCTTATTCTTTGGTAAACTTTTCTATCTGACACCTTCCTCTTTCTAGATTCGAGTTTTGGCATTTACTTCTTTTTTAATTTCCACAGATTGCTTAGGCATGATCCCCTTTTTGATGAACCTGTGTAGGAGATTTGGGTGGGATAACATCTGCAACACAAATCTGGATCTATCCAAGTGAAACCAATTTAAACTTATTAAATTGCTGCAGCATTCCAGGGGCCCTGATTAAAAGCTCCTGCAGTCCAGGAGTTGAATAATTTCAATGCCACTTCAGGCCTTTGGATGTTTTACATTATCTCTAGTGGTGTCCTTTCAGATTAAACATAATCCCATTAAGCAATGCTGCTGGCTTTTGGGCTGCTTACACTAGGCTGAGTAATATTCTGCTTTTATTTAGGACTGTGTTTCTTAATTCTTCATCTTGGATGGCTGGCACACACTGGCAATAAGCTTGCATGCAGTAGATGAATATATTCTTTATTAGTAGAACTGATTAAGTTGTTATACAATATCTATGACCCAAATGTCCTCAGGCCAAATCACATTTAAACCTAAAATTCTTTGGTTTGAATTTCAGTCTCTTGAAAAAGTACATATTTCTCCATCCCTTCCAGCTACTGCTTAGTTCTTGGGGAGGTCTTAAAGTGTCTGTTACATGCATTGCCAAATAAATTCTAATTGTTATTTGCATTCTCCATAGTTTCTGACTTGTGATGAGTGAGCAACTCATCATAAGCAGCTCAACTCCACTCTGTCAACTACTGATATTTCCACTAAAACAGTTAGGTGATTTGAGACTCTTCCCACATCACCACTACCCTGTCTGGTAACTATTTCTTCAGTAGAAATAAAGATCCTTTGACACTCTTGGGCACAGACACTCAACCCAGCTGTGATAACCACAGTTGTGACATAGTACCTGGAACTGTTCTAATAGTTTGTTTTACAAAGTCTTCCAAGTAAAGTTGTCCTCATCTATAAAATGCAGTTATTGATAGTAATTGTTCCCCTTAGTGATTGTAAACATTAAATGAAATAATTTGTCAAGTGCTTATTATATGGTAGCTATACAAATGTTTGCTGCTATTATTATTTTTTTCTATTAAAATGGGTTTGAATTCAATTTTAGAAAAATCTGTTATTTCAAATTATTACATTTACTAGCTGAACTTTCTTTTAAGTGAATCAGATCAAATTGGTTCAGAAAAATATTTTTTGTGGCTTAATATTTCTCATGTTGAGCAGAAAAGCAAGGTTGAGAGACTGCAGCCAAGAACAAGCAACCATTTCACCTCTAGGTAGAAGGTTACCCAGCTGAAGGACAGTCAAGTTGTTAAAACCAACATATATATTGAACACTTTCTATATCCCTGGATCTGTGGTACATGCTTTATGGGTGTTAACTCTTTGCATCCTTATGACAATTGTATGCAATAGGTATTATTCTTATGTCTATTTTATAGATAGGAAACTGAGGCATATGAAAATTAAAGTTGCTCAGTTGTTGGATGATGGAGCCAGGATTTTAATCCAGGCACTCTGACCCTAGATGCTGATCTTAACCACTATTAGTCTTCATTTCATAAATTTGTTGGCTTTGGAAAATGGTTCCATTGGCTAGAATTCATTTTTGTGTCCTAACCTCTAGGTCCCCTGGGAGAACTATATAACCACCCTTACATTTAGTATGAACCATGGTCAATAAGCTGTCAGCAGAAAGTAAGAAAGAGCTGGCACATTACCATTGGCTAAAGATCATAGGAAGGACTTTTTTTGTATGTGTACAAGGGAAGGAAAGTAGACAATATATTTCTAGATTTATCTTCACTTTGTGTCTGAGAACCCAGTGGCACTGTACATTTACCATATCAAACAAAAAATACCTCTTCTCTCAGATGGGGGCATTTGAGGTACTTATGTATTTGTAAGACTAGAGGTCCCAGACATTAGAATGTAGTAAACTGCTTTTCTTTCTTATATATTATAGCATATTCAGATCTCTTTATTTACACAGCCTCTTTGAACTTTGACATGCCAAAATCATGACAAACGTGAACTCTCTTTAATGATGCAGCTTTCGCACCAAATGCAAGCTGGCATTTGTTTTGCACAATTGCTGCTTTCACTGGCTCTTGTTCTACAATTTCTTATATATATGAAACTAGTATCTTAGGGAAGGCTTTCCCTCATTCCTTTATTTTACTTTTTAACTGCAGAATTATTCTAGTGGATTTCTGAGCTGAAGTTGCTGTTGATGTTTTTGAATCCTGTATACCAGGATTTGAGTTAGAACCCTAAGGTTGCCATTTACTTTTCAAGACCATCTCTCCTCAGCTTTTGAATTTCTAGGCTTTAAGAGGTATTTCTTTCTCTTCCTTATTTTTTTGAGTGGGATGTACCCCTGGCATTGCATTTCCTTTGTTTTATTCCTTCTCCTTTGAAGAAGAATAAATTCTTTTCTCTTTTTCTTCTGGCCTCCAAGGTCTCATTTTTCCTTTCATATATATATAAAGCCTGTCTTCTGAGATCTCAACATTTCTCCTAAGGAATTCTCTCTTTCTCCATCTCTGTTATCTTATATCCCATTTTTTTCTTTTATTTCTTACTAATTTTGTTTTAGTAACAAGACAAAAGCATATTTTTACTACTAGGCTCTTTTAGGGCATTTTGACTAATGAAAATTTTCTCTATAGTCCTTCTATATTACCCTTTTAAAAATTAAGGTAAAATATACATACATTGAGATAAACTGATCGAAAGTGTACCATCTGAGGAGTTTTAACCAATTATTAAGTTATGAATATCACATGAAGATATTGAACATTTCCATTTTCCCAGAAAGTTCTCTTGTGTTAATCTTCCAGGCAATTCCTAAACCATAGGTGAGAAAGGCTATAATAACTAGATCATAGATTAGTTTTTCTACTCTTGAACTTCATAAATATAAAATCATATAGTATATACTCACTTATGTCTGAATTATTTCTCTCAATATTATAGTTTTGTGGTTAATTTGTGTTCTTGCTTGTATGGATGGATAGTTTATTCTTTTTTAAAAAATTCATGAATAGTATTTCACTAAGTGAACATAGAATGGATTGAATGCAATTTATTTATTATTATTCACTTGTTTTTTTCCATTTTTGGGGCAAGTATGAATGGCAGTTATGAATAAAGTCACAATAAACATTTTTGTAGAAGGCTTTTGGAAACACGTGTTCATTTGTTTTTGATATATGCCTAGGAGTGGGATGGCTAAGTTATAAGGCCATCTATGTTTACTTTTCAAAAATGCCAAATGGTTTTCCAAAATAGTTCTTCCATTTTACCCTCTTTATTAGTCTGTTCTAAAGAAATACCTGAAACTGGGTAATTTATAGAGAAAAGAGGTTTAATTGGCTCACAGTTTCACAGGCTGTACAGGTAGCAAGACTGGGGAGGCCTCAGGAAACTTACAGTCATGGCAGACGGGTGAAGAGGAAGCAAGCAAGTCTTCACATGGTGGCAGGAGAGACAGAGCAAAGGGGGAAGGGCTACACACTTTTTAACAACCAGATCTCATGAAAACTCACTCACTATCATGAGAACAGCAAGGGGGAAGTCTGCCCCCATTATCCAATCACCTCTCACCAGGCCTCTCCTCCAATATCGGGGATTACAATTTGACACGAGATTTGGGTGAGGACACAAATCCAAACCATATCATCTTCCCACTAGGAATAAATTAGAGTTCCAGTTGACTTACATCCTTGCCAGTGTTTGTTTTTGACAATCATTTTAACTTTGGCTATTCTAGTCTGTAAAAAGGCATCTTATGGCTTTTAAATTTGCATGCCCCTGTTGACTAACAATGGATAATAGTTTTGATCCTTCTATGTTTGATTTTATCTTTATTGGAGGTAATCGGTTTTGGTTTTGCACTTGTCCTAATGTGTGCTCCTTACACTAGGGTTTAAGCCTTCATTCTAAAACACGGCCTTCCAAAAATCTCAGCTGGATACCCGAAGTGCTGTGTGAGATTTCTTCATTCTCACTTGGCTGGATCTGCAGTATCTCCCAAGATTGCATGACCTCTGATAGCTCTATTCAGTTATCCATGAAAAAACAAACATTCTCCACCAGACCTTGTGGATTCTTGCCCTGTACTAACTTAGCCCAACTCTGGTTCAGAGACCGGAATTTCCATGCAAATGTTTTTGTTTCCTCCTTTGTCACTTTCCTATTCTTTAAAATTTGCTCCACAATTTCTAGCCACTACAGTAGCCCAAACTTCAGTCTTTGCCTTTTAACCTAAGCAGAACTTCTTGTGCTCTGCTTCCCTACATCATGGTCCAGAAGGCACTCTTGGATAAAAAGCTGGGAAAATATAGGGCTCACCTTTTGAAAGTGTTCCCCTACTTTCAAAGATCACAGTTTTGCACCGGCCAATTTCTAATGCCTAAAAACAGTTGCCTGGTATGGTTGGGACAGTGTGTAATTATTTCCACTGTGAAGGGAAACCCAGCACCATTTGTACCACCATGGCTGAAAGCAACAGTCCTTCCTTGTAATTCATCAGTTAATTGTCCTAAGGTTAATAATTAAGGATTTAATGCCAACATAATTTTATTGCCATACTTCCTCTTTTTCCTTCTGAAACTACTATCATTCTAGAAAATTATCTCCATCTAGCTAACTGTCTACCTACCTACCTACCTACTTACCTACCTACCTATGTATCTATTATCTATCTATCTATCTATCTATCATCTCTCTATCTACTTACCTACCTATCTATCTAGTGAGCTAGATATCTGTCAAAGTATCCTGGGATGTGACAATTGGTGTGTGGTGTGTTAAGAGCTTTTTGCAACTAAAAATATATTAAATGTGGATATTTGTGAAAATACCCTCACTTGCTTACGTTCTTATTTGCTTTTTAAAGTTTATGAGAAAAGGGCAAATCTACAACTGTCGCTCTATGAATTTGGTATAACCCTGCATATAACTGTGGGGATATGTCTATTATATCATCATCTATCAAGCATCAAGCATATCAGAGCAAAAGGGATTGAGTCAGTAATATAAAAATGGTTGTTTTAAAAAGAATTAGAAAGTGACAGGTAGTTTTTAACTTGTATTCTATGTCTCTATATTATGGAGAACAAGATAATCTGAAAGATACTTGATTTACTTGTTAAACTTCTTAATCTTAGAAGTGATTTGTTACTAAAATCATGAAATTCCATTGAAGATACATAGTACTGGTAGGGAAATTTATGTATTGCAAGAACAAAACATTCTGGAAATAATTTTTCAATGGGCTTTTAACGAATTTTAATTCTGAGGTGAGAAGGAAAACAAACTGAAATAAAAGAATGTTTGTAAAAATAAATGAGCTACTTGAAGTAATAGATTGTTTTTTAGGTGAAGAAATGGAGATACTATCTTAGTCTGTAGAATAATTTCTCGTAAACAATATAATCAAATATCATTACCTTAAATACAACACAAAAACTAACAAACACACATTTAAGCAGCAAATTGTAATGGAAGCAGCACTGGACTCAAGAGAGGTAATGTGATTCCTAGATCCGCCCTGGTTAGGTTTTTTTCTCTGTTATCTATGAAGTGAATTAGCTAGATATACTGGATAATTTTAATGATTTAAATTCATCATTCTAGGTTTTATTCCTCTATTTTGGGAAAAATTCTGATTCAAATTAAAGAAAAATCTATTTTTAGGAGCTTTGCTTTAGTTAGATATACATCTAACTTTAGTTATACTATGGAATAGTCTTGAGTATCATCATACTTCTAACATATGTAATTACACATTTCATTTTATTATTTTCTATTAACTGACATCTACTATGAGTTTGACAATCATATTTAATACTATATTCCATAGCAAGTATTCAGTCAGTTTTTTAGGGAAGTCATAAGCCAATTTGATGAGTATCAGGTTTGTTTTCTATTTCACAAATAAATTGGTCTGGACAGGCCAAGATGCAGATGTTCATTCATAATCACACACATCAATCCACCCCTACAATTTTATATTTAAAACTGCCACAAGCTTATGGTCTTGTCTCACAATCACATCCAAAAGTGCACTTTGGAATTCGTTTTAGCAGTTTATTTATTTTTTTTTTTTTACTTTTGCCATTTAGGTTTTCATGGGAGCCTGTTTATCATTTTTGTACTGATAAAAAAACTATTTCCACTTGCAACAACCAATTTTAATTTTCATAGCTGTACTAAAAATATATGAAACAAAGATGTTAAGTGTGTACATCTTCACTGAGTTTATATTTGCTAGTTCAAAATTTAGTGGAGTTCCGTTAGTACAACCAGGAATTACTTTTATACTATCAACCAATTGACATCCATTCCATTGGTCTTTCTTTGAGATCTATTTAAATGGTTTTCAGCTCTCTAATTTCCCTAACGATTTAGAGGTTAATAATTCCACTGAAACAGAATGCAACCAAGGGAAATGTAAAAGTCTCCAAGACTCTAGATGCTTCTTAGGTTCTTTTAATATGTGAGCCCCTTAAAAGAATGTCATTGAAAATGTAATTTTTAGAAGGTATTCTTCAGAGTATGCTGGTGATTACCTGAGTAGGGTGGTAAAGAATAGAAAGAGTTGCAGTAATTTGCATGTTTTCAGTTTATTCTAGTTAGGAGGAGACTCATTAGATATTGATTGCTACAGAGTCTCAACAGAATAATGGGAACAAAGATAATAATTACTGATTTGTGCAGTAGGAAGGGCTCAAATATGAAATACACAATACTAAAGCTGACAAGAATGATAGAATTGCCAGTTTTCATAAAGGTAATGAGAAATAATATTGGAAACTAAGTAGAAGCTATAGAAACCAATAATTATATTACTCTTTGATATCTTATAAAGAACATTCATATGAATGTTTGCTCTGGATTCTCATAGCATCCTGTAAAACCAAGCTCGAGAGGTTATCTCATTTTTACAATTAAAAAATCTGAGGCTCAGAGAATTTAGGTGATTTGTCCAAGCTCACACACTTTTAATGTGGTATATGCAGTATCAGAATCAATATTTTCCCTCCATCAATATTTTCTTATATTATCTGATCACATGTGTTTATGTGTTTTCAAATATTTGGAGACTCATGTTAAAGCATGACTTTAGCTATTCAGAACCTAGAGGAATGAATTTATCTGGATAATTAATTATACCAGATACTTGAAAGGACAATTTGTACTTAAATTTTAATTTTTGTGGTGACATAATGTCAATAAAAAAATCTTTTAGACTTTTTTTAGTAACTGATAGTCACCATTAACCTATTAGTTATCATAAACTATTGTAACTGTATGTATAAATATATTGAAATATTGGGCTAAATGAATCACAAGTATAAAATATAGCATAGGTGTTCATGTTAAGAAATGGTATAATCTTTTCCACCAATTTTTGAAGGTCACAACTGCAAAATATTTGAATAGTTGATAAATCAATATGAAATAAACCAGTTGGCATTTTCCCATTTATGGCAATTGTCCATTTTCCTTTTGAAAATAACAATCAAATGCTTCTTTCGCCTGTTATTTTTCATAAAAGGAATTGTAGTATAACTGCCTAGAAGCTACCCTTGTCAAATTAGTTCAGACTTTCTATTTGTTCAGCAACACATCTAAACTTTTAGAGAGAGTGCTACCAAACAGGGCTCTGCCTTCATTTTAAAGGGTGTATTAAGCAACTGTAGGGATGCAGGAGCCGCCTTTGGATCTTTACTTCTTTCACTTATATGTGCTTACTGTCAGGGCTTGTTATTTTTGAGTAATTCTGGATTGCAAGCTATTCATCATACATGAATGGAAATGTTCTCTTTTCCTTGGAAAATATGTCTGGCAGGAAACAATCCCTGCTGGCAATCTGAAAAGCGAGACTATGCCTAGAGGAGCGTCTCAGCCATAATTACAGTTCGCGGCAGGCTTTATTTTATCTCTACAATTATTTATAGAGCGCAAATGATAGTTAAAGACATACCACCCCAAAATATGACTGCAGGAGATCAGATTATGCCACCTCAAAATTTGCCACTTCAGCATATTGCTTACTTTGAGCAGAAAGAATCTGAAAACCAGCCAAAGCAGGAAAAGCTCTTTACTTCTCTTCAGCTACCTGAAATGAAGTATCACACTCCCCATTTATTTACATGTATAAAGGAAATATTCATTAGTAAAGGTAGTAAAGGTATATGTACCAGGAAGAGAGCTACTCTTTCTCAGGTGAAGACAACTTTTATCACCAGAGAAACTTTTATTTACATAATAAACAACTTTTACTTACTATACATTTTGTCCCTGACTCTCACATAATTTGCCTCCACTCACCCCCTCAGAAACCCCAAATTCCTATTCCTTTCTGTAGCTCAAGATGATATAAAAGCTTCAATCATCTGGCTGCTTCTTTGAGCCACATATTTCTGTGGGACTCCTGTGCATACATATGTAATCCATGTTGTTGGTTTTTTTTCTTTCAACCTGTCTCATGTCAATTTAATTCACAGACCAGACCAGCCAAGGAGGCTAGAAGGGTCTATCCTTTCTTCTAAGAAAGTATTTTTTCCTCCCCTACACTATGAGGGATAGATGCTGTTAAGACACTGAGTATTTAGTAGTGAGCAAAACAGAAAATGATTTTAGTCTAATGAACTCGCATTATGTGGTGAGCAGAAATAGGGGAAGAAAAGGTGTGAGAAGAAGAGTATCTCGTTTAAAATGAGTCATCAAAATTAGGCATAGTTTAGATGTGACTCAAGTCATTGAGATATAGAGCTGGAATCACAGAAGCAGGAAAGAAAGGAATAATGTGTAATGGTTTAGAACCAGTGACTCAGATGTTTATCTTCCTACAACTTTGTTGTTAAAGAGCAATTGAGTTCTCTCAGTCAAGGCTTGGTCCACAAAGCTGCTAGATAACACTGAGCCAACAATCTTCTTTCAAGTGTTAGATGAAATCCTATCATCTTTACTTTTCAGGGAAATGGAACACTTTCTCCCTGACTCTTGCTTTACTCTTATTCTTTCACATGGTTGAGTATCAGATTTTGTGACTGGGTCCTAACTGATTCTTCTTTATGATAAGGGGTCTGGGGAAAATAGTGTGATAAAAAAGTGTGGTATATGCATTAATCTTTACACCTAGTTCTAGAATGGACCTCCAGGGGCCAGTAAACATATGATGCAAATGAGCTCTGTATCTCTTAATGTTTAGGAGGCAGTGTTTTGAGTAAGGCGAGCAAACTGTCAATGATGACAACAAAGAGATGTGTGAAACATCAGCTCTGTTGCTGTCCTTGGGTTAAGAACCGCAAACATAGGGAAGCTCAGTAGATTTGGTTATTGTGCTCTACCAAAGCCTTAAAATTGAGCTCCCAGTGCAAGATCTTACTTCCATAACTTCAGCACAAGGACGTGGTGTTTGTTAATATAATGGGTCACTGACTCCAATTTTCCCACACCCCATTTCTCAGCCAGAATCAGATCTCACGTTTGTCCTCTTTGTATAAGGCAGGATTAGCAGATGTTCTCAGAGGGGTTAAAAAGCACAAAAACTTACTGAGCATGAGGGTAATAAGACATGAGAGGGCCGTGAAGCCCTCTCTACATCTACATCTCTCACAATATATCTCTCACATATACAGACATACACAGAGGGTATAGACTCTTGAGTTTGAATTCTGAGTCCTCCACTTTCTATTATTGCATCTTTGGGCAAGTTACTTGGGATCATACTAATAGTTTCTATTTAATAGGGTTATGCTAAATATTAAGCAAGTACATGCAAAGTCCCTCACAAACAATAAATGCCTTTGGGACAGTTTGCTAGTTTCTTCTTATTCCCATATCTGTTTTCCCCCTTTTGCTTTACCTGATTCTGCAATTACATACTCCTTTATAAACTCCATCATACCTAGGTATGGCCTTGTGCTGTGAGAGAAACAGTATGTGTTACTTATCAGGGTTGCACAGAATACAAGAAGAGATGCTTCTTATTTGCCCTCATGAAGTGATAACGCACCAGCTCCAAGGAGTGGACTAGCACTACTGTGTCAATATTTCCTCCCAGAGCAATGAGACCCTTGGGGTCACCTTGATCCACAGAATTAGTATTTAATCCTATTTCGCAAGCTAGGAGCATTCCAGGCAGTCAGTCCCATAGGATTTTGTAGATGTCAAATGCAGTTGTGATGCATGGCCATGAGGGGAGACTCAAGGTCATCCTTGAGAGGAATCTGAGGTCGGACATAGTACTTGACCAAACTGCATTGTCAAAAGATAGTGCCCTTGTTGTGAATGAGTCAGAGTGAACCTTGGAGCAATTGGAAAACAAGGGGTAATACTCATGCAAATGAGCTGGAATACAGGGAGCAAGAAGGTGATATGACTATGCATTTATGCTTTGACTGGTTATCTTTTGCCTTTGTCGGTTGGACTAGCCAGATTCTATTTTACTTTAATTTTAACCTTTATTTTAAGTTCAGCGGTAAAATTGGCAGGTTTGTTATAGGTAAACTTGTGTCATAGGGGTTTGTCGTATAAATTATTTCATCACCCAGGTATGAAGCGTAGTACCCATTAGTTGTTTTTCTAGATCCTCGCCCTCCTCCTATTCCCCACCTTCCAAAGGACCCTAGTGTGTGTTGTTCCCCCCTATGTGTCCATGTGTTCTCATTATTTAGCTCCCACTTGTAAGAGAGAACATACAGTATTTGTTTTTCTGTTTCTGTATTAGTTTGCTAAAGATAATGGCCTTCAGCCCCATCCATGTCCCTGTGAAGGACGTGATCTCATTTTTTTTATGGCTGCAGAGTATTCCATGGTATATATGTACCACATTTTCTTTACCCAGTCCATCATTCAGATTTTAACACGTGGGTAAGGATGGGTCTGACTAAAGAACACACTGAAGGTCCTGGTAGCCTGGCTCTAAAAAGCTAATGTTTTGCAATAATTTTTAAAATGTGTAGATTTATATTGATGCTCTTTACTATTCATTTCAGAAATTCATTTAATACTGGAATCATTCTTAGTATTGCTGTCTTCTCAAAAATGTTTGATAATTTGTTTTCTATCAGGAATATTGGTTATTTGACTATTTTTTAAAATTTGTTTTTATTTATTTATTTGTTTTAATTTAGTTTTTTTTTAAATTTATTTCTTTGTTTTAATTCAGCTGAATGTTACACGTGGATAAGATTAGAATATGTTTCAGAAGTATCATGTGCCCTTGCCTTTTTGGAGAGGAGATTAATGATCTTTATTAAATATTTCAGGGCATCCATACCTACATTTATTTCATAAATTTCATTTACTCACTGTGGATTGAATTTGTAGTATCTTTATAACCAAGACAGTAAGATTTAGTAAGGACAGACACATTTAAGTTTGCATTATCAGTATCGTAAGCTACCTTCCTTGGGAGACATGCTCTAACTTCAACCAAAAATGCTTCTATTGTATTTATAAGATGAGACTTGTTATGGACACCCATTTTATAGCAGACTTTTGACTTTTGACGTCTGTGCTGTAGTTGAGATTTATACATATGCCAGATGAAGGTGGCACTTGGCATATGTGCAAATTTTCTTCAAAAATTTCCATTACCTAGCAGGCAAAGAGATTACTCCCTAACAGAAAGATGACAAGTTCGAACTTCTAAGATTTTTAGTTGCTGATATTTTAGGAGCAGGCTGTCGCTTGCTGTTTGCTTATGATTTCTTGGTTCCTGTTCCTGGGCTCTAGTTTCAATAATCTCGCTGATAGTGGAAGAAACTACATCAATTTCTCATTTTCTGTATCCTCACAGGAAGAGATAGGATTTGTCCCAGGTGTCTGCAACAGTCCTAGCATCCTGAAAGCTTATATTCCTCTGTGATTTCTTATTGGTGCAGTGTTTCTGTCCGTGCTTTTTATCCACAGAAATGGAAAGATATTGATTCTCTTAACAATAGAATATTTAGGACAATATCTTTAGTAATTAGAACTTATATGTACTTAAAAATTTTAAAGCAAAATAGATGCCTAATTTTATAGAAAAATAAGGATGTAATTTAATGATTGCATAATAAAATTGATTTTTAAAACTTTTAGAATATGTCTAACAATATTTGCTTTTCTACTTTTTAGTTTACTACTACAGGAATAAAAAAATTAATATGTTTCTGAATTTCAGTGGTAAGATATTACTTGTTCTTTTCTCACTCCTCACCCCACGTTAAAATTAGACTCTTTACTTTTTTCAAGAATATTTTTAAAAAGTATAATATTCTATGATATCTCCCAAGTTGTTCTCAAGAAGTTGTGGTGTGCTCTTTTACTGTAAATTTCTAAATGAGACTATATTAGAATTATATCACCTATCAAAAAAGGAGCCTCAACTAATGTGAATATTAAACTCCATTTCAACAAATCTACTAAATGTTTTTTGTCTTTGAGGTTTAGCCTGAAGTACTATTTTTGGTAGGAATCCAAAAGAGAGTTTTTAAATACTGGCACAAGACACATCACTTCATTTAAAATGTATAGTAACAAGAAAGCAGATTGTCATAATATTAGTCAAATCTCAGAGGGAAGTAACTCTTTTCATTATAGATTTTACATCACTATTTTATGGTTTTTAATTGTTGTATTGCAGATTAAGAGTAGGCAAACATGAAATATAATGTTTAATGGTTTGGATTTGAATTTTAATGCTTTGAAAAGGCGGTATAAAGAGCTTCTGCATTGATTATAGCAGCATAAGAGGTTGAGTACATAGCATAGTCACATAGTGTAAAGAAGTAAATGTTGATATAGTATCATATTTAACATTGATTAATGCTAACATTGTAAATTGTTCCCAGATTCTGGGAAAATCAACTTTTGTTCTTACTTTTCTCTTAATTATATTTGGAGGCTGAGATGGAATTTAAATGGTAGGTGGTCTATTATTTGTGAGTGCCTTAAAGGCCATTCAAATTAAATAGTATCGATAGGTTAGAAATTAAATGGTGTAGTATATATTAATTTTCTCTGTCAGGTATTAGTTACTGAATCTCAAAAAGCACTTAGCTGATATGATAAAACAGTGTGGACATAAATTCTAGAAGAGATAATCTGATAAGGAATGGAAAGACATAAATATCGTATTTAGTATTATCTTCAGTTAACCTACAAGAAGCACAAATTGAGCAGTTTAGAGAGCCATCTCCAAAGAATAGAAGATAAGTATTTTTGGTTTATTTTGGGTTTTAAAATCTTCCCTAGACTCTAAAATCAAGGAAGGCAGGTACTATGTTTGCCTTCATAATTGCATCCTCAGTAACTGTTGTGCAGAAGTCATTCAAAAATATTTTAATTTACTCTTGTTGCATAATTCTATAAAATGTTCTAAGAGCCAGATAAGTCCATTTTTTTTACTCCTATTAGTTCGAGCACTATTGTTAATATCATGAGATTTAAAAAAATAGTCCTACAATGCTTGAGGCAAAGAATCAATCTTGTTAATCATTCTTGACTTTAAGAATTCTTCTGTTTAGTGGGGACATGAGACAGAGATATGATCAAGTAGATGATATACAAGCCCATTACATAAAAGTCAGAGTTGAAAGCTCACAGAATAAACCAAATATTAGCATATAGCATTTTCTGTAACATGGAAAGAAAATATTTTTAAGGAAAAAATTTAAGAAAAACTTCTGTTTAATATTTTTTAACTTTATCACTCTCCCCACTCCCTGAAGTAAGGACTTGGCCATTCCCATGCCTGATTGTTGGCAGAGTGATGTAGGCGGCAACATTTCTACATGTATATCTGACTCTCAGTTCCCAGTGCAATTTCTTACTGATTTCAAAAACATGAAAGTTAAAAATTGAAATTAAGCTATTTCACTTGAATAAACTTCTCCATAGAATTAATATTTTTTGACTCTGGGCTTCTTTAAGTGGTGTCTGCTGTATTTATTCTGGGCAGAAGCTCCAGATCCTTCCTTCTCCATCAGGTGCAAGATACATGGATATATATCTTGCATATAGAAAGATACACAGATACCTAGAAGGGATACAGAAGTAGATACACACACTATACTGTTCTCCTGATCTGTCTGTGAATTCATCAGTACTACATTGCTTTAATTATTTTCATTTACTAGTATCTCTGAAAATTAGTTGAAAGCTATTGCCATCTCATACTTTCCTCTATTTTCATATTTTGTCCTCATAAATATTTTCATCATAGAAGTAGTGGTGTCTTTTTTATATCCATTGATTTGAGTGATTGTTTTGTTCCTAGATTTCTTAGTAAATTATTTATAAGTGATCCTCCAGGTAAACAGTTTCAGAAAATAATGGCAATATTTACAATTTTTATACTGCAGATCTCTTTTTCTGAATGTGTTCATTTAGAAAATTCAGAACAATGTTAACTAATAGTAGTCATATGTTTTTGTCTTGCTTCTGATTTTTAAGGTGATGGTTACACCATTTACAACCACAACAGTTATGCTAATACATGTTTGAAATGATAACATATTAATAAAATGTCAACTTGCATTTAAAAACAAAACAAAACAAAAAGTCGATCTGCCAGTCGTCTCCATGGACTTCTGCACCCCATCCCAAACCCTTCTTCACCTGGGGTCCCCTTCCAGTTTTCCCCTGCCTCCCAGGCTCTTGACATGGCTTACCTGCCTTCACTTCCAGCACCCTGCCTCCAAAGTATAAGCTAGATCCCCTTGGCCTTCTGAATCTGCCAGTGTCTCCAGGTTCCCAAGACCACTTCCCTGTGGGCTTCCAAAATGGCCTTTATCATTTCCCCAGTCTGTCACCCTCTTCCATTTCTCCCATACACCCACAGTTTGTTTCTTTCCCTGTAAAAACCTTCACTGCCTCAATTTCTGGTTCACTCAACTCTTGTCACTATGTCTTGAGGCATGAAGCCTCAACTCTTGGAATTGCTGGCAAGGGGTGACTGCCTCTAAGTCACTGTTTTTTACATAGTGATTATTTTCTGTAGCGTTTTGACCTAAGATCTCAGCAATTTGAACACTAATTCCTCCCCTCCTGGCTCAAGAATTACTCCGAAGTCAGTCTGCAGAAAATAAATATTTAATATGACATAAAAAAATGCAGATCCGCTTGAAGTTGGACCTAAGCAGTCTATAGCAGTCCAAATTTATAGTATAAGTTTTCATGTCATAAAATAACAGTACAATTTATAATAAAACTGCAAATTTAATATCTAATCAAAATACAATAAAATATGGTTTTCAAATATGATTAATTCTTTCAGCTTTTCCTTTACTTGAGGGCATATAAACCAAAAATACTCAAATTGTGGCTGCACATTTAAACTTTAACAAAGCATATTTGGTTTATTTTAATGTAACTCAACCATTCTAAATCAATACCTAGTTTTCCTTCCTGCATGATTCTTTGTAATTGTTCCTTTTGACTTGTATTTCTGTTTCAATACAGCTTTCTTCTTCATTTTCACCTCTTTCTATTTGCAAAGTCTTTTATGTCCAGGCCCCCAGAACAGGTAGTTGAACTCACTCACCTCCTTGACATCAGTTTCTGTAATCCTTGCGTCAGTGTAGGGAGTAACGGCTTGAGTAATTACAAAGGTATTTCAAAAACTTCAGTGCAATTTGGTTCAGTTATTTTCATTCAGATGCCATCACCGTTCAGGGAGATTAACCACTGGAACCCACTGATCCAGTGGTGTGGATGTCAGCATGAATACACATCTTAAAGCTGTGAAAATGACCCTGAAGAACAGAGAAACTGTACAGCTGGAAACACTGAGTATTCGAAGAAATAACATTGATATTTTATTCTACCAGACAGTTTATCTCTGGATACACTACTTGTGGATGGTGAACTTAAGGTGAAATCTAAGAAAAGGGAAGCTGTTGCAGGAAGAAGCTGAGGCAGAAGTAGAGGAAGAGGACATGGCCGTGGCAGAGGAAGAGGGGGTCTTAGGCGACAATGTCTTTCAATATTACTGTTCCAAAGTGACATGGGATTTGGGATATTTTTTGTACAGATTGTGTTTGTTTATGTCAGTTTTTAATAAGTGTAAATGTGGAACAGTTGTCTATTCAGTAATTTTTTTTACAGAAGTTTTTTATTGATTGAAATGAAAGACATTTTCTGAACTGCTAAAATTACCATTTCAGGGCTTCAGAAAGACTGAGATATCAGCATTTAACAAGATATTAAGTGAACAAGAGATCACAGAATAAAACTTATACAAAATGAGGCATGGATCAGTTCATAGGTAATGGCTTTTATATTGTATTTGATATAATTCTTAATTTTATATCACTACTGAATATTTATTACAGTATTTCTAAACATAATTTGAAAAAATAAACAGAGAAACAATCTTGGTACCTCATAATTTAGATCATAAGATATCAGAACAAATACAGCCACCAAATATATCCATCTTAAATACAGTATACATTTAACAGAAATAATAATACATGACAAATTATTCAAATTTGAATTGAAAAGGAACAAATCGTTAGCGAGGAAAGCAAAATGTTTTTAACGTATTATATATAACACTTCCACCTAAGGGTCATAGCTGCTCAGATAACTTGAAAATATAGTCTAGGATTCCTAATATTATAAACATATTCTCCCATCTACTCCTTAAAGAAAAGTTTGCGGTGTTTGCATATACCAATATTGAATTTCATACATCTGACAGTTTGCCTAGACAACTATATTCTGAAAAGCATACATGTTTTAAGCTGTATGACAGTGATAACCAGAAAACAAAACACATATCTGCATCTGGTGGAGCTGAAATCAGGTCTCTTCAATTCAGCAGATCCAAATTCTGAAGGAATGTTTTTTAACAAACTTTTGGACAGTATTGACATGCGGGTTAAAAACAATTAGACTCTATTAAATGATGAAAAAATACCCAGGCTGCACTTGAAAGACTGGAAGAAATGGAAGAACAATTGTATTCTCTGCAAATTGGAAAAACATAAATCACCTAGGTATGTGAATTATATCAAGAAAATTGATACTGATTCTGGTCTTTACATTCCAAAACAAATAAGTACTATATTCTACAGAGATATAAGAGGTCTGTTTTCTTGCCTAGCTACTCATTTTAATATTCTTGTTTCACTTAATGGCAATCATCGCAAAGAACATTTCAGTCTATTTTAGTCCAGTTATGGTAATATAAAATCAATTCACTCTTAAGGAAAACCATGTCAATTTATTGGAGATATAAGCATGAAAATCCTATCTTTCAAGATATGATGGTATTAGTTATTATAGATTCAGTAATTACACATACATCCATTTGGATATGTTAAAATTATATATTTGACTATAATCCTCAATACAGATTTTTTACATTGGCCAATGCCCTTCATGGAACATTGCTGAAGTAAATTAGACCCTTAGAGGTACAAATGGCAGTGTTAACACAGATAATGCCGGAATGTATTTCATTGTTGCAGTAGGCCACTTCAGTGATTTTTCTTTCATCTAACTAGATATGCCACGAAAGCTCAGATACCTACATTGATAGAAATTAGCTTGAAATAAGATGCAGCAAAGAACAATAAGCATGCTTCAAAGGTGGTTGCATTTGCAAAGTGAAACTAAATATTAATGTCAATAAATTGATGTAATAGAAATTGCAGTGTTTTGTAGTTTATTTTGCTTCATTGCAAACATTCAGTAGAGAGTGATCTTAGGAAAACAAAACAGGCTAAAAACATTCTGGAAATGGCATGATTTAATCTATTGCTGGAAGACTGCAATTGGAGTAGAGAATAAAGTATTCTCCAGAAGAGAGATGGTATCTTACAAGATGTCTGATATATCATTAAAATAAATAAATAATTTAAGTTCTTCACTTCTGTCTTCTCATTGGCCTGATTTTTATTGTAACCTATTTTTGGCATTCCATTTAGTTATTTGTGAAATTGCTAAATGGTGACCTTGGCACAGAATGCCTGACATTCTTTTAAGTGTTTAACCCTAGTTTCTAACCCCAACTCAATATGCCTAACCTCTACATTGCTGCTGAAGCAGTAAAAATACAATGAAATGTACAGACCATTAGTTCCATTCTAAATGCTCTTAGCTTCCCTGGAGACTTCAAATTCTTCACAAATTTCCAGAGTTCCAGAACAAATACTTTAACAGAATATTAACCTAAGGAAAGCAGATGGATCCTTTGGTCGAACATTAAATGATGCCCCGTTGAGTTTAAATAGTTCAGCGTAATGTATTTTATGACTATTCCTTCAAAATGAATATCCTGAGTTAAAACAAAGCCAAGCCCCTACGGGGAGCTGCTGTGACTGTGTTTCTGCATTTGTCTGTAGGTCAGGAACAAGTGAGAAGTGATTAACTGTCTACCTACTACTTTTTTTTTTTTTTTTTTAGGGGATGGTATATTAATTTCTTAGGGTTGCCATAACAGATTACCACAAACTTCTTGCCTTAAAGTAGCAGAAATTTATGCTTTCACAGTTCTAGAAGCTAGAATTCTGAAATCAAGGTTTTGACAAGGCTGGCTTCTTCTGGATGATCTGAAGGGAATCTGTTCCATGTCCAGTTTCTGGTGGCTGCTGGCCACCAATGGCATTCTTTTACTTGTAGATGCATCCCTTCAATCTCTATCTCCATTGTCACAGATAGCCTCCCTGTGTGCCTCTCTAAATCTTCATATGACCTTCTTCTAAGGACACCAGTCTTTGGGTTTAGGGCCCATCCTAAAGCAGTATGACCTCATCTTAACTAACTACATCTCCAAAGACCTTATTTCCCAGAAAGATCCTACACTGAAGTTCCTGGTAGACATAAATTTTGAGGAATATTATTCAACCCAGTACAGACAGGTGCAGTTTCAAGTTAAACTTGTCTTATTTTGATGGAGTTTTGAGGTAAACATTATTATTATTAGAATTCAATGTCACCAGTTCTCTTCACCTTTTTGTAGTTAGGGAAACTACATTTCCTAGCCCCTTTGCATTGCATGGGACTTTGCGATTAGTCTTGCACAGTGGTCCAAGACTGGGAATTAAAAGACTTACTTTGGGCTGGGCATGGTGGCTCACGCTTGTAATCCCAGCACTTTGGGAGGCCGAGGCGGGTGGATCACGAGGTCAGGAGATCGAGACCATCCTGGCTAACACGGTGAAACCCCGTCTCTACTAAAAATACAAAAAAAGTATTACTTGGGCGTGGTGGCAGGTGCCTGCAGTCCCAGCTACTTGGGAGGCTGAGGCAGGAGAATGGTGTGAACCCGGGAGGTGGAGCTTGCAGTGAGCCAAGATCAAGCCACTATACTCCAGCCTGGGTGACAGAGCGAGACTCCATCTCAAAAAACAAAACAAAACAAAACAAAAAGACTTACTTTGAGACTTAGCTGCTGAGGAGCTGATGTGGATGTCTCCATGATTATTTCTGGTCCAGTGATGCCAGAAACTTGGTGTTGAGAAGGAAATGCCACACATCAAAGTCATCTGGACAGTGGCCTTTATCTGAGTGAGAAATAAACTTTTGTTATTATGACACTGTGATATTGGTGATATTTGTTACCAAAGCAAAATATAGACAATTCTGAGTAACGTAAGTTTCTTTAAACCCCAAACCATCTTTTAATATGAGTTTATAGCTCACAGCTTAATCAGTAGTCTGAACTTGGAGCCTATATGGTCTTAGCTCAAATTTTTTATTCCAAACATTTAATTTTCCTCTTCTTTCCTAAAAGTTTGATTCCATTTACAATTATTTGTTGAACACATTTATACTGAGGACTTTCTACACATATACATTAGAACATGTTTGATTTATATTATCTTTGACACTTGAATATGGGCAAATAAAGCCAGATTGTTGCTGAACTCTTGAAAAAGCTATTTGTGTTAACAGAGTTGTGACATGAATTTTTGTCATTTAACTATTATAAAATTCCCAGTGGTACTCCACTGGCAGAAAATAAGACTTTAAAAAATGGTGTTTCTGTATCAAACAAAAATTTGTTGAGCTGTGCTTTAAACTCTAGAACTTAGCTTCAAAGTAAAAGTTTTATTATTGAAAATAAAAATGGTAATCTGTAGACAATCTTACAGTGGCTACAAAGAATGCTGTGACATTTCAGACATATGTTCAACTTCCATCTCCATAATGAGTTTATTTTGAGTCTATTTATATACAGTTCATTTGAAGGGCAAAAATGAGAAGTTATACCCAAATGGCAGGGGTCCAAAAATCATGTCACTTAAGCAACAATTTTATGTGTAATATAACCCCCTGCTGGGGTGTCTGAAGATCTTACTAGAATGTTACATAAAAACTCAGCGTTAAAGCACAATAGGGAAACTAATTTAAAATGGAAAGAATGCAATTATTCCCCAACAAGAATGAACTAGAAAATGTTTCAAACAGGTTGAAGGGCAGTGTTCACTGACCTGAGTATGCTGATCCATGGAGGAGCTGAATCTGTCACAGCATAGAAAATAGTCTGGGCTGAGCCCTCTCTCTGAAGCTGCCTGGCTAAATGGCTTTATTACAGTGTCACGAGGCAGGAATGTCAAGGGTGACCCTCTGCCATGAAATGTTCTTTATTTCAAAGGTCCTTCAGGAAATCCCTGTGTGCTCACTGGCATGGGTGATCAGGAAAGGATCAAGGTCTTCTAGAGGTTGTGAAACCAATCTGGTCTCTTGGCATCTTTCAATATGGGATGACCTCAAGCTTAATGAGACACGATATTGCTCTTAACTCAATCCCCAGCGACTGTGGACTTTGAGAGTTCATCTGGGCCTCCTTCGTGTCGTATTCACAGTCTTGAAATTTAGGTCAAATTCTATTCATTCAATAAATATTTCTTGGCTATTTACCATGTTCCAATTTTTTTTAGGCTTGGTTGTGCAAGGATGAACAAGGCAGATGTGGTCTCTACCCTTCTGGGACTCACAGTCAAATGGGAAGAGTAGGCATTGCATAAACAATAAAATAGATAACAATTATTGTGATTTATGAAAGCTTTCATGAAAGATAAGTATGATAAATGATAAAGTCCTCTTTATATCTCCTCACCTCATGATACCTTGGTAATTTGAGAGGCCTCCTTTTGAACTGCATATAGAAGATCATTAGTTTTCTTAGTCTTCTTTTTCCTGTGAACGTAAACAGTTTTGGTACTTTGAAGTTTTAACTGCTACTATTGAAGATGTGTGATTTGCTTTTCTGTTAAACCTGCTGTTAGTCCTAGCAAACATCACTTTTTCCAGAAGAAATGGAATTCTCCAACATAACCCTGTAATCCTCTCCCATCCCCAGTCAAAAGTATATTTTTTCCAAAGTCCTCAGGAGAAGGACCCTATGTCATATATCTTTACATCCCTCACAGCACTGAACTGAATGCTTGTCATATTATACATCAAGAAGATACTGATAGGTGTTGATTAGATGAGGGGGCATTAAATACTCTATATTTTATATAAAATGATGGCTTATGAAAAGAAAAAGTAACAGGTATGTGGAGGAAAGTATCTGACTTCATGTCCTTGAGAGTAACTCAGTAAAAAGCGGTATTTACACAAATGTTGAAATACTTTCAAACCCTTTAAAGGTGTCAATTAAGAACTTAACTTTCTGCTAACTTGAGGGATTTTAACTGCTTATTGTTGGCATTTTTTTTTTTTTTTTTTTTTGAGACTTGGTCTTCTTGTGTTTCCTAAGCTGAAGTGCAGTGGCTATTTGCAGGCATGGTCATGGTGCACTACATCGTTGAAACCTTGGACTTAGTAATCCTTCTCTTGCCTCAGCTTTCTGAGTAGCTGAGACCACAGGCATGCACCGCCATGGACAGCTGTGTTGATGACATTTAAATTCACATTGATTGTCATGGAAAAGAAGTTTAATGAGCTACTGTTGTTGAAATACACAGATTTGAAAATGCCTAGATAAGTGAAATCTGTCCTGTTCTCATACCATATAGGACTTGAACTTTTACCATTTTTTTGTTGTTGTTTGTTTTGAGACGGAGTCTTACTCTGTCACCAGGCTGGAGTGCAGTGGCACAATCCTGGCTCACTGCAACCTCCACCTCCCAGGTTCAAGCTATTCTCCTGCCTCAGCCTCCCGAGTAGCTGGGACTACAGGCATGTGCCACCACACCCAGCTAATATTTGTATATTTAGTAGAGACAGGGTTTCCCCATGTTGGACAGGATTGTCTCGATCTCTTGACTTCATGATCCACCTGACTTGGCCTTCCAAAGTTCTGGGATTACAGGCGTGAGCCACCGCGCCTGGCCAAACTTTTATCATTTTTGATATAAATTGTTTTCATTATTCTAAATGAAATAATAACCTGCTTACTAGTAATAGTCTCCTTATCCTAAGGCCACTTACAGATGTCTTGTTAATCTCTCTGAATTCCTGACTCACACTGCTCTAGCTTGAACACTGTCCACATTACATTTTCTTTGACTCACCTATATATCTTGAATCATCAGACCCAGAGGGATCTCCCAGTTTCCACTTAGTGTTCCAGACAATCACCCAAGGCTTCCATATTCTCTGCTGAACTCTGATCCCATCTCTATTTTCCCTTCACCTTAAAGTACTGCCAACTCAAAAGTAACCCCCATTTGTAGCACTCTGGATTCTCTGTCTTTGGATCTCAATTTTTTCTCTATAAAGTCCAACCTGACTCATTCAGTTAGGATCTAGAATATGTAGTTATTGTGTGGGGCAAATGCCAGAAGTAAACTCAGCCACAAGAAAAATAATCATTGCCTCTCAACTGCCCACAGGCCAGCCTAGCACCCATTCCTATGAGAAAAAGGAACCTAGAAATTTAATTCTAAAGTTTTATCTTATCCCCATGGCTTCCTAAAACTATTTCACCCTGGTGCCTACCAGCCTTTTGCAATTTTTAACTTTTTGCCAGCCTAAATGTTTCCCAATCAACAGTACAGTGTCTGTCTTCTTCCTGCACCCTTTGGCTCTGACTTTGTTGTATCTCTTCCTAGGTCTATGTTTGCTTTGACCTTGGCATTTATGAAATATTTGACTCTTGGCTGTGATCTGATTATCTTATTTCTCTTCTGTGGTTCTTCCTTTGACTTTTCTAGGAGTTTTTCAGATCTGATGACCTGTTTGTCTCTGTTCTCCGCTGATTTTTACAGTGCTGGCACTACAGGATAATTACCATTGTTAAATAAGGGTTTGTCTTGGGACTTGTGGTACCCAGAAATTATGATCGGATATATTAAATTCTTACCATACTTTCCAAGAAACCCTGTGTGTTCTTTAAACCATTTGAGTTTAAAGATATAAAACTCCTCCTGGTTTATGGCCAAGCTCTATTAGTGATGGTTAATCATAATGAGAGGCTGAATAAAAACTAGAATGTTGCTTAGACTTTAAGTTAAAAAGGGAAAACAAATCTCTCCAGGTTACGAAGGGGGATTTACTTTCCTAAATGTTCTGCAGGTAGCTTAAACTAAACATGTACAGTGGGGGTAATGTTTTTAAAAAATTATTGATGTGCTTTTTATTTTGCCTTTCACAGTACAAGACCATTGTCTTAGTTTGCTTGAGGCAGCAATATGCCTGAGGAAGATTAGGATTTGTTACAGTAGAAATGCAAACAGAAAGCACCCAAACAATAAAAATGAGAAAGATAAATGAGTAAGATGAAAGAAAGGCTTCCTGGGGTTGAGGTTGGTTCTGGCGGTTTGCCTCCATAATGATAAATCAGATTGTTAGCTGTTCTCTAGAGAGGAGTTCCATTATTTTTATATTTCTCATATTTGCAAATAAATAATCCATCTTGGAGCAGTCAATTCAGAGCTCCTCTATAATTTAAAGAGCATAACTCTGCTCTCTGTGAAGTCTTGTCCCGTGGATTCTGGAAAGAAGAAAGAGACAGAGAGCATAGAATGAAAAAACTAATTATAGGTGCACATTTTCCTTTCTCTGGGCTCTGGACAAGAGATATGTGGGAAAAAAGAGAGAGAATACTAGCAAAGTCAGAGAGAGACCCCTATTTTCCATTTCGGACTTCAGAAGAAGGAAGATACTTGCAGGGGTTCTGAAAAACACTGGTGCAGAATGACTTCAAGATGTGTCAGTGTAGCCTGTTAAGGTAAAAAAGTGGTCCCAAGTGTAGCTTTTCTAAGGCACCTTTGGTTCCCTAAGGATCTTGCCAGAAGAAGGTCACTATTGATGAAATAAAGTGATTCCCAAATAAGGATTGAAGGGAGGAGCACCCCAACCCGGGCCAAATAAGGGTTGCAGGTAGACCTCTGAGGTTTCTACAGCAAGATTTGTGGTGAAGGTAGTGAGATATGAATTTCACAAGCAGCAGTGTTTGTGCCAGGCCATGGCCTTTGAGATGTGTTAGTCATAGGCTTTGAGCATCAGAGGAGAGCAAAGCAATCAGAATCCAGGAGGACAAAGGGCACTGTTGAACCACCTAGGAGTAAGAGCAAGACACCATAAGAATCAGAGGAGTCAGTGTTTCCTCTTTCTTGCCATAAAGGCAGTAAGCCATACTCCTCTCCCAGAAGCAGGGATTAATCATGTGAACATATTTTATCCAAGAGATACTGGATTCAAACTAATTTTTAAACTGTTTTGCACATGTAATTATTCCCAAGAATGGATGGGGCTCTGGAGAAAGGCCAGTTTACAGAAAAAATACAAAAGTCACTTTTTCTCCATAGTCTCAGATTCCAGTATGAGTGCCCATGATTTCATCATATATTGCCTTTTACCCCCATCCTCCTTCATCACTGTCTCTAGCACTGACGTACTCTCTGTTATTAAGGATCGACATCCAGAATCATCTTTGATTCCATTTCTCCTTTTCTTTCAACATCAAAGTTGTCAACTTTTGAAGGCCTTACATTTTTTATGTTCCTTTGGTTTTTTCCTTTTTAAAATTTCAACAGCTTCTAATTGGTCTGCTTTCTTCTTGAACCTTTCTCTTCCAATCATTTCTGTACATGACATCGAGATTAATCTTCTCAAATGAGGATCCTGATTTTATTACCCACTTTTCAAAACATTCATGGTTTATCATCATGTATTCAATTATAAGAAAATGTCTCAATCCTGTATAATGATTCTTCCAAAATATGACTACATCTTGCTTTTCCTGCTTTATCCTCCCTTTATCACTATGAATATTTGGAGGGAAAGTCTAAGTGGAGTACTTCTTAAGCAGGGTGCTGCAGGCTTTTAAGTGCTGGTCTGTTAGCTGGTGCTGTTCCTTTGTCTGGGATGTGATTTCTGCCTTACCTTCTCTTGTCTTAAAATTTCCTTGGGGATAAATCTACTCTAAACCTCATAGCGCTCGATCCTCATTAATGTTTATGAGGATAGGGGTTTGGAAATCTTTGTTAAGTGCAATTCACAATGTGATTATGGTATAGAGTTCACTTTGATGACAAGTAAGCAAAGAGATCCAAGAGAAACTGGTGGTTATCCTTTGCAGACAAATGAGAAAGTTTCACAGGAAACAGGAAAAAGATGTTAACAGAATGAGAATAAAATAAAAATAAGTTCTGAAGATCTCTCCTGTGATTCTAGAGAGGGCCCTTGGGTGCGGGGCTAGAAATTTAGACTCTACATGACAGTTAGGAGGCAGCCAAAATTTGCCATAAGCCAGTAATGTCTGGAATGGGGATGGAAGAACAGGATGTGCTGGCACCAGGAAGTAGGCCATAGAGAAGATTGCAGTTCACATGAAAAGAAGGAGGTTGACTTAATTGGTACAACTTTTCTCATCTTCAGATATTTCAAGCAAATGACTTGTTCACAAGACCAGCCATCTGCTATTGTAGAAATGAAGAAAAGGAGGTTTTTTTTACTTTTCTCTGTAAGCCACTGATCACATGATAAATAATTTTTGTTGTTGTTGTTGTTGTTGTTTTTGGTGCAGCTTATCACTGTATTTCTGTGCTATCAAAATAATGTAATTTAAGTGACTCAAAGATAGGATACAGTTGTTGCATATCCGGAGCATCTAAAAATCAGGTAGCTTCTTGATTTGAAACCAGATTGGAGTTTTATAGGGAAAGGAGAAGAGATGGGCATGTGTCCTTATGGTTTGGCTCAGGTTAACAGTTTTTGTCTTTAATTCCTGCAAAACTTTCAGCTGAAGTTTAGTCTCATTTTTATGCCTCTTGCTCGGAATTGTTAGTGCAATCCCATCTTAGTAAATGTAAGGAGAGTACTTTCTGAGAACTGTTTTTGTAAGGCTTATGGTTGTTCACTTGGTCAAAGTTCACAATGTGGGGTAGTAGACAAAGATCAAAGGCCAGAAGGAAACAGAGGACCCTCTATTATGTTTGTTTTAATCCATTTATAGTACTAGCAGGACTTTTAACTTGTGTATGTGAAAGAATGTCTACTACTTTTTGATTAGAATACATGGGCCCTGTTAAACAATAATAAACAACATGAGATGATTCATAATGCAGTAAGACGAAAAATTTCATCTTGGTCAATGGAATTCTCTTAAGAGAAATTATCAGCATTTCTTGAGAAAATATACTTTGTTTAGTCTATGAAGGTGGAATGTAAGACCCCAAATACATGCTCAAGAAAAAAATACTATTGCTAAACTCTTGTGCAGTAGACATAGAAGCGAACTTTCAGGCTCTTGAGAAGGGGCAAGAGGAAATAAGGATAACAGAATGAAAAGAAGGTCAGAGAGAGGGAAACATCTAGGCTGGGCTCTGAGTGAGGGAAGGGCCAATATAATTCATGATGGCAGAATGTTTGGGAAGAAAATTTTACATACATAAAGACTGATATTAATTTTTAGGTTCTTTACTGTAGAGGAGAGGATGTAAATGCCCTCCTCTGAGTCTTTTATGGAATCATCAGTAAACTAATCATTAATTTTACTTATGCAAGAATATATCCTTTCAGGAACACTCAAAGAAGTATTGAATTGTAAGCCAAAGTCAACACAAATGTAGTGCAAGCTGCTATAGGAATTAGAGAATAAGAAGATATCTGACATCTGGGGCACAATACATTTTTAATCTGGGTATTTTTGGTTAGTAAGATAGCACATAGGGCTGACAAAAACAAATTCATTCTGAAAGTTTAAATGTAGATGCCCTTTTCTAGTTATTGGCTCCTTTTTTATTGTATGCTTTATCACTTTAAATACACGTCTTGAATTTCTCTCTCTCTCTCTCTCTCTCTCTCTCTCTCACACATCTTGGTGCCAACCAGAGAAGAATGAAGGACCATAAATATGAATTATTCATTCATTCAGTCAAAAATAAGTACAACACTTAGTAAACAATTTGTTCACCCTCCCCTGATTCTCTTAAAGCAGAAGCCATCTGACTCCTCTGCTCCCATGATACTGCATGTCTTTGATTAAAGTACTTATCTTAGTATTTTATAATAGTTTATTTCCAATTCTACCTCTCCCGTTAGATTATGAGTTTCTCAAATATTATTTATAGTTTTATTTACAATATATTATTCCTAATGCTTGACACTGAGTTCTATTGTATTTCTATATTTCCCCTAATTTGTCAGAATATTGTTATGCTACTTTCCTTCCTCAACTTTGTCATTTTCTTTGACTTTGTTCATTATTTTGTCTCTTCTCGATGGGCAATGCTCTCTCTCTTACCCCTACCTCTTCTCTTAACTGTAAGCTCCTTGAGAGGAGGGTTGTGCATTCCCACTGACCTGGGCATCCCTAGCACCTGGCCAGAATAGCTGCATTGCAGAACTAAGCTGCTGTTCAGTGGACACTCTTGTGGCCAGCGGCAGGAGCTTAGTACCTAGAACATAATACATGATACATAATAAATGCCTTTTAAACAACATAAGTTGAATGGATGGGTAAGTAAATGTTCTCTATTCCTAACCATTTCACAATGGTTAGGAATCTTGGTGCTTATAATTTACCAGACTATCTGTGGAATTGATACATTTTATTTGTTCTTTTTTTTTGACATCTGCCTTGTATTATTTATGTGTGTAATTGTGTGTATCTGTATGTGTCTGTGTGAGAGACTATATTTGTATCTTTTCTTTCTCTTTCCCACCCACATCTCACATTATAAGTTCTTTTATGAGAGGACCAATGTCTTAGTTATTTAGTTTTTAACACACTGGTATATTACATGTAAACACTAATAATTTTCAGTTAAATTATAGCTAGAAGCATTAACTTTAAATAGCAACTTAAAAATAGTTTAAAGTGGATTATTGTACTTTCAATAAGGTTAGAACATCTTTGATTGTAGGTACAATGTTTTACCCTTGTCCATGTCCTGAAGACTTTGTACCATCTTGGGCATATAACAGCACATTCAGAAATGCCTTCTGAATTATTAATTTTCATTTCCCAAGTGTATAAATTATTTTTGAGTAGTGATTTTAACACTGAAGGTTTTGACTTATTTGGCATCTGGATATGTCTGACAGATGATTTAAAGAGTCTTATAATTATAAAATATGATCGTTTATAGAGACAGAGGTACATATGGTGCACCTTTTGAAATTAAATAAAGTGCCTGAGTCTAACATCTGTGTGGAAAACATTCATCACAGCAGGTCTTCCAGAAACTATCTAATACTTTCTTTGCTTCCACTAAAAATAGTCTTTCATCATGCCTGTTCTGTAAAAGTTTACTATTTTCTTTCAGATACATGCCTTTATAAATTTGGTTTTATTTCTCAATCCTAACTGTCCTTTGTAGTCATGAGCTTATTAGGTTAAATTTATACATTGTGTGAGGATGTAGACTAAGATGCTACTATAAAGGAGTCCAAGATACAAACTTGAAGCCTAAGTTTATTCATCTCGAAGGTAACAATCCCGAAGTGAACAGTCTAGGCTGGCTGGGGTGGCTGTGCCTTCCTAGGTCATTCAGGGACCTAGTTTCACTCATTCTATTGCTCCATTATCCTCTATGATGTTCTCATCTACTTTGTCAAAGCGAGATCACCATGTCCAGCATCTAACTGCAATAACTAGGAAGAGGAAATCCAAGGCAAACATCTTTGTTTTAAAGGGGAAAATCCAGAAGGTACTCACAAAACTTCTCACATCCTATTGGCCAAACTTAGACACAATGTACTGCTTAGCTGCAAGAAAAACTGGGAAGCATAGTCTGTAAGGTGGGTGAAGAGATGGCCAGTGAAAATCCCAAAGAGTCTGTCTTTTAAAAGAAAAATTAGGCAACAAATACTGGTGAACTGTCTGACTCAGTCAGCTCCTCTGACCACTCCATAAGTACCTTCTCCCCACATGTCAGCATATGGTTTCTTTTTCAAAATCAGCTAGTCAATGTTCCTTTATCCTATTCACAAAAATTGAGGCTGTTGTGAGTGTTGCACTTTCCTCTCTGACAAGTTTGAACTTTGACCTTTGCAATCTGATAACTCATACACTAATATACAAATTCTGCATGTCCCTGACACCTAATATGCAATGGGAAGCTGGAACATAAGAACAACCGTGATAAACTCCTGTTATTAAAAATAGGAAGAATAGGAGCAGACAACTGCTTTATAGAAATGACAAAACTCTGGTATGCAATGATTTTAAGGCCCTTGTTCTTGCACTGGACTAAATTCTTCAGCTGGGCTCTTGACTTGATCTGTGAGAGGAACTCTCTGATCCATTGTCCTTTAAGTCACATGGCTCTTCCCTTTTGGGTTGGGGAAAGCTTTTATTCTTTCTGCTGCCTTTCTCTGCCACAACTAAAGTATGCATTGAGAATATGCCCTCTATAAGCACTGCTTTAGGGACAATCGTAGGTTCTTGTTGGTCAGATTTGGGGCTTCTTTGCAATGAGGTCTCCTTTTTCAAATCTCATTAAGATTCTAGCCTACTTGTGTCTAATAAAATTTATGTAAAAGTCACCACACTAAAAGATTCCTTTATTCATAGTTTTTAAGCCTGTGAGATTTTCTATTACATGCTGTTTCTGTGCTTGAGCCCTCCCTCTCACCTTCAATATAATACTGGCTAGTCTAAGGTTGTGATGGTTAATATTGAGTGTCAACTTGATTGGATTGAGGATACAGAGCAGTGATCCTGGGTGTGTTTGTGAAGGTGTTGCCAAAATAGTTTAACATTTGAGTCAGTGGGCGGGGGAAGGCAGATCCACCCTTAATCTGCTGGGCACGATCTAATCAGCCACCAACGAATATAAAGCAGGCAGAAAAACATGAAAAGGAGTGACTGGCCTAGCTTCCCAGGCTACATCTTTCTACTGCGCTGTGCTGGATGCTTCCTGTCCTTGAACATCAGACTCTAAGTTCTTCAGTTCTGGGACTTGGACTGGCTCTCCTCACTCCTCAGCTTGCAGACAGTCTATTGTGGGACCTTGTGATCTTGTAAGTTAATACTTAATAAACTCCCATATAAATATATATCTATTTCTGTCCTTCTAGAGAACCCTGACTAATACAGAGGTCATCTAAAAATACAGACTTTAACTAGGAAGTTAATCTGAACTTCGAACCTAGTTTGCTCTCATTATTTGACTAAAAATTCTTACTGGGAGGATTTTAAGAAAGGCTCTGAAGGATAGACTTAGCTTCTGCTATTTCAAGCACAAAAGCAGTTGATTTTTCTAGTCCTGTGAAGCCACACATCTCTCAGTCAAAGTAGATGAAATGCTGCATACAGAAAAGGTGTCCATAAAGGAAGCCCTGTTTCCTTCAATCTCTTCTTGCAAGCTGGCCTTTTTTACCCTGAAGCTGAGCTCTTTTTTACCCTGAAGCTGAGCTTTTTTTACCCTGAAGGACTTTTCTAAAAAAAGCAGGGAGCCATAAACACTCACCAATATCCTGAGTTTTCCAATCAGTTTTCTAGAACAGTAAGATCAGCATAGATGTTGCTGGAGTTCCAATTTCTCACAGGTCACATTTCTTTTCCTATTGATTTTGTGGAATAAATAGGTTATTAGTGTCTCACAATTTAATATCTGTTTCTTCCTCTTCATCCACCTAATTGTTAAGCCAATGACAAATATTTTGAGTATTTATTATTGAGGTATCTCACATCTCTGATCAAATTTTTATATTAGGTAGGCTATAAGATAAATCTTTATAACAAATGAACCAAAAATAATTATTTTACATGAAATTGAAGGCTGTTTCCTCATATTTTCACAAAAGGAGAGAGATCAAGACCAGTAGAATAGGTCTACTTCAGAGAGTCATTCATGGATCCATGTTTAGAATAGGATAATATTCTGCTTGATGTTCCATCATTATGTAGGGTATGATCCTCTTCCACATGGATTGGAGGCGGGAGAAAGGAAGTTCAGAATAACTTCATCTTCAAGGCAGTGACACTGTACTTGCACATGTCTTTTGCGATCACATCCTCTTTGACCTAAACTTAATCCCTTGGCCACACATGTCTGCTAGGAAGGATGAAAAGTCAAATCTGTAGTTTAGTTGTGTATCCTAATTCCATGTAAGCTAAAATAAGGTGTTTTTTTGTTGTTGTTGTTTTTTGTTTTTGTTTTTGTTTTAAAAAACCACAACAAAACAAAGAAGAAAGAAAAGAAGGAAAGATTGAATTTGTGAGGACAGCTAGCGACATAAAAGATTAATTTACAAAGAACGTTTAATTGTATTCAGTTTCAAAACAGTTTGTTGCCTACAACTAAGGATAGATTTTATCCTGTGTTTCAAGAAGCATTAATAACAATTATCTCTTGGTGTTTACTAAGTGTAGGCCATAGAAAATTTTCCCATTCTCTTGGAATGTCATCAACAACATAATCAAGAGGAGGAGTCTTAAAATTTGGAGGACATAGCTCCATCATGGCAATAAGCAAACACTTGTTTTTTCCTGGTAATTTTTAAAATTATTCAAGTTGAAAGTAATACAATATCTGTTAACTGATTTTGATTTTTTTCTTTAAGCAATTTATTTGGGTCACTGTATTTTTTTATACTACTCTTTAATATATTCTCTACAGAATTCTTAATTGCCTGCAAAAATGATTAACAGTAGGCTCCCCTGCTGTTCAACTCAGTCATTCATGACTTCACCAGATGGTTTGTTTTTTTGGGCCAATGGTTTTTCCTTTTGATTTTTTTTTCATATTGTTTCCCCTCCCCTGGATACAGTCAAGATCTGAAATATGATGCTCAGTTTTAATTTTATGACTAAAATATAAAATATTATGCAGATAAATATTTTATTTTCGTTATACTTAAGGCTAATGGCTAGAGTGTTGGCTATTGTGGGCAAGGCAATTTGAAAGTATACTTGTTTTCTTCAATTACGTTCTTCACATAGTCCCTTGTCATTGTTCTCTAGTAATTCAAGTGCCATTAGTTTTTGCCACCTTTTGCAATCTTCCCTTTGGTTACCCTATTACTTTTATGGATTCATTTTATTTAACACTTTTCTTTAATATGTTATTCAAAGTCCTGCTGAGGAAAACTCATTAGCTGTTACTCACCTAATTGTTTTTAGCTTGTATAAATAGTACCTAGATTAAGATGCAGTTAAACAAAGAAAAACAGAGATATATAAATGCCTGAAAGATTTTCGTGTTTTAATCAAGTTATGTCAATCTATCTGACAAAGTATTTATGAAATTTCAACTCTTTCATTGGTCATGTAACATTTTCAGAGGCAATGTTTCTTAGTAAAAATAATATTTTTAATAATTTGCTGTATAAATGATTGGCTTCTAAAACTGGTAAAACTTTCAAAGATCTTCCACTATGTTAGCTTATAAAAGTAATTAACCTCAAGTCATTTGCTCTACATTTTTTGATATTACTGACTTCTAAAAGGTGAGGTTTGACTATGTATTTACATTTTTTTGATATTAAAAACAAGTTTGAAACGTGGTAAAAGAATATTTTTAATTATTTGTTTTTTTCTTAAAAATGTGGCAATTTAGCTTCAGAAGTAATGAAATCACTGAGTTAACTGTCATTTTACAGATAGAGCATCTGAGATTCACATAATTTAGATAACTTGTCCAGGCTTACACTTTCAGCTGGGGGAAGTGCAGAAAATTTCATAGTACCTGCTTATCCAGTACCCATCCAATGTTATTTATTTGTAAGGCTACCATAATACAGTACCAGAGACTGGGTAGCTTAATCAATAGTAAGTCATTTTCTCACAATTCTGGAAGCTAAGAGTCTGAGATCAAGGGCACAGCAATATTATTTCTTTATAGCCCTCTTTCTTTTGCTTGTAAATGGCCACCTTCTCCGTGTGTCCTCACATAGTCTTCCCTCTGTGCCTGCTTCTGTGGTTTAATCTCCTCTTCTTATAAGGACAGCAGTAATATTGGATTGGAATCTATGCCCAATGAGCTCATTTAAGCTTAATTGCCTCTTCAAAGACCCCATCTTCAAATGCAGTCACATTTTGAGGTACACATTCTGACATTAGGACTTCCACATATAAATTTGGGAATAGGGTAGACACAATTCAGCCTGTAATAGGGACATTGGCCTGTCTTTGAGCCAGGAGCTCTCCAGAGGAAGAAAATATCTGGTGGTCAGCATAAATGCTTTCCAGCCTTTCTGGTGTGTTGGAAACCAGAAAAGTGAAAAGTAAGCCTTCTCTAAATCAGTTTTTAATTTTTATACAATGACCCTGAATTTGCCCCAAATATTTGCAGAAAATAGTTACAGGAATGCAAAAGAAACAAAAACAATAACTTTGAATGAAAGAACTAACATTTTCCTAAAGGAAACCAGTATTAGAAAAGGGAATTCTATGCAGAGATCATGTTAACCATGTTGGCCAAAGCATGAACAGTATCCAGCATAGAGTAAGCCCTCAACAAATATTTGCTCACTGACTATGTCACTGGATCAATGAAGATATGAAGATCTTCAAAACTATTTATTCCCCTAAAACTCGCTACATAGTGAGTTTGCGGTAGAGTGCTTCTAACCTGCCTCTTACCCAATAAATGAATAGCCCCAATAGGCATTTACATGAGATCTAAGTGTACTGAATCTCAGTACTGTCTCAGAATGCTCAGTTATAAGTAGTATAGCACCCTTCATTTTTTTTCCCATTTAATCTACAATGGTTACAAAATGCATCTCACAATATAATGTCAATAGATAGACATTTCAGCACAGAGCTCCAATTACTCTGGACTACTTCAAAGCTTACTCATTAATTTCAAAATCAAAAGGTTTTATAACTTTTGAGTTTCTCAAAATCGGCACTATTGACATTGCAACTGGATAATTCTTTGTTGTGAGGCACTGCCTGGGTATTGTAAGATGTTTGGCAGCTTTCCTGGACTTTACCCTCTAAAAGTTAGTGGCACTCCTCCAGTCATAACAAGCAAAAATGTTTCCAGAAATGGCCAAATCTCTTATGGGCAAAATCACTCTTGGTTGAGAACCATTGCTTTATTTTGAATATCTAGACCATGCTCTTTATGTATATTTATAATTATTAAATTATCAATAAGTTAGATTATGGGAAGGTCACGTAAGTGTGCATCTATATAAAAGAATCACTTTTCCTGTCCTTATGTAAACCAGTTTTGCTGACACAAAGGTTTCACTTTCTTTTTTTCTGACACTTTATTATTCACTGAAAAATAGTCTAATTACAGTCTTCTTCTCTCAGTCATAGTTCTAATTATTAGTCACATTGACCTTTCTGTTAAATAAAAAGAAACAAACTACATCATAAGCCATAAAAGCAATGACATTAAACGCTAGCTGCAAAGAAATACATTAATTATGTACTCCTAAATTAGAATGAAATATCTTCCCAAGTCCTGTATTTGAATATGTTTGAGAGAGTCTCTTTAGAAGACTTCTTTATTTTTAATGGAGCAGACAGCAGGCGTTCATGACCACAAAGTTCTCTTTGTGAAAAAATTAAATAAAACTTTATTTACTGATTAATGAAAAGAGTTCTGTGGAGTTGGCAGGCAATCTCAAATGCTTTCCAAATTTTTAAATCTGTAAAAGTCAAATTAGCCATCATTTTGTGGAGTGTGGTTGACAATGAAGACAATTTTCTGCAAACACTCATCAAGACTGAGTTCTGTTAGAGAGCATGTGAACTGGAGAGGCTGCAACTCAGCCAGAGTCTCTGTAGTTTCATATTTAAATATTTTTGATGTGTCGTATCCAATTTCAGTATTTCCTTCATGTAAAAGCTCTGATGTAGGCTCTGTTCCTTTTCTTTGCTGGCTTTACAGCCAAATAATTTCTGTGTAATAAAATAAACTATTACCTTATTTTAAAATCAATTTTCAGAAACTTCTCTAGACTCCTTCTAGGAATTGTCTCTGACTAAATATGAGTAATGTGCACACTGGCCCTTCTATAGTTGTAATGCATTCCTTATTTAATAGCTTTCATTGTAAAAATATATACATTTTCAGTTAGTTGTTTTCAGTATGAGCTTTTAAGATTTGAGTTTAAAATAGTACTGATTGAAAAAATAAATTTTTATTTAAGAAACGTAGGCTAATTAAGAGATCCAGAGGGAAATTTGACTATGAAAATACAGCAAGATAAAGACTTTGAGTTTAAAGTCTGGAAGGCTTGTGAAGGACATGCTAATGAACCAATTCTCACAGCATTCCAGTGTTGATGTAGTTTGAAAGAACATAGAACACATGGTGGTTCCAAACAGAGTCATTCTCTACTGTAGATGAAATTAATTCAGGTCATTGGTTCCCAGTGTTTTCAAGAAGAAGGCATCACTTTTGGTTTTTTGGGTTTTTTTTTTTTGAGACAGAGTCTCACTCAGTCACTCAGGCTGGAGTGCAGTGGCATGATCTTGGTTCACCTCAACCTCCTGCTCCTGGGTTCAAGTGATTCTCCTAGCTCAGCCTAGCTGGGATTACACCATGCCTGGCTAATTTTTTATAGTTTTAGTAGAGACGGGGGTTTCGCCATGTTGGCCAGCCTGGTCTTGAATTCCTGACCTCAAGTGATCCACCCACTTTGGCCTCCCAAATTGCTGGGATTACAGGCATGAGCCACTGCGCCTGGCCAAGGCATCTTGAAGTAATGATAAAATATATTCATTGTCTCATTTCATTTATTCATACATTCAGCAATGTGTATTTATTAACTATAATAAGTAAGTCCTTTTGTAGGCTTGGGAATATAGCAAACAAAAAAAGTCCCTGACCACGTGGCATTTACAAAAGAAAAAGTGAATAAACAAAAATAAATTTTAAAAACATATTATGCAATATGGCAATCAGTGCTATGTAAAAAGTAAAGTAAGATAAGAGAGACAGGGAGTTCTTGGGTGTGTGGTGGTTAAGGAAGGCAACTCTTAGGTCTGTTTCCTAGAAGTACAGCCTAGGATGGACATTCATATTCAAAAGGTTTATTTGAGGAAAAGGACTATGGGCACAAGGGAAGTGAGGCAAACAGGAGAGAGCTGGGTGGAAGATCAGCAAGAACGTGGGATTGGCTGGAGACTTTCAGGTAAACCACAGGAAATTCTGGAGCAGCAATAGTACTACAGAATCCGTCCCTTCTTGAAGTAGCCTCTGGGCTTTTGGTAGCCTGTGTCAGCTGGTTGCTTGCTGAGGTGGTGTGGCATGACCTAGAGGGAAGGCACCTTCTTTTGGCTGAGATCAATGGTCTGGATAAATGAGGGTCAGGTGTAAGTTTTGTTCAGTCAACACCAACAGCAGCTGAGGATGGTGCTGCAGTCTGTCAAAGGGGTCTAGATGAGATTCCAACAGTATTTTCTTGTACATTTGAGAAGGTAATGAGAATGTGAGGGAGAAAGATAGCTAAATATCTTTGAGAAGAACATTCTAGAGAGAACAGTGATTGCAAGAGACTGAAACTTACTTAGCTTGAGGAACTGCATTATGTCCAATATGACTAGAATCATGTGAACAAGAGAAAGAACAGAAGGAGATGAGGAATGCAGGAAAAAGAAGAAATCTTGTGGGAACTTGCAGGTTATAAAATGAAATGGGAAGTCAGTTGAGTTTTCTGAGTGGAATGCATGATTTGGATTTATTTTTAATATATTTACTTTGGCTGCCATGGGAAGAATTAGATTATAAGAAACACAAATATAAACAGGAAAATTAATACTTGCCATTTTTGTACCCTTTTGTTGAACAACTACATGCTATCAAAAAGCTATAGTGAATTTATTAATGCTTTAACATGGTCTTCCATGTGACAATTACAATTGCATTCATATAGATTTTGTAAGTACTGTGTATAGGCAGGGGTTATATTCAAAATATTCAGTGGACTGAATAAAGAAAATGTGATACATATACACCATGAAATACTGTGCAGCCACAAAAAAGAATGAAATCATTTCCTTGGCAGCAACATGGATGGAGCTAGAGGCCATTATCCTTAGCAAACTAACACGGAAACAGAGAAGCAAATACAGGATGTTCTCACTTATAAGTGGAAGCTAAACATTGGGTAGTCATGGACATAAACATGGCAACAGCAGACACTGGGGCCTACTTGAGGGTACAGGGTAAGAGGAGGGTGAGGATTGAAAAACTACCAATCAGGTACTATGTTCATTACCTGGGTAACATAATTCTCTATACATCAAACCCCTGTGACATGCAATTTACTTACATAACAAATCTGCACATTTACCCTCTGAACCTAAAATAAAAGTTGGAAAGAGAAAAAAAAAACGAAAGTGTTTAGCAAACAATATTCCAATAAGTCATTATGGAAGCTGATATTCAGCCCCAAATGTAGACAAGATACAATATTTATTCAGTCTACAGACATTGCTTGCTACACAGATTGTAAGCCTCTTATGATATAACCCTTTTGCTTCTTAAGTGTTCAAGCTTCAATACAAGATGATAATTTTTCATCTATTCTGAGAAAAAGAAAGAAACTCACTTGGACCAAATGGGGTGGTATTCAATGATGAAATGTAGAACTTAAGGAAAATACCAGATATAGGATAGATAGGAAGGTCTTAATTTGGAAAACAAAGGATTTTGTAAGCCAGCAGGTAGGGGTCTATAAGCTGAAACCTGAAAGTTGAGCTTAAGGGCATTTCTCCCCTAGGTATCTTTATTAAACATTGCATTTATCCTGTAGACTGAATCACTTTTTGATGTTATTCTGTCTCCCTTGTAGATTTCATTCTCTCTAAAGCAAGCACCAAATCTCTTTTATTTATTGTATATTCAGAGTCTACCACAGAGCCTGGCACTGTATAGGTGTATAAGTTTGAACACACAAGTGCTGTAACAACAGGATACCTAATTTGATAATGGGACTCACTATGTGAAAAGTGGTTATGGTTCAAAGACAAAGAGATGTACTCTGGGTCAAATCAGGAAAGGAACTTCCTTCTCTCTAAAATAGCAACAGCTTTGCCTAGGATTGGTGAATCAAATCAAGTGAGCCTCACTAGACATATGCTAATTTCAAGAGTTACATGGGTAGCCCCTTGCCACTGGATGTTTATATGAAAGTGAAATTAACTTCTGTCATTATATTTTTAGATCTTTTTGTAATAGAAGCTTAGATTATACCCTAACAAAGGTATCAACCATGAACTGATGTCCTGTAAAACTGTCCTGAATCCTAACATTTGCTCTGGATCCCAGACATGTATCCAATTGCCTATTCAACATTGTTACTTGAATGTCTGCTAATAAGAACGATTGATTAACTCTGTTCTTTGAATGCATTCTTCTTTGTTTTTTCCTTTTCAGTATACAGCACCCTCCTTCACTCAATCAGCCATGGAAGAAAAGGTGTAATTTCTTATTTATTTCATTTACCCACTTCTAATTCATCAATAAATGATTTTGAATCAGTATACAAAATAGACACCCAGCCTGATTGTTCTTGCCAATCCTACCTCCGAATCCTAATTCAAGCTATCCTTCTCGTGTGCCCAGATAATCATCTAACTGACCTACCTTTTTCCACTCTTGTCTTAGAGTCTATTCTCCACAAAATTGCCAGGGTAATCTTTTAAAAGTGAAGCTCAGTTTGTATCAGTTGTCCTCTAAAAGCTGTTAAAATTCTTCTGTCATTATACTTAGCACAAAATCTTAATCATAGCTTCATTTTTTTTTTGATATTTCACTAATTTCACCTTCAGCTACTTTCTCCGTTGCTGATTTCATTCTGGTGACAATTCCCTTCCTTTCTACATAAGAAATCAAATCTTGTTTCTGCCATGAAGGCTTTGGACTTAGAAATGCAATGAGTATTTAACCAGGGCTTTACTTGGTAGAATTTAGCCAAGCAGTTTGAAATCTTGATCATCAGCCTCTCATCTTCTCCACACTCCATTGCCAAAGTCTTTGTCAAAATGCCAAAGTGTTGATAAAAGATTGTGCTTGTAATTCTTGTTATGGTACAATTTCTCCTTAATCCTGAATTTCTTAGAATAAGTACATGAATAAATGAGAGAATGAGTGAACAAAGTGCAGTACCTAATATGTGTCAAGCATTGTGCTTGGCACTTTAAAAAATTTGAAACATTTCAAGCATTTGAACGTTTTATGTGATTCCAGTGGCATTTTCTGTGAAAGTTGTCATGCCATTTAAAATGTTTTCAAATATGAATCATGTTACAAAATTCATAATTTTATATGTCATATATAAAGAGAAAGAAAAAAGGTTTATAATGTATTTTAAGCAATGTGTTACTATATAATACTAACAACTATAATGGTAGTTAATAAGTCTTGGAAAAGGTCAAAGAAATATTTGATTTCTGATGCAACTTTGACTAAAATATTTAAGTTAGAAATAAAAACATTCTTATTTTGCTATGTCACGTTAATTACAAAATTAAAAATCGATGTTTTATGGAAAAACAAGACTATACTTGCACTCCTCACTGCCTTCAATCTTTTTCCTCCGTAGTGTTGCATTTCTCACTCTCTAATTTTAATTAGATTTCTACTTTGATAATGCCTTTTCCTGGTAGTCTTTCTTGTGCACCCTATATACATTAGTGTGTGTGTATATGCACACACACACACACACACACACACATACATTTCATTGTTCTCCATTCTCTTTCCTTGCTTTATTTCTTCATACTATTAAGAGATTTTGTATGGTGTATTGTGTATTTATTTGTTTAATGTCGTTTTCTTCTGATGAAAAGAAAAGTTCTCTGAGCAAATGATTTTGATTCTCCTTTTTAGAGTCTTATCCTTAGAGCACAGACAACTGCTTGATAGTTTTCAGGCTCTAAGCTGTTTGCAGGTGCCATTAGCTATTTCAGGCTGAAAACTTCATAGATTCTTTCAGTGCTCCAGCCTGGGGAACAACAGCCTGGTTTGTTTTCAGGGGTGGTCCCATCCTTTGAGATTCTTACTTCTTTTCAACCGGTGTATGTGTGTGTGTGTATGAGCATACTGTCTGTGAGTGTGTGTGTGTGTAGGTGTGTATATTAGGTTTAGGTTGCTATTTCCTACAGCTATATCTACAATCTATTCAGAAACATGTATCGTTACTTAATATTCTCTAAAATATGCAAATTTTTTCCATGCTTCTAATCCTTAAATAATGCAAACCATTGGTAAAAGAAGAATCATACTTCACTGTGCATTTTAATACACAGTAGCTGTGTCTACTGCTCCATTTCAATCACTTAAAAGAAAGACTTAGGGAAGCTGAGTTAACAAATGTTTAAAGGATAGAGCTTATGGGGAACCATATTAAGCACACTGTGTTACAGAAATTGCTAGGGCTAGTTTTCCTAACACTGTATCATTTACTTACGGTAATTGAGGATGGACAGGAATGAGGATAGACTGGAATGGGATAACGACAACATATATTGGTTCCAAATGACTTGAGTGTTTCAAACAATTTTAGATTAGTTCAGTCTCTTTATTACTTCCAGAGGCATTTGGCATTCTTTTCAGTGAAGAGCCTAGAGAAGCAAATAAAGTAGTTACAATGGAATCTACAAAAATGTGCATGATACCATCATCAAACATTTTTCTTTTTTTACATTGTTTTTTATTGCTAGAGGGACAGTATAATTAATAATGTACTCTATTATACATTCTTGGGAAGTAGAGTATATATGGTTTTATTTAGGAGATATTTATAAATATCTTATTTGAAATGTGTAGATTTTTTCAATTCACTTACAGAGATTAAGGTGGTGTTTTTAAAAATCACATTAATTGTACAAGGGATGCTAGAAATATTTTACAAAGAATAATTATTATTTTCTTTAACAGAAATATACAATTACAGAAGAAATGCTCTGCCTTTGGAAACTCTATTAGACAAAGGACAGAGAGAGTTTAATGGTGTCCTTTGTTGTTGTTTGTAATGTAATCTATTTTTATTTATTTATTTTGCAACAGCTTTGTTGGGATAAATTCACATACTATACAATTCACCCACTTAAAAAGTGTACAATTCAATGATGCTTAGTATAGTCACAAAGATGCACAACTATGACCTCAGTCAATTTTTTTTTGTGTGTGTGTGTGGAGATAGGGTCTCACTCTGCTGTTGCTTAGGCCAGTCTCTGGTCTCAGCCTTCTGACTAGCTGCAATTAAAGGCACGAGTCACCATGTCCAGCACACTCAATCAATTTTAAAACAACTTTATCCACCCCCAAAAGAAAATCTTTAGTACTAACCTTTTAACAGTCAGTTGGATTACTCCCAACTACCCTAGTCCTTCCTTAGCAACCACTAATCCACTTTCTGTCTCTGTAGCTTTGCCTGTTGTAGACATTTATATACATGGAATCAAGAAATATGTAGGCTTTTATGACATCATTCTTTCACATAGCATAATGTTTTCAAGGTTTTTCCACATTGTACTATGAATCAGTACTTTGTTTCTTTTTATTGCCAAATAATATTCCATTGTGTTGATGTACCCATTTTATTTACCTGTTCAACATTTGATGGGGCATTTGGCTTCTTCCCATTTTTCAATTATTATGAAGAATTCTGCCATGAATATTCATTTATAGCGTTTCGTGTGGACTATTTTCATTTATCTTCAGCATATAGCAAGGATTGTGATTGTTGGGTCATGTGGTAATTCTCTGTGATGCTAATTATGTTGAGAAAATTTTCACGTGCTTGTTGGCCTATTTTATTTCATTTTCACTTGTCTGCATTGCAATATGATTTTCCCTATTACTATTTTGATCTTTCCATCTTTTTGCAATCCTGAGAACCACATATTTAAATTTGTTAGAAGTGTGTATAAACCAAAATGAGTGTGTGCTCATATGTATGGCTATGTATGGTTTATTGCATAGATTAGGTCAGATATATATGACCTGCCTGTATAGCATTTTCATTTATTTTCTAGTTCTTAACTGTTTCCTGATACTATTTGAATGGTATGACTTAATTATAGATTTGACAAATTTATCAATAATATATTTATGTAAACATAAAACAACTTATCTTTGGATTTTATCTACCTATATATGTTTCTGATAGCAAAACAGTAACTCTAAGAGGGAAGTAATTTTAAAATGATAAAGATAATCCTAAATATTAGAGAAATAGAATTATATTTATTTTAAAAGAGTTGGCTGAATCAACTTAATACTCCCTTTGAGTTATTTTAACTTGATTTTGGCAATTAAATTTTATACTGAATGAAAAAATGATTCAAACTAATAGATTCACAAGGGCAGTAACTGCTGTTTTTCTATGTGATATTTAATTATAGCCAATATCAGGAGCTTGGAGGAGGTACATTAATTTTTAACTAGAGATACTTTTAATGACTCTATGTTGTCATTTTCTAAAGAGAATATGTGAGGTAGTTCAGCCTGTTAGCAACAAATATATTTCTCGAATATGTACATATTTGAGGTTTGCTTTTTGCCATTTAAATGGATTTGTTAACAAAGTTATAATGAGAGAATTTCATTCATCAGTTTTGATTGATTTAATTCAAGTCTTTAAAAAAAATTTTTTGGGGGTTCAATACAAGGACTATATTCATATGTTAGTTTTTGTGTTAGTTTTATTTGTTTATTCTTTTAGCGATGAGGGTCAACTCCTGTGTCTTCCACTGTACTATGGGACATATGGCCGAGGCTTCAGAATTCTCTCAGACATCTCACTCATTAACCAAAAAAGGAAAATACCACAAAGAAAATTTTATGGCAGAAACTGAAATTGTAATAAATTTCTCTCTGAGGACTCCCAGTGTAACTGACAAGTTTTGTGCCAGGGGTCCTTTAGGAACAAGAGATTTTACTTGATTTCTTTCACTGCTGGCCTGCAGAGGCTGCCAAAACTGTGTACAATTCTCAGACGCTTGATGACTAGCACAGCTGCAATCCTGTGTCATAGGCTCCCAAATCAAGAAATTAAACACTGTAGCCTTACGAAGGCTATCTCATGTCTCATTTATTCATGTAGTATGGTGGCTGTTCTTGGTAAGAGGTTAAAAAAATACACATAGTTTAGAGTGTGCACTATCTATATCCAACCTGAATATGTCTGCTATGTGATTTACCAAGATTAATTTGTTTCTCAGTTATTTCAAGTTAAGAGACAATTTCTGCACAGTGACTGTTTGCCATGACTGATATTCACTCATAGTTACTCCTTTTTATATAGCTTTTTTTTTTTATCAGAGAATGGGGGAAGCATACCCATGGGACTGAAACACCTTTGATTTTGAGAGGGTGATCATTGTTGGGCAACAATTCTCCATGGGTTGCTTGAGTTTCTGCATGTCTTGTGAAGATGCCTTGAAGACTTTTGCTCTGAACTATTTTTTTTTTGCAAGGAGATTGATATAGCAAATAGCTTCAGAAGACAGAGATACTGTCTCCCTCTGGAGTAGAAGGCTGAATTTTTCCCTAGCCAAGATAGTAAAGACAATATTTTTCTCTGGGTAAAAGATTGGGCAGATATGCTAGCAGACCCTTTCAAAAATTAGGGGTTTTGAACCATAGGGTTCTTTAGCAGTTACATGAACCTAGAGAACGTGTACACCCATTTGAACTACTCCCCATTATCCCCATGAAACTTACAGGGCGAAGGATCACAATGTAAACATGAAACCAATGCTGCCTGCTGTGCTGTGCTGTGAGTAGTAAAGTCCTATGCCTCTGATCCAGGAGTCTCATGTCTTATACCAGCATCTAAATGACTGTGGCAAATGAATTTGTTAGCTTGCAAGTAGGATAAAATCTCCTGTCCTTCACAGTTCTTGAAAATCATGTGAACATTGAGGCTTTATGCAGGCTTTCTCCAAAGGGATTCTGTGGGAGAATTAAACCCTATTGCCCCAATGCACTTATTATATGTCATGAACTCTCTTTTCTCCTATGCATGTGGTATGGTGGTATGTGAAACTGGAAAACTGAGAAAATAGCCAATCAAATAATCTCCAACTGAGCTAATTTTCTCATGGAATCCAGTTTAAGAAGGTCATGTATTACCAAAGGTAAATGTTTAGCTTCACAACTTGTCTGACTAATTGGCACAATAAACATCCTTTTCAAGTATAAGATTAGGAATAGATCTTCAGATGGTAATAAGAAATATAAAAAATTCCCCCTTTTCAAAAGAGCAAATATGTTATTTAATGTCAATATCAGTGATCTGAGGAAGCAATTCTCATGAGATCTCAAGTCCCTGACCGTCTGACTTTGGTAAAGGCAATATGGAGGGACAATGCTTGGAGTTAGTTTAACTCCTAGCTGACCTGGTGGGAGGGTACCCAGGTGAGGAAACTGAGCAAACTGGTCTTTGTTTGCAGACACAATTACAAGGACTCTTGGGGACCATTGTGTGTCCTTGCCCTTTTCCCTCCCTGTTAAGGAAGAATAAACAACACCAGTATCACTGCAGAAGCTAAGGGAATTCAAAGCAGCCTCAAGAAGCTGAGAAACTGACATTTCTAAGAAGAAAAATAATCCTGTATTCCCTATAGTAGACAGTAATGTCTATAAAATGGATCTCTCCCACCATACCGTAAACCAAATATTAGCTGCTAGATCACAGTTGGTTGTGGATTTGAAAAAAGTTTCCTCACCCCAGTATGGGAAAAAAAGAAAAGCCACTAGGTATACACTTTTTTCACTTGCCTTCACATTACTTTGATAGTCTACAGTGAAGTTCTACTCACACAAAATAATTTCATCCTTAATGAGTTGGTTTGGACACCTTTGCAGAATTTGTAGAGTCTTTAGATTTAAAAAAAGTGACACAGATGTTAGGCCTTTGAAGAAAAGGATGAGAGTATAGCTTATAAAGCAGAGAATTAATAACCTTTGGCTTCTCAAGCTTTGCCTGAAAGCCATTTGCTCTTTTCTTCGGAAGATCCTAATAAGCAGAGAAAAGATGCTTCATGCAAAACCTGCTCTATCAGCTTCTGTCCATTTTTATTCTTCTGGCTCTTTGCTTTGTTTCTCTCTCTTTTTGCTGGAGCCTTTTCTTGTTTTCAAGATCCCCTTCAGGCTGACCTGCTTCTTCTTGTCCAAGTCTTAGGCTTCCAGATTTCTAGGAAATCTACTTGTTCTCTGTATTTCTTTGCCAGCCTAACTCTTTGATACTTCCTTAGTAGAGACTAGAGATACTGATTCATAAAATGTTTTGACTTTACTGTTTGCTTTATGAATCTATTAGCATACCTCTTTCTTTGCCTTTGGTTATTGCCAATGGCTGGCCTAATACTATTTAATCATTTTAGGAATTCTATGGCTTTTAAAAACTTACATGTTTTCCTACTTACACTTTTCAAAAATAACTTAAAATTGAAAATTAAAAATTAAGCTTAAGCTTTGGCAACTCTTCTATGTGATTTCTAGAAGCTTCCTTGCTAGGTGAATTTTGATATACTATTGCAGTCATAAATCACGAGGTTTTAGTAAAATATACATACTTTTAAAAGAGGAAACATTATGTAATAGATACCACATATTCTGTGTTGTGATTCATTTTATTATTTAAATATAGAGAAGAAAAAATTATCTCAAGGACTTCTTGAAAATATTTTAAGTCTTCTTTTTTATACTTGGTCTCCTATTTTAGAGACCCACCTAACCTTACTGGGTCTCAAAGTCTTCGTCTGCCAAGTAATTTACTCATGGTATTATTCTTATTGCTAACTAAGAGGGTACATATAAATAAATAGCTTTTGACAGAAGTATGATGTTCAGAGTAAAGGAGACATTATTTTGAATTAACAAAAATGTATCTTATTTTCTTCTTCATCAAAAAAGCTCTCACAAATAATGTATTAAGTTGGCTAGAATCTTTAATTTAATTTGGGCAAATAAATTTTTTAGGAAAATATGAGCACTAGGAATGCTGATGCTTACAGAGAAAAGTTTACATACTTCTTAAAATATTTTGTTTTTCTTCATATTTAATTCAATCACTTATTAGACTGTAACGTCCCTGAGAGTAGAAGATATTTCTTCAGTGATGTGTCTTCATATAGCACTTTGGGAAATTTGCATGGAGTTCTCTAAATACAGAATAAACTCAAGGCATTATAGCGCTGTTAGGAAATCAATAATATCAATGAACTTTATTATGAAAAATTATGTAGACTAAATGGGCATATATTTATGCCCCTTCAGATTGACAATAGCAGACATCTACTTAAATTGCATTACATAAAATACATAAATATCTTAAAGAGCTCTGTCACAACCTGAAAGGCAAGATGGTTTGTTGACCTGATGAGGGACTGGGACAATTTACTGGAAGTCCTAGAGTAACTAAGGCAAGTATTTTCTTCTGGGGCTTTCTTTCAGAGGCTGTATGATCTCCTATGTTTGATTCTCTGTGTGTCTATAGGCCAATTTTCTCTGCTTTTCTGTATAAAGGAAAAATGTGACCTCTTCATAGGTGTCAAGTTTACATGCTTTCAGTTAGAATTGGCAGTAGGAGATAAGCAGTGTTTAGGACTAGAATTCACATTTGGAGATAAGAACCTCATTTGCCTCATTTGTGTCAAATGTCCTCCTTAAGTACACACAGCTGAGGCTAAGATAATTGGAGCTACATCAGCATCATTTGGCTCTATGGTCCCAGCTCCATAGATATGAGAGCAGTTCTATGTGTCTGTGGCTCATGGGCTGGGCCTTCACCTTAAACTGTGTTTAATATAATCAGTCAGAATGATTTTAGAGAAAATGCTGGTTTGTTTGAGAGCTTTTTTTTTTTAAAAAAAAAAATCACCTCATAGGAGACGTCAGCAAGATGGTGGATAGAACTTCCAGCACTCGCCCCCTCATAGAAACATCAATTTGAATAACTATCTGTGCACAAAAATACCTTCACATGAACTAAGAAATCCAGGTGAGCTATTACAGCACCTGGATGGAGCACAGAAATAAGACGCATTAAGAGATTAGGAAAGATAGTATCACATTATGTATGTCACCTCTCCCCTAAGCCCAGGCAGTATAGCATGGAGACAGAGAGAGAGAGATACCCTTTGTGTGGGAAAAGAAGATTAAAGTGAGCACCTAACTTTGCTGTGGACTCCAGCACCAGACCTGCCCCAGTGAACCCTGGTACCAGGCCAGCCCCCAAGGCCTCATATTCTAGTGAATTTAGGATCCAGGCTTGCCCCAGTAGATCCGGGCTGCATACTTTCCTCTAGTAGTTTTTGAATCTTACATTTCACATCTTATGTTTAAGTTTTTAATCCATTTTGTGTTGATTTTTGTGTGTAGTTTGAGATAAAGGTCCAATTTTATTCTTCTGCATGTGGATATCCAGTTTTCCCAACACAGTTTATTGAAGAGACTGTCCTTTCCCTGTTGTGTGTTCTTGACATTTTTAATGAAAATCAATCGATCATAAATAGATGGATTTATTTCTGGGGTCTCTAATCTGTTTAGTTGGTCTATATGTGTGTGTGTTTTAAATGTCAGCACCATGCTATTTGATTAAAGACTTAAATATAAGAAAAAGCCTCTTGACATTGGTCTGTGCCATAATTTTTTAATATAATCCCCAAAGCACAGACAACAAAAGCAAAAATAAACAAATGAGATTGCCTCAAACTAAAAAGCTTCTGGACAACAAAGGAAGCAATTGAGAGAATAAAGAAACAACCTACAGAATTTAAGAAGAACCATGTTGTAAACTGTAATCTGATGACAGGTTAATAAGTAGGTATATAAGAAACTCAATCAACTCAATAAGAAGAAAAAATAATCTAATTAAAAACTGGAGAAAGAATCTGATTGGACATTTCTCAAAAGAAGACATACAAATGGCCAACAGGTATATGAAAAAACATTCAATATCACTAATCATAAGGGAAATGAAAATAAAAAACCATAATGAGATTTTACCTCACATCTGCTAGAATTACTATTATCAAAAAGACAGACAAAAGCATATGTGGTCAGAATATAAAAAAATAGAAATCCTTGTACATTGTTGTTAGGAATGTTAATTTTTATAGCTATTATAGAAAATAGTATGGAGGTTTCTAAAAAAATGTTAAAAATAGAACTATCATATCTATAATCCAGCAATTTCACTACTGTATATATACCAGAAGGGAATAAAATCTGTACATCAAAGAGATATCTGTACTCCCATGTTTATGGCAGCACTATTAAGAATAGCCAAGATATGGAAACGACCTAAGTGTTCATTAACAAGTAGATAAAGAAAAGGTGATACATATGAATAATGGAATAATATTCAACCTTAAAAGAGAAAAAAATCCCGACATTTGTGACAAGGTGGGTGATTCTAGAGGACATAATGCTAAGTAAAACAAGCCAGGCAAGAAAGGCAAATACTGCATGATCTTACTTACATGTGGGGAAGCATAGAAGCAGAGTGGAATGTTGGTTGTCAGGGGCAAGGGAGTTGAAGAAACGGGGACATTTTGTTTCAAAATTAGTTAAGATTAGTTAGATAGGATGAATAAATTCTAGAGATCTAATGTACAATATGGTGACTATAGTTAATAATAGTGTATTAGACACTTGAAATTTGCTAAGAGTGTATCTTAAATGTTTTCACCACATACACACACACACACACACACACACACAAACAAAGATAACTATGTGAGGTGATGGATATGTTAGTTTAGCAAGATTATGGTAATCATTTCAAAGTGTATACACATATCAAAACATCATGTTGTATATCATAGATATTTATAATAGTATTTGTCAATTATACCTTAATAAAGCTGCAAAATAAATAAATAAGTTACAGGGACTCTTGGATTTATTCATACATACATCAATTTTTTCTTAGGCCAAATTAAGTCAGAGCTTTCGTGGTAAACCTTATCACATAATATAAATAAGTCAAAAATGTTTAAATTGAAGATAAGAATTATTCAACAAAACAATATTAAAGAAACGAATGGTGTATGCTAACCTTGCCATTCAGGACCATAAAATGTAATTGCTGTGTGCCTATGCCTCTGCCTCCATGTATCTTGATAAACCATGTCAGACATAGTATATCCTATACCTAGCTGCTTGTCTGGCAAATATAATACTCCATAATTATTTATTAAGTAAATTGGGATGTTTTGACTCAGGTTGGATCTTATTATTAAATACAAGTATAAAAGTTTGAATCTTGTAGTCTGTTTCCCTCCATCAAAATTCCCTTTATAGTTGATTTTTATAGTTGATGGTAGACACGTGGGGGAAAGGAAAGGTAACCTTCTAGAATTTTAAAAGCTATGAGAGCAAAGTGACAGATTACCTGTATGGGAGTAAAAAATTTATCAAATTTCTCAGCAGGGACAGTATAAGACTGAAAAAAGAGTGAAGATATATAGTCAATATGTTTAGGAAAAATGGCGATCACCCCTTAATAATATGCCCAGCTAAATTATTATTTGAGAGTGAAGGTGAAATAAAGTTACTTTTCAGACTTGTAAATATTAAAAGAGTATACCATCTCTAGACCTTCACAGAATGTTTAAGGATTATTTTAGCATCAGCATGGGAAAAGAAAACTCAGAGGCAAGGTATGTAATAAAGTAATAACACAATCACCCAAAATGATGAAGTATGTTACTTAAATTTAAATGAACAACAATACACCATTTTATGCTTAAAAAGAGTAAAAATAAAACTTAAACCATAAAATAATGGTTGTATTTGATTGGGTAAAGTTTACTAAAACCTTTATGATATTTAGGAGAAAGAGATATTTAATATTATTAGATACCTTGTTATAAAAATTTATAAAATTCTCAGTAGCCACTCAGAAAAGATGTAAAATTAAAAGAAGAAAAAGGAGAGGTTTTAGTACAAATTTATCAAAAACCATTTGATGAAACAAGAAAGAAAAGCTGTTGCAAGACTAGAATACTTTAGTTGCCAAATTAGCAAAATACAACTATGAGTTAGTGTTTTAGTCTGTTTTCATATGCTATAAAGAATTGCTTGAGACTGTGTAATTTATAAAGGAAAGAGGTTTAATTGACTCACAGTTCAGCAAGGCTGGGGAGGCCTCAGGAAACTTACAATCGCCATGGAAGGCAAAGAGGAAGCAAGCACCTTCTTCACAAAGAAGCAGGAAGGAGAAGTGCCATGCGAAAGGGTAAGAGCCCCTTATAAAACCATCAGATCTGTGAGAACTCATATCATGAGAACAGCATGGGGGAAACTGCCTTCCATGATTCAGTTACCTCCACCTGGTCTCTCCCTAGACACGCGCATGGGTATTATGGGGATTATGGGATTACAATTCAAGATGAGATTTGGGTAGGGGCACAAAGCCTAACCATATCAGTTAGTTATTAGAACATATACCTAACACATGTAAAAAATATCTTCCCAAGTACTATGCAACAGTTACAAAAATTGACTACATATTAGTTTGTAAAACATGTTTAAATAACTCTCCACATACTCTCATCAGAAAAAAAGTGAAATCAGGATTTATTGATGAAATGCGATTTTACAACAAACAAAACTATATGTTTGGGGACAAACTGCACTTCTTAGCAGCTTTTTGTTTACATCTCAATGAAAATTTAAAAGTATTTAGAACTGAACTTAAAGGTAATTGCTATATGCCAAAATGTATGAGTTCCAGCAAAGAAAAGACATGAAAGAGTGAAGATATATGTTACACATGCAATTTAAGAAGCTGGGGAAAAGCAATAGAATAAGCCTAAGGAAAGTAGCTTAAAGGAAACAATAAAAGTGAGAGTAGAGATTAGCAAAACAAAAAAAAACAGAAATATAGGGTTAAACAGGAACAAAAACTGTTCTATAAAAGCAGTCTATAAAAAGGAAAACTAAACAAAAAAATTTTTAATAAGCCATTAAAAAGATTGAGGTATAAAACTGTGAAGCACAAAGAAGAGGGATATAATTACAGATATAGTACAGGTTAAAAAAGAATGAGAATAGTACGAACATTTGAAAACCTAGGTAAAATTGATATTTTGTAGAAAAATATTACAAAAATTGATTCAAGAATACATGAAATGTCAATAAATCATCAAACATTGAAGAAATGAATTATTAATCAAAATCCCTCTGCTCAAGCCTATCATCCATCTATCCTTCCTAGCTATCTTAATACGAACCCGTGTTACAAAATATTTTCTACCAGTCATTCTAAGAACAGATAATCCTGATCTTATATAAAAATATTTTAAAAATAGAGAATGTAGACAAATGTGATCTTCATATAAAATACAGATCAGAAAAAAATACTATAGACTAAATTCTCCTATGATTTCTGTAGAAAATATTGGCAAATGAATTCAGCAGTTTTCAAAGGAAATATACTACATAGATCATACTATGTAGGTGTTTATCTTAGGAATTTATGGATGGGTTATAGTTAAAGATGTTACATTAATAGGTTGAAGAAGATTAGGAAATAAACATCTTGATGGATGCAGAAAACGCATTTGATGAAGTTTACCATACAGGATAAAAACCTTTAGCAAACTTGCACTTAGCAAAGGGGAACTAGACGTGGAGCAGGCAGGGACTGAGCGGGTGCCTCAGTGTCCTACCCCTCCCTTCGCCGGGCCTCTCAGTCCTCTCCCAGCAGCTGGACCGGAACTATGTGATCCCGGAAGTTCCGGGGCCTTTTCTGTGTGGGATAAACAGTAATGGCGGAGGCTGCAGCTCTCAGACCAACAGCCACAACATCAGGGGCGGCAGTGGCGGCAGCGGCGGCGGCGGCAGCAGCGGCCTCCCCTACCAGGATCCCCACAGTCACCATTCTGTCCCCAGGGGGCAGGCGAGGGGGCCGCGGCAGCGATGGCAGCGGCGGCAGCTGGACTAAACAGGTCACCTGCAGGTATTTTATGCATGGGGTTTATAAGGAAGGAGATAACTGTTGCAAGTTGCATGACCTCTCTGACAGTCCGTATAATGTAGTGTACAAGAGTTTGCAGCCAGGGTACTGTATTTATGGAGACTGCTGCAGATATGAACATAGCAAGCCATTGAAACAGAAAGAAGCAACTGCTACAGAGCTAACTACAAAGTCATCCCTTGCTGCTTCCTCAAGTCTCTCATGGATAGTCGGACCACTTGTTGAAATGAATACGGGTGAAGCTGAGTCAAGAAATTCAAACTTTGTAACTGTAGGAGCAGGTTCAGAGGGCTGGGTGAATGCTGTTGAGTTTGTTCCTGGGCAACCCTACTGTGGCCGCACTGCGCCTTCCTGCACTGAAGCACCCCTGCAGGGCTCAGTGACCAAGGAAGAATCAGAGAAAGAGCAAACTGCCGTGGAAACAAAGAAGCAGCTGTGCCCCTATGCTGCAGTGGGAGAGTGCCGATATCGGGAGAACTTGTGTGTATATGGAGATTCGTGTGACATGTGTGGCTGCAGGTCCTGCATCTGATGGATGCTGCCCAGAGATCACAGCATATAAAATCATGCTTTGAGGCCCATGAGAAAGACAGGGAGCTCTCATTTGCTGTGCAGCGCAGCGAGGAAATGGTGTGTGAGAGCTGCATGGAGATGATCTATGAGAAAGCCAACCCCAGACAGCACCGCTTCGGGATCCTCTCCAACTGCAACCACACCTACTGTCTTAAGTGCATTCGCAAGTGGAGGAGTGCTAAGCAGTTTGAGAGCAAGATCATAAAGTCCTGCCCAGAATGTCGGATCACATCTAACTTTGTCGTTCCAAGTGAGTACTGTGTGGAGGAGAAAGAAGAGAAGCAGAAACTCATTCTGAAATACAAGGAGGCAATGAGCAACAAGGCGTGCAGGTATTTTGATGAAGGACATGGGAGCTGCCCGTTTGGAGGGAACGGTTTTTATAAGCATGTGTACCCTGATGGCCGTAGAGAGGAGCCACAGAGACAGAAGGTGGGAACATCAAGCAGATACCCGGCCCAATGAAGGAACCACTTCTGGGAACTCATTGAGGAAAGAGAGAACAGCAGCCCCTTTGACAACGATGAAGAAGAGGTTGTCACCTTTGAGCTGGGTGAGTTGTTGCTTATGCTTTTGGCTGCAGTTGGGGACGATGAACTAACAGACTCTGAAGATGAGAGCGACTTGTTTCATGAGGAGCTGGAAGATTTTTATGACTTGGATCTATAGCAACCTTGTGTGGCGTGTGAACTGGTCTGCTGACCCCAGACAGCAGCTGTTCCCTGTGGTGGTGTGGCAGTGCCTGTGTTCTCTCCTAGGCAGGCCTGTCAACTCCAGGTGCTGGCATAAGAATTTTTACCCAGGGCCTGTCTTTTCAACCCCTCACCTTTCCCCAAGGAGTGTGTTGTTTTCCCTCTTGAAAAAAAGTTAGAAAAATAAATCTTAAAGTTAGTTTTCTGAAAAAAAAAAAAAAAAAGAAAAAGGGAACTAGAAAAATAAAAAAGAACAAAAAATAAATAAAAAAGAAAAAGGGAACTTGGCAAACAATACCAATCGATTATTAAATTTTAGAGGTTTCCTTAGAGTCAGGAAGATGATGAGATTGTGCTTACAGTTAAAAACTATGAAGTCCTTAGTAGAGTCAAGAAAAGATATGAGAGGTAAGAATTGGAAAGAAAACAATAACTATTTGAAGACATGCTTATCTATGTAGAACTTAAAATAGCATCTATGGACAAATTATTAAAAGGGTTTTTCAGGCACCAATAATAATAAGAAAAAGTAAACAGAAAATAAAAATTCCAGTCTCAATGGAACAAAAACAATGTTACCTCTTATTTTTAATTAAAGAGGGGCAGCCTGTAATCCCAGCACTTTGGGAGGCCGAGGTGGGTGGATCATGAGGTCAGGAGATTGAGACTATCCTGGCTAACACGGTGAAACCCCATCTCTACTGAAAATACAAAAAATTAGCCGGGCATGGTGGCAGGCGCCTGTAGTGCCAGCTACTCGGGAGGCTGAGGCAGGAGAATTGCGTCAACCCGGGAGGTGAAGCCTGCAGTGAGCAGAGATCACACCACTGCACTCCAACCTGGGCGACAGAGCGGTTTGAGACTCTGTCTCAAACAAACAAACAAACAAAAGCAGCAAAATCATTCTGGAGAAAATTATAAAACATTGAAAATATAAAAAGAAAAAAACAACCAGTGTGTGTATGTATATGTAGAGAGAGTGTTCATGAATTAAGTTACAATAACAGAGTGATGTTGATACTTCCTCAAAATTGTCTATAAATTCAATGCAATCCCAGTTAAAATTCCAACAGAGGCCGGGCACTGTGGCTCACGCCTGTAATCGCAGCACTTTGGGAGGCCGAGGCGGGTGGATCACGAGGTCAGGAGATCGAGACCATCTTGGCCGACATGGTGAAACCCTGTCTCTACTAAAATACTAAAAATTAGCCAGGCGTGGTGGTGTGTGCCTGTAATCCCAGCTACTTGGGAGGCTGAGGCAGGGGAATTGCTTGAACCTGGGAGGCGGAGGTTGCAGTGAGCTGAGATCACGCCACTGCACTTCAGCCTGGTGACAGAGCAAGACTCTGTCTCAAAAAAAATAAATAAATAAATAAATAAATAAAATAAAATCCAACAGGAATTTTTAAGGAACCAGGAAGCTGACATCTAACTTTATATGAAAGAGTGAAGAAAGAACCAAGAAGAGTCAGCACAATTTTGAATAATGAGGTGGAAGGAGTTGTTCTACTGGAGGTCAAGAATGAGTTTAAAGCTGCAATGATTAAGATACTGTATTCTCAATGCAGGAAAAGACAAACAGACCATTGGGAACAGTATGGAATTTTATGAATATATGTAAATCAAGCAGCATTGTTATCTGTGTAAGACTGGATTATTCCATAAATAATGCTGGAACAATTTATTCAAATGGAAAAAAATTACTCTCATTCATATTATACAGAAAAATTAATTTAGGAACAGTAAAGACTTAAATGTTGATATGGTTTGGCTGTGTCCCCACCTAAATCTCATCTTGAATTGTAACTCCTATAATTCTCACGTGTCATGGGAGGGACCCGGTGGGAGGTAATTGAATCATAAGGGTGGGTCTTTCCCATGTTGTTCTCGTGATAGTAAATAAGTCTTACAAGATCTGATGGTTTTATAAAGGAGAGTTCTCCTGCACATGCTCTCTTGTCTGTCACCATGTAAGGCTTTGCTCCTCCTTCACCTTCTGCCATGATTGTGAGGCCTCCCCAGCCAAGTGGAACTAAGTCCATTAAACCTCCTTTTCTTCATAAATTACCCAGTCTTGGGTATGCCTTTATTAGCGGCATGAGAACGGATGAATACAAATGTGAAACTAGAACATTAAAACCTTTAAAGGGGTGTGACTAATTTTTAAAAATAAGAAAGGAACATACTCTTAAGGAGAAGGTGACTATAAAATTAATAACTAGGGGGTAGTGAATAAAATTAAAAACTGCGGGGGAGGGCAAAGCAAGGTGGTAGAATAGAAGCCTACACCATTTATCTACCCAACTGGAACATCAAATTTTAACAATATCTGCACAAAGAGAGACACTATCACTAGAGCCAAAAACCAAGTGAGCAACCACAGCATCTTGTTTTAACTTCATATCCTTAAAAGAGGCATTGAGGAGGGCAGGAGAGACAGTTTTGAATTACTGATGCCACCCCTCCCCCATACCCTGGCAGCAGCTGTGCAGCACAGAAAGAGAATCTGTGCATTTTGGGGAGGCAGGGCCCAGCTTCTGGGGGTCTTTATATTGAACTCAGTGCTTCCCTGGTCACAGAGGAGAATAATGCTGTCCTGGGCTCAGTCAGCATCCACACATGGAGGAAGCAGTAACACGAGCTCTAGTCAGAGAGGAATTGCCAGTCCCAGCAGTCAGAACTTGATTTCTTGGCAAGCCTTGCCACTATGGGCTAAAGAGCTCTGGGGTCCAAAGTAAACTTGAAAGCCAGTGTAGGACACAAAACCTGCAATTCCTAGGCAACTCCTAGTGTTGGGCTGGGCTCAGAGCCAGTTGACTAGGGTGGCATGTGACCTAGGAAGTTACCAGCTGGGGATAGCTAAGGGAGTGCTTGTGCCATCCCTCCCACAACCCAAGGCAGTGCAGCTCACAGAAATGAAAGTGACTCCTTCCCACTGCTTAAAAAGAGGAGAGCAAAGAGTAAAGAGAACTTTGTCTTACATCTTGGATGTCAGCTCAGCCACAGTAGTATAGGGCACCAGGCAGATTGGTGAGGCCCTAGCTTCCAGACTACACATTTCTACATACATCCTGGCCCACTGCCTTGAAGGGAAGGAACCAGTTCTAACAGGAGTCATCACCTGCTGACTGAAGAGCGCTTTGGCCCTGAAAAACCAGCAGCAATTCCCAGGGAGTACACTGTGGGCCTTGGGCTCTTACATCTGCTGGGTTTAGGGTGACCCAGCACAATCCCAGTTGTGCTGGGTATGGTCAAAGACTCTTTCTGTTGGAGAAAAGTGGAAGGAAAAGTAAAGGGGACTTTTTCTTGCACCTTTGGTACCAGCTTGACCACAGTAGGGTAGAGAAATTAGCAGGCTTTTGGGGTCCCTGAGTCCAGGCCCGGTCTCTTAGGTAAATTTCCAGACCTTCCCTGGGCCAAATAGCAGCCCAATGCCCTGAAGGGTCAGTCCCAGTTTTGGCAGCATTCACCAAAATCTGATGGAAGAGTCCGCGGGCTTTATGTGAACGTTGGTGGTGGTCTGGTAGAATTCACTGTGGACTGGAGGTGGTGGGGGCCACAGGAAGAGGCTTTTCTGCCTATAGGAAGTGGAGGGAAGAGCAGAAAGGACTTTGTATTGTGGTTTGAGTGCCAGGTTAGCCACACTAGAATAGAACATCAGGTAAATTGTTCATGTTTTTTACTGCAGTCTCTGGGTCCCAGACAGCATCTCTGGACACTCCCAGGGTCTGGGGGAGCTTGCCGCCCTGAAGGGAAGGGCCTTGGACAAGGCTTACTGTTGTGCTAGCTTCAGGTCTGACCTAGCACAGTGCCAGTCGTGGCAGCCTCAGGGGTGCTTGCATCACCACATCCTCAGTTCCAGGTGGCTTAGCACACAGAGAGAGAGACTCTGTTTGTTTGGGAGAAAGTAAGATAAAATAACAAGTGTCACTGTCTGGTCATCCAAAGAATTCTTCTGGATCTTATCCAGGACCATTAAGGTGGTATCTCTATGAGTATAGAAAACAGTTGAATTCATGAAGAGTGAGAGTAGAAGGATGATTACCAGAGGCAGGGAAGGGGAGTACAGGGGAGGTGGGGGAGGTGTGGATGGTTAATAAGTACAAAAATAAAATAGAATAAATAAGACCTAGTATTTCATAGCACAAAGATGTGACTATATTTAATAATTTAATTCTACATTTTTTTAAAATAACTAAACAAGTACAATGAGATTGTTTTTAACACAAGGAAAAATGTTTGAGGGGATGAATATCAAATTTTCCAGGTTGTGATTATTATGCATTGCATGGTTATACCAAAATATCTCATCTACCCCATAAACATACGCATCTACTATGTACCCACAAAGAATAAAAATTAAAAACAGTAAAAAATTTAAAATTGCACAAAACCAAAAGTAAAAACACATATCACAGAATAGAAGACATTTTTAGTGTCTATAATTGACACTATTCATAAAATTTTCCCTCAAAAACAAAATCTTTCACAAATCACCTAGGCAAAAGACAACTTAGGCAAAGAATAGGTATATTGATATAAATATGAAGTCTTTTAGAGGAAATTCCAAATTGTCAATCCTATTTCTGGTAGGCTAAATAAAGGCCCCCTCCAAAGCTGTTTGCGTCCAATTCCTGGAACCTGTAACTGCTATCTTACATGGTAGAAGGGACTCTATAAAAGTGAATAATGAAATGGGAAGATGACCTGGGATCATCTGAGTGGGTACGATGTAATCACTAGGCCCCCATATAAGAGGGATGCAGAGGATAAGAAAGTAGTTGGGTATGTGATGATGAAAGCCAGAGGTTGGAGGAATGTGGAGAAGGAGTTGTGAGCCAAGGGATGCAGGCAAACTCTAGAAGCTGAAAAGGCAAAGTTGTCCTGGTTTCCAGAAGGAATGCAGCCTAGCTAACCCATTTTAGACTTTTGACCTCTATAAGTGTGAGGGAACAAAGTTGCATTGTTGTTTTAAGACACTAAGTTCATGGTAAGTTATTATAATAGAGAAACTAATGCAGTAATTCTCCCTCTATTGTAATCAGGGAAATCAAAATTAAAATAAACAAACTATTATATATGTATGTTAGTTGCACAAATAATTACAAACCTGGGAATAGCATGTGTAGTTGAAGATGTAGACAAATGAGAATTTCTGTACATTCTGATGGACTCTAAGTATACATAGAGTCTAAAATTGGTATAGCCATTTTGAAGAGAAAACACCCCAAATAACCTAAATATTATTTTACTAAGTACATACCACAGAGAAATCCACACAAATGCAGAAGGAGGTGTGATAAAAACATTCATTATAGAGTCATTTGTAAAAAAATTGAGGACAATCAGAATGTTTATCAATAGTAGAAGAAATAAACAGCAACATGTTTGTGAAATGGGAAATGACAGTCTTTTATACAAATGAACTAGAGCTACACTTACCAACAAGATAAAACAAGTTGCAAGAAAGTTTCAACATGCTTATGTTTAGATTATTATATTTATTACCATATAAGCACTATATATTTCCTGTAGATACATGAACATTCAGTAAACAAATAAAATATTCATGAAAATGATAAATGAGAGAAGTATGATAGTAGCTACTTCAGAGAAAGAGAGAAATGGATCAGAGTAATACACAGAAGGTTCACCTCTGCGTTTTATCTTAAAAATAAGCTGAAGTACAGATACTGAAGTCTTAAAACTTAATACAGCTGGATATTTAGTAAACATATATGTATTATGTTATTCTCTACTATTGTATACATATTTGAATTGTTTTATAATTTGAAAACCAAGCAAAACAAAATTATTTTTTTCAATAAACCCAAAATTCAAAAGTTTTCTGTAAAAAATATGTTCCTAGATTTGTTTTAGGACACCAATCTTAAAAATGACAAAGGAGAGGATTTTTTCATTATCTTAAAAATAGCATAATGTCCTTGCCAAAATCATAATGAAACTTCCACATCCTAAGATTTTTGAGTCAAGAACTTTGTATGAGTAGTATAAGATATTGGAGCTGATTTGCAAATAATGCAAGGTATGGTTGAAAAATGCCTCAGATTGTTAACTAAAGGCCAGCACTGTGGGTCTAACTTTACCAGACCAAATCGTTTGACTCTAAGTAAATCTCAAGCAATTTTCTCTAGTGCTAAGATTCAATGACCCGAGGCTCCTTTCTAAGATGCAAGAGAGATCATAGGAAAGGTATGATGTATCTGTCAAGAGAAATGGAAACAACTATTTTTAGAAACATGTAGTTTGTAGCTATTCCACTAGATTTGTCCAGAAATGTATTTCTGCTTCCTTCTAAGTCATGCAGCACTTAGAATTTATTTTTTGAAGTATCTGGAACTAATTTTAGAGCCTCTCTAGTATTAAGATTCGAGGCAAAAATAATAAAATAGGGAAAATCCTTTTATTTTGTAGTGAATATTTTGTTAGCAGATTAAAAATTTACACTAAAATGTCCTATCTTACTGGAAGAGAAACTGTTTGACTTGAGGTTCAATTTAATAATTTTTCCTTATAATGGAGCTATGTCAATTTAGAAAATGGCGTTGCTATTTAAAATGCCATTCCATAACCCTCTTTAATTAAAGTGCCAATATACCGTCAATCTGCTCCCATTAATAAAATTTTAACCATTAGAGTCTAAGCTGTATGATATACAGTTTATTTTTTTTTTCAGAAAGTGTGCACAGACTCCTTAGAGATTTGAGGAGGGAGCTTAAAATTCAGTGCTTTAGAAGTGATAGCTTTGACGGAAGCTAAGGAAAAACAAAAACAAAGGAGATAAGACGGAGACGCAGAGAACAGACAGGAGCCGACAAAAAGAGAGAAATAAACAGAAAGCTGAGGATCAGCTGTTGGATATGAATGTCAAGAATTTGTGTTAATGAAATGATAACCCTAAGCAATTAAATGCTTCTGGTTTAGGTCCTGGTGGGGGTTGGGGCATATCTTACTGAGCCCTTAAAAATCCATTCTGTGTCTGGGAGGTGATTGTATTTCCTATATTCACTTCAATCTAATTTCCTATGGATTTCAGATCATTTTATATTTCCAATTATAACACTGTTCACATTACTGATTTGGCAGATTCAAATGATGAATGCCAAGAGAAGCAGAACAGGATGGAAAAGACTGGAGTAGCTAAAAAAAATTCAATGATACACATTTCAAAAAGTACATTTTGCAGATGCAAGAATGAGAAAGCCAGCTAAATGGCTGTGGGGAGAAGGGCATTGTGTACAGTAAGGACACAAGTGGCAATTTCATAATCATCTAATAACAAGAAACAAATTAAGTTTTACGTCAGAAGCACTAGAACTAACCAAAAACTGAAAATCTGGAATGAAGGATACTTTATTCATGCTTCAGGAGTTTCATGGTTTCTTTCAGTTTTGCTTGTCTCTATTTGTGTGATTTATTTTCATCTCCTTGACCACCTTTGTCTGCTTTCTCATTCTACTCATGAAACAGTAAGCTTGACAGTTCAGATCAGAAACTGGTGGATCTTTTCTATGTCTCTTTTGTAAATGATAAAAGACATATTCTTTACAGCTCAGTTCATCTTTTTGAGCAAGATGAACCAGATACCATCATTATCAACGTCATCATCATCATCACTATAATCACTACTAACATTGAGTGCTTAGTACCTGCCATGCACTATTCTAAATGTTTTATGTGTATTGACTCATTTAAAGTTTACAGTTCTTTGTGCTAGGCATTCTGTTATTACTTCTGTTTTGTAGACATGAAAACTAGGGCATGGTTTAGTGACTTGTAGAAATTCACAACTGGGGCTGGCAGCAGTGGCTGATACCTGTAATCCCACACTTTGGAAGGCTGAGGTGGGCAGATCACTTGAGGTCAGGAGTGAGCTGAGATCATACCACTGCACTTCAGCTTGGGTAACAGAGTGAGACTGTCTCAAAATAAATAAATAAATAAAGAAAATAAAAAATTCACAACTGGATATGAAAATTTTGGCTGAAATTTCTTTTGTTTAAGAATGCTGAATATAGACCCCCCCCCTTTTAGGGTTTCTGCTGAAAGGTCCACTGTTAGCCCGATGGGGTTACCTTTGTACATGATCTGCCTCTTCTTTCTAGCTCCCTTTAACATTTTTTAATTTCATTTCAACCTTGGAGAATCTGATGACTTACAACTTCAGCAAAGTTTCAGGATACAAAGCCAATGTACAAAAATCAGTAGCATTCCTATACACCAATGAGTTCCAAGCTGAGAGCCAAATCAATAATGCAATCCCATTTAAAATAAGTCACAGAAAGATGAAACACCTAGGAATACAGCTAACCAGGGAGGTGAAAGATCTCTATAACAAATTACAAAACACTGCTCACAGAAATCAGAATGACAAATGAAAAAACATTTCATGCTCATGGATTGGAAGAAACAATATTGTTAAAATGGCCGTACTGTCCAAAGCAATTTATAGATTCAATGCTATTCCTATCGCACTGCCAATGACATTCTTCACAAAATTAGATAAAACTGCTTAAAAATCATGTGGAGCCAAAAAGAGCCCAAATAGACAAGGCAATCCTAAGCAAAAAGAACAAAGCTGGAGGTATCACGTTCCTGACTTCAAATTGTATTATAAGGCTACAGTAACCAAAACAGCATGGTACTGGTATACAAACAGACATATAGAAAAATAGAAAAGAATAAAGAGTCCAGAAATAAAGCCACACATCTACCACCATCTGATCTTTGACAAAGTCAACAAAAGCAAGCAATGGGGAAAAATTCCCTATTCAATATATGGTGCTAGGATAACTGGCTAGCAATATGCGGAAGATTGAAACTGGACCTCTTCCTTATACCATATACAAAAATCAATTCAAGATGGATGTAAGACTTAAATATAAAACCTTGAACTATAAAAACTGGTAAGATAACCTAGGAAATACCATTCTGGGCATAGGCCCTGGCAAAGATTTCATGATGAAGACTCCAAAAACAATTGCAACAAAACAAAAAATTGATAAATGGGACTAACAAATTCTGCACAGTAAAAGAAACCATCAACAGAGTAAACAGACACCCTACAGTATGGGAGAAAATGTTTGCAAATGAATGCATCCAACAAAGGTCTAATATACAGGATCTATGAGGAACTTAAACAAATTAATAAGTGAACAAAAAAACAACTCCATGAAAAAGTGGGCAAAGGAGAAGAACAGACAGTTTTCAAAAGAAGACATATACATGGCCAACATGTATGAAAAAATGCTCTATATCACTAATTATTAAAGAAATGGAAATCAAAATCCCAATGAGATACTATATCACACCAGTCAGAATGGCTATTATTAAAAAAGTCAAAAACAACAGATGCTGGTGAGGTTGCAGCAAAAAAGGGAGTGCTTATACACTGCTGGTGAGAATGTAATTTAGTTCAGTCGTTGTGGGCATGTAAATTAGCTTGGTCATTAGTTCAGTCACTGATCACACAAGATTACTGTGGTGATTTCTCAAAGAACTTAAAACAATTAATACTCTACCCAGCAATCCCATTATTGGGTATACACCTAAAGGAATATAAATCATTCTACCATAAAGACACATGACTATGCATGTTCATTGAGCACCCTTCACAACAGCAAAGGCCATAAATGCCAATTAATGGTAGGCTGGAAAAAATAATTGTGGTACATATACACCATGGTATATTACGCAGCCCTAAAAAATAATGAAATCATGTCCCTTTCTGCAACATGGATGGAGCTGGAGGCAATTATCCTAGGCAAACTAACACAGGATCAGAAAACCAAATACTGCCTGTCCTCATTTATAAGTAGGAGCTAAACAATGAGAATGTATAGACACAAAGAAAGGAATAACAGACACCAGTGTCTACTTAAAGTTGGAGGGTGGTAGGGGGTTGAAGACTGAAAAACTACTTATCTGATACTATGCTTATTATCTGAATGATGAAATGATCTGTACACCAAAACCATGCAACAGGCAATTTATATAACAAACCTGCACATGTATACCTGAACCTCAAATAAAAGTTAAAAAAAGAGAAAACAGTATGTGATAAATGATTCATAAATGAAAAAAGACCACTGATCACAGATCACCATAACAAATATAATAATGATAAAAACATTTTAAATATTATGAGGATTACCAATATGTAACTCAGAAACACGAAGTGAGCACATACTTCTGGGAAGATCATGCCAATGGACTTGCTTGATGCAGGTTCACCACAAACATTCAATTTGTAAAACCAGAACAAAACAGCACAGTATCTGCAAATGGCAATAAAGTGAAAAAAAAAAATTCACAACTACTTTGTGCAGAGCTCGTATTTGAATCCCAGAGGTAGCTAGCTGTTAGAGCCCAGACACTTCCTCTCTATATCATACTTTATTATATGTAGGTGATTTGTGCAACCTCATTTCATTCAGCAAGGAATAAGGCTAGGGGTATGTAGTTCCCTGCTCATTCAACAGGGGCAGTGGCTAGAGATTTCCTCAAATGTGGGTATAGATGAGACAAGCACTGACTAGACTAATACCTTTTAATTTAAAGACAAATTTGACATTTAAAGAGGTCAAATTTCTATGGCAAGACTGGCTGAATACCCAGAGACCACAGCGCAATATCACCTTGATGGAGTCAGCCAAGGTTATCTTAGTGTTTTAGATTTAATTAGACTGAAGTACAGAAACTGGGACACCAAATTACAGATCTGCCATGGGTCATGAAAAGTCAAATTATAATCAGAACGGTGTCTGAAGAACAAAGAAAATTAGCTGAATGGATCAAATCAATATTTGAATCATTCTGTTTCACCTTATGAATCAATCTCCCCATGGAAAAATACCTACAACATCAATTGAACATACAGCTGTCAGGATACCTTCCCCTGGAATAGTTTCTAAATTACCTCTGCCACTGCTTTTCTTTGACACCTCTTTTTCAGTTTCTAAATATGTCTGTTCTTTAAATCGCTTCCACTCTGTCCTTAGGTGTATTTAATGACATTAATTATCAACCATATTTTGCTCAAGCCTGAAATTCATCTTGTCTCCTTAATATATCTTTGCTTACTTTTTATATCATACGTTAGGTATTGATTTCATATTTTAACTCACAGAGGACAATTCATTTTACTTATGTATATGTTTTGAGGTTACTTCACTGTGTATCCTCAAAGTACTACCTGAGGTGGATCTGTGGAGAATATAGTGGATAAAGATACAAATTTCAGTGCCAGATGTACCTAGGTTTGAATTTGTGGTTGCCAATCATAGCTATATAATCTTGTGCAAACTCACAAAATAACTCTGTGCCCCAGTTTTTGGAACTAAAATCTAGACAAAATAATAGTACATGGATAGGAAGCTATTAAAGGAATTTAAATAAATCTGCCTGGTACCTAATAAGTATTCAAGAAGTGATAGATACTCTTATTAGCATCAACATTCTCTTTAACAAGATCATTTTATTAAATGAACCACTTATATATGCAACTGATACAATAACACACTCTGGGTACACCATCTAAGGGAGTCAAAAGATCTGAAAATCTTCTCATGACAGAAGTTGGGATAGATGCCTTGATAAAGGCAAAGCTAATTTTATTGTCATAATATATATGTTTTTGTTCTTTCATGTATGTGTGTTTTAGTTACTTGCAGATATCTCTCCTTTAATAGATGTAAGAGCCTTTAAAGGCAGTGTACCAATTATCTATTGCTGTGTAAAAAACCATCTTCAAACTTAGTAGTGACAAATGAAAACAAATTATTTCTCATGATACAGCTGTGATCGCTCATAAGGCTGCAATCAGCTGGGAGTTTGGCTAAGGCTACAGTGTCCAAGACTACCTCTTATCCTCCAAGGTGTCTTGCTACATGACCTCTCTTCATTCAGTGACGAGCTCAGGTTCTTTACACCATGGCCCCTGGCTTCCAAGAGAATAAGCCTCAATTTGCTAACCCTCCAGTTGCATCATGCTTGTCACTAATCCTTTGGCTAAATCAAGTAACATGACCAAGCTGAGATTTTGTGTGAGAGGAGACTATACAAGAACGTGAATACTGGGAGCTGTGGTTCATTAGAAGCTGCCAGTGTAACAATCTATCTAGCACAGGCAGTGCTTGTTTAAATTAATTTACTATCTGGCTGGGTGCGGTGGTTCTCACCTGTAATCCCAGCACTTTGGGAGGCCGAGGCAGGCAGATCACTTGAGGTCAGGAGATCGAGATGAGCCTGGCCAACATGGCGAAACCCTATTTCTATTAAAAATACAAAAATTAGCCAGTCGTGGTGGTGTGCACCTGTAATTCCAGCTACCTGGCTCGCTGAGGCAGGAGAATCACTTGAACCCGGGAGGTGGAGGTTGCAGTGAGCTGAGATCGTGCCACTGCACTCTAGTCTGGGTGACAGAGTGAGACTCCTTCTCAAAAATAAATAAATAAATAAATAAATAAATATATATATATATATATAAATAAATTAGTTTACTCTCAGTGACTGCATTGAACTTAACTTGCAAATGTCATTAGACATTGTCTGGGGAGGCTTAATTCTGTTTAGTTTGAAGAACTTTCTGTTGGTTAGAATTGCCCACCAGTAAGTAGTACAGATAACCTTGAATAAATAAGATTCTGACAATGAAATCCTCCACTGTGCCTGGATCACCAGTTGTCAAAATGTTATATAGATGTTTTGTAGCTTGTTTGGGCATTGAAGTAAATGAAGACCTTAGTCGCTTTCAACTTTTAAAGTCTATGACTATTTATTGAATATTTCTAATGTTGGAAGCACTCTATTGTAGGTGATGCAAAAGTGTATTTTTGAAGCCAGACAAATTTGTACTAAAATACCAACTCTACCAGACCTCTTCATATGGAAAACTGAAATAATAGTACACATCTTTCAGTCTTGCTGCGTCAAATAGCATAATATGTATAAAGTAATAAGCAAAAAAGTAAATGCTCAATAATTGTGAAAAATAAGCTTAAGGGCATATAGTCTAATTAGGAAAAAATTTTAAAAGCTTCTAACACTTAGCATTTGGACTTAAAATATTCTCTGAGTTAATTGGCAATATTGCAGCGTTGAGATAAAGGAAATAAAGAAGACATTCATTGAGCAATACCTGAAGTGACGATATTAAAATGACCTCATTTTGTTAGAATATAACGACTTTGGTGCTGATAGTAAAGTCCAAATACCCATGCAGGACATTTTCCTCTTACATTTCTTAATGCAGCTTCCTGAGAAGTAAAATAAAAATCCTTCCTGTTTCAAAATATTTACTGAGAGGTCCAATTTTTGTATATTGTTACCTGTCCAATGCATATTATTAGATAGAAAAGGATGCATATATATTCTTGACAAGGAAAGAATACAGATAAATAAACATAACCAAAAAGCAACCATAGGCTTGTAGTGACCCTTTTTCCCTCCATATTTCTATCTCTTTAGTAGGCCGTAAAAGGTGGACTTTAAAAGTGGTTTTGTGTTATCTCCTCAATAGCCTAGTATATTTTTAGAGATGCTGATGGAGAAAGGACACTACACTTTGTCAGCTGGGCATGTGTAGCAGTCATCTGGGCAATGCATGGTAAGATTGGTGAAGGAGCTATTGCTTTAGAAGATCGGTACTACAGAGGAAAATATTGTAGAAGCACTAAGTACAGCTTAGTTCAAACAGCTTAAAGGCTTTCATGTTTGATGCCTATTCCCTTCTCTAATGTATCCAGGGATCACTGCAAAGGTGATTGAAATGAGTTTTGGAATAAAACTCTCTTTTGCATGACTTTTCCTTCTTCAGAAAACTTTGATTTATTTAACCTTTGTTTTCAGAAAAGTGAATCTTTGTTCCACATTTCCTAGGTGATGGATTTTCCTCTTACATGAATCTGTACCATCGGCCTGCATTAGTCACACTGTATTATGTTGCACTAAATCAAGTAACACAACGTGACTATTAATATTGTGATGTGTAAGAACATGTCTCACTCGGGAATGGCGAAAATGTCATTTTCCGAAAACAGCTGTCTCTGCATTTATTCAATAACACTTTTCACCTTAGAAACTGTTGTTTGCAATCTGAGCATTTTCATTGGCAATTTTGAGATATATTTTAAAGCCTATTTTTTTCTCTAGTGTCATTAAATATTCACGATACTGCTAAAGCTTTCAATAATGAAATCAATTTTGAAGATGATTACAGTGAATACCTACCACCTCGGTATTTAGATGAATCAGAACAAATACAGCCAGAGAGTTCCAGAACAGACTTTTCCAATGGATTGATGATGATGATGAATCACCAGGCCTTAGTGTTCATCTTCTAGTTGACTGTTGTCACCACAACGTTTCCTTCTCTAGTGTGATGTATGGGAGTCAGAGGAGCAGTCTTCACAGGCTTGTTATCTCTCTTCGTCTTCAAAGCTGCTTTTAGTAAACTTCTTCTGCCTCTGCGTTTAGTAAATTTATAGCCATTGATCATGAGACTTGAGGAAAATAAAGGATAGTTTACCCGTCAAGAAAATGTTGTATGCAAGAATTAATTCTTACTTTCTGTTGGAAATAAATCTATTTATTCTAGGGCAAGAGATTGATCTTTGGTTTCTGTTGGGAAAGAATCAATATTACTGTTTTGTTGTTGGCCTACTAATGTACAAAATATAATGGTGTTCTTTGTGCTTTTTAACTGTTTAATCGTTCCATGAATTTTCTCTCCTTCTTATAAGAGCAAACGATGCTTACTTCTATACTTGCTTGGTTGATGTTTTCCTCATGATCATTAGGCTGCTTAACCCTGCATATCACAAATAAAAATGTTCAGGTTTTTAAATGAATATCAACCATGAAAATCAAAACAAAAAGGAATACAAAACCAGATACTCCAGACTCTTTCTTCCTTTTATTTTTTCATTTTGTTTTTCTTCCACAGTCTCTCCTGCTCCATCCTTATATCTAACAACATTGCTTTATTTTTATCAAAATAAAATATGCACATATTAAAAATGAATCAAGTATTTCGAAGGGCTTACAATGAAAGCGTTAGTCCATAGTCTCACTACTTCCAATTACTAGTTGCATTCACCTGAAGCACTGTGAGCTATAGTCTAAGCAATAGTTTCTTTGAACTGTTTCTTCAGGTTGCTGTCTCCATTTCTATTAATAATATACTTTCTTGATTTTTATATATTAACTTCTTATTATAATAGAAGACAACTTAGCTGACTTGGGAAATATCTACTATCCTCCTAATGCCACCACTATACCATGATATAAAATTTTTCCTCTGTTGATTAATTGTCAACATGAAGGACTATACTTGTGATTTTCCCTCTCCTTTAACTGTAGCCAGCAGCTTTGATCCTTGATTTATATGATGAGGATACTAATGCATCTGCTATTTTCCTTATTGTTTGACTCTCCTTTCTTCCCAGTCTCTGGATTTATACTTTTATAATGCCAGGGTGGATGACATTTACATTATTCTTTATAACCATAATTTGTTTATGGTGATTTAATTTATATATTTCTTCATTTGGCACAGCTTTTGAGAACCTAAGTGTGTTTAAGTACTTTTTCTTACAAGGTAGGTAGACATCAGTAAACAATGTTCTCAACTTCAGGACTTTTGTTTTTTAAGTGGGGAATGAGTGAACAAAAGAAAGAATAATGAGGTTTGTAGAAAGTGCCAGAAGTTGGGGTTTCTAAATTAAAAGTTAGAAATCAATTAACTATAGTTTTTTCTTAAGATAGCAGAGTGAAAAGAAACTTAATCCTCCCTCTCTCTCTTGTGAATGCATAAAAAGATGTTTATACTCATACATACGTACACAAGCACATATCAGTTCAAAATGCACAGGTGTGCATAAAACCAAGAGAATCATCTCAACAAGCCAGAAAAAGAGAAAAAAATACCATTTTAAATAAGAAGTGACCATATGGCCCATCAGAAGAAGAGACTAAGTTCAAGAATAAGGAGAAAAAAAACTCAAAGCTTGGTCAAAAAAGAAATAGGGCTGGAGGTTCTCACAACCTCCCAAGAGTTGAGGAAGAAAGAGAGGCAGCCATTTAGAACGGGAAACTTGGCCAATGCTGGCACAGAATTACCAACCAATGTATGATTACTGGTTCCACCTGGAGAGATGGACCCAGGCAAATGGAAACTGCATACCAGAAAACACTTTCATGATAAAGCCTCAAATATGTTGAGCTTGCTGACAAAATGAAAGGTATATATATATACACACACATATATATGTATGTGTGTGTGTATATATACACACACATATATGTATGTGTATGTGTACATATACACACACATATGTATGTGTATGTGTATATATACACACACATATATGTATGTGTATGTGTATATATACACACACATATATGTATGTCTGTGTATATATACACATATATATGTATGTCTATGTGTATATATATATAATGCAAAAGTCTGCATAGAAACTAGACATGATAATTAAAGGTTGCAGGGTGAAACTATATTTAAAAGACATTAGAATTAATATGTATGTAGTTCTTAAAGAGATAAAATGTCCCTGCAACAATAACAGAAAGTTACCAAACAAGGGTCTGCAGATGGGTGAAGGAAATTAAATAAGTCTGGGAAATAAAAAATATACTCTTTGCTTACAGGACAAGAGGGTGACCAATATAAGAGATGAATGGTAAACTACACTTATTTAAAGAGAAATGGTATATTTAATTGTATAACAAAGCAAACCATACAGAAACAGTACAAAGAAATGCAACATATGAAAGAGAAGTTAAGATCAGAAAAGAGACTGATAAATGTATGCTTACTAGGCATTTTTCAAAAGTACTTTTTAGGATGAGGGAAAATAAATAATTGAAGAAATAATTTCTTGTTTCCAGAAACAAATGTTTAACTCTAGATTGAAAATGTTTACTGAGATCTGAATAGGATAAATAATAAATTTACACACAGTGAAAGAAATTGTGTAACATCAATGATAAGAAAATCTTAAAAGAAATAAGTAAATATGAAGATAACTTATAAAGGAAGGAAGATTAAGTTGACAGAAGGCTTCTCATCCACAGAAATACATACATGAAAAGAAAGAGCTGAAGGAAAATGACTCTCAACCTAGAATTATATTCCCAATTAAATCATTATTCAGAAGTGACAGTAAAATAAAGATATACAAAGGCTGTAGGAGTTTACTTCCATAGACCATCCCTGAAAAAAAGCTACATGATTTTGGTAAAAAGCATAAAACAACAGCCTGCAAATAAAATAATAGAATAAATGTCAAACCTAAATATTTACTTACTGTGAGAGTAAATGCAGTAGTAATATGAACAAATTTAGATTAGAATAGAAAATTCTAGATAAGAATAAAATGAAATAATGTGTAGAGGAGATTAAGGAAAAGTTCCATTATGTTAAGGTTCCTTATCTTTTGCTGGTAGGGGATGAGCAATGATTAATTTTAGACATTATTTATAAACCATGAAGAGAGTGGAGCAAATATGAAAGAATAGAAACTATATACATATTACTAAACCGTTAAAACAAAATCATGTACATCCAGGAAAATTAAAAAAAGGGATCAGAAAGAGTGTAATAAAGGCCAAATTATTGTAAATAATTAGAAATATATTTATAATTATAAATGCAGAAGTTTAAATTCACATATTAAAATAGAGACTGTCAGAACAATTCAGATGAATGGATAATACTCAGTAGTTGAAAGGAATGAATTAACTATATATCTATGACTGTGAATAAATCTCAAGAACATATTGTTGAGCAAAAAAGGTAAGTGAAGTGAGTGGTGGTTATTTTGCAGTGTGATGTTTTTATGCAAATGACATACAGACATAATAATACTGTATGTAGTATGTTCAGCTGCAATTCATGTTTCTTGTCATGCCAATTAGCACATATATAACTGGTGACTAAGAAAACAGTATGTTGCAGCAATTCATTAGTGCTGCTTCCCCCAACATGTTGACATTTTGTGCCAGCATTTGACAGTGGCTGATTCGAAGTCTACTAATACAGCCAGAGCCAACTACATAGAAATCAATATAGTGTAGTACTTTTTTCTGATATTCTTCCTCTCTGTGGTCTTCTCTTGGCCTAATTTGGCCACCTGTTCTGTCTTTGCAAAGCTGATGGTGCAGTATTTTCTAATCTTTGTTCATTTTTTTTCATTTTGCCCTTGTCTCTCTTAACTCAGCAGCCTCAAACTTCTCTTGCATCCTCTTTTATCAAGCTACTTTTTATTTTAAAGTAATAACTGGGAATATTTTTAATTGAGCTAATTTTTTAAATTAAAATTATTGCTTTTGTTGGTGCTCTGATTATAAAGTTGTATGGATTTTCAGTTGTTTCTCCCAGGTCTGTTTTCCCCATAAGCCCTATTTTTTTGGAGTGGTATTTGCACAGACTGCCATCTTGTAGAATGCAAGACTTTTCACTCAAATGCATACACAGGCACACACACAGCATTAAAGGTGAAAAGCTTGCATTGGTAAAGAATAAGTATGTGTATGTAACAGTTTTAAAAATCTATAAACAAATATTTATATAAACTATAAACTTTCAAAAGATACATAGATTTATGGTAGTAGCAGTTTCTCAAAATGAGGAAAGGCAATATAAGGATCAATGAGTATTTCAATTTCTTCCATAAAATTTTTTTCATACAATAGAACACTTGGAGATAGATACGGCAAAATTTGTGGTGCAGCAATGTGTGTTTGTTATATTTGTACTTCTATATATGTTTTAAATTCTCAAAATTATAAAAAGAAAATAAGTAAGCTATGTTAATATTTTGTTGCTATGTAAATATTATTTGCTTGCAGAACCAGGTAATGTATCATGAATTTAATTCCTTATTTGTATTTTTCTTAATTTTAATTGCCTTTATTTTTCCTTACCCTATTTGTGTTTATTCTATACTGTGATTTTTCTTACATCTCTCTACTAAGTTAGAAATCCTAACCAGAACCCTTTCCTCCCAAGCTCTCAGTCCCTTCTGCTACAACCAACACTATAGTACTGTCACATAGCTCCTATTCATTTCCCTCACTGCTTTACTGGATAGTTTTTAATTTTTGTTTTCTTCTGGCTTCCACATCTTCCTCATTTTCAGTCCAGTTCTTTTTTTTTTTTTAACTTTTATTTTAGGTTCAAAGGCGCATGTGCAGGTTTGTTACATAGATGAACTTGTGTCATGGGAGTTTGTTGTATAGATTATTTCATCACCCAGGTATTAAGTCTAGTACCCATTAGTTATTTTTCCTGATCCACTCTCTCCTCCCACCTTCCACCCTCTAATAGGGTGTATCTGTTGTTGTCCTCTATGTGTCCATGTGTTCTCATTATTTTGCTCCCACTTACAAGTGAGAGTATGCAGTATTTTTTGTTGTTGTTCCTGCATTAGTTTGCTAAGGATAATGGCCTCTGGCTCCACCCATGTTCCTGCAAAGGAAATGATTTCATTTTTTTATAGCTGCATAGTTTTCCATGGTGTATGTGTACCACATTTTCTTTATCCAGTCTATCATTAATGGGTATTTAAGTTGATTCCATGTCTTTGCTTTTGTGAATAATGGTGCAATAGACACTTTGCAAAAGAGGAAATACATGCAGCCAACAATCATATGAAAAAAAGCTCAACATCACTGATGATTAGAGAAAGGCAAATCAAAACCATAATGAGATACCATCTCACACCTGTCAGAATAGCTATTTTTAAAAAGTCAAAAAATAATAGGTGCTGACGAGGCTGTGGAGGAAAAGGAACACTTATACATTGTTGGTGGAAGTGTAAATTAGTTCAACCATTGTGTAAGACAGTGTGGTGATTCCTCAAAGACCTAACACAGAAATACCATTCAACCCAGCAATCCCATTACTGGGTATATACCCAAAAGAATATAAATCTTTCTATTATAAAGATGCATGCATGCATATGTTCGTTGCAAACTTAATTCTTTTTTTTAAAGCACCATCTTCAGGTAGCCTCCTAAGCAAAGGTATAGGTAACATATATTTTATTAATTTTCAAATATCAAAAAAGTCTCCATTCTATCTTGGATAAATGTTTATTGCTACTACACAGAAGTATGAAGCAGAAAGAAGTGGAAACTGTCCTTGAAAGGATACAATCCCTGAGTACACATGGCAGATTGATTCCAAGACCACCCCTTAATCACCAAATTCCCCGCATACTAAAATCCCACAGAATTCTGTCCTGTGGAACCACCTATAGAAAAAGTCAGCCTTCTAAATATGCTAGCTTCATATCCCATGAATATTTCATTTTCCATGCATGTTAGGTTGAAAAAAAAATCCACATATAAATAGACCTGCACAGTTCAAACCTTTGGTTTTCAAGGGTCAAGTGTATATTCAATGATTTTTACATTTATTCATTCTCTATGGACACCTCTCATTTCATTTACTGCAATGTAGCTTCTGCCATTTGGCAGTTTAAAAATGCCAGAGTATCTTTAGTTGTATTTTGGGGAATATTCGGATATATGTATATATGTAAATGTTCAGTGGATTGCAGGTGCAGCCTCTTGAAATGAAATTACTTAAGCATATTTTCACCATTAATGGGTATCCACCTGGGCTTTGTGTTCTGCCTTTATCCAAGTTGCAGAATCTTCTTTAAGACAGTTCAACATTTCTCAGAAGACCTACTGTAGGTTTTTGCTGTCCTTTAGCCACTTTGCTGCTGCTCATTAAACTCCAGTGCTATAACGGAAAATAAAACCCTTTCTTTTTGGATCCTAAGCTTACTCTTTGGATTCAAGGCAAAAAAAAAAAAAAAAAATTATTGCAGTTACTTGAGTTAAATTAGCTACTATACTTTGTATATGTCTCATGATGATTTACAATTTGGCTCCTTTTATCACCACTTATGTACTCGAAGCTCCCATCAAATTCACCTCATTTACACCTCAATAAGTTATTTAGGCAGTTACCTATTCTTAGACTAATATTAGGTTAGCTGTTGAATTAATGAGACAAAAGATGCTTAAAAATAAACATCCCACAAATGGCAACGGTTTATGACCACAAATGGTTCTTTCTTTCTTATGCTACATGTGCATTTTGGGCCAGCAGCAGCTCTGCTGCAAGACTGTGCTCCATACATTGTCTTCAGTCAGAGCCCTCATGTGAAACATTGGCTAAAGGAATAGCCCCTATCTGAGACATTGTTGATCTTATTATATTTGAGGTAAAATAGAACCCAGAAGAACCTTGCAATTTTTCTTAAAATTTCTTCTTAGAAGTGGCCATTTCACTTCTGTTCCCATTTCATTGGCTAAAACAAGTCACAGGGCAAAAGCGAGTGTCCACAGTTTGTAATGGATAATTCACCCAGAGGGAGTAAGGCACAGCTATTTTAAACTATTTTAAACAGACTAGATTGTTTAAAATAGTCAGCTATTGACATTTCTATAACTGAGTTTCTGTTCAATTTTTCTCATTATCTATTCCCTTTCCCATCTTCTCACCTCCTTTTTTTTCACTCCAATAAACCAAAACATCCAGATAATTGACCTGCATATGTGTTCTCTTCTTTGTCTTTACCACTCCAACGTGGTCAGACCCTCATTGTCTCTCTCTTAAACAAATTACTCAAGTCCTCCAACTGGTTTCTCTGCTTTTGGTCTTGTGCCCCTTCATGTCTGCCCTCCATTCATTCACACATTGATCATGCCAGTCACCTGCTGAATACCTGATCCCTTCCTGATGTGAGCTCTGTGTCCTCTCTGGCCTCATTTTCCCCCAATGATAATTCATTGCCGTATTCTATGAAATGGACTTCCATGCTACTTCCTCACCCATTGACTTGTATAACTGTTAGTGAGAAATCACAAGCACCACTTTCCTTGGAAAGACCTTCCTAAAGCTTCCAGGCTCTCCAAGGTCCTGAAATATATTGTGCATGTTATGATTGCTCCGCTTACAATATTTGTGATAATTATTTTTATATGCCTGTCTTCCCTACTGGACTGTAAACTCTTTAGAGTAGGGACTCTAAAGCTGATTTTTACTCAGCTTTGTGTCCTGTAAGAGGCACAAGGTGTGTCTGAATAATCTTTGTGCTATTGCACACAACACAGTATCAGTTATAATAGATTCCAAGTAATTTTGCTTAATAAATAAATGGACTTAAGCAAAAAAAAAAAGGCATTCCCTTCTTCAAACCTAAAAATCTGAACTAATTTTGGAGTAAAGACGTATTTTACACCTGGATTGAACCAGGTATAATAAACATAGTGACTTTTATAAGTTTTGTTTGGAAAAGTAGGGGAAGTGAAATGTATGTCAGCATCATTAATTCCTTTTACTTTCTCTCTAATAAACAAAGCTGCAGCTAACAGTCTTAAAAATATTCGAATGTGGATTTCCCTATACATAAAAATTCCCCATGGGTTCTGTTTGCTAATGTCCTAACATTTCCCTTGGTGCTCAAGATTCGTGAGTATTGAAATGAATAAGTAAGTGCAGTCATGGTTAAAACCCCATTAACACAGACAAAATCACAGAAACCAACAGTGGGAAAACAGTTACACATTTTCAGATAAAGCAGAATCCATCTGTAGTGTATGAACTGCATTTTACATTGGTATTGACTCAAACTAGGAGTTAGATATAAAGACATATCTGTATTAAACAATTTCCTAATATAAAAGAGTATTTTTACAAGAGAGATCCTTACATATATAGTACACATTACTATGACACATTAAGGTATTATTGTTAATAATAGAATGGTAGTCTCACCACATAATATCTCCTAGCCTATCTCTCAGCCTCCATTTTAGTTTAAATACCAATTGAATTTCTCCTCTTGAGGCTTACAAAGCACAAATAAAGGTGTGTATTTGTTCTGGGTGAATAACAAGCAATTTGATTTTGGTATGCAGTGTATTATGTTTCTGATAATGTCAGTCATTATTCTATTTGATGTGTTCTTAGATTGATATGTTTAAAATTAATGAGGCATTTGTCCTCCCTGTGAAGAAATTAATAAGGAAATTTTATCCCATGAATTCTGTATATATAATTAAAACAAATCAATTTTATTTTGGAGTAGATATTTTCTGAATTCAAAGGCATCCTAGCCATTTATATGAATTGATATAATAATCAATTTGAAAATAATGATAAGTAATTTTAAATCATAACCAACTAAATATGCTAAGAATGCTGATAGTAGAGTTTCATTTCTGGATCTCAAATTTGATACAAGCTTCTCCCCAGTTTTGTCCTCTGGAGGAATAATGCATTGAATACCTGCCACTTACTGAGAATCTTCTATGTGCTAGATTCTAGGGTAGTTACTGGGTAAATATTTATTTACAGTTCAATAAGTATCTAGTTTTTCCTCATGTCACAATTTGCCCAAGAAAAATGTTGTATATAGAGGTAACTATGAGATACTATAGTTAGTGAGGGTTGCAGCTAGTCTAAGAACTGAGTGTGAATTAGAAGGAACTACTCTCTGAGTGCATCAATTAGAACAAGCTCTTCCTCCAAACAGAAATAGTCCTATCACTAAATGGTTTAGAAAACTGATGGTATTTTGAAATATAAAAGAGGTGACCTCATCCTCCCCCTTTTTTCCCCTGGAGGATTCAGGCCGATGCCAGGATACAGGCTTGGCGAATGGAATACAGGTTGGATTTATGTTATCTTTCTTGCCCTTCGCTACTTTTGTGCAGTGTACAAACTGCACAACTGAACATGATGACTCCATAGCTAATGATTCTCAGCATGGGAACTCTAAGCAAGCAATGTGTTAGATAATATTCAGGGAAGTCACCACAGAGATTGGGATATTTGAATATTAAAAATGAGACTTTGAAATTATTTTTGACAACTGAAGAGAGGCACTTTCAGAAAGAAGGAAAAAGGTGGAAATATCGAATTTTTATATTTTGCATCGTGCCAGAAAATTTGTTGCAATAAAAGATTTATTGTTGTGCCTGGAAAGAAAGGCTTTTGCCTGCTTATGAAGAGTTTGATAGAATACCTTGATAAGAAGCTCGGACTAAACCAAGGAGGTTGAAATACTTTTAGAAGAAAAATTAGGAAATACTGTAAGGGATACTTGAGTCAGTAACACATTACCTTTAGCATCAAATAGAGATAGAATAAATACAAAGCTGATAACTGTCTTGATTTGTCATATAGCAGATAGGGCTGCTTTCTTTTTAATTAAAAAGATTGAAACGTAAGTTTAAATGACACCACTGTAAATAAGAATCCAATGACCCATTTCAAATTTTCATAAAAGACATTTCTCTAAATGGGCCTATTTTGTTTTTATTGTCAAAGTAATAGGTAACATAATAATTAAATAATCAAGTTATATTAATAATAAAAAATATGTGGGCACAAAATCATGAATCATTCATAAAGTCCTACAAAACTGTAAGAGAATGTCAACTTACAAGTGCTAGTATTTGTTTAAAGTTTCTGCATACAGACACACACACACACACACACACACACACACACATATGTATATGCAGTAACATAATAGTTTTCATGCCAGTTTAGTCAATCACAGATACTTCTAAAAGGAATGCTGTTTACATGTACTGAAAAAGGGATGAAGTTTTGGTCAGGCCTGGTAGCTTTACAATCAAAGAACAATATTTACTTTTCTTTTTTCTGTCAGTACCATATCTTACTTTTGACTGTTCTGTACAAATTTATCATCTACAATACATTTAAATTTAAATTCTTAATGTTTATTTATGTTAAAAATAAATTTATTGTGAGCTCAAATTGAAGTGTAACCAGTGCATGATCCTTTACAATAATGTATTACTTGAGTACATGATCTTACCTAACGGGGAAAATTAAAAAACAATCCACTTTGTACTAAAGTCTATAATAGATTTTTCAGCCTGATAGAATTGCATGTTGATTTTCAAGTTTATAAACTAGAGATATTTTATAAATAACATCACATTATAATCTGTATGTTGTTCAGGAAATTCTTTAAGGGTCACAATAATCTGAGGTTCCTTTTCTTTAAAATATAGAAAGAGTGTGTATTTTGTCCTGTGAGTGATAAAACATTTAATTTAAGAAAAATTAATCTAGCAGAAAATTAGAAGATAGATTGGAGAAGTATGAGTTTGGTTAAGACATGTACCTAAGGACAGGAAAAATTCTCAGTAACAGCACAGCCAACCCACATGGAGACCTGAAGTGTCATTCACTGCTGTTAAGATTGTAACAGTAGTTACATTTTTTCTTGAGAGAAGGTCTGAAGACCTAATAACAATTTTATTAATCTGCATGGGTATGATCCAGCCCCTCTTTCCATCTCAAATTAAAACTCTCACAAGACAATTAATTTGGTTGAATTAATCAGTCATTATCCAGTACAGAGTGCTTCTGTTAAACAGACTGTCAGCCTCTTGGATCATTTCACACTATCTTTAGGATGGATGGCCATTGCTGACTTTATCAGCTATGCCCATGGTGGCAACCTAATGTGGCACCAGGCATGGTGACTACTGCATAACAAATCCCTCAAAATGTATCTGTGACTACTGGAGGCAATTTAGGGATTTTCAGACAAGCACAGTGTAATTAAAAGCCTCTGGTTGTAGTCTTACTTTAGATGACACTAACAAAATAGCCCAGATAATAGGGCCTTTTGGTAGATTCAGTTACTGGCACAATTTCCCACTCCCTCCAATACCTATGCCCTGTGCTATTTATTTTAGGTTGAAAAAAATGTTTTAGCAGATAATATTGGTATATTCCTCATTACACCAATCAGTTGTAAAGTAAAATTTTTATATGGAGGAAGGGGCCCACTAAGGGAAAATGTCTAGGGCCCGCAGAAGTCACCATTAGGACTGCTTGGGCAGCCATGGTTGGCTTGGGCAAGGGTGGATGGGGTACAGGCTGGTGCTCAAACTTCCTTTGGTCCTTTAACCTTCTAGAGGTCCCCCATTTCAGCTACTTTAATGCGTCGGCTCTTAACTTTCACTTGTGCGGTCACCCAGAACTTGTTGCACAATGCTGTATGCTTTTCTCAGGGAGCAAGCATAGAGCTTTTCACTGGATTCTCAGAGGGTTCTAGAAAGATGTGGCAATCCTGTTTAGGTAATCCTTACAGCTACAAAAAGCTGAAAGAGAAGCTGTGATGCCTTGGAGCCATTGTGATGACATTAGAGTAGCCAAGATGATGTAGAGATGTACAGTGATGATGTAAGAGGAGTGTGGTGACATGACAGATGAGGGGCAGCATGATTCCTTTTTTTTTTTTTTTTTTTTGAGACAGAGTCTCACTCTGATGCCCAGGTTGGAGTGCAGTGGCATGATCTTGGCTCACTGCAAGCTCCGCCTCCCGGGTTCACGCCATTCTCCTGCCTCAGCCTCTCGAGCAGCTGGGACTACAGGTCCCCGCCACCACGCCCGGATAATTTTTTTTTTTTTGTATTTTTTTAGTAGAGACGGGGTTTCACCATGTTAGCCAGGATGGTCTCGATCTCCTGACCTCGTGATCCACCCACCTTGGCCTCCCAAAGTGCTGGGATTATAAGCGTGAGCCAGCGTGCCCGGCCAGCATGATTCTTTTCTGGTTTCCCAGCTGGGTCCTCCAGGCAGTGATATTTGGATCCAGTCTCAACCTCTTAGGACTTCTAAGGCAAGTGTAGGAGATGTTTTTCATAGGGGATTTCCACAAAAGTGTTTTCAGAGGCAGTTCATGGGCTTGGCAAAAATCCTAAATTGCAAAACTGTTCTTACTGGTTAGTTGATGAGGTTACCCCCAACTGAGAGATGTTGAAAGATGATGAACAGTGACTTCAGTTGTTTATTCAAGTCTATGGAAACATTTTGTGGTTTATCTTTCCTCTCATGACCTCTCCAACTGCTATTTAGTAAAATTTTATTTCATTTTCTTTCACAGGTTCAAGATTCTCCATGATCTAATTTACTGGCTTCTTGCTTTTATATGTAGGTACTTTTCCTCCACCCTTGCAAAGCTATTTTGTGAAACTAGGTACCTGCTCATACACTGATGTTGGCATCTAAGAAAGGTTTTGTCCTTAGTTTAAATAGCTGCAAAGGATGGAATTTCCTGCTTACTGTCAATGTTGACTTATTTTTTGGTATGTAGTAAAATATACATCATGAAAGTTAACATTTTGACCATTTTTAGGTGTACAGGTCAATGGCATTAAGTATATTCACACTGTTGTACAACTATCACTATTATCCCTCTCCAGATCTGCCTTTTGATAGTTGACCTTGCAGTGCCCTCCAGTAAAAATGCACCTCACCTCTTGGCTTTGGGCCCAGTCATGTGATTTGCTTTGGTAAATCATATATTTGTTTGCCCTTTTGCATCTCTGCTGTTTACATGAGAGAAAACAAACAAACAAGAAAACACAACATTCTCAAAGAGAGTAAGAGATCAATGAAGCAGACCCAGATGGGACCTTCGGATTACTGCTATCCAGCTAAAAAGCCGGTCTAAATCAGCTGAACCCCAACTAACTCACTGGTGAATGGTCAATGGTCAAAGTAAATACTTAATCATTGTATAATAAAGATATTTTTTGGTTTGTTACACAGCAAGAGATGACTTATACAGGCCTAAACTTGGTTTCTGGCAGTGGGGGAGAAGAAAATAATAATAAAGATCATGCTCATGCTCTCCTATGCTCTCCTATGCTCTCCTTCTTCTTCTTCCTTTTTTTTTTTTAATGGAATTTTGAATTTTGCTCTTGTCACCCAGGCTGGAGTGCAATGGCATGATCTCACCTCACCACAACCTCCACCTCCTGGGTTTAAGTGATTCTCCTGCCTCAGCCTCCCGAGTAGCTGGGATTACAGGTGCCCACCACCATGCCCAGCTAATGTTTTGTATTTTTAGTAGAGATAGGGTTTCACCATGTTAGTTAGGCTGGTCTTGAACTCCTGACCTCAGGTGATCCATCTACCTTGGCTCCCAAAGTGCTGGGATTACAGGCGTTAGCCACTGTGCCCGGACTGCTCTCCTTCTTGAAACACTTTCTTTCCTTGGAATATATGACATTATGGTCTCATGTATATTGTTCTGCATTTCTGGGTGGTATTTTCAGTCTTTTTTCTTTCTACAGCTTAGTGTTGAAATTCCTCAAAAATCATCTTAGGCTCTCTTCCTTTCTCAGTTTATATTCTGTCTAATAATCTCACTTATTCACATGGCTCCCACTCTACCAATATGAGATGACAGTCAAATTCCCAGTGGGGAATGTTTGTTATTTCATCAATAAATGTCATGTTAGATGTAGTTTTTTGTGGTGCCCTTTATTAGATAAGGAAGTTCAATTTATTTCTTGTTGGTTTTTTCTGATCATAACAATGCCATGGCCTTATTGATCCCTTTTATTCTCTTAATGTAGTATAATACAATGATGCATTTTCATAATTAAAACCAACCTTATATTCATGAAATAAGCTCCACTTAGTCATATTCTTTTTTTTATTGGATTATTTTAAAACTATTATGTTGAACATTTTGGCAAATATGTTCCTGAGGGATATTGGCCTATGCTGTTTCTTGTAGTGTGCTAGCCATTTAGAATCAGTCTTATGCTAATCCTATGAAATGAATTGGAAAATATTCCGTTTGTAATGTATTTTCTGAAAATGCTTGTGTAAGAATAGTTTTATTTCTTCCTGAAAGATTTCCAATAATTCACAATCTGGTCCTAGGCTTTTATTTTTGGGAAAGTTTCTATTTATCTATTAACATTTGCACAGACCTAGGATTATTTAGACCTTAATTTATTTTTGTGTCAGATACAACACTTAGCATTTTTCTTGTGTCTGATATAATACCTTGACCTTTTCCATTTCATCAAAAGTATCAAATTTATTGTTACACATTTGTTCTAAGTATTTTATCTTTTTCATCCCTAAGGATTTGTAATAATGTTACATTTTTATTCCTGAGATTGGCAATTTGTATTTTTTCCTTTAGTTTTTCTTGGGTTTATACATTTTCTTATTAACTTCAAATTACTTATTTTAGAATCTGTTGATTTCTTTTATGTATATCTGCATTGTATTTTATTGATTTATATTCTTAGGTAATTATTTACTTCTCGTTTCTTATCTTTATTTTGCTATTCTTTCCTAACTTCTTTAAATAAAAATTTAGGGAATTTATTTTCAAATTTTCCTCTGATGTTTTGAAAAATACACTTTTGTGTGTAATTTTTTTTTTGCTGATCATCAAAGAAAGAGCCTTCCCTTGCTATTTTTTACCACCTTTCTTTCCTGAAAGGGAAGACTTTTTCCTTTTAATAAAATGTTCTTATCTCAGTGTTCTTATCTCAAGGTTCTTATCTCACTTATTGAATGGGAACACCATTCACCTAGTTGTAAAAATATAGATACCTGTAAGCATGCTTGAAACATTCATTTTTTTTTCTCTGCTAGTTCCCACAACACAATTATTAAGGCTGGTAGCTTCTACTTCCTAAATGTATCATGAATCTATATACTTCTCTCTGTTTCTCCTCCTAAATATGTCTTTTTTAAAAAGTCTGTGATTTTGTTTTGAATTACCTTAAGTCTTGTAATCACACATATTTTAAAAATTTGTGTATATCTCCTCTACTTTAATTCTTCTAATGAGTTGGAAAAAACACCATTACCAATTACACATACACAGTAATACTACAGTTTTAAATGTATTTGAATAGCTGTTTAAAGACAATTCTAAATTATAATTTAGTCTCACTTAGATATCAAAGATTACAAAAGTATAACTTGCTACTATTTCTTTTCCCACTAACTTTTAAAAGCATCTGATCTTATAGATCATTGATAAAATGTGAGAAGTGTTAAATATTCTTTATTTGGTATGACATTAAGTCACACTAAAATGCCTCTCAATAATTGAAAGATAGCATTTTTTTGATACAGGGAATTCTAATTAGATTGGCATAGTTAGGACCAAAAATATAAAGTAGACATTGTTACCATATCTTCAGCCCTTGCCTTTAACAAGCGACTCAACACAAATTATAACACAGGTAAGTCTTGTTTCATTCTGAGACAGTGGAGGTGTTTCCCATTTATTTAAATATATTCATATAAGGAGTTATATAAATCTAAATATAAAACCAATTTCCAATAGGTGTTGGGATGGCATTCACCATCTTTGTGAACAGTTGAACCTTACTAATCAAGTCTAATCATATCTGGAGAGGGGAAAACAGTAGTAGCCTTTTCTGAAGTAGAATTCCTATGAAAATTCAAAAAACCTACCATATTCATTTACCCACAAGCCAGTCGTAGTTAATTCAGGACTTTTCAATGAAAATATTCTTTCAATTGATTTTGTATCCTGAGACTTTGCTGAAGTTGCTTATCAGCTTAAGGAGATTTTGGGCTGAGACAATGGGGTTTTCTAGATATACAATCATGTCGTCTGCAAACAGGGACAATTTGACTTCCTCTTTTCCTAATTGAATACCCTTTATTTCCTTCTCCTGCCTAATTGCCCTGGCCAGAACTTCCAACACTATGTTGAATAGGAGTGGTGAGAGAGGGCATCCCTGCCTTGTGCCAGTTTTCAAAGGGAATGCTTCCAGTTTTTGCCCATTAATTATGATATTGGCTGTGGGTTTGTCATAGATAGCTCTTATTATTTTGAGATACGTCCCATCAATACCTAATTTATTGAGAGTTTTTAGCATGAAGGTTGTTGAATTTTGTCAAAGGCGTTTTCTGCATCTATTGCCAAGAACAGACAAACAGAGAGCCAAATCATGAGTGAACTCCTATTCACAATTGCTTCAAAGAGAATAAAATACTTAGGAATCCAACTTACAAGGGGCGTGAAGGACCTCTTCAAGGAGAACTACAAACCACTGCTTAATGAAATAAAAGAGGATACAAACAAATGGAAGAACATTCCATGCTCATGGGTAGGAAGACTCAATATCGTGAAAATGGCCATACTGCCCAAGGTAATTTACAGATTCAATGCCATCCCCATCAAGCTACCAATGACTTTCTTCACAGAATTGGAAAAAACTACTTTAAAGTTCATATGGAACCAAAAAAGAGCCCGCATCGCCAAGTCAATCCTAAGCCAAAAGAACAAAGCCTGAGGCATCACACTACCTGACTTCAAACTATACTACAAGGCTGCAGTAACCAAAACAGCATGGTACTGGTACCAAAACAGAGATATAGATCAATGGAACAGAACAGAGCCCTCAGAAATAATGCCGCATATCTACAACTATCTGATCTTTGACAAACCTGAGAAAAACAAGCAATGGGGAAAGGATTCCCTATTTAATAAATGGTGCTGGGAAAACTGGCTAGCCATATGTAGAAAGCTGAAACTGGATCCCTTCCTTACACCTTATACCAAAATCAATTCAAGATGGATTAAAGACTTAAATGTTAGACCTAAAACCATAAAAACCCTAGAAGAAAACCTAGGCATTACCATTCAGGACATAGGCATGGGCAAGGACTTCATGTCTAAAACACCAAAAGCAATGGCAACAAAAGCCAAAATTGACAAATGGGATCTAATTAAACGAAAGAGCTTCTGCACAGCAAAAGAAACTACCATCAGAGTGAACAGGCAACCTACAAAATGGGAGAAAATTTTCGCAACCTACTCATCTGACAAAGGGCTAATATCCAGAGCCTACAAAGAACTCAAACAAATTTACAAGAAAAAAACAAACAACCCCATCAAAAAGTGGGCAAAGGATATGAACAGACACTTCTCAAAAGAAGACATTTATGCAACCAAAAGACACATGAAAAAATGCTCATCATCACTGGCCATCAGAGAAATGCAAATCAAAACCACTATGAGATACCATCTCACACCAGTTAGAATGGCAATCATTAAAAAGTCAGGAAACAACAGGTGCTAGAGAGGATGTGGAGAAATAGGAACACTTTTCCACTGTTGGTGGGATTGTAAACTAGTTCAACCATTGTGGAAGTCAGTGTGGCGATTCCTCAGGGATCCAGAACTGGAAATGCCATTTGACCCAGCCATCCCATTACTGGGTATATACCCAAAGGACTATAAATCATGCTGCTATAAAGACACATGCACACGTATGTTTATTGTGGCACTATTCACAGTAGCAAAGACTTGGAACCAACCCAAATGTCCAACAATGATAGACTGGATTAAGAAAATGTGGCACATATACACCATGGAATACTATGCAGCCATAAAAAATGATGAGTTCATGTCCTTTGTAGGGACATGGATGAAATTGGAAATCATCATTCTCAGTAAACTACCGCAAGGACAAAAAACCAAACACCGCAGGTTCTCACTTATAGATGGGAATTGAACAATGAGAACACATGGACACAGGAAGGGGAACATCACACTCTGGGGACTGTTGTGGGGTAGGGGGAGGGGGGAGGGATAGCATTAGGAGATATACCTAATGCTAAATGACGAGTTAGTGGGTGCAGCACACCACCATGGCACATGTATACATATGTAACTAACCTGCACATTGTGCACATGTACCCTAAAACTTAAAGTGTAATAATAATAATAATAAAATAAAATAAAAATAAAAACAGAAAAAATATTCTTTCAATCATTCATGATCTGAATTCTGGTGTATGAGATCAATTGAATTGAGATACACATAAAAAATAATCATGAGATATTTCTGTTTTATTAAGTGGTCAATTATGACTCATTAGTAGCTTTTGTGAGATAAGCTATCAAGTCTATCGTCTCTGTCTTCTTAATGCCAGCAGAGGTCATTTTTGCTCCAGGGATGTACTGCTTGGGATTCTCCAAATCCTCCCTCAGTGTATCCTCCCCCAAGGTGATGCCTTTGTTCTTATAGGCATCTGTGTAGAAAATTCAACAGCTTGTCAGCTTAAGGAGATTTTGGGCTGAGACGATGGGGTTTTCTAGATATACAATCATGTCGTCTGCAAACAGGGACAATTTGACTTCCTCTTTTCCTAATTGAATACCCTTTATTTCCTTCTCCTGCCTGATTGCCCTGGCCAGAACTTCCAACACTATGTTGAATAGGAGCGGTGAGAGAGGGCATCCCTGCCTTGTGCCGGTTTTCAAAGGGAATGCTTCCAGTTTTTGCCCATTCAGTATGATATTGGCTGTGGGTTTGTCATAGATAGCTCTTATTATTTTGAAATACGTCCCATCAATACCTAATTTATTGAGAGTTTTTAGCATGAAGGATTGTTGAATTTTGTCAAAGGCTTTTTCTGCATCTATTGAGATAATCATGTGGTTTTTGTCTTTGGCTCTGTTTATATGCTGGATTACATTTATTGATTTGCGTATATTGAACCAGCCTTGCATCCCAGGGATGAAGCCCACTTGATCATGGTGGATAAGCTTTTTGATGTGCTGCTGGATTCGGTTTGCCAGTATTTTATTGAGGATTTTTGCATCAATGTTCATCAAGGATATTGGTCTAAAATTCTCTTTTTTGGTTGTGTCTCTGCCCGGCTTTGGTATCAGAATGATGCTGGCCTCATAAAATGAGTTAGGGAGGATTCCCTCTTTTTCTATTGATTGGAATAGTTTCAGAAGGAATGGTACCAGTTCAGGATACAAAATCAATGTACAAAAATCACAAGCATTCTTATACACCAACAACAGACAAACAGAGAGCCAAATCATGGGTGAACTCCCATTCACAATTGCTTCAAAGAGAATAAAATACCTAGGAATCCAACTTACAAGGGATGTGAAGGACCTCTTCAAGGAGAACTACAAACCACTGCTCAAGGAAATAAAAGAGGAGACAAACAAATGGAAGAACATTCCATGCTCATGGGTAGGAAGAATCAATATCGTGAAAATGGCCATACTGCCCAAGGTAATTTACAGATTCAATGCCATCCCCATCAAGCTACCAATGACTTTCTTCACAGAATTGGAAAAAACTACTTTAAAGTTCATATGGAACCAAAAAAGAGCCCGCATTGCCAAGTCAATCCTAAGCCAAAAGAACAAAGCTGGAGGCATCACACTACCTGACTTCAAACTATACTACAAGGCTACAGTAACCAAAACAGCATGGTACTGGTACCAAAACAGAGATATAGATCAATGGAACAGAACAGAGCCCTCAGAAATAATGCCGCATATCTACAACTATCTGATCTTTGACAAACCTGAGAAAAACAAGCAATGGGGAAAGGATTCCCTATTTAATAAATGGTGCTGGGAAAACTGGCTAGCCATATGTAGAAAGCTGAAACTGGATCCCTTCCTTACACCTTATACAAAAATCAATTCAAGATGGATTAAAGATTTAAACGTTAAACCTAAAACCATAAAAACCCTAGAAGAAAACCTAGGCATTACCATTCAGGACATAGGCGTGGGCAAGGACTTCATGTCCAAAACACCAAAAGCAATGGCAACAAAAGACAAAATTGACAAATGGGATCTAATTAAACTAAAGAGCTTCTGCACAGCAAAAGAAACTACCATCAGAGTGAACAGGCAACCTACAACATGGGAGAAAATTTTCGCAACCTACTCATCTGACAAAGGGCTAATATCCAGAATCTACAATGAACTCAAACAAATTTACAAGAAAAAAACAAACAACCCCATCAAAAAGTGGGCGAAGGACATGAACAGACACTTCTCAAAAGAAGACATTTATGCAGCCAAAAAACACATGAAGAAATGCTCATCATCACTGGCCATCAGAGAAATGCAAATCAAAACCACTATGAGATATCATCTCACACCAGTTAGAATGGCAATCATTAAAAAGTCAGGAAACAACAGGTGCTGGAGAGGATGCGGAGAAATAGGAACACTTTTACACTGTTGGTGGGACTGTAAACTAGTTCAACCATTGTGGAAGTCAGTGTGGCGATTCCTCAGGGATCTAGAACTAGAAATACCATTTGACCCAGCCATCCCATTACTGGGTATATACCCAAATGAGTATAAATCATGCTGCTATAAAGACACATGCACACGTATGTTTATTGCGGCACTATTCACAATAGCAAAGACTTGGAACCAACCCAAATGTCCAACAATGATAGACTGGATTAAGAAAATGTGGCACATATACACCATGGAATACTATGCAGCCATAAAAAATGATGAGTTCATATCCTTTGTAGGGACATGGATGAAATTGGAAACCATCATTCTCAGTAAACTATCGCAAGAACAAAAAACCAAACACCGCATATTCTCACTCATAGGTGGGAATTGAACAATGAGATCACATGGACACAGGAAGGGGAATATCACACTCTGGGGACTGTGGTGGGGTCGGGGGAGGGGGGAGGGATAGCATTGGGAGATATACCTAATGCTAGATGACACATTAGTGGGTGCAGCGCACCAGCATGGCACATGTATACATATGTAACTAACCTGCACAATGTGCACATGTACCCTAAAACTTAGAGTATAATAAAAAAAAAATAAAAAAAAAAAAAAATAAAACCCCCTAAGAATACTAAATAATTGTTTTTAAGCAAAAACAAGAAATATTTTGATGTCTGGTTACTGCTTTATCTAGTTTTTAATCATAAATGACTGCCCTATCCATTCCTCATTTCTAGGAATTGGATATTTCAACACTTTGCAAAAGTTATCATGAGTTTGATTATAAACATAATTATTGACCATTTAGATGAAGATGTTGAAAAGGAAAGGACACTGAACAAAATGGCAAGTTCTCTTGCTAAGTCTGAAGGCAGAGTGTCATTCATTCCTGAGTTTGAATCAAGCTAATTAAAACCTTCCAGAGGCTTTGCAAAGCCTAATATCATTGGTAGTGCTGCTCATACAAATTACAAAATATTTTACTCTAGAGGATATCTTTGTGAAGCAGAGAACAGTGACAGAAAGGCAGAAGAGGCGAGAGCTCTAGAATTCAAGTCTATTAAATGTACTCTAAATGCCTCTGCATTTTCATGCCAAGCTCTCTATAACTAATTCAGCCCCTACAGAAAAATTTAAATAATGCTGAAAAAGTAACACATTACATTAAGTATTGCTACTTTGTTATCCATTGTGACTAAAATATTGTATTATATATAGGAATAATTATTACTGTTATACTTATTAAAAACCATTAAATTACAAGACCATTTTAAACTGCTGTAGTAGGAGAAAAATGTTCAGATTTTTACAATATCATATTCTGGCACCACACCAAAAACATGATGTACTGCACTGCTTGGGGGAAAAATGTGAACATGAGTTCTTATACTTGTGTATAGTTCTAATTTGTGTGACAAATAAAAGGTATTTTTTTCAGCATTCACAATAAAAAAAAATTACCTATAAAAAAAAAAAAAAAAAAATTCAACAGCTTGACCTGTCTTCTGCACAAACAGACCATGTAGATTTGGCCCAGTTTTGTGCTTGCTTTCCTTTCCACGGTGTGGCACGGTGCACAATTCTGAACAAAAATCTTTTCTCAACATCACTCATATGTAATTCTCTCTTGCATAGCTGGAGCTAACGAATGTTTCTTCTGCTCAGAAACTGGGCATCCTGCTCTCTAATCTAAATATGTCTTAAATTTACTTACCTCCCAATATTTTACAAAGACTATGGAAATAGGTTTGAATCTCTTTCCTCCACTTTCATTTTTTTCCTTTCTTTTATCTCTTTTAGGTACAGTCTGCCAAAATGATTATTTTTAATGTATAAAATGACCCTTCAATGAATTCCAAATTCTCCTGGAATACTAAAACAGTAACAGAAACAAAACTCCTTTATATGCTCTAAACTATACAGATTGCTTTCTTCTGATTTCCCAATCTCCTATTTTTGCTGTGCTTTCATTTGTTGTCTGTACTTAAGATAAAATAGTCTTTTCTCACTCTTCCAACTTGCCACCATTCTTCTCAAATCTAGTCATTTACCTGAGCATTTTCCTATACTAGTGTGTTCCTTTCTTTAGTTTTCTTAAAGTTTCAACTCAAAATCACCCCTTACAGAAAGCCCTTTTGACCCTCCAGAGTACTCTCAAATACGACCTCATAGTTGAGCACTTCTCAAATTATAAATAAGAACTTTAGTTCGACTTTTTTTGTGCAGTTTCCAGAATGTGCATTCCATGAGAGATGCAATCATATTTAAATTGTTACATGCTATATTCCTAGTTTGCAAGCAGAAATTTGAACATAGTGGTATCCAATAAATGTCAAAGCTTGATATAATTGACCTTTTAGAAGTTTATCTGCTCTAGTGAACACAGGTTTTTTGATGGGGGACAAATATGCAAGGAAGAAGATTCCAACCATGAGAGATTTAGGAGGGAGCATTCTTTGGCTCCCTGTGCATTATAATTGTACTATATTATAATTATATATAACTGAATTTATAATAATACAAAATTAAATAAAAATAATACTCAGATATTGGCATCTATTGAGCGTTTACCATCTATCTGGCACTATGTTAAATACATTACGTATCATCTCATTTAATTCTTACAACAACCTTACAAAAGATTGCCCAAATTTTATAAATGAAAAAAATTGAGGAACAGAGTAACCTTCTTAAGGCTATAGAGCTAATAATAGTATAGTAGGATTTGATCTCAGAATGTCTTGCTTCACAGAATGCACTGTTAATTACTATGAAAAGGTCCTTGGAGCATTTTTTTTTTCTTAGGATCACCAGTAGGAGCTCAAGGGAAGGCAACTGATAGTTTTATTTTTTCTTCTCTTTTTTTGTTTATTCATTTAATCCATAAAGTGGCAGCCCTAATTATGATGTTTAGTGTATAATCCAGTGAGAGAGGAAGAATGCAAATACGTTTTGATTTAACCCAAAAGGTATTCTGCAATAGCCAGTATTCTTATGCAAGTATATTAAGCAACAACAACAAAAAATTAGACTTATATCTAAAAGAACATCTGGGCTTTAGAAAGGCATGGATAGGTGGACTCAGATGATGTCATTAGGACTCAGTCCTTCTTCATCACTTGCCCTTCCTTTTTTGTGTTTTCATGCCAGCTTTTTCATATGGTGGCAAAATGGCTTTCAAAACAATTGGACTTACAGCCTATTACCTTAACAAAACAAAAAACCAACCAGCTGTTTTCCAATGATTCAAGCAAAAGTGCTAACTAAAGTTCTTATTGATCTTGCTTGGGTCACATGCTCATCTGGAAGCCAACCACTGTGATTGGGATCATGAAGTAGTTTGATTGAAAACTTGTAAATCATATGCCCATCGTTGGAATCAGAGATGATATATAGGCCCATTTCCCTACACCCCAGACTGAGAGTGATGGAGAATAGTTTTTCCAAGGAAAATCAGCACATTCTTTTAGAAATGCAGTGAATGAATAATAATCAGACAGAAACTGCAGATGATAACTATACATACTGATTAGAAGAAATTAGGGAGTCCCTTTGCTTGATCTCAAGTTTAAGTAACAATGGCAATGATATCATTTACAAGCTTAGAACTGGTAGTCATAGAAGAGAGTAAACGTAATGGTCTCCCATGGCAATTTCACCAGGACATTGATACTCTTGTGACCTAAAATAGTTTTCAACTAATTATGATTATCTCCATTGAATGCCAGAAATTTCTTCTCCAGAGTTAGATGTTCTGCATGGAAACACTAACCAAAAGCCTATTTCTCATTATTTTAAGCAGGAAAAATTGTAACTCATTTCATGAAAACTCACACCCCAACAAATTTTCTAAAATGCAACTAAAATATAGAGAAATGCACAGAAATAATAACACTTCATCATATTAAAATATAAAAACATAAAACATGACATCCTGATCACCCAATAATTAATAAAATTTGGAATTAGAGGTAATTTTTACATGACATACTTGATGCATAGTCCCTTTATTGGCACTTTTTGAAAATCTCTTCACCTGATTTGACATTCTAATAACTCCATTTGGAATGTACTTCCAGATTTTTTCCCTTCTTAATTAAAAATATTGTATTGAGTTTGAGGAATAAAAATTTACATTTTTTGGTCAATATAAAAATTGACCAAAAATATTGCTTTGGCAGATATACCTTCTATAAAATTAGGATATGGAAAAGTAAAGAGGCATTTTGCTATGAAAGTGTTAAATGGTGATATTTCTGCAAGGTTTTTACAGTGTGCTTATTTTGGAAAATTGAGAAGAGGCTTTGTAGGAAAGAGGCATGACAAAGTAGGAAAATGGCTAGATATTGACTATATTCTATTTGAGGCTTGGAATAATGCTTGGCAAAAACAATAATAAAGTATGTATACTCAAATCCTGAAGTTTCAAAGTAAGTAGAAATAAGATATAATTTCTACTTTTTTTCACAACTGTTCTAAACAATGTGTAATACATTTAAAATGAACAACCCTTGCCTGGGACAAAATGTTAGAGTAAGCAATTTAAGTAAGCCGGGGAAAAAAGTATGATATTTAAAAGTATATCACATCAACATAAGGTAAAAGTTAGTAAGAAACCATTACCAAAAACAACTGAAAAATGTCTTCCTGAATTTTTGAGCAATTGCAGTTCTGCAATCCTTAGGTAAAGAAAAGTGATCACAGCCTAGAAAAACTGTCAGAGGTAGCTGTGAGAGTGGTAGTAAAATGTTCAGATTGGAGCTGGTAGCTGAGTGAAGGAAGCAAAACAATACTTTAAACCACTTTTGACAATAAAATAAACAATTTTTTAATGATATGTCTTTTTTTCACCACAAATGTCTCTGACCAAAGAAAGAGAAATACTCCTAAGGCCTAACATAAAGGATGAGAGGAGAATAATTACTTTATTAGTATGCAGTAGAGGAAAAAGAGTTTATTATTGCATAAACCTACATTCTCTCAATTTCCAGGGAGCTAAGAAGGATTTTTTTAGGGGGGTGGGGATGGGAAGGTCTATGTTCTATAAGAATTGGTCTCTTTAGTGTTAAAACAGGATACCTCAAACATTAGGGCTGCTGTGAATTTTAAATTAGATTACAATTGGAGAATTTATACCTTTATTACCATTAACTCTGCTCTACTTTGCTTGTTAAAAATTAATTGTGGAATCACTTCCACATAGTATCCCAATAAAACTAGGAGCTAAATTACAATTCACACCTGTATTTTAAAGATTCTGCTCTTGCCATTTTAATTTTTTTTTCTGTATCCATAGAACATTGAGAAAACAAAATACAAACCCGTTTTCAGGCTTTGTTGGGAACCGAGTCTATGGTTGGAGCATAAACCAATGACACCACACTTGGATAATGACAAATCCCTGGCTGGCCACAGTGGCTCACGCCTGTAATCCCAGCACTTTGAGAGGCTGAGGTGGGTGGATTGCTTGAGCTCAGGAGTTCAAGACCAGCCCAGGCAACATGGTGAAAACCTATCTCTACAAAAAATGCAAAAATTAATGGTGGCATGCACATGTAGTCCCAGTTACCTGGGAGGCTGAAGCAGGTGGATCACTTGAGCCTAGGAGGCGGAGATCTCGGTGAGCTGAGATCGCACCACTGCACTCCAGCCTGGGCAACAGAGTGGCACCCTGTCTCCAAAACAAAAATAATTATTAAAAAAACGGACAATTACCGAAAGAGACTTTCAGTTCTCTTTTTAACTAATCAAAAGTCATACTCAGAGGCTTTATCTTGGCTCTCTTACTCTTCACCCAGAGAAGCTCTCCAAAGTTGCTCTGGCATGGTGAGCTCTTTTATGACTTACAGGCTGATAAATTCAGCTTTGAGATAGACTTTTTTGGTGATGTCAACTCATTCTTCAACCACAGCATCTTAGTATACTATCAGGAGACCTTCACAACTGGTAGTGACACCAGGTGTCTGAATATATCTCCAGTTCCCTGAATGGCAATTGTCTAATTCTTTGAGGTCATCTTTAGGGATCTCAACAAGTGAATTTCATAAATTCCATAAACCCTACAAACTTAGTGAAAATTATTTTATTTCTTACTGTGTCAAATCGGGACACAGAAAAACATTTTATTTAGTATATCTGTTTAATTTCATTCATTTGGCATTAGTTTTTGCTCCACGTTTCTACCTTATTGGGTCATCCATACCAAAATTATTTCTTGCATGTTTTCTTTCTTTAATTAACAATTTAACTTTGGAACTTTAAAAATTTTGAAGTTGCCTGTGGCCCCTGAGTTTTCTTAGAATTTAGCTCTTCTGTTTACTCTGTGCCTCCTTCCTTTTCTGTTTTCTCATTAACTTCTTTAGTTCCTGGAATTCCTCATGGTGTTATATGCAAGCCTAAATTTCTGAAACAGAGACCCATAATCTGAATGCTTTACTTCTCCACTAGTGTTCACAGTAAAGTACTGGAAAGGAATCACTTGATGAATAGTTATATTGTAGAAGAACTGAGAGCAAAGTGGTATATTCCCATCTTGACGGCAGCTTTCTACGGACTGGTTCCACGAACAAATTGCTAAGAGTGAGGATTTTAGACTGTGAAAGAGTTTAGGCTATTGGCTATCTAAAAATTCACCATGGCTTTATTCAGCCTATAATTTGCAATTTAACCTGACAAAAATTTCTATCTGAAATAAATATAAATAAATTGCCACAAAATTTGTTTACAAGCAGACCAAATCATCAAGAATAAACACTATGTTTCTAATAAGCATGAGGTTGAAAAGGCAAGTGAAAGGATGGTGAAGAGAGAGAAAGAAAGAAACAAGACAAATTCAACAGCATTCCTCACTAAGCAATCTTTTAGAAATAACTCATACTGATGCTAAGAAAATGTGTATGGGGACGAAGTGTAGTTTTGTTTAAAATAAATACTAAATTACATCTGGAATAATTTGGGTAACATTTTTATTCATAGGCTTCAGATAAAATAACGTTTCGTAGTTGTAGATATACTTTATTTGAAGAAGATGAACAAGGATCTTAGAAGTCTTTTCAGTAATCCATAATGAAAGTATTCAGTTTCCCAAGGTTATTATTCCTTCATTTCGCCAAAAGACAAAATCCTTATTCAGTCTTTTCAGATTTCCTGGTTGGAGATTTAAGGCTTTATGTGAGCAAGTCGATACTTTCTTTTGAACATCTTGCTGATAAGCCTTCTTTATGAGACACATGATTAGGCCTGAATTTGAACAAAAGAATTCATCAAATACGTCTCTGGGTTTCTTTCATTTGAAACTCTGAAATTTTATGTAACATTGGTAAAGTAACCTTTTTCTTCTTCTTCATAAAGATTACTTGGATTTAATGTAACTTTTACGGATTTTTTTTTACTATTATAAAAACAAGTAGTTATCTAAAAGAAAAAAAAACCCTTGAGTTTTATTCTAATGATTTAATGTGTATCAACTCACTTATGGGCCTTTTGCAAACATTCTGGGAGAAATTGATTGATTAGGCATTAATTTCAAAGTGACTAAGAGGCTTTTCTGTAGGCCAAAAGACATTTTGAACCTAAACTAAACAAACAATATGAAAAAAACTTCCTATCTTAGCTAATTTGTTTTAATTCAATTTAACTCAGTATCAGTGATCAGGTATGAATGATTTTAGTTTGGTAGAATGTAATTACATTAGTCTCAAAATATTTCTCTTTAGGATATAGCATAGAATATTTTATGCACAAAATTAGATATAATGTACTCACTGCATATGCAATATATATCCTCATTTGCTTCTCCAGAAAATATTGATACTTTTTTCAGGTCTTCTCATATTGCCTTTTTAGCTGCCATTTCTGCAGCAAATTATAGTGAACTTGGGAAGCCAGTATAATATTTGGCCACATTTTTCTGTGCAATCGACCATGATGCTCCTTGAACTTTCTCCTCACTAAGCTTTCTTCTCTTTGTATGTTCCTCCGTATGTTTGGAATATTTGGATTTGATAATGTGAAGTATTTTCCCGATCTTTGCTCATTTGAATATATTGTGAATAAACCTAAACCAAGTCATTGTCATTCCTAGAGAATCCAAGACAAATCTTTTTTTGACTAATGGCAAAAGTTAATAACAACTCATAAATTAAGATGTTCGGTAATTTTAAAGAGTACCAAACGAGTGTCTTCATAAATAATATGACAGCAGAAAGAATATTAAAAGTTTAATATAGAGAAGCTAAGAAGTTAGGACTCAAATGTGGTTTATTTCTGTGTCACTAACACCTCAATAAAGGAACTTTTGTCATGTCATTAAGGTTTATTTTGCTGTCAAGAAGACTTTGATAGGACCACAGTGTGAGAATTTCCTTTTCTATAAGCAATTTATAAAACTGCTGTCAATTTTCACTTACATTGTTTAAAATGCAGCTTCTAATGGAAAAGAATTTTAGACTGCTGCTTATTTTTTAAAATTCTATTTCTTAGTAAACTTTATTTTTTAGAAAATATATTTCCTGAAGAACTATAGAGTTGCATTATCCTACACACTCAATGTTTGCTATTATTAGCATGTCACATTTATATGATGTATATGTTAACAATGCACCAATGTTAATATGTTTTGTTAGTATTACTTTATAAGGTCATACTTTATTCAGATTTCTTTATGTTTACTTAATGTCCATTTGTAGTTCTAGTAGTCTAGTAATGTGGTGTCTTGCATAGATCTAGTTGTCATGCCTCTTTAGCCATTTGACTGTTTACAGTTTTTCAGACTTTCTTTTCTTTAAATGACCTTAACAGATGACTAGTGGTTGGGCATTCTGTAGAATGACCTTCAATTTTTTTTTCCTGATGTTGCTCTTGATTATACTGGGTTTATGTGATCTTCGGAGAAAAACTACAGAGCTAAAGTGCTATTATCATCATATTACAGTCAAGGAACATACTATCCATGTGACTTATCACTATTCATGCTACCCTTGGGTAGCAATGAGGTCATTTTTGTTTGGTTTCTCCATCTAAGGTTGCTCTCTTCACTCCCTCCTTCCATATCATATACTCTTTAGCCAACAGTTACTCAGCACACAATGAAGAGGTGGGCAGTTACAAGATAACTGCATTAAACTATTTGGAATTCTTCATGAGATATTTGTTTTTTCTCATCCCCTTATTTAGTGATTCGACCAACTATTTATATTATTATAGGCTCATACATATTATTGTATATTTTGAGTTGTAGTTGTAGTTCAATACTCCTTTGTTTAATTTGTTTTTTCAAATTGTTCCAGCTTCAGCCATTGGTAGCCCTTTAAGTTGACTCCATGTCTCTTTGACATATTCCAATCATCGTTTCCTTTCTTCCTTTTTTGTTTTTCTTCATCCTATTTATTTATTTTTTATCACTCCCTGGCACTACAAGTTGATCCAGAGTTACCTCGAATATTTTCTGACGCTAGTACTACATTCAGGTGGTTCCCCCAAAAAGCTCTGACTCTGTGTTATTGAAGAATGCTATTGGAATCTAAGATCTAAGCGCTAGGTGTGCTCCTTGCTATTGTGTGTAGTTGCTTCTAGGCTTTTCAGCTGACAGAGCATAAAAATGTAGATGTATACACAATGCTTATATATATATATATATATATATATATATGTTTATGATTATTTCTTTATACAACCATTTGTATCTATGCTAGACTACACATGAGTTCATACTGTGTCTAATGTTAATCCATTACCATGCAGGTCATTCTAGCCTCTTCCCCTTAACCTGTAAACTCTCAGTCCAACAGTGAGAACCTAGCTCTTACCATCTGCCATCTATAAGCTTAATTATTCAAATCCAGTGTACATGTATAGCAGTATCAGAATTATTAACTTCATCCTCATGGGAAATAACTTTATCAATAGTACTGTCTATGTATAGTTTCTTTGAACTTAAGTCCTACAGACTCCACTTTTGCCACTTCTTTTTGCCCTACTTCCTTTATTTAGGTTGTTTCATACATACGCAATTCTGTTAGATTGTTTTGTCACATTCTGAATTCCATTCTTGTATCCTGCAACCTCCTAAATGATTATTTTTTAATTCATATATTCTATGTGTTTGACAAAGACATAATGTTATATATCCACAATTACAGTATCATACAGGATATTTTCACTACACTAAAAATCTCCCCATGCTTCACTGTTTCATCCTACTTCACTTCCCTGCAAACTCCTGGAAAACTCTCAATTAGTTTTACTTTTGCTATAGTTTTGGTCTTTTCACACATCATTTAGTCAAAATCATAAAGTATGTAGCCTTTTTAGATGGGCTTCTTCAACCTATCAATACACATTTATGATACATCGAAGTTGTTGAGTAGCTTGATAACTCATTTTTTATTGCTGATTAATATTTCATGGTTTGTTTCTTCATTTGCCTGTTGAAAGACAACTTCATTGCTTCTAGCATGTGAAAATTATAAAGAAAACTATTATAAACATTTACCTGAAGGTCTTTGTATGGACATAAGGTTTCAAATTTGTTAGATCAATGACTAGGAGTGTAATTGCAGTTACTGCATTATATGATAAGACTATGTTTAGTTTTGAAAAAGGCTACAAAATATCTTTCAAAGTAGTTGTGTCATTTTGCATTTCCACCAGCAATGAATGAGAGAGTTTCTGTTGCTCCATATCCTCAGCAGAATTGTCAGGTTGTTTTTTGTTTGTTTGTTAATCATTCTAAGAAGGGTATAGTTGTATCTCATTATAGTTTTAATATTACAAATGCTGTTATAAATTCTCTCATATTTGTCATTTATATATCATTTTTGTTGATTTGTCTTTTTAGAAACTTCATCTATTTTTAAATTGGATTGTTTTCCTAATATTGAAATTTAAGTCATTGTGCATTTTCAACAGGAGTTTTTCATCAATATGTGTTATGTAAATATTTTCTCCTAGTATGTGGCTTGTCTTTTCATTCTTTTAACCATATCTTTCACAAAACAAAAATGTTTTAATTTTAAGAAAATCCAACTTATTATTTTTTTTCTTTCACAGGTCTTGGATTTGGTGTTTTATCTAAACATCCATTACTGAACAAAGGTCACATAGATTTTTTTCTAGAAGTTTTATAGCTTTACATTTCACATTTAGGTCTTTGATTTATTTTGAGCTAATATTTGTGTAAGGTAGGAGGTCTGTGTTTAGTTTCATTTTTTTTGCATATAGTACATAATAGCTCTAACATCATTTTTGCAAAGATTATCTTTTCTCCTTTAAATTGCTTTTGCTCTTATTCATAGATGAGTTGACTATATTTGTGTGAGTGTATTTCTGGTTTTTAAAATTTTGTTCCAGTGATCTAGGTATCTATTCTGCAAATAGAGTAATATCCCGATTACTGTAGTTTTATAGTAAGTGCTAAAATTGTATTGTGTGAGTCTTCTAACTTTGTTAATCTTCTTCAGGATTGTGTTAGGCTATTATAGGTCTTCAGTCTTCAATATAAATTTTGAAGTCAGTTTGTGATTATCTGCAAAATAATTTGCTGGGATTTTGATTGGGATTTCAATAAATATGTAGACTATTTTGGGAAGAATTTAAATCTTAATAACTTTGAAACTTCTAATCCAGGTATGCAGACTATATCTCCATTTATTTATTTGCGTCTTTTTTTATATCTAAATAAATGGGCATTTGGGTTGGTTCCAAGTCTTTGCTATTGTGAACAGTGCTGCAGTAAACATACGTGTGCATGTGCCTTTATAGTAGAATGATTTATAATCCTTTGGGTGTATACCCAGTAATGGGATTGCTGGCTCAAATGGTATTTCTGGTTCTAGATCCTTGAGGAATTGCCACACTGTCTTCCACAATGGTTGAACTAATTTACACTCCCATCAACAGTGTAAAAGCATTTCTACTTCTCCACATCCTCTCTAGCATCTGTTGTTTCCTGACTGTTTAATGATCGCCATTCTACCTGGCATGAGATCATATCTCATTGTGGTTTTGATGTGCATTTCTCTAATGACCAGTGATGATGAGCTTTTTTTAATATGTTTGGTGGCTACATAAGTGTCTTCTTTTGGGAAGTGTCTGTTCCTATCCTTCACCCACTTTTTGATGGGGTTGCTTGTTTTATCTTGTAAATTTCTTGGAGTTCCTTGTAGATTCTGGATATTAGCCCTTTGTCAGATGGATAGATTGCAAAAATTCTCTCTCATTCTGTAGGTTGCCTGTTTACTCTGATGATAGCTTCTTTTGCTGTGCACAAGCTCTTTAGTTTAATTAGATCCCATTTATCAATTTTGGCTTTTGTTGCCATTGCTTTTGGTGTTTTAGTCATGAAGTCTTTGCCCATGCCTATGTCCTGAATGGTTTTCTTCTAGGGTTTTTATGGTTTTAGGTCTTATGTTTAAGTCTTTAATCCATCTTGAGTTAATTTTTGTATAAGGTGTAAGGAAGTGGTCTAGTTTCAGTTTTCTGCATATGGCTAGCCATTTTTCCCAACACCATTTATGAAATAAGGAATCCTTTCCCGATTACTTGTTTTTGTCAGGTTTGTCAAAGATCAGATGGTTGTAGATGTGTGGCGTTATTTCTGAGGCCTCTGTTCTGTTCCATTAGCTTATGTATCTGTTTTGGTACCAGTACCATGCTCTTTTGGTTACTGTAGGCTTGTAGTATAGTCTGACGTCAGGTAGTGTGATGCCTCCAGCTTTGTTCTTTTTGCTTAGGATTGTCTTGGCTATATGTGCTTTTTTTTTGTTGGTTCCATATGAAATTTAAAGTAGTTTTTACTAATTCTGTGAAGAAAGTTAGTGGTAGCTTGATGGGGATAGCATTGAATCTATAAATTACTTTGGACAGTATGGCCATTTTCATAATATTGATTCTTCCTATCCATGAGCAATATATGAGACAGATCAACAAGACAGAAAATTAACAAAGATGTTCAGGACTTGAACTCAGCTCTGGACCAAGCAGTCCTAATAGACATCTACAGAACTCTCCACCTCAAATCAGCAGAATATACATTCTTCTCAGTGCCACATTGCATGTATTCTACAATTCACCACATAGTTGGAAGTAAAACACTCCTCAGCAAATGCAAAAGAATGGAAATCGTAACAAACAATCTCTCAGACCACAGTGCAATCAAATTAGAACTCAGGATTAAGAAACTTACTAAAAACTGCACAACTACATGGAAACTGAACAACCTGCTCCTGAGTGAGTGCTGAGTTAATAACGAAATTAAGGTAGAAAAAAATAAGTTCTTTGAAACCAACCAGAACAAAGATACAATATACTAGAATCTCTGGGCTACTGCTAAAGCAGTGTTTAGAGGGAAATTTATAGCACTAAATGCCACAGGAGAATGCGGGAAAGATCTAAAATTGACACACTATCACAATCAAAAGAACTAGATAAGCAAGAGCAAACAAATTCAAAAGCTAGCAGAAGACAAGAAATAACTAAGATCAGAGCAGAACTGAAGGTGATAGAGACACAAAAAAGCCCTTCAAAAAATCAGTGAATCCAGGAGCTGGTTTTTTGAAAAGATCAACAAAATAGGTAGACCACTAGCCAGACTAATAAAGAATAAGAGAGAAGAATCAAATAGACCCAATAAAAATTGATAAAGGGGATATCACCACTGATCCCACAGAAATACAAACTATAAACACTTCTATGCATCATCATTTTTATTCTTTCATATTTAGTACAATTTTTTTCATGACTCATGACATCTTTTATCTTTGTGATTATTCCATGTAAACAGGAAAAAATGTATTTTGCTGTTGTTGGATGCAGTTTTCTATAAATGTTAATTTGAATTTATGTCCTTATAGTAAGCCACTGTCATAACTCAAGACTCATCACTCTTCTGTACGGTTGAAATAGGAGAATTGAATCATGATGTGATAGGAGACACCATACCTTCGCCTCTTCAGTCTTTGATGGTAGCTCAAAACATTTTTCTTCTTCAAGAAGTATGGTCTTGTTTTATACTTAACAGAGAGGGGAATTTCTGATGGATTGAAGTAAAATTTTGATCCTTGGAGATTAATTTTGAGCCAGTATCCACTTTCGTCCTATATTCTCTTCTCCAATGTATAGTCCTTTCTGGTAAGTGGCTGCAGGTCTCTCTGGAAAAAACTAGAGCAAAGTTTTATAGTATATGTTTTTCTCAAGGAAATCTTGACTTCTTATTGAGGAGACTTGGGTTTGTAAACTGGATTAGGTTTTGGAACTGGGCAAAAGTTCATAACTCTCTGTTGTGGTGTTATGTAGGGCCACTTTTTCTGGATGAAACCTTATAGAGCAAAGAAGAGCCCAGTCCCCTTGCAGCATCATTTAAACCCTCAGACCTAGAACTGACCTTACCATTCTTGGTTATATGAGTTAAATAATTACCTTTTATTTCTTATATCATTTTAATTTATATCATATCTTACATTTGAAAGCATCTTTATACTGACTTCAAATTGAAATTAACAAGTGCAAATGTCCCAAATTGTATACACTGATTTCTACTTGAGCAGTTTCTCATGGGGACAATTGAATAGCTTCTCCAGGACCTATAGCAGTTGAGATTTATATGTTCAATGATGATTAATGATTTTCCTGAAATCACTGAGCAGGTTAAATCCTAAGCACTGATATGACAGTATTAGGGCATTTACTTAGAGTCATGTGGCCTTTGGGTAGAGCCAATTGTGAATGGCATCATACCCTGGTAAAAGGGACCCTAGAGAGCTCTCTTTCCCCTCTTTCTACCATGTGAGGGTACAAAGAGACGTCAGCAGTCTGCAGCCTAGAAGACAGCCCTCACCAGAATTTGATCATGCTGGCACCACAGTCTCAAATTTCCATCCTCCAGAACAATGAGAAATAAATTTCTGCTGTTGATAACCCCTTCCAGCTCATCATACTCTGTTCTAGTAGCCCAAACTAAGATACTGACTCCTTGTCCCTCAAACTTGTTCTCTCTATATGCCTTACACAAAGGGAAAAAAAATCTCAGTTTTAATACTGCCAAAATCTTTGTCGACTATTTCACAGAAAATATCTTAGTCATAAAGATTTTTGTGAAAGGGGAGCATTTAGAAAAGGCCTGAGGGGGAAAACTGTTTCATCAGTTAGGTTCTCAATAATATACATCGTTTATACAAATTTGCTTTGTCTGCAAATAGAATAACCTTGCTGGCAAGCGCCTATGTAGGCAATGAATCTAAATCTCCTTCCTTGTGACTTTATTTTATCTGGGAAATCTTTTGAAAATCATTCTACGAAAAGTCCTTCCTTGCACTGCTGTGACAGGAAGGAACTGAGAGAATCAAATAATTTTCTGTTTGTTATAGCCCCTCATCTGACCTGTAAATAAATAAATATCTTGAAATAAAAAATAATCTGGGTGTATGATTTTATGTGAGAAAAGTTTTATATATAGTTGAAAAAATAGCTTCACAGAATCTTTTGTTATGGTCAAATCCTTCTATGAATGGCAATTCTGCTCAAGAGTTTTTTTTATTGATAAGGGCTTATGTCTCTATGCCATTTTAGTCTGGATGCATAGACAAAATTCTTAAATTATATTTATTATCCTTATAGTAATTTGAGAAAGATTTTTACCACTTTTCTTCATAATATAGGATAAAATATGTTATTTTAATTCATCCTAGAAACTATAAGATGAAATGGCTACACCATTATTCATTGTTTAAAGGTATAGTTTCATATTTGCTTTTTTTTTTTTTTTTTTTTTTTAATGAAGAAAACCTTCCAAGCCCCCAACTTCCTACGGGCAGGAAGCAGGCTGAGAGAGTTATTTAACTGTAAAAGGAAGGCAATTTCTTTTTCTTCTTTTTTCTTTTTTTTTTTTTTTTTGGTGGTGTTAGTAACTTTTATTGAAGTGGCAGTGTACAGCAGCAGAGGTACTGTTCCTTGAAGAGCAGGGCTAACCCACAGGCGATGTGCTTGGCATAGCTGCTTAATGGGTGCAGCAAACCAACACGGCACATGTATTCATATGTAACAAAGCTGCACGTTGTGCACATATACCCTAGGACTAAAAGTATAATAAAAAAATAAAACAAAGCAAAACAAAAAATAAAGTAGGTATAAATATTAAGTGCAGAACTGTCATATTTGCTTTTAAGATAACCTTTAAGGAAGCCTTTACGTACACTTCTCTGTCATTTAATTCTTAGAAAACAATTTAGAATTCATCCTTTAACTTTTTCACCTTAAAACAAAAGTCTTATTCTTTGTTGAAAAGCCTTTCTTCCTTGATAGAAATGTAATTTTAGTTTATCTACATTGACATTTGAATTTGTATGCATTCATTAAACATTCAGATTGTATAAATAATGCGATCTGTATTTTAACAAAGAAAGCTTTCATGGATGAATAACTTCTTCACTTGGCATTATGACAGCTATTGAGAATTGGAAATTTTTGCATTAAAAAATTGTCTGAAAATATCTTTGCCAAAGGAAAGAATATAATGGGATAACTCTTTAAAGAAGAGTTTTTAAATGTTTTTGATAATTCAATAATTTTATAAATATAAAATATATAACATATTTTACAACTCTTTGGGAAAATAGATTTATTAAAAATACATTTATCTGTGACTAAAATATGTTGTGTTCTACACATTTGTAATGTGTGTACTCTCCTTTACTCCTAGCACAACTTCTGTAATGCTCTAAAAAGACCCCTGTCCTACTATCTTTTTAGTAGCAGAGCACTGAACTCCCATTTGTACAGTAATTCATGCTGCAGTTCTCTTGACCTTTCTTTCCATGGTTTGTTGTTGAGCATGCTTAATCTACTTGTTTTCTTGACCAGTAACCATCACACACCTTTCACCCTGGACCTGGGCATGTTGTATAAAAACCTTCATGAATTTGTCACAGAAAATCATAAATACATTTTTTAACCACATTGGCATGTGAGAGAAAACAGAACAGAATAGCTGTAAGCTTAAACTCTGTTTTATTGTTCTTTGAAAGTCTAAAAATTAGTACAATACCTGCCACGTAGTAGGCACACAATAAATATTTGCTGAATGAACAAGAAAGATAATGTGTATACAATGAGAAAATCAGAAGAAGAAACCATAGGAAGTGTGGCAGTACTGTATATAGAAAAAATGTGAAGAAAATATAAATTAAAGGGAGAAAAAGAGCAGGACCATGAAAAGCAGCCAGACGGATCTTACCACATGCCTGGACCACAAGGTAGGCAAGGACAAAGAACGACGTGCACAGCGATTATGGGAAGATTTCTTGGGGTAGCTAGGATGTGCCAGGCATTTGAATATATTCATGTATTCATCATTAATTGAACATATATTTATTAAGCACCTACTAACTATATGTCAGGCACTGCTTTTGGGGCTTGAGATACATCACTAAACAAGGGAGATAAAAAATCCTGCCCTCATGTAGCTTCTGCATATATTTACATTGTATGTAATAATTCCAATAAATAAATAAATTATCCACTATGAAAAAGACAAAATGTGCTATGGGGAAAATAGAACTGGGGAATTATCTAAGGGGGTCAAGTGTACTGACAGAGTGGTCAGGAAGGTACCATTGAGAACATGAGGTCTCATTAGAGGGATGGATGGGAGATACTCAAGTGTATGATCTGGAGGAAGATCAGTCAATGTAGAGGAAAGTCTTAAGGAAAAGATCCTTAGGAAGAAGCTTTCCTGGGTTGTGGGAGGAACAGCAAGGAAGCCAGAAGGAGTGAAGCATAGGGAGCAAGGAGAAAAGTAGAAAGAGATTAGGTCAGATTTAATGACGGGATTGGAGAGTGGAGAACGAACCGTGAATGTTGTAAGGTATTTGGGTTTAACTCTGAGTGAGATGGGAAGCGATGGGATGGGTTAGAGTAGGGGAGTAAGTTATCTGTCATTTGTTTAAAAAGGGTCCCTTATTCAGTCCTTACAAATAACCCACAGAGCAACGTTTCAATAATAATGGTGTTAGCTGCAAAAACTCAGCTGAAATTGGATTTAACATTAAGGATTGATTTTTGTCAAGGAATGGAGGATCTGGAGGAAGGTGGTTCTGAAGATGGTTTAGTGAATTAATAGTGCTACCTCTGTGGGTCTGTCATTCCGCTGGTCTTTCCATTCTACATATTGATAAGGTGGTTGCTAGAACTCGAAGAATCATACCCTCACATAACTGTCCTCAAAGGCAAGAGGAAAGAAAGCTTCTCACTCTTGATCTTGCTCATGCTCTCTCTCACTCTGTCCTTTTCAAGGAATGAAATATTTTCCAGAAATCTCTAGAATCTGTCCTATGAGGTTCCTTTGAACTAAATGAATCACATATCAAACAATAAGCCCATTACTAACTTACAAGTGGGAATAGGATTAACAACAATCAAGAGATATCACCTGGTGTGGGACCTTGCTACCTGATACCTGAATAAAACTAGAATTGTGCTAAACAAGAATAAGAGGAACTGACTGATGTGTAGGCAAGTAATAATGTCTTCCAGAGGCAATGAATGTTTTTATTGTATTTATAGGTGAGTAGAGATTTAGAGAGTCTTTGTAACTTTCCTAAGGCAGTACAACTAAGAAGGACAAATCAAGGATAAAACCCAGAGTCTGGATACAAACTCAAGTTTGTTTTGCTAAATCAAGCTGGCCTCTTTGTAACTATGCCACATTGCTGTGGGGAATTGTTGTAGGGTGACCTTTGTCCTAATAGAAAATACTGTTAATTTATAACTGGTACATGAACCTTTCAATGCTTATTGACAAGCATATTCTCTGTTTAAACAGAGACCGCGTATAAAGCCAAATACTGGTTAGAAGTTGTAGGTAAGCAGAGTTTCTTATAGTGGTCTAGTTACAAACCACAGAACTTAGTTTAGCTAGTTGAATCAGAAACAGAATTTAATAAAAATGTATGGTTTCTGTGCTTTCAAATTTGTTAAGCTATGTTTTATGTTCCAAAATGTGGTCTCTCTTGTTGAATCTTCCATGTGAGCATGAGAAGTATGTGTATTTTGTGGTTGGAAGGAGTTCAGCTAGTTCCACAGAGCTTAGCTAAGTCCACAGAGGTATTAGCTGGCTAATGGGATCATAAGTACTTAAATAAAGTTTATTGTCTAATGTTCTTTAGATGGGGCTTAACAGGGCAAAACATGTTTCCAGAATTATTTCATTTTTTTTTGTACTTCCAGTGCTGGCCAGATGTTTACTATTCTATTCCTTTGATTGACATATTATTTCCTTGGTTAAATTTAGATAGTATGGTGATGGACAACTCCTGAGAGCTATTTCTGTAAGAACATTTATTTGTCTCTGAGTTTATTATATGAGCTATTATGTTTTAACAGTAAGTCAATAATGTTATTACTTTATTTCCCATACATATATGTTGTCTTATTTTAAATACTGAAAACAAGCTAATTTCCCGGATGATAATATCTTATTTTTGCCCTACCCCATATGCCATTTTTCATATTGGGCCCTCTATCTTTAGACTCTTCTGGAAGTAGAAAAACTCAAATAATCAAACCTATCCATTAATTGATTAGGAAAGTATTCTGAAGCTCTTGATTTAATAAGGTTTGAAAATGGTCTTAAATTTCATTTATTCCTACTTTCTTTGCTGTCCCATTATATGGGTGAATGTGACCTGAAGGTGGTCAGTAAGTACTCGTTGATTGGCGGGAATGCAAATATTCATTGCCATAAAATAAAGATGCCTAGTGGGAGACAAGGGGGGTCAAAGCTTTTCACCCTAAATGAAATATTTTTGACAGTTTTTCTTATGAAAGAAGTTAATAATTTTAACAGGAGCTACAGTAACATTGTTGGCTTTTTCACATTATGTATAGTATTACTGAAATATGTAAATGCAAGAAGTCTATTTTAATAAGCTCTTTTTAAAGGTATGAATGTGCCCTTTTGATAGGAAGAATAAAAATAAAAGATAATTAGGTTTACTGCTATGAAAGAACTCACATTTCCACCCTGGGCTATAGTGAAATATTCTGCCCAAGTTAGGCAGCTTGATCTATCCAAGAAAATTGCATTTATAGTATTCCTCGAGCAAGAAAGTTTAAAAACTAATGTCATGACCTTAAACAAGAATTCTAAATCTAATAAGAGCCTGTTGTAATGTAAGAATGTGATTTAGCAGATGCATTTTAATAACACTTATTAAATCTAATATATAAGTAAATTTGTACTTGGAATACGTTGTTGAAACCTTTGAAAATAGGTAAAGGACTTTGATTTTTAATCAGAATATTAACATTAGAAGAAACATCCGGGTTTTTTTTTTTATCTTTCAGGATACTTGCCCATTGCACAACCTCTGCTCATGGGTAGACATGTTTGGATGGGAAACCAGTCAAAACTTTGGGGAACATAAAGTCACAGTAAATTTGTGTCTAGTTATGATGTGGCCATGATAGCCAGGTTGGTTGCCTGTGACCCACGGTCCTGTTCCATGTGTCAGTTTGTTCTGATTAAAAACCTACTTTTTAATCTGGCAAACCAGTTCCATTTCTATTTTCCAGTTCTTCAGGGGCTGAGCTGTCTTGAAACAACAAATCTCCAAGTGATTGGATTCATGTTCTCAAATTTCTGTACCTTCTCCTGTTTGATGCTCTTGAACTTCCACTGTCTGCTTCTCATCTTTGCTTGGATAGAAAGCCTGATTCTGTTCAAGGAATCATTTTATATATCTGCTTTCAGTACTCAGTTGGGTGTTATAACTGAGCCTGGATCCTGCTATACTTAAGAGAGTCTTAATCATGAACAAAACTATCTTTTAAAAATGAATGCTAATTTCAATAAGTTGAGGTTTGAATCTATCTTTAGGGGACCTATTTATTTGTTTTGGGAAACAAAATAATACTCCCTGAAATAAAATATTAATAAATACACAAAGAACCTACAACTTATATGGTCCTTTGAGTTACATAAAGGAAAAGTAAATATCTTTCACCGAAACAGATGTTTGAAGATGGAGATGTTCAACAAGTTAAGCTGCTCTATGTTTATAGAGATATTAGCTGAGTACAGTTTTAGTAGTTTCACCTTTAAAGATTGTTTCTTTTAACAGTAGATTTATTTTAAAAGTGTGGATTTAAAGTGTCTTATAACTTTATTACTTCCTTTAGCTCTTAAGAAGATAGTTGTGTGTATTCTTACTGTATTGCTCAAAGTAGTTTGGGAAGAGAAACTAGAAAGACTAAGGAAAGTGTAGTCTTGTTCTTCTCTTTAATTGTTAATTAAAAAGAGAAACACTAAGAGGAATTGGCCAGCACTTTGTCATCTTAGTATAAACTATACTACTGATTCCCTAGATTTAGACTAACAAAAATACTTTGGTATTGATCTATTATTTAATTGTCCTACTTGAACTAGAAAGAAAGACAATCCCTTTGTAGAGACAATCCTTTTTCCCTTAAAGACATGTTTCTGATGTCAGTCCTTCTGGAAAAAGATTGCTCCTGGGGTTATGTTGCGGAACTAGGGAAGGGTTAGTGAAAGAGAGAAGCTAACATGGTCAGAATTTGTTGCAGTTGCTGTCACCACTATAGGACGCTCGTGCCCAAGAGCAGTGATATGCTATAGAAGTGATATTATAGGAGACAGGCCAAATAGCAGAGATTTTGAGGGCATTTAATTACATGAAACATTTGCTGGTAGAGGTAGTAGTAGTAAGGGAGCTAAAATTCTGGAAATCAAGATTGTGGGGCCTGAGTCAGTATAATTGGAATATTCAATAAAAATATACCATTCCTTTGGAATTGCATCTAGTGATGCCTAGAAATTTAAACTCTAAACCATCTTTTTCTGGACTGATGACCTTGCTTTAGTCTTAGTTACAGACTTATGCCTCAATGTCAGAATCCCTCTTAAACGTATTGATGAACTATTAGTTCTAATTAACCAAGTAAAGTTTTACACTTTTCTCTAGCCGGCAAGTGAAGTTTCAAGACATTTTGAAAGGTTCTAGTTCTCTAGTGAAGTTAAGGAAAATTTTTACATTACTGTTTGAGTTCATTTTCAAATTTGAGGATCTACTATGAGTTTGTTCTATTTAAGAATGTGCTAAAATACTAATTCCGCTGTGAAATCTCTATGTCCTCGGAAAATGCATTGTTACTCTTTTAATGGTCCATATTATTATTTTTCTTTTTATTTTTTCTTAGAGACAGTGTCCTGCTCTGTCACCCAGGCTGGGTGCAGTGGCGTGATCATAGCTCACTGCAGCCTCAAATTCTTGGGCTCAAGTGATCTTCCCTTCTCAGCTTCACAAGTAGCTGGAGCTACAGATTTGTGCCACTGTGCCTAGCTAATTATTTCATTTAACTTTTGTCTTTGCCTCCCAAAGTGCTGGGATTACAAGCACATGCCATCACATAGGGCTAATTTTTTATTTATTTATATATTTTTTATAGAGATGGGGTCTCACTGTGATGCCCAGGGTAGTCTTGAACTCCTGGCCTCAAGTGATCTTCCAGCCCTGGCTTTTTAAAATGCTGGGATTACAGGTGTGGGCCACTGTGCCTTGCCTCACATTACTTTTTTATATCCTTTTTATTAAATCAATTTTTATTGAATGCCATATTACTGCTATTATTGCGCATGTCCTCTATGTCCTATGGTACCATAACCTCAAGAACAGGAACTATAATTTCATTTGTTTCCTGATTTACTCAGCAAGTATTAATCGCATGCTATGTTCTTGCTCTCCTTCCTCTTGCAATTAACACAATGTAGGATGTACATACAGCCAGTGTCCAGTAAATGTTGGTGAAGAGCTAGCAAAAGAGACTATCTTCATTTCCTCAAGCTCCCTGGAATAGCCTCTCTCAATATGCCCTTAATGATCAGAATGGAAATCAGTGGCGTTTGTGTGTATTTTCCTTAATTAAAAACATCACTTTGAAAATATCAATTAGATTGTACCTTATTTCTAAGCGAGTGCTTAGAAATTTGTTAATGTGGTATAAAAATCTTACAGGAATTACAGACAGCTAGTCTGCTAATTAATAGTTATGAAGCTGAAGCAGGATATATTTATTTGTTCCCTTCAAAGAGACCCTAAAGTGACGAGGCAAAATTTGCTGGTGATGCTTAGGAATACTAAAAATGAAATGAAAACACATCTAATTAGCTGTCACCTTAGTGGCCGATGGCTTATTTGGAGGAAACACTGATACACTTCTCACTGCGCACAAAAATCTTGTTGACATGGCATAAACATTCAATTATTCACAAAAATAATACACTGTCAGTTCCATACAACTACCAGCATTGCAAAGGAGATGGAAGAAAAGGAGAAATTAGAACACAATAGAATTTTAAAATACTGTGTAAACTTGTCACAGACTTTGACTTTCCCATATTTAACTCAAAAGTTTAGACTTTCCACAATTTTAATTTCTTCTGCAAAGTATAAATTAAACAATTTATGGGTTGAAAAGGGAAAAACCTTGGCCAATTATGTGTTTAAAATATTTCTGGTTTTCTAGGTTGTTAATTCCTTGAGGACAGGAATTGTGTCTTTCATCTCTGAAATTCTAACATTTATACAATGCCTGATAAATAGTAAATTTATACACTCCCTGGGATATAGTAAAGGCTTAATGAATGTTCACTGAATGAAGTAATAATTTGATATTTCCTTATTGATGTCTTCATTCCAAGCCTTTCTATCTGTATAAACATGAAACATTTTATTGCTTGTTTTATCTTAAAAATGTCTCCTCTAAAATAAATTAGGGATAAGCAACATGAAATATTTTTGAACTGAAAATTTTGCCCAAGCTACATATGCTATGAGATTATGATTGTATGAGCCTTTAAATATTATCTCTCTTTAGAAAAAAATTATCTGTATGTTGGTTGTGATTCAGAGGGGTATCACAGGAAAATCTGCAATCATTGGAAGCCCCACTGTGTGGGAAAATATTGAATAATTGCCTGAAAAAAATTATGAGGAATGGCATTAGTATATTTCCTCTGAAAACTAAGATAGTGTCAGTGCAGGGAGTCAGCTAGAATTATTTAGTTGAGATATTTATGCTGGGGGCAGATATAGTATACAGGGAAGAAAAAGCACAGCAATCTGCAGTAGGAAAATAAGAACTGTAAAAGCAGGGAGTCTAGACTACAGAGAAGGCAAGTAGACTCCGATTGTAGAGGGCAACATAATGGCTTTTGATTCAAAGACCCATAGTTCAGCTTCTATTCTTTTCCCTCGTAATAAGTCCATGTTGTTGAATACATGATAGTATGGGAGTCTCTGAGATAGGGCAGCTTCCTGAACCCTGAAATCCTATAAGAAGCACTCCTAATCCCATTCAAATGGTAGAAAGATAAGTCTTTTTTTTTCCTTTCTAGATTTATTATTAACTGTGGAAGATATTGAAGTGACGTGCTAAAGATGGCTTGTACTAGCCTAGGAAAGCCATTTGTGCATATCTTTGTGCTTGTACGTTCAATGGTATGATATTGAAATTGGCCAGGGTGGGAATTTTTACATAATAAACAATGACAAATGCTACAAGTTAGAATTGTGGCCTTTTTTTTTTTCTGGTTTAACAGAACACTACTGAAAAAAGTATGGAAACTTAAATAGAGCTTTGAAATTAAAATCAATTATTCATGAGATCTCTTACCAATTTTCTGCACTCCTCCTCTTCTGTCCATCCTGGTTCCCCTCTGCCCGCAGTATAAAATCCACTCACCTCAGTATAACTTACAGAGCCCACCATGCACTTGTCTCTACTTATTTCCCCAACTTATTTAGCCACGTATACAAGAAGTCCATGTTTTTTGCCTCTGTAAAGTTTTGCACTTGTTGGTCTCTCTGCTTAGAATAACTTTCTTCCATGTTTGTGTTCCACTCATTTATTAAAACTCAACTCTTGTATCTGTCATTCCTTAGGAAAGCTTTTTCTTGACCTCCCCCAACTACCACCACCAGCTAAATTAAGCATCCCGCCTGTGGTCCCATTGATACTCTGATTACCTTTATTATAGCATATTTCTGACATGGAGTCAGTATGCGTTTTTAATTGCTGCTGTAACATATTATTACAAATTATCTGGCTTAAAACAGCAAAAATTTATTTTCTTATAGTTCTGGAGAACAGAAATTTCAAATGAGTCTCGCTGGGCTAAAGTCTAGGTATTGATAGGTGGGGTTCTGTTCCTTTCTGGAGGCTTTTTCCAGCTTCTAGTATGCCCAAACTCTTTGGCTCATTGCAGCTTTTCATCTTAAAGGTCAGTAATGACTGGTCAGTCTTTCTTGCATCACATTATCCTGACACTCACTTTTCTGCTTCCCTCTTCCAGATTTAAGACTCTTGTTTTTACATCCGGCCCACCTAGATAATCTAGCACAATCTCCCTACTTTAAGATAAACTGATTAGCAACTTTAATTCTATTAGTTATCTTAATTTTCCTTTGTCAGATAACATTACATATTTACAAATTCGAGGAATTAGGACACGAAGCTCTTTGGGAGAATTTTTTTTGGCCTATCATAGGGTCATAAATATTATTTAACCTGCATATATATAGCCCCAGCTTCCAGTACTGCATAAGTGCTCCATTAATACTTTTTCAATAAATTAGTAATTACAAATCATCAACAAGTCTTTCATATAATCTTGCAAGTTCAGAATTAAGAACAACATTAAAATTTAGCTCTTTTACATTTCTTGGGCTGTAGTAGGAGCTTGAAAAGCTTATTGATTATGTATCTTTGCATAAATTTTGGTACCTGCTCTTGTAAAACTTTGCTACATAAAAAGTTATTGACTACATCATAAATTATGGCAACGTATTTAGAAGTGCTCAAAATGTTTTAAAATTCATTGGACAAATCTTCTTAAACCACTATTTAAACATTCTCATAAACTGTAAGTATTTTCGAATATCTCAGGAATCCACTGCAGTATTTTACATCAACATTAATGTACCAACCTCTAAACAGATATCAGACTTTTTAAAAGCATAGAATAAACAATAATTTATAATTTTTTCCTTGCTAACGTATAAATCAAAAATAATGTCATGTTTGAATAAGCCAAAAAACCTACCTGCAAGACCCTTTTGAAGTAAGAAATCAGAGAATATTTTTCACAGTGAAATATGGATCAACAGTTTAGTTTGAGCTGATTTCACCAAGGTAGTCAGGAGGTCACTGAAAAATTAAAAAACAAAAATCTCGCCCAATGGTCAGGTAACATATGTATTCTACCTGTATCAGTCTACATGACATACAGAAAGATAATATTCTCATATTTGGGTAAACTTTTACTCAACAAGATTTGCTGCTTGATTCCCTAACTCTCCATAACTATGCTTCAATTTTATGGAATGCATATTGGAAAAGCTGGTTTTAGTTTAAATATATGGATTAAGGCAATTTAGCATCAGCGTGTTACTGTTCAAAAAGGCTTTTTACACAGTGTTGTAACATTTTAAAATTATATTATACAATACTAGTGTATTGATTTCAGTAATGTCTGCAGTAGGGTTCTGAGGAGGCAAATTAAAAGAGGACATAAAAATTCAAAGGAACTTACTATTTACGAAGACATGGAATTTTTCTATCAGCAAAGTCAATCTATTATATTATTAACAAAGCTAGATGGATAGTCAGCCAGTGGATAATTTTTGGGCTATTCTATATCTTATCTAGATCAAAGTAAGTTGAGATAGATATTGCATCTACCAATATATAGTAGGCTTCCCCATCTCTTAGGTATTAGAATCTGTGAAAAGCTGCCTCTTCCCACTTATGTGATCTGACTTTTTTTGCAAGTAATTTTTTTCTTGTTTGTCTCTCCAGGTTATCATCAGGAAATCGTTCATATTAAGCGAAAAATATGCAAAGTTCTATGCTACACTGTGTGAAGAAAGATAAGCAGAAATGATCTAGCACTCTCACTTCTATAATCTTCCCAGTTCTGGTACAAGTTCCTGATTGTGTAACTTTGTACTTTATTTCTTTGGCTTTCATGCTTGTAGAATTGCTTATGCAAATTACAGATTATGGGCAGGCTTTTTGATCACAGACAGTATAATGAATCAGGAATTCACGAATGTGAAACTCAGGATAGTTTATTGAACTTGGAGCTTCAATTTAGGAAAAGATGATTATTTATACAGTAAGTCCTTGGTAAGTAATAGGTTCTTGGAAACTGCAACTTTAAGAGATAAGAATGTACAGTTCTTTGAATAACATCCTTTCCTTTAATGTCATTTTTTATTATAACATTGATGAGAAAAAATATTGTCTTATTATATGTAGTTTTCCTTAAAGTCACAGTTTCCAAAAACCGATTGACAAAGTTAACTGAGAACTTACTATAGATATATCAATTTTCTTGTAAGATTAAATGAAATCAACTACTAGTGATCAAAAATATCTATTATACATTCCTCTCTATAATGATTGAAAAGTGTATTAGTGGAGAATAGGATCAATTTTGAAGTAAAAAAGCAATAGTAACTCCATGAGGGAAAGTCAAGTGTTAGAACAATAGCTGTAAAAGGCAAGAGTATGAAGCTCCATGTTTTGACTATTGTACCCAAAGTTAGGAAGAGAATACCTTGAAGACAAAGGTTAATAGTCATGCTACAAAGAGAAATCCTCAAATATTTTATCCCAGTATGCCGTACACAAAGGAAATTTGGGATAATTAACGACTAATCCACCAACAGCCATCCCAGGAGATGATAAATAATTTCTTTTGATTATAATTCTTAGATAAGATTAAGATGCTGATTTTATAAACATTCGCTTTTCTATGGAAACATTTAGTATCCTTATGTCCTTAAGTGTACCATAAAATAAATAGCAGTTTATTTCTGTGATAGCTTTTTCTTTAATAGAAAGGTGGCATGTGGTCAATTTTCGACTGATTATGTAGAATGAGTCCCAGATCACTTGTTTTTATAGCTCAATTAACTCTTTGGGTGAATGCCCAGCCATACATAGCTTAAAGTTGAGGCTAAAGTTCCAGATAAATTTTATGTATTTTATGTTTAAGTTTCAAGACATAGATTGGGTATCAAGACATAGATTGGGTATTTATTGAGCGCCTTCTATGAGTAAGGTATTGCACTAGATAAGATATATATGTTGTATTAGTCAGGGTTTTCTAGAGGGACAGAACCAATAGGATACATGTGTATGTAAAAGGGAGTTTATTAAGGAGAATTGACTCACAGGATCACAAGGTGAAGTCCTATGATTGGCCATCTGCAAGTTGAGGAGCAAGGGAGCCACTAGTGGTTCAGTCTGAGTCCCCAAACCTCAAAAGTAGGGAAGCCGCCAGTGTAGCCTTCAGTCTGCTGCCGAAGGCCTGAGAGCCCCTGGCAAAACGCTAGTGTAAGTCCAAGAGTCCGAGAGCTGAAGAACTTGGAGTCCGATGTTTGAGGGCAGGAAGCATCCAGCACAGGAGAAAGATGAAGGCCAGAAGACTCAGCAAGTCAGATTCTTTCACCTTCTTCCACCTGCTTTTTCTAGCTGTGCTGACAGCAGATTGGATGGTGCCCACCCACATTGTGGGTGGGTCTTCCTCTCCCAGTCCACTGACTCAAATGTTAATCTATTCTGGCAACACCCAGATATCCCCAGAAACAATACTTTGCATCCTCCAATCCAATCAAGTTGACTCTTAATATTAGCCATCACATATGTGTGTATATATATATGTATATATATAATTTTATTTAATGCTTAAAACAAGATTGCTAAATGCATAATGTTATAATTTGATAACAGATGAAGAAACAGACTCAGAAAGGTTTAAGTAGACTGTTCAAAGGAGTCACACAGCTAGAAAATGTCGCTGAAGTGCCAATGCTGGATTATCGGATTCTGAGTGGAAGCTGTTGCACAGCATCACTGCCTATGTTAGCCTAGACCCTAGAACATTTGGAAAAGAGTTATTAAAATCTTATTAAAGTGGCTTTACACTGTCAAGTAGTTAAGCTGGAACTAGGTTTCCCAGAATTTCCTTTTCTGTGCTGTTCTGTGGTGAAAGCACCAGTTCCTGCACACAATCCACATTAATGAGATTGGAGACTATGAAAGGCAAATGTAATTTCTGTTTGCCCTTGTGAGTTGCATTTTTTTCTTGAGGTTGTGAGATTTTTCTGGCTTTCCCTTGGTTCACGCCAGATTTTCTTCCTTTCTCTTGGCTCTGCTGCCCCACTGTGCCTCTAGAGCCTCTTCCTGACTGGAAATAAACAACCTTCCACGGAGTTCTCCTGTAGCCATGATTGGACAAGGTCTAATCTCTATAATAAATCACATATTCTACCTCACACCTAGTGGTTCTGCTTGCGTGATGGAACTATGACTGCCACACTTGAGAAATATATCTTGCAATGGCCCTGATAGATTATTTCTGACTATATCTGACTATATCTCACAGTCAGAACGTTCTGACTGTGTATCTTTGAAGCAAACTATACCCTATCTTTGTTATGTTACAAGTTAAACAAAATCATTGTTTCCCTTGCTCAAAAGTGAATGATTTCAAAAGCTAAGATAATCTCTCTAAAGCTCATTTGATTGAACAAGTACATCAAATATATTAGAACCATGGTATTATTTACATGCTTAAATTTACATTCATGAGGTCAAAATACCAGCTTGGATTATTCCTTGACTCTTGACTATGAATCTTGTGTAAGTCATCCAAATTCATTTGTATAGGATCAATTCTAATCTTTATTATTGAGTGTTCTGTGCTTTGTATTAATTAAGGTGATTTGCTTGTAATTACTCCATTTACTTATGTTCCTACTCAGCTTCTACATAACGAACAATTACCCTGCTTTTAATACTACAAGAAATGTATTAAATCCAAATCTAAGTTGACTTTAAAATATTTAAAATCTATGTGATAGATCAATATGTATTTTTTTTCCCTCTGGATTACACAGAAGTAGTTCAGTTCAGTATCTCATTTGTGATTTTTTGATTATCCATGCACATGGATTTACACAACATCAGGCAGCAGATCTAATTAGAACACCCCACTATGTGACAAGAAATACTGAGAATATAGTACAGAATCATCATATACCCCACCAAACTTCTTCTATTATTAACATTTATACCAGTATGATACATTGTTACAATTAATAAATTAATGTTGATACATTTTTATTAACTAATGTCCGTAGTTTGTTTAGCTTTTGTTAGTTTTTACCAAATCCCTTTTTTAGGATACCATATTTGTTTGTTTTTGTTTTTTTAATATCCCCTTTTGTTTTTGTTTGTGTGCTTGTTTTTTGAGCATTTTCTTACTTTCTGGCACTACAAGTTGCTGCAGACTCATCTTGTATTATTCTTTCCTCATCCTACGATAATCCATTTCTCCAAAGATCCCTGGTTATTTTTATTGGAGAGTGGCATTGGAACCAAGGTCTGAGGTGTACTCATTGTGACTGAGAAGGCATTTCTTTTAGGGGAGCTCATATGATGTCACATATATATATATCTATATGTATCTATATATATCATATATATCTCATATATATACATATATATATATAAATATATATGTGATATATGTGTGTGTATATATCAGCCCAAGCTATGATATGCATATACAGAAGCTAGAATGTATATATATCACAGCTTCTGTGTATGCATATCATAGCTTGGGCTGATATAATGAAATACCATAGATTGGGTGGCTTAAAAAGAGAAATGTATTCCCTCACAATTTTGGAGGATGGAAGCCTGAGATCAGAATGCCAGCATCTTTGGATTCTGGTGAGGGCTCTCCTTTTATCTTGCAGATGGCTACCTTCCCCCTATGTCTTAACATGGTCATTATTCACTGTGTATACTTAGAGATAACTCTCTCTCTTCAACTTTGTATAGGACCACTAATTCCAATCACGAGAGCCCCACTTTTGTGATCTAATCTAACCTAATTGTTTTACAAAAGCTGCATCTCCAAAGAGTATCACATTGTGACTTAGGGTTTCTACATACAAATTGAGGAGGCACAAGCATTCAGACCATAGCATCTACCCCTGATGGGATGAATACTAGAGGTGTGGGATAATAAGGCTGGATCAGAATGAATTTATTGATGTGGGCTTACTAATTACAGATTCTGCATTTAATGTTGGAACTTGGTAATTAAAAATGGCTCTAACAATTAGTGTGGTTGATTGGTTGGTTGAAATATGGACCAAAAGGTGGTCCACAATGAGTGAGTTAGAAATGCAGTACCTGACTTGGTTTAGTGTAGAGAAAGGTATTCAAGGGCTCAGGGAGATTGGAATGTTAGATATAATTTGTAGTTAAAACTTACTCAAACTGGACGGGTCCAGAAGATGTACTTGTCACCACTGCTACGAGAAGTAAATCTGTGAGAAGAGACCTGGCCTCGAAGAGACCTGGCCTCCTTGAAGAGCTCTGGGATCACTCTTCCCCATAAGTAGACCTTAGAGTGGGGTTATGGTCACTGAATTAGGAAACCTAGATACAATGGAGTAATTGGACCCCAGGGTGGAATGGGTCAAATGACACTTGTTCAAGTGACAATATGTTTCTGTAATAGACAGCAGAGTCAAAGTGGCAATCAGAGTAGTTTGATTCAAGCTGACCTATGACCTTGGCTAATTGATCATGGTGTTCTTAGAAGTGAAATATTAAAACTTGTAATATTAACATTGGTTTTTGCTTGTTTATTTGTTTAAGTTCCTTATAGACTATGGATATCAGACCTTTGTGGGATGCATAGTTTGCAAATATTTTCTTCCATCCTGTAGGTTGTCTGTTTACTCTGTTGATAATTTCTTTTGCTATGCATAAGCTCCTTAGATCAATTAGGTTCTAATTGCCAATTTTATTGTTGTTGCATTTGTTTATGAAGACTTAGTCATAAATTCTTTGCCTAGGCCAATGTCTGAAAGAGTATTTCCTAGGTTTTTATTTTAGGATTTTCATAGTTTCAGGTCTTACATTTAAGTCTTTAATCCATCTTGAGTTAATTGTTGTGTATGATGAGAGGTAGGAGTCCAGTTTTATTCTACTGCATATGGTTAGCCAGTTTTCCAACATCATTTATTGAATAGAGTATCCTTCACCAATTGTTTATTTTTGTCAAATTGGTTAAAGATCAGTTGGTTGTATATGTGCAGTTTTATATCTGAGTTCTCTCTTCTGTTCCATTGAGCTATGTGTCTGTTTTTTGTACCAATATCATGCTGTTTTGGTTATTGTAGGCTTGTAGTATAATTTGAAGTCGGGTAATGTGATACCTCCAGGTTTGTTCTTTTTGTTTAGGATTGCTTTGGCTGTTTGGACTCTTTTTCAGTTCCATGTGAATTTTAAACTAGTTTTTCTAATTCTGTGAAAAATGATGTTGATAATTTGATAGGAATAGCACTGAATGTAAAGATTACTTTGGGCAGTATAGCCATTTTTATAATATTGACTCATTTAATCCATGAGAATGGAATGATTTTGCATTTGTTTATGTCATCTACTATTTCTTTCAGCAGTGTTTTGAAGTTCTCCTTGTAGAGATCTTTCACCTCCTTGGTTAGATATTTTCCTAGGTTTCTGTATCTATCGTAAATGGGATTTTATTCTTGATTTTGTTCTCAGCTTGAATGATGTAGGTAATGGGCATCTTGATTACCTTTTTGTTTCCCACAAGATATCCCATTGGTTTGTTACATTGATGATATTCTGCTGATTGGACCTAGTGAGCAAGAGGTAACAACTGCTCTAGGATTACTGGTAAGATATTTACATGTCAGGAGTAGGAAATAAATATGATAAATTCAGAAGCTTTCTACCTAAGTGAATTCTGTAGTGGTCCAGTAGTGTAGGCCATGCCAAAATATCACTTCTAAGGTAAGGGTAATTTGTGCCCAAAGATTCAGTGGCAGATAGGGTTGCTGTTAGGGCCTTTGGCAGGCCCCTATAGGTGAATTGCAGTGTAGACCTTTAAAATGTGGGTGTAAGCCCTGCCATTCTTTGCAGATGACTACTCTCTTTTTGAGGATCTAAGCCTTACTAGAAACTGAACACTTAACCATGGGACATCAAGTTCTCATCTGACCAGACCTGCTCATCATGAATTTGGTATTATTCTGACCAACAAGCTGTGAAGTTGGGCATGAACAGCAGCAAATAGAAGTAATATGTGTATGATCAGGCTGGAGCAGGCCCTGAAGGCACAAGTAAGTTGCATGAAAGAGTGACCCAAATACCTATGGTTGAACACTCCACCTACACAGCCTTATTTTTCTTCCAACCTTCACCTACAGCCTCATGGCGAAGTCTCAGTGACCAGCTGACTATATATAAACCAGTTACAGAAACAGTAACTTTTTCTCTTGTTGTTAATATTGTGTGTGTATGTAGCAAATATCTCTGTTTTTCTCTCTCTTATTCCCTTGTCATGTAACATAAGATGTATTAACTTTATATTGTAGTATTTAAGTATTGTTAATTTTACATCATAGGGTTCAAGTTATCAAGGAGAAGAGCGAACATCACTCAAAGACCTTTCCTCTTCTTCCAGGTAAGGGGTTAGTGTGTTTTGTTTGTACGGGGGATACTTGTATAAGGTTAGGTGGAATTATGACCTTGTTATTGTCTATATTTGGAGATTAAGTATAACTTAAAGAAATTCATATTGGTGCAAAGTTGATAAATAGTGGACTTGCGATGGTTAATTTTTTGTGTCAACTTGATTCAGTCATCAGATGTCTGGATATTTGATTAAATATTATTTTGGCTGTGCTTGTAAGAGTACTTCTCAAAGAGATTAACATTTGATACAGTAGGCTGAGAAAAACATATTGCCTTCCCTGGTGTGAGTGGCTCTCATTCAATCAGCTGTTCTATGCGTGGAACAAAAAGTCTGAAGAAATGAGAATTTGCTCTCTGCCTGACTGTTTTTGATCTGGCACATGAGTCTTCTCTTGTCTTTGGACTCAGACCCAGACTGAAATTTACACCATTGGCTCTCCTGTTTCTTAGGCCTTTGGACTGGGACTGGACATTATATGATTGTTTTTCTGTTTCTCAGGTCTTCAGACTCATACTTGAACTACACAATTAGCCATCCTGGATCTCCAGCTTGCTGACTATAGAACTTGGGACTTTCAGGCTCTGTAACTATGTGAGCCAGTTTCATGTAATAACTCTTTTTCTCTCTGCCTCTCTGTCTCTCTCTCTCTCTCTCTATATATATATATATACACACACACACACACACATATAAAATCTGTGCACACACATACACACATAGGCACACATCTTATTGGTTGTGATTCTCTGGAGAACACTGACTAATAAAATGCGTATATTTATAAATATTTCTATATGTAAGCATCTATATTTATATTAAGCTAGACATGAATCCATACAGATCTCTTAACTTTAACCCTTATAACATGGATAATTATAACTTCCTCATTTTGCTTATCTATAAACTTCCACTCCAACATTGAAAAACCTGACTCTGTCCATCTGCCATCCGTTTACTTAATTGTTCTATTCTAGTATACAGGTATAGCAGTATCAGACTTGTGAACCTGTATATCTTTGGAAAACAACTTTATCAAGAACAAAATGCAGATGCACAGATCCTTTTGTCTTTCGCTTTACTGAATTTGTCATTTCCAAAGTTGCTTACATAAGTACCTTTCTCTCCCATCTTTCTCATTGAAGTTGTTCCATACATTTGTAGTACAGTTAGATTCTCTTGTTACATTCTGCATTTCTTCAGATTCTCCCAAATTCTGAATTTTTTTTCAACTTTCATACAGTAAGATTAGTTCTTTGTGCTATATAAAGATCTATGGGTTTTGAAACATGAATAATGTCTTGTATCCATCATCATTGTATCATAGAAAATAACTTTTCTGTTGTAAAAATCATTTGTGCTCCACTTATTTCTTCCTCCTGCCTCCCCTTTGTCTGGCAAGCACTGGTCATTTTTCTGTCCCATATAGTTTTACTTTGTCTAGAATCTCTATAATTGGAATCATACAATACATAATTTTTCTCTGTTGACTTCTTTTACTCCACAAAATGCATCTAAGTTTCCTGAGTTTTTTTTTTTTTAAGACTTGGTAGCTTATTTATTTTCATTGCTGAATAATTTCCATTGTATGAATGTACCCTAGTTTGTTTATTCATTCACCTATTGAAGGACATCTTGGTTGCTTTCTGTTTTGATTTATTATTAATAAAACTTCTATAAACATTGGGATGTGAACATAGGTTTTCAAGCCAATTAGATAAATATGTAGAACAATTGCTGGATCCGAATTTTATAAGATATATGTTCAGACTAGCAATTGTCTTCCAAAGTGGCTGTAACATTTTACATTCCCACCAGCAATCAATTCGCATTCCTGTAGCTCTGCATCTTCTCTAACATTTGGTACTAATGTTAATTTCACCACTCTAATAGGTGTGTATTGGTATCTCATTGTTGTTTTTATTTTCAATTTCTTAATGAGAAAAGATACACATACCTTCACATGTTTATATGCCATTTGTATATTTATTTGGTGAGGTATCTGTTTAGGTTGTTGCTCATTTTTAATTGGATATTTGCTTTCTTATTGTTGAATTTTAAACAGTTTTTTTCATATTATGGACACAAGTCATTTATCAGTTATGTGTTCAAAACTCATGTGTTGAAATCATAACACTTATGTTGTTGGTATTAGGAAGTGGGGGGCTTTGGGAAGTCATTAGGTCATAAGGGTGGAACTTTCATAAATAAGATTAGTGCCCTTACTAAAAGAGGCCCTAAAAATCTCCTGTGCCCTTCTCACTATGTGAGGATACAACTAGAATGTGCCCTCTATAAAAATGAGGGTTCTCACTAGACAGTGAATCTGCCAGTGCCTTGATCTTGGGTTTCTCAGTCTCTGGAATTGTGGGAAATAGATTCCTGTTATTTCTAAGCTACTTGGCTTATAGTATTTTGCTGTAGCAGCCAAAGAAGACTAAGACACTATCCTTTCTCCACTGAATGACATTTTCTTCTTGTTCAAATTTGAATATATTTGTGTGTGTGTATTTCTATGCCTTTTATTCTGTTCCATTGATGTGTTTGTCTCTTCCTTCAGCAATACCATGATGTCTTTGTTGATTTGTCTTACATTGTCTTAAAATTGGGTAATATCAGTCATCCAACTTTGTTTTCCTTCAGGGTTGTGTTGGCTATTGCAAGTCTTTTGCCTTTTCCATGTAAACTTTAGAGTCACTTTCTTGATATCCACAAAATAGTTTTCTGGGATTTTGATTTGAATTACATGAAATCCATAGATTTAGCTGGGAAGAACTGATAGCTTAAGAATATTGAGTCTTATAATCCATGAACCTGGAATATCTATCCTCTTATTTGGAACTTTTTTGATTTCTTTCATCAGAGTTTTATTGTTTACCACATAGAAATCTTGTACATATGTTGTTATACTTATGCATACGTATTTAAATTGTGTGCTTTGTAAATTATATTGTGTTTTTAATTTTAAGTTCCAACTGTTCATTGTTGCTATATAGAAAAGAAATTAACTTTTGCATATTAACATTGTATCTTGTGACCTTGCTATATTACTTATCAGTTTAGTAAGTATGTGATTGATTGTTTAGATTTTTCATATGGACAATCATATGTTTGTCTGCAAAGACAGCTTTATGCTTTCCTTCTTAACCACACACACACACACACACACACACACACACACACACACATTTGTTTTGATTTAATGCAAATCTATGAAATAAGGTTTTTATGGTACAGTGTTAAATACAGGTGCTGAGAGAGGACATCTTTGTTTTGTCTCTGATACTACGGGGTCAGTATCCACTTTTTCATCATTAAGTATGATGTTAACAGTAGGTTCTTTTTAGATGTTCTTTATTAAGTTGAGGAAGGTCTCCTGTATTTACATTTTACTCAGAGCTTTTATAAAAAAATGATAAATGAATGTTGGATTTTCTGAAGTGCTTTTTCTACATGAATTGATATAATCATATGATTAAAAAAATTCTGTTGGCATGATGAATTGCATCAACTAATTTCTCAATGTTGAATCAGCCTTGCATACTTGGGATAAAGTTATGGTGTGTAATTCTTTTAGATACTATTGAATTTTATATATTTTTTGTTTGATTTGTTAATATTTTATTGAGATTTTTGCATCAATATTTATCACAGATATTAGTCAATAATTTTTCTTTCATGAAATATCTACATCTCTTTTTTTATCAGGATAATGTTGGCTTCATAGAATGAGTTAAGAAGTGTTTACTTCATCCAGTCTATCGTTGTTGGACATTTGGCTTGGTTCCAAGTCTTTGCTATTGTGAATAGTGCCGCAATAAACATACGTGTGCATGTGTCTTTATAGCAGCATGATTTATAATCCTTTGGGTATATACCCAGTAATGGGATGTCTGGGTCAAATGGTATTTCTAGTTCTAGATCCCTGAGGAATCGCCACACTGACATCCACAATAGTTGAACTAGTTTACAGTCCCACCAACAGTGTAAAAGTGTTCCTATTTCTCCACATCCTCTCCAGCACCTGTTGTTTCCTGACTTTTTAATGATTGCCATTCTAACTGGTGTGAGATGGTATCTCATAGTGGTTTTGATTTGCATTTCTCTGATGGCCAGTGATGATGAGCACTTTTTCATGGTTTTTTGGCTGCATAAATGTCTTCTTTTTAGAAGTGTCTGTTCATATCCTTCGCCCACTTTTTGATGGGGTTGTTTGTTTTTTTCTTGTAAATATGTGGCACATATACACCATGGAATACTATGCAGCCATAAAAAATGATGAGTTCATGTCCTTTGTAGGGACAGGGATGAAATTGGAAATCATCATTCTCAGTAAACTATCGCAAGGACAAAAAACCAAACACCGCATGTTCTCACTCATAGATGGGAATTGAACAATGAGAACACATGGACACAGGAAGGGGAACATCACACTCTGGGGACTGTTGTGGGGTGGGGGAAGTGGGGAGGGATAGCATTTGGAGATATACCTAATGCTAAATGACGAGTTAATGGGTGCAGCACACCAACATGGCACATGTTTACATATGTAAGAAACCTGCACATTGTGCACATGTACCCTAAAACTTAAAGTATAATAATAATAAAATAAAAAAATAAATATGCATTTATATCACAGGCATTGATCAACGCTTCCTCAAAGGCAATGTAGACAACATTAGGATCTCATGTCACATTTCCTCACCCTGCTTTTATGACAGAGTTAGGATAGAGAAACCGTCAGTTCTTTAAAGGGATTTGGATTTTTTTTTAGGAAAGCAGAAAGGGTAAGAAATTTAGAGGAGTAAGGATGACTGGCACAAGAAAAAAAAAAGAAAAAGGGAAGAAAAGTTTGTGGAAAGAGGAAGGTAAGTAGATAAACAGGGAAGTAAACCAGGTTTCTAATTCATGGGTGAATCCGAGAGAACAGGTATCAGATTAGGGATTACAAAATGTAGCATGGGTACTAAATATCAGTACAAAGCAGCCACAGTAATATTGATTTATGGATTTAAGTAACCCGACCAAACCCTGATATAGTTCATCATGTTGACTTTCTGCACCAGATAATAAAGTATTTTTTGATCCCGTGGAAAAAAAAAAAAAGGAAGTGTTTACTTCAGTTCTCATGAAAAGATTATTGTTGAGAACTGAAATCACTTTTTCCTTCAATGTTTGGTAGAATTTAGTAATAAAATCTCCTTGGCTTGGTGCTTTCTTATTTGAGGGATTACTAATTATTGATTCAATTCATTTAAATAATGTATGCTTATTCAGATTGTATATTTTTCCTTGGATAATGATATGGTGTGTCTGTGTCCCCACCCAAATCTCATTTTCAATTGTAATCCCCATAATCCCCATGTATCTAGGGAGAGAACTGGTGGGAGGTGGTTGAATCATGGGGACAGTTTCCCAAATGCCGTTCTTATGATAGTGAGTGAGTTCTCAAGAGATCTGATGGTTTTATAAAGGGCTCTTCTCCCTTTGCTCTTCACACTTCTCTCTCTTGCCTGCTGCCATATAAAATGTTCCTCTTCTCTTTCCACCAGCATTGTAAATTTCCTGAGGCTTCTTCAGCCATGAGGAACTGTGAATCAGTTAATCCTCTTTTCTTTATAAATTACCCATTCTTCAGTAGTATCTTTATCGCAGTGTGAGAACGAACTAATACAGATAAATTTTGGTAGCTCATGTCTTTCAAAATTTAGTTCATTCCATCTAAGCTAAAAAATTTAACTGCATAGAGCTATTTATAATATTTGAATATTAGCCTTTATATGTCCATGGGATGGAATCAGTGGTGATGACCCTTCTTTTATTTATGATACTAGTAATTTTCATCAATTTTAATTTTTTATTTTAACTAGAGGATTATCAACTCTATTAATATTTTAAAGAATTAGTGTTTGATTTTGTTAATTTTCTTTATTATTTTTATGTATTAAATATTGATATTTGCTTTAATTTTCATTATTTCTTTTTATGTATGCTTACTTTAGTTTAAATTGTTTTTCTTTACATAGTTGTCAAATTAGAAGTTTAGGTTATTGATTTTAGGTTTTTCTTTCTTTATTATATATGCGTTTAATGTTATAAACTAACAATTGCTTTTCCTGTATCTCACAAATTTAATATTATATTTCTTTTTATTTATTTTATAAATTTTAAAAATTCATCTTCTGACTTTTTCACTCCATGTGTTATTTTATAATGTGCTGTCTAATTATCAAGTATTTTAGGATTTTTCCAGCCAGCAGTCTTTCTGTTATTGATTTCTAGTTTAATTCCATTGTAGAGTCTGAAAATATACCTTGTCTAATTTCTATTTAGAAAAAAATGTTTAGGTGTCTCTTATGACCTAGAATGTGCTCTTTCTTGGTGAATGCACCAGGAAATGTTGAGAGAAATGTTTGCTTTGCTGTAGTTGGATGGAATATTCTACAAAAGCCAGTACATCAACTTAACAGATAATTTTGTTTAGGTCAACTATATCCTTATCGATTTTCTGCCTGCTTGACCTATCAATTACTGAAAGAGGCATGCTGAGGTTTCCAAATATAATAGTAGATTTGTCTATTTTCCCATGTTCTATCAGATTTTTGCCTCATGTATTTTGACACTCTCATTTTTAAGTGCGTACATGATGGTATGGTTTGAATGTTTGCCTCCTCCAAATATCATGTTGAAATTTAATCCTCATTTTGTAACAGCATTAAGAGGTAGAATCTTTAAAAAGAGATTAGATTATGAGAACTGTGCTCTCATGGATGGGATAAATGCCATAATAAAATAACATATTTGGCCCTCTTTTGTCTCTTTGTCCTTCTACCTTCCACCATGTGATGATGTAGCAAGAAGGCCCTTACCAGATGCCAGCACCTTGAAATTGGTCTTTCTAGCCTCCAGATCTGTGAGTTAATACATTTTTCTTCATTATAAATTACCCAGTCTGTGATATTTTATTTTACCAGTGCAAAGAGAGCAAAGACACATGTTAATGATGGTTATATCTTTTTGGATAATTGAACCATTCATCATTATGTAATGACACTTTCTCAGTGATAAATTTTACTGTTCTTAAGTATGATCTGTATGAAATAAATACAACCATACCTGATTTTATTGCACCTCACTTTATTTCATTTTGCAGATATTGTAGTTTTTACAAATTGAAAGTCTGTGGCAACCCTACAACTAGGAAGTCTGTCGATGCTACTCTTCCAATAGCACGTGCTCACTTTTGTCTTTTTGTCACATTTTGGTAATTCTCTCCGTATTTCAAGCTCTTTTATTATTATTATATTTGTAATGGTGAAGTGGGATAGGTGATCTTTGATGTTATCATTGTAATTGTTTTGGGGCACCATGAACTTGTAAGATACTCTTATAAGATGGTGAACTTAATCAATAAATGAGTGTGTTTTGACTGCACCACTGATTGGCTTTTCCCCAATCACCTTTCATCTCTTTGAGACTCCCTATTTCCTAAAACAAAATATGTTAAAATTAAGCTAATTAATAACCCTCAATGGCCTTTAATTGTGCAAGTGAAAGGAAGAGTGATAAGTCTCTAACTTTAAACCAAAATCTAGAAATGATTAAACTTAGTGAATAAGACATGTTGAAAGCAAAGACTAGCAAAAGCTAGGTTTCTTGAATGAAACAGTTAGCCAAATTGTGAATGCAAAGAAAAATTTCTTAAAGGAAAATAAAAGTGCTACCATTTTATTTTTATTATTATTGTCATTATACTTTAAGTTCTGGGATACATGTGCAGAATGTGCAGGTTTGTTACATAGATATACATGTGCCATGGTGGTTTGCTGCACCCATCAGCATGTCATCTACATTGGGTATTTCACCTAATGCTATTCCTCCTCTAGCCCCCGACCTCCCAACAGGCCCCGCTGTGTGATGTTCCCCACCCTGTGACCATATGTTCTCATTGTTCAACTCTCACTTACGAGTGAGAACATGCGGTGTTTGGTTTTCTGTTTCTGTGTTAGTTTGCTGAGAATGATGATTTTCAGCTTTATCCATGTCCCTGCAAAAGACATTAACTCATCCTTTTTTTGGCTATATAGTATCCCATGGTGTATATGTGCCACATTTTCTTTATCAAGTCTATTATTGATGGGCGTTTGGGTTGGTTCCAAGTCTTTGCTATTGTAAATAGTGCTGCAATAAACATACATGTGCATGTGTCTTTATAGTAAAATGATTTATCATCCTTTGGGTATATACCCAGTAACGGGATTGCTGGTCAAATGGTATTTCTGGTTCTAGATCCTTGAGGAAACACCATACTGTCTTCCACAATGGTGGAACTAATTTACACTCCCACTGAAAGTGTAAAAGCATTCCTATTTCTCCACATCCTCTCCAGCATCTGTTGTTTCCTGACTTTTTAATGGTCACCATTTTAACTGGCGTGAGATTGTATCTCCATGTGGTTTTGATTTGCATTTCTCTAATGACCAGTGATTATGACATTTTTCTAATATGTTTGTTGGCTGCATAAATGTCTTCTTTTGAGAAGCGTCTGATCATATCCTTCACCCACTTTTTGATGGGGTTGTTTGATTTTTTCTTGTAAATTTGTTGAAGTTCCTTGTATATTCTGGATACTAGCCTTTGTCAGCTGGGTAGATTGCAAAAATTCTCTCCCATTTTATAGGTTGCCTGTTCACTCTGATGATAGTTTCTTTTGCTGTGCAGAAGCTCTTTAGTTTAATTAGATCCCATTTGTCAATTTTGGCTTTTGTTGCAATTGCTTTTTGTGTTTTAGTCATGAAGTCTTTGCGCATGTCTATGTCCTAAATGGTATTGCCTAGGTTTTCTTCTAGGGTTTTTATGGTTTTAGGTCTTATGTTTAAGTCTTTAATCCATTTTGAGTTAATTTTTGTATAAGGTGTAAGGAAGGGGTCTAATTTAAGTTTTTTGCATATGACTAGCCAGTTTTCCCAACACCATTTATTAAATAGGGAATCCTTTCCCCATTACCTGTTTTTGTCAGGTATGTCAAAGATCAGATGGTTGTAGACATGTGGTGTTATTTCTGAGGCCTCTGTTCTGTTCCATTGGCCTATATGTCTGTTTTTGTACCAGTACCATGCTGTTTTGGTTACTGTAGCCTTGTAGTGTAGTTTGAAGTCAGGTAGCACGATGCCTCCAGCTTTGTATTTTTTGTTTTTTTTTTTTTTTTTGCTTAAGATTGTCTTGGCTATGGGGGCTCTTTTTTGGTTCCATATAAGGTTTAAAGTAGTTTTTTCTAATTCTGCAAAGAAAGTCAGCGGTAGCTTGATGGGAATAACATTAATCTATAAATTACTTTGGGCGGTATGGCCATTTGAATGATATTGATTCTTCTTGTCCATGAGCATAGAATGTTTTCCCAATTGTGTGTGTCCTCTCTTATTTTCTTCAGCTGTTATTTGCAGTTCTCCTTGAAGAGTTCCTTCACATCCCTTGTAAGTTGTATTCCTAGGTATTTTATTCTCTTTATAGCAATTGTGAATGAGAGTTCACTCATGATTTGGCTTTCTATTATTGCTGTAAAGAAATGCTTATGATTTTTGCACAATTGTATCCTGAGACTTTGCTGAAATTGCTTGTCAGCTTCAGGAGATGTGGGGCTGAGATGATGGGGTTTTCTGAATATACAATCATGTCATCTGCAAACAGAGACAATTTGACTTCCTATTTGAATACCCTTTTGATAAACTTAAGAGAATTAAGGACGTTTTAGCCAACAAAGTTTTTATTCAGTTTTCAAGTCTTGATTTGCAAAAACCTCAGGATAGGGTTATGGCTGAAAGCAACCTAATCCTCTTACCTTGAGTTAATAGCTTAGAGTAGGTACAAAGGAATGTAAGGAAGTTTAAATAGCTTGTTTACTCACGTGGTCCTCAGACCAGCCTTTGATTGTTCATAAGACTGCTCTCTCTGGGTAGGGTAACCAGATTAATTACCCACAGGTGTGTTGACTCAAAGCCTTTGTGATTAAATCTGTGCTGAATAAATGCCAGCAAGGCCAGCTAGTTGGCACGCCGCTGCCACACCTCTTTCTGTGCATGGCCGGGCCTCGTGGCCCACTCTTTCACTGAATATTGGTGTCTGAGTACATTATTCATCCATTGTGCAGCCTGGGTCTGAGGGTCAGACCCTGGCAGAAGAGGTGTTGAATTTTATTGAAGGCCTTTTCTTCATCTGTGGAGCTAATCATGTCATTTTTGTCATTGGTTCTGTTTATATGATGGATTACATCTATTGATTTGCACATGTTGAACTAGCCTTAAAAGTGCTACTTTTTGTTTATTTATTTTTTATTATTTGTGAGCACACAAATAATAAGAAAACAAAACAGCCTTATTGCGGTTATGGAGAAAGTTATAGTGGTCTGGTTAGGAGATCAAACTAGCCACAAGATTCATTCAAGCCAAATCCTAAGCTAGACTAAGATTATAACTCTCTTCAATTCTCCGAAGGCTGAGAGAGGTGAGGAAGCTGCCAAAGAAAAGTTTGAGGCTAGCAAATGTTGCTTCATGAAGTTTAGGAAAAGCAGCCATCTCCATAACATGAAAGTGCAAGGTGAAGCAGCAAGTGCTGATGCAGAAGCTGCAGCAAGTTATCCAGAAGATTTAGCTGAGATCATTGATGAAGGGGGCTACACTAAAAAACAAATTTTCGTTGTTTTATATTGGAAAAAATTGTCATCTAGGATTGTTTTATATTGGAAGATATTGTCATCTAGGATTGTTATAGCTTAAGAGGATATTTTACTGCCTGGCTTCAAATCTTCAAAGGACAGGATGACTTCCTTGTTAGGAGCTAATGTGACTGGAGACTTTAAGATGAAGCCAATAGTTATTCACCATTTAGAAATTCCATTATAGTTACCATTTAGAAATTCCTAGGGCCCTTAAGAATTGTGCTAAATCCACTTTGCCTGTTCTCTGTAAATGGAACAACAAAGGCTGAATGACAGCACACCTGTTTACAGCATGGTTTATTGAATATTTTAAGCCCACTGTCAGGGCTCACTGCTCAGGAAAGAATATTTTTTTTTCTGAATATTACTGCTCATTGACAATGTACCTAGTTACTCAAGAGCCCTGATGAGGTATACAAGGAGATTAATGTTGTTTTCATGTTTTCTAAAAGCAACTCCATTCTGCAGTCCATGGATCAAGGATTAATTTTGACTTTCAAGTCTTATTATTTAAGAAATATATTGTATAAGTCTATGGCTGCTATACAGAGTGATTCCTCTGATAAATCTGGACAAAGTAAATTGAAAATCTTCTGGAAAGGATTCACCATTCTATATACCATTAAGAACATTTGTGATTCATGGGAAAGGGCCAAAATATAAACATTAACAGGAGCTTGAAAGTTGATTCCAACATTCATAGATAACTTTTAGGGGTTCAGGACTTCATGAAGAAAGTAAGTGCAGATATGGAGGAAATAGCAAGAGAACTGGAATTAAAAGTGGAGCCTGAAGATATGACTAAATTATTGCAAGTGCATGACAAAATTTGAACAGATGAGGAGTAGCTTCTTATGGATAAAGAAAGGAAATGGTCTCTCGAAATGGAATCTACTCCTGAAGAAGATGCTATGAACATTGTTGAAATGACAACAAAGGATTTAGAATATTATTATATAAACTTAGTTGATAAACCAGGGCAGGGCTTGAGAGGATTAACTCTAAGTTTGAAAGCTGTTGTAGTGTGGGTAAAATGCTATCGAACAGCATCACATGCTACAGAGAAATCTTTTGTGAAAGGAAGAGTCAATGAATGCAGCAAACTTCATTATCGTCTTATTTGAAGAAATTGCCATGGCTACCCCAAACTTCAGCAACCACCACCCTGATCAATTAGCAACTATTAACACTGAGGTGAGACTCTTCACCTGCAAAAAGACTGTGACTCACTGAAGAGTCAGATGATTGTTAGCACTTCTTAGCAATAAAATATTTTTAAATTTAGATAGGTATATTGTTTTTTAGACAATACTATTCCACACTTAATAGACTACAATATGTTTTAAACATGACTTTTATGTATACTGGGAAACCAAAAAATATGTGTGATTAACTTTATTTTGGTGGTCTGGAACTCAATCCACAATATCTCTGAGGCATGCCAGTATAGCTATTCCAGCTTTCTGTTGAATAATGTGAGCATGATATATAGTTTTTTTTTCTTTATTTTTAACCTAGCCATGGTTTTATATTTAAAGTGTGTTTCTTGTAGACAACATATAGTTGAGTCTTGCTTTTTATACACTTCGACATTCTATGTCTTTTAATTGTTGCATTTATACTACTTACATTTAAGATAATTATTTATATATTTATATTAATATATACCATATTTGTAACTATTTCTGTTTATTGCAGTTGTTCTTTGTTTCTTTGTTTTTTTGCTCCCTTTTCTGACCTCCATGGCTTTGATTAAATATATTATATTATTATATTGTCTATCCTCTTACCATATAAACTGTACTTCTTTTAAAATAATGTTCAGTGGTTTCCCTAGAGTTTGCAATATCCACTTATAATGAATCTAATTCCATCCTCATAACACTACACCACTTCATAGGAATCACATGTACCTTACATATATAGGAATATATATATATATATTCCTAAATCTTTTATCTAGTATCTTATCACATTCATTTTACTTATTCATAAGCTATAATCTCCTAATACATTGTTACTATTATTACTCTGAGTAATATTGCTTGAGTGAGAGTAGCAGATTCACTTATCTTCTCTACAGCTGTGTATCTTGCTGCTGTCCCTGGCAATCTTCGTGTTCCCCAAACGGTCAAGGATTAGTGAATGTCAACTTCCGAGGCCAGGAGTCAATGTTTATCCAAAAGAACAACAGAATGAATTTCTCATCCCTGCATCCCTCACCCTCTTTGGAATACTTGTCAAAGTTATCCAACTGCATAACAATGCAAGACCCACAGCCAGGATGCTTGTGCTTAATTAAGTGTTCTTCCATATCAGTATTCAAAGGCACTGGTACTTTTGACAAGGGGGCTGACTGTGTTTTCTCAAGGAGCAGCTGTAATCTTCTCTAAGTGCAAACCATAATCTCTCAGAGCTGGACTGGAGAGCCTTGGAATGAGAGATGGATGGCCTTCTATGAGACAGGCCATTGGGGTCCCCTGCCCCTTTTCCCAGTAATACTTAGAAGGTTTCTACTGTGAATTATTGGGTGAAGATAAGATGACAATCATTGGACAAATACAAAAGCTGAAAACCACTACTTAAGAAAGCAAAGCCATAATGGAAGTTGGTTTTGTTCTGATAAGTTTTAGTTTGAGTGTCTAGCACTCTTGCTGTGCCACTGTACTACTATGGCTCTGTTACAACAACAACAAAAAAAAAACTAACTTTCAAGGTTATAGTAGAAAACACCTTTAGTACTCCTGTGTCACAAAGAAGGAGTAATCTGACTTACATCTGGGATCTTTAAAACATATACTCATTGCGATGAGGGAGGTCCCTAACCCTGATGATACTGATTGGATATTCTCTAGAGGAAGACATTTATAAATTTAGATGAAGAGATACATGACAAAGAGAACACCTGTGAAATATATTAAGTGGCTTAATTAAAAAAAAAATAGATTCTGGTTCCAAGAGGGTTGAACAGGAACAGCTCCAGTCTGCAGCTCCCAGCGTGATCAACACAGAAGATGGGTGATTTCTCCATTTCCAACTGAGGTAGGTGGCTCATCTCACTGAGACTGGTTGGACAGTGGATGCAGCCCACGGAGGGTGAGCCGAAGCAGGGCGGAGTGTCACCTCATCCGGGAAGCGCAAGGGGTCGGGGCGTTTCCCTTTCCTAACATCAGTTCCTTTGGCAGAAACTATTCCTAATAGACTAACAGACTAACTGTTCCTAACAGACTAACAGATCTTTTGGCAGAAACTCTACAAGCCAGAAGAGAGTGTGGGCCAATATTCAACATTCTTAAAGAATTTTCAACCCAGAATTTCATATCCAGCCAAACTAAGCTTCATAAGTGAAGGAGAAATAAAATCCTTTACTGACAAGCAAGTGCTGGGAGATTTTGTCACCAGCAGTCCTGCCTTACAAGAGCTCCTGAAGGAAGCACTAAACATGGAAAGGAACAACCACTACCAGCCACGGCAAAAACACGCCAAATTGTAAAGACCATTGATGTTAGGAAGAAACTGCATCAACTAACCAGCAAAATAACCAGCTAACATCATAATGACAGGATCAAATTCACACATAACAATATTAACCTTAAATGTGAATGGGCTAAATACTCCAATTAAAAGACACAGAGTGACAAACTGGATAAAGAGTCACGACCCATCAGTGTGCTGTATTCAGGAGACCCATCTCACATGCAGAGACACACATAGGCTCAAAAGAAAGAGATGGAGGAAGATTTACCAAGCAAATGGAAAACAAAAAAAAAGCAGGGGTTGCAATCCTAGTCTCTGATAAAACAGACTTTAAACCAACAAAGATCAAAATGGTAAAGGGATCAATTCAACAAGAAGAGCTAACTATCCTAAATATATATGCACCCAATATAGGAGCATCCAGATTCATAAAGCAAGTCCTTAGAGACCTACAAAGAGACTTAGACTCCCACACAATAATAATGGGAGAATTTAACACTCCACTGTCAATATTAGACAGATCAACAAGACAGAAGGTTGAAAAGGATATCCAGGACTTGAACTCAGCTCTACACCAAGCAGACCTAATAGACATCTCCAGAACTCTCCACCCCAAATCAACAGAATATAGATTCTTCTCAGCACCACATCACACTTATTCCAAAATTGACCACATAGTTGGAAGTAAAGCTCTCCTCAGCAAATGTAAAAGAACAGAAATTACAACAAACTCTCTCTCAGACCACAGTGCAATCAAATTAAAACTCAGGATTAAGAAACTCACTCAAAACCACACAACTACATGGAAACTGAACAACCTGCTCCTGAGTGACTACTGGGTAAATAACAAAATGAAGGCAGAAATAAAGATGTTCTTTGTAACCAATGAGAACAAAGACACAACATACCAGAATCTCTGAGACACATTTAAAGCAGTGTGTAGAGGGAAATTTATAGCACTAAAGGCCCACAAGAGAAAGCAGGAAAGATCTAAAATTGACACCCTAACATCACAATTAAAAGAACTAGAGAAGCAAGAACAAACACATTCAAAAGCTAGCAGAAGGCAAGAAATAACGAAGATCAGAGCAGAGCTGAAGGAGATAGAGACACAAAAAACCCTTCAAAAAATCAATGAATCTAGGAGGTGGTTTTTTGAAAAGATCAACAAAATAGATAGCCCGCTAGCAAGACTAATAAAGAAGAAAAGAGAGAAGAATCAAATAGACACAATAAAAAAATGATAAAGAGGATATCACCACCTATCCCACAGAAATGCAAACTACCATCAAAGAATACTATAAACACCTCTACACAAATAAACTAGAAAATCTAGAACAAATGGATAAATTCCTGGACACATACACCCTCTCAAGACTAAACCAGGAAGAAGTTGAATCCCTGAGTAGACCAATAACAGGCCCTGAAATTGAGGCAATAATTAATAGCCTACTAACCAAAAAAAGTCCAGGACCAGACGGATTCACAGCCGAATTCTACCAGAGGTGCAAGGAGGAGCTGCTACCATTCCTTCTGAAACTATTCCAATGAATACAAAAAGAGGGAATCCTCCCTAACTCATTTTATGAGGCCAGCATCATCCTGATACCAAAGCCTGGCAGAGACACAACAAAAAAAGGAATTTTAGACCAGTATCCCTGATGAACATCGATGCAAAAATCCTCAATAAAATATTGGCAAATTGAATCCAGAAGCACATCAAAAAGCTTATCCACCACGATCAAGTGGGCTTCATCCCTGGGATGCAAGGCTGGTTCAACATACGCAAATCAATAAACGTAATCCATCACATAAACAGAACCAAAGACAAAAACCACATGATTATCTCAATAGATGCAGAAAAGGCATTCAACAAAATTCAACAGCCTTTCATGATAAATACTCTCAATAAACTAGGTATTGATGGGACGTATCTCAAAATAATAAGAGCTATTTATGACAGACCCACAGCCAATATCAAACTGAATGGGCAAAAACTGGAAGCATTCCCTTTAAAAACTGGCACAAGACAGGGATACCCTCTCTCACCACTCCTATTCAACATAGTGCCTGAAGTTCTGGCCAGGGCAATCAGGCAGGAGAAAGAAATAAATGGCATTCAATTAGGAAAAGAGGAAGTCAAATTGTCCCTGTTTGCAGATGACATGATTTTATATTTAGAAAACCCCATCATCTCAGCCCCAAATCTCCTTAAGCTGATGAGCAAATTCAGCAAAGTCTCAGGATACAAAATCAATGTGCAAAAATCACAAGCATTCCTATACACCAATAATAGACAAACAGCGAGCCAAATCATGAGTGAACTCCCATCCACAATTGCATCAAAGAGAATAAAATACCTGGGAATCCAACTTACAAGGGATGTGAAGGACCCCTTCCAGGAGAACTACAAACCGCTGCTCAAGGAAATAAAAGAGGGCATAAACAAATGGAAGAACATTCCATGCTCATGGACAGGAAGAATCAATATCATGAAAATGGCCATACTGCCCAAGTAATTTATAGATTCAATGCCATCCCCATCAAGCTACCAATGACTTTCTTCACAGAATTGGAAAAAACTTCTTTAAAGTTCATACAAAACCAAAAAAGAGCCTGCATTGCCAAGACAATCCTTAGCAAAAAGAACAAAGCTGGAGGCATCCTGCTACCTGACTTCAAACTATACTACAAGGCTACAGTAACCAAAACAGCATGGTACTGGTACCAAAACAGAGATATAGACCAATGGAACAGAACAGAGGCTTCAGAAATAACACCACACATCTACAACCATCTGATCTTTGACACACCTGACAAAAACAAGAAATGAGGAAAGGATTCCTTATTTAATAAATGGTGCTGGGAAAACTGGCTGGCTATATGTAGAAAGCTGAAACTGGATCCCTTCCTTACACCTTATACAAAAATTAATTCAAGTTGGATTAAAGATGTAAATGTTAGACCTAAACCGTAAAAACCCTAGAAGAAAACCTAGGCAATACCATTCAGGACATGGGCATGGGCAAGGACTTCATGACTAAGACACCAAAAGCAATGGCAACAAAAGCCAAAATTGACAAATGGGATCTAATTAAACTAAAGAGCTTCTGCACAGCAAAAGAAACTACCATCAGAGTGAATAGGCAATCTACAGAATGGGAGAACATTTTCACCATCTACCCATCTGACAAAAGGCTAATATCCAGAATCTACAAAGAACTTAAACAAATTTACAAGAAAAAAATCAAACAACCCCATCAAAAAGTGGGCAAAGGATATGAACAGACACTTTTCAAAAGAAGACATTTATGCATTCAACAGACAAATGAAAAAATGCTCATCATCACTGGCCATCAGAGAAATGCAAATCAAAACCACAATGAGATACCATCTCACACCAGTTAGAATGTTAGAATGGCAATCATTAAAAAGTCAGGAAACAACAGGTGCTGGAGAGGATGTGGAGACATAGGAACACTTTTACACTGCTGGTTGGTGTGTAAACTAGTTCAACCATTGTGGAAGACAGTGTGGTGATTCCTCAATGATCTAGAACTGGAAATACCATTTGACCCAGGGATCCCATTACTGAGTATATGCCCAAAGGATTAGAAATCATGCTACTATAAAGACACAAGCACACATATGTTTATTGTGGCACTATTCACGATAGCAAAGACTTGGAACCAACCCAAATGTCCATCAATGATAGACTGGATAAAGAAAATGTGGCACTATACACCATGGAATACTATGCAGCCATAAAAAATGATGAGTTCATGTCCTTTGTAGGGACATGGATGAAACTGGAAACCATCATTCTCAGCAAACTATCGCAAGGACAAAAAACCAAACACCACATGTTCTCACTCATAGGTGGAAATTGAACAATGAGAACACATGGACACAGGAAGGGGAACATCACACTCTGGGGACTGTTGTGGGGTGGGGGGAGAGGGGAGGGATAGCATTAGGAGATATACCTAATGTTAAATGACGAGTTAATGGGTGCAGCACACCAACATGGAACATGTATACATATGTAACAAACCTGCACACTGTGCACATGTACCCTAAAACTTAAAGTGTAATAATAATAAAATTTAAAAAAGAAAAAGAAAAAAAATGTGGCACATATACACCATGGTATACTATGCAGCCATAAGAAAGGATTAGTTGTGGCTGGGCGCGGAGGCTCATGCCTATAATCCCAGCACTTTGGGAGGCCGAGGTGGGCAGATCACGAGGTCAGGAGATCGAGACCATCCTGGCTAACATGGTGAAACCCCGTCTGTACTAAAAAATACAAAAAAAATTAGCCAGGCGTGGTGGCGGGTGCCTGTAGTCCCAGCTACTTGGGAGGCTGAGGCAGGAGAATGGCATTAACCCCAGGGGCAAAGCTTGCAGTGAGCTGAGATCATGCCAGTGCACTCCAGCCTGGGTGACACAGCGAGACTCCATCTCAAAAAAAAAAAAAAAAAAAAAAAAAAAGGGATGAGTTCATGTCCTTTCTAGGGACATGGATGAAGCGTGAAGCTGGAAACCATCATTCTGAGCAAACTATCGCAAGGACAGAAAACCAAACACCACATGTTCTCACTCATAGGTGAGAATCGAACAAGGAGAACACTTGGACACATGGCGGGGAACAGCACATACCAGGGCTTGTCGTGGGGTGGGGGATGGGGGAGGGATAGATTAAGAGAAATACCGAATGTAAATGATGAGTTAATGGGTGCAGCACACCAGCATGGCACATGTATACATATGTAACAAACCTGCACATTGTGCACATGTACCCTAGAACTTAAAGTATAGTAATAGTGAAAAAAAAAGAATAAAACATATCTTGGATAGAAGGGGAGGGAATTAAAAGCACATACACATACACAGATATATGTCATAGACCTTTGTTTCATTTTAATTACATATTTAACCATATAACATTAACAAACATATTTAAATATTATATGTGTTTAATTATTATGCAGTTAAATTGAAACAAAGATCTATAATATGACCCAATTGGGAATCCAAAATGTATTAAAATAATTTATATATTAATAACAAACAGAAAGGTTGCTGATTGTCTTTTGTGCCTCTACAGCATAGAATCTGGATTAATTTGAACATTTGCTAAAATGCACCAACTGGCCAAGCTTCATGGATTTAATCAATACTGGGGATCAAATTACAGTTGCATATGGGATCCTACTATGCATAAACATGGTATCCCCTATAATCATGGGAAAATAACTAAATATAAAATAGAGGAAAATAGGTTTGCTTCATTTTAACTATATAGCTTTGCCTAAATTTCCCACAGCCATAGTACTCATGGATCTAAAATATCCCATAGGAGGCATAGACACTCTGACACAGTGAGTAGGAAATTAAAATTAAATCTTTGACAGTAACAAACTGGTTTGACAAAATGGGACCTCATAGATCCCCAGTTAAAACAGTTAATATGGCCCAAAATAAGTTGAAGCTTGACTTTGAAGATGATAACTTCTTCTATGTAAGACCTAATTAATCAATGGGTTTGCCACTGATTTTCTATTTGACAGTCCAATTAGGCGTCTTCTTAAACCTGGAAAGAATGAATGGCACCACACAGTGATTACTGTAACCTAAATGCTGTGTCTCTATCCATTAAGGCCTTCCTACCCAATAACCAATATTAATAAAATTGCTAACTTCATCCAATCAATAATTGATAAATTTCTTGCCATTATAGGTTTGGATAATACATTTTATACAGTGGCTATTTCACACCAGCGTCTCAGCTGCAGTTTGCTTTCACCTTAGAAGGAATGTAGCACACTTTCACAGGGCTACCCAGAGGGTGTCTCAATAGCTTTTCGTCACACACAGTCTTCGCAGACAAGACCTTACATGCAGCATCTTTTCTAGAAGCATAGGTAGGATGTTACAGTGATGGAATCTTCCCCTGAAGAGATTCATTTGACATACTTATTAAGGACATGCAAGTCCAATATCTTAGTCTTTTTTGGATTTTGGAGGCAACAGATTCCTCATTTACAAATTTTATTTAATCTCACTGCTGCTGCTACTAACAAATCAGTCCATCTTAAATGGAAAGCCATTTAAGGCTCAACAAAACGTTCTAGAATCTGTCCGAATTAAAACCAGCAGGCAATCCTGTTACCGTCCTCAGAAACTCCTTCAATTTAGAAGCTTTGGCAATCTCCCAGCGTCTCTGGATGACTTATGATGGCCTTACATTGCCCATGGGCTTCTGATACAAGAAACGGTTCTTTTTCATCCTGTGCTATACACCATTAGAGCAGCAACTGCTGCCCACATACTGTTCTTTTTTGAAAATAAAGGCTGTCACAGATCCTGAGCCTGTGACCCTCTGTACCCACCTTCCCATTATGTCTTGAATTATGGAAGCAACACACCGCAAGTTCACCCCTACATTCCCAATCCTAAAAAACCTTGTAGAAGGCACTATTAATGGTATCTGTGCCATCCTAAAAAAAAAAAAAAAAGAGATTATTGCTTTCCTCTGGAAGCAACTGCTTCATATTGACCCATTCCTTGATTCCCTTGGGAGAATATCTCTCACTCTCCAGCACCTTCTCTTATTTCACCGATCTAGCCTTCCACCATGACCTCGCACTCCAAGTTGCTTACCGTGACCACCACAACTATTTGACTGCAATCACATACCACTAACCTTTACCTATACCTTACTGAACCATCATTTCATACTCTCTACCTTGACCCAGTTTTGAGGTTCTGGCTAGAGGTTGGTAGGTTCTACTTCTTAAGCAACTGGTTAAATTCACACCCCAACCACATCTCTTATCAGACTCTTACACTCTAGGTCCACTAAGTAGCTGACTTAATTGTCCTGGGGCCATAACTAATGAAAGCCCCTAACCCTGGAAGTCCTCAAAATTATTCAAACTAGCCAATTAATATGGTTTGGCTGTGACCCTACCCAAATCTTATCTTGAATTGTATTTCCTATAATCCCCACATGACATGTCGTGGGAGGAACTCAGTGGGAGGTAATCGAATCATGGGGGTGGTTACTCCATTGTTATTCTTAGGATAGTGAGTGAGTTTTCATGAAATCTGGTGGTTTTATAAGGGGCTTTTCCCCCTTTGCTCAGCACTTCACCTTCCTGCCACCTTATGAAGAAGAATGTACTTGATTCCCCTTTTGCCATGATTCTAAGTTTCCTGAGGCCTCCCCAACCCTGTGGAACTGTGAGTCAATTAGACTTCTTTCCTTTATAAATTACCCAGTCTCAGGTAGTTCTTTATAGCAGCACAAGAATGGATTAATACACCAACCAATAGGGAGCTTGAGAAACTTAGCTTTCCCCATTCCAACTCCCACACATAAACTACCCTCCGTGCAGCTACTGCTTGCTGTCACCCTGTCCCTGGATGCAACTTCCTGTTTGTTCTTGCCTGTCAACCTTCTCCCATTTGGATCATAAATAACAAAGAGTTCTGCCTATCCTCTCTGTCATTGAGTTGTATCTTCTCAAAAGAACCTTTAAATATTAGAAAACAACTTGCAAGATTTCAAGCCAACTCCAAGTTATGTCACATTACACCTGCACACCCATACCCAACACCAAATTGTAATTATTTTTAGGGGACCCCACATTCACTTTTTTTGCTGGTGCCAACAGAGAAGCAAAAGGGGTTTCAGGAAACTTAGCAGCAAAGTGAATATAAGCCTGCAAAGGAACAGGAGGCAACTGATCATTGAGTATAGTCCACTCAGGAGGTATATAATTACAAGAGTTCTGACTTCTCACACATGGCAGGCAGAGGTCCTCAACTCTGGCAGCCAATTAGAATCACCAGATAAGATTTTACTAAGTACTGTACCTAAGTCTTTAACCCAGAGATTATGATTAGATCCAGATATCAGTATTCATTAAGGCTCCTAAGTGTTTCAAATATGATGACAAATAAATAAATCATTATTGAGTTAGAAGAAGCCAACCCTAGAAAACAGGGATGCAAGTATAGGTGTTTCCTAGACTAAATGAAAGCAATATAACAGTAACCAGTAAAAAAAAAAAAATAGCCAATAAACTTTGAGCAGTAAATGTCTGATTGTTTCTGCTTGGCAGAAATGGTTGGCTGTCGAATGACAATATTCATTCTCTTTCTGTCATGTGGTGTTACTGCTTCATGTTGTCTACCTATGCAGAGATTATATTTTTCAATAATCTTTGCATCTAGGCAGTACCTGTGTCTTGTTTTTACAGGGGAAAGCTAAGAAAAATGATGTGTTCTACTTTTAGGCCAAGGTAGTTAAGAAGAAAGATTATCTTCTCCAAACACTCTTTTCCTCTCTTGGACAGAAGTCAATGTGCAGGGTAACCTTAGCTCATGTATTAAATATGACATTGTCTGTTATCCTGAGTACATATCAAAAGTCCCTCCTTCTAATTTGGAATGCCTACAAATTGGATTTTTACACACACAAGAAATGTAGTTATATCAAGCCACTCATATTTCAGATATGTTTATTAACATTATTCTAACTAATAAAAAAATTAATAATGGGGTTCTGCCATAACATATCTAAACTGTGTGGTTATGACTTTGTAGTTGAATGATAGTCAACAAAGAAGAAGAAATAAAATAAAGTAGGAGGCACAAAAGCTCTGTGATGCTGTAAGGCAGCTGTTGCCTGTGGTAACTTTGAAGGCAGCCATGTGCTCAGTGAACCTAAAGATGGAAGAGAATTGTTATGAAGAACTAGAATATGAGAGCCATTGTTGGCTAATATTGGCTGCCTTTAGCAAGATATTACAAGAAGATATGAGTTCTGGTATGAATTGTTTGGTTTTCAAACATAGTTTGTAAGGAGTGGATAAAGTTCAGAGATCAGGAAGGCTTACAGGATTAGAGTTAACTCCTGCTTCTGGACTCTAAGGGCCATGAGTAGCAGAGGCCCAGTAAAACTTCTCAGTTAACAGGTTAGATACAAACCAATTGTAATTATCAAATTACGAGTGGTATCTTCCCATCTAAGGAGGTAGCTTTCACTAGGTTGACATAGAAAGAAATATGAAGAAGAGGAAACAAAACATTTGCTTGAAAGTGAAAATACTTAATCAAATCAATTATTTGGCATAAATAAATCAAATTATGAAACAAAATATAGTTGTCTGACACAATGAAAATAGTATAATTATGGGTAAAATGCTCATATTTTCACAGGATAAATTTGCAAGCTTAATATGGTAGATTTTAATAAAAAAGTATTTCCATACAGATTTGAACAGATTAAGTGATGTTTGGAAAAGTTTATCTTTTTCTGGATAGCATTGTTTATAGTGGAGCTCAAATAATTAGTATACTTTTATAATTCTCTATTTCTAAAAAGATAATGGCAAGAGTAATCTATACCTATGATGGAAAAAATCCTAAGATGTGAGGGGTGGCAAGAAATAACAAATCTTACTGTTTTTATTTTTAACTGAATATTTTATGTCTGAAAGGTATGGTAGCCAAAGAATGTAAGAAAAGTATCTTCAGACCCTAAAACTTAAAGTATAATAATAATAAAATAAAATAAAAAAGAAAAGTATCTGCAGATTTTTGTAAACCATCTATTTTTGTGCAGAGTTTTGTAACTCGTAAAGTACTTTTATAATTTTATTTGCTATTCCAATTGATCACCTGACATTGAGTGGATAGGAATGACATAAGATGACTCAAAGGTATGGTAGCCAAACAATGTGAGAAAAGTATCTGCAGATTTTTGTGAATCATCTATTTTTTGTGCGGAGCATTGTAATTTGTAAAGTACTTTTATAATCTCATTTGTTATTCCAGTTGATCACTGACATGGTTTGGCTGTGTCCCCATTCAAATCTCAACTTGAATTGTATCCCCCAGAATTCCCTCGAGTTGTGGGAGGGACCTAGGGGGAGGTAATTGAATCATGGGGGATGGTCTTTCCCATGCTATTCTCGTGATACTGAATAAGTCTCACGAGATCTGATGGGTTTATCACGGGTTTCCTCTTTCGTCCTCTCATTTTCTCTTGCTGCTGCCATGTGAGAAGTACCTTTTGCCTCCCACCATGATTCTGAATCCTCCCCAGCCATGTGGAACTGTAAGTCCAATTAAACCTTTTTCTTCCCAGTCCCAGGTATGTCGTTATCAGCAGCATGAAAACAGACTAATACAATCATGTGACATTGAGAAGATAGGAATGACATAAGATGACAAAAGCTTCATGCTGGGATGTTGTCAACCTGCCTAGGCTCTGATTTCTGCTACTCTATTATTGTATCTCTGTGACTTCAAAAAAATTATTTAACCTTTCTGAGTATGCTCAACTACAAAATGAGGATACTTAATCCAACCTCAGAGGTGGTTGTGAAGATTACATGAGCTATACATGCAAAACATTTAGAGGAATGACTTACACAGGGTAAGCACTGAGAACATTTGTACTATTATCAACTATTATATTCAGGATAATTAGATTGTGACTCTAAGAAATTTATTTATTTATTAATAATTACATCGTTAATAAATGCATGCACCTGGAGTATACTGAAAACATTCAAACCTCTAGTTGAAGGATTTCCTTTCTTACACATAAACTTCATTTTGGATGAATCATTATAAATATTTATTCACTAATTTTTTAAATTATCAATTTGCCTCAATTAAGAGATTTATATACTGTATGAAGAAGTATTACTTGTGCTTACCCATATATCTGTTTCTTCTCTGTTCCTGGGCTTATGCAACCTTTTATTTTTTAGTATTCTTGATAACTGGCCATGTCATGAGTTCTAATTAACGGGCTGAGAGCAGAAGGGACGTGTGCATTTTAGAGTTGGTCTTTGATTCTCTGAGTTTTATTTCTCTACCACATGAATTGTGGATGCTCATGTTGAAATTGAGTGCCACAATGTAGAAACAGCTTGGAACACTCAGCCACTGTGTGGAGAACAGCTGCCCTCAAATGTTACTAGACCCTTAGCAGACTTTTTAGAAGCAAGAAAAATACTTCAGTTGGGTTAAGATAGTTAACTTGGAGGTTGTTTGCAATATAACTCAATCAATCCTATCTAATACACTGTATTTTCATATAGCTCTTTTGATTGCCAGATTTTGGATTTTTTTCAGCTTAGAAAATATTTTGCTTCATTTTCTTCCTTTGAGAATTATTTTTGCTTTGTCTATTTTGTTCTGTAATATAGATAAAGAATAAAATATATGTTTTGATTTACAGTCAAGGTATAATATGCATGAGTATGTTCATTGCCTCCTCTGGATAGGTATTTCTTATTTTTCATAATTTATTTTATAATTTCTCTAATTATTTTCTCATGCTTTTCCTTTTGGAACTAAGAGACACTTGAGTTAGACATATTCTTTATGGGGAACTGTCATTATAGATGTATACAAGATTACTCTCTTTTAGTAAGCTATTTCCCTTCTTTAACACTGATATTCACTCTAAAGTATTTGATCTATTTTATTGGATATGTGTCTATACATATCCTTATAAAATATTTATTATTTTTGTTCATATGTGTTTTTAGTTTACATAAGTGTATTGTGTCATATCTACTATTTTATTTCTTAATTTTTCTCTTAACATGCTCTGCTTTAAGATTTTTCTCTTTCTAAAGTTTATATTATTAATTTGTTTCATCTGGGACATAGTAATACATGGTGTACATATATCATATAAATATTCCTCTAATGATAAACACAAATTACCCACTATTATAAATACTTCACTAAGACATATTCCTATGTGTTTCCTATAGGCTAGTGGAAGAATTGCCCTACTGTTTATACATAGGAATGGGATAGCTGGTTTATGCGGGATACTTGATTAATATTTCACTAAATTATTGCCAAAATTCACTGGGTTTGCATGGGATACTAGGTTAATGTGTCACTAAATTATTGGCAAAATTCATGTCAACATGGCCATACTAGTTGACTTTTTTTTTTTTTTTTTTTGAGACGGAGTCTCGCTCTGTCGCCCAGGCTGGAGTGCAGTGGTGTGATCTCGGCTCACTGCAAGCTCCACCGGGTTCATACCATTCTCCTGCCCAGCCTCCCGAGTAGCTGGGACTACAGGCGCCCGCTACCACGCCTGGCTAATTTTTTGTATTTTTTTTTTTAGTAGAGACGGGGTTTCACCATGTTAGCCAGGATGGTCTCCATCTCCCGACCTCGTGATCCGCCCACCTCAGCCTCCCAAAGTGCTGGGATTACACTGTGAGCCAATGTGCCCGTCCGCTAGTTGACAATTCTATCAGTAATTCATGAAGCTCCCAGTCCCCAAGCATCCTTACTAACTCTTGACATTATCTACTTTTCAAACATTCACCCCTCTGATGAATGTAAAGAACAGTATAATTTATGTTTCATTTTGCATTTCTGTGCAAAAGTTGATTATCTATACATATACTTGTTAGCTTTTTGTTAGCCATCTGTAAATTGCCATTTCATACCTTGTGCTCTCTTTTTGTTGTTCATTTGAAGAAGGCATATGCTGCATAATGATTTTACACATTGTAACTCTCTTCTCCCATTTAACTTTAATATGAAGTTCTTCAATTTAAGAAGTTTTTTTTTTAAGTTAATTCACTTTGAATTCTAGGAGTACTTTTCTTTTTCTTTTTTAAAGACAGGGTCTTGCCCTGTCACCCAGGCTGGAATGCAGTGGTGCAATCACGGGTCACCACAGCCTTCCAAGCAGCTGGGACTAAAACTGTGCACCACTATGCCTGGCTAATTTTTAAATGTTTTGTATAAAAAACGGCCTCTGTATGTTTGCCAGGCTAGTCTCAAACTCCTGGGCTCAGGCAATCTTCCCGCCTCGACCTTGCAAGTGCTGGAATTATAGGAATGTGCCTTGACTTCCGGCCTAGGAGTACTTCTTGATTTTTCTCTCTTAATGTTACTGGTACGATTTTTACAATATTTACTCTACTATTTTCACTGTGGCTTATAATTTGTCAGTTAAGTTTTTAAATTCTGAAAAATCTTTTTGAGATTTCAGCTGGTTTTCCCTTGATGATAATCTTCTCTATATTTTTAGATACAACTATTGAAAATACTAACTAGAAGTCTTCTAGCATTTTACTCTGTTTCCTGAAATATTTTTTGTAAATGAGGCATTTTCTTTGGTTTTTGAAGGATAACCCACTATGTCTCTTTTCAAAGTTCTGATTACTTTTCTTTTAAAATGGTCTTAAATTTTAAAAAAAGTTATTTCCTTCTGCTCTAACTCTGAAACTTTAATTTAAAATTTAAGTTAAAATGTCCCACTTTTTAAAATCAATTTTCTTCTATCTTTTATTTTCCCCCCTTACAAGGTTAATTTCTTTGATTTCTTATCTTCTCTCTCTCACTTCCACTTAGTACTAATTTATGTCACCAGCTACTATTGAGAATACTCTCAAACTCCTTCACCTTTTTAGTTAAAACCATGTAGTAACTACCTGTGCCCAAAGATCATTCCAGTGCTTTTATACCAAACCTGTGACTTTCTAAAAATTATCATACTTCAACCTCCACATTCTTACAATGGTTGGCCCTTTCTCTCTTGCATGCTTAAATCATACTCCTGAGTCATTCTCCTTATTTATAGCCTTCTTTAACTCCTTTAATCTGGTTTCTATACCTCTTTATCCGGTTATACTGTTTTCTGAATCTACTCTTGTTATAATGTCTTTCTCATTATAACTGTAAACTTGTCTGTATTTCCTGTTATACTTGTCAGTTCTGAAAAAATAAACTTTCTTTCTTCATTGATGTACCCTGAAGGCCTGTCTTATTGCCTGACACATAATTAGTTTCCAATAAATATTTGTTAAATGAATAAATGATGATGGGATGAGTATAAGCATATAGCAAGCTTCAAAAATGCCTTTTCATTTGAGTTGTTTCAAGTCTCAGTTTTCCCCCTCATCTGGTAAACTAGAAAGATATCAACTTATATATTGTGAATTTCTTTCCAGATCTGTGGAAATCATATTTAGGAAGAAAATATTCCAAATAGAGTAAAATAGTGCCCAATAATGTCTCTTCAAATACGACTCACAGACACACCATGCAGCAGCATTTTGTAACTAACTTCCTCCATAAATGTTAAGGAATTATTGACTTATTGTTGCAATCCCTCTGGTGTGATAGGTTTTTTTTTTTAGAAGAAGAAATAAAATCTATGTAGCTATACAATGGTGTGTGGAGTAGTTTTTCCTTTGAAAGCATTGCTTCATTGTTTTTAAGTACAAGTATGTCTCATCACAATATTTAAAGAAATCAAGAAATGTCAGTAAAGGTAGAAAGCAAAATGGGACTTCAAAGATTGAGTTGTAAAGGTTTACATCTCTTTAAAAGCTATATCCTTTTAAAACTAAATCTAAAAATGGTGTATTTCTTGTACCATTTCAGATAAAAAGAATGACTTGACAATTTTGGAAAGAGTGCTTTTATAGGCAAAGTAATATAATACCTAATTTAATAATATGCAGAATGTAAAGCTCATGGGCATATCTTTCTCCCAAGAATGCTTACAGCTCAAAAGGGCCTCTTAGGGTAAGGGCATAGTAATTGGTAAAGAGAATTGGTAGAGATACAGCTCTGGTATCAAAGAATATTTTCCTAGAGTGAAAAAGAAGCTAATTGAAAAAATGTTCTGGATTACAGCACGATTTACCCTAAGGTCCCTAGATTTAGAGTGGTAGACAAATTGGAAGGTGATTTTCAGCTTGCTATATACTGCAACTTAGCATTTGAAATGCATTTAATCATTGAGCTGAGTTTGATCATCTCTCACAAAGAGAGATACATACTTTAAGTAATATGGGCATACTATAAGGAATAAAATGCCCACATTTTTTCCGACATTCAGGCAATCTAGTTTTACTGTATAATCATACATGTCTTAGGTATTTCTTTCCTAATCTAATATGATTTTGAGCCAGTGAAACATGCCATGAGAACTTCTTGACATGAGGCAGCCGGAAGCAGTAGGAACAACACTAGAATCAAAGTTAAGATATTTATGCCTATATTCCAATTTTGATAATTATTTTAACCCCTTATTAAGTCATTAAATCTATATTGTATCCTCCAATGATTATATTCTTTCTTATTAAATCACTTAAACCCGGTTAATCCCAGTTTCTTCAAATGTTAAATAAGACTAGAAATACTGCCTGGCTTTACCCAGGAGGTAACATTTATTCTAACTTTTAAGAAACTGTGAAATATTTTAGAAATATTATTATTAGTCAATAGTGTCAACAATTGATTTGACTAAGGTTTTTTTTTTTTTTAATTTAGCCTTTATTTGAATTGACTAAATCAGACATCCTCTGGTTTTATATATGCAGCTTAATTAATTGGTGGGACTAAAATCAACAAGTGATAAAGTATGCTAATGGTTATGACAGTTTGTAAATATATCTGCTTTACCAACCTGGAACCTCTGTCAATCTCAAGCCCTACAGTCTGCGTCCTAGAACTGTGACTTTCCTGAATCAGTGAGACAAATAATTTAAGGGCATGTACCATTAGCCTTACAAACTTTTATTTTTTTTTTCCAGAAATAGAAACATCAAAAAGCAACAGCTGTCTTTATATCGCCATTTTTTTTTTCGCAAAATCAGGACAATTTGACAGTCTTTCCCCACTCCTTTCCCCAAATAGGAACGTAATCTCATATTAAAGGAGAAGCTGAACAAAATGGAATAGATGACTTGAGAAGGAGAAGAGGAGAAAGGAGACCATTACGACTGAGAGAAAATAGTTAATTTTAAGTGACATTTGTGGCACAGGAAGATTGAGAGTTTCATAGTACAAAGAAAGAGGTATCAGAAAAAAGTTTCCTACCATTACGGTGATTAAGGCATCCTTTCTAAGATAGGAAGCAAAGTGGGTGAGGCATGAATTGATTTCAGCAGCTTGTAACCCAGTTCTGAGCTGTGATTGGCAGGACAATTTCGATTCTACATAGATAGGATCCCAGAAATCCAAAGAAGATGTAGGAGTTTGATTATACTGGTCTTTTGGTTAAATTAGAGAATGTTCTTCACTTCATTTCCTCTAAAAAATCTTTTCAAAATAAAATTACATTAAAGAGCTTGTTCTCTGACAGTATACCAAAATTCCTTTTTGTTTTATTTAATGCATAATTAATAAATAATTATAACCTGTCAGAGATAGTCATATATTTTGTCAATATTTAGAGTAGTTAACTGGTGAAGTAGAAAGAGCACTGAAAGGGAAATGAGGAAACGTGTTTTCTACTCTCAACTATTAATTGGTTGATTTTATGTAAGTTATTTGATCTTTCTATAATAGAATTTTGATAACATATGCATACTATGTTTCAGAGTGGAGATTTTCACTAATTGTTTGTTGAATCGATTCAAATAAATAAACTCTGAATGTTGGAGTTGGAGATTTTTAAAGTTCCTGCTATCTCTAAAGTTCTATGATAATTAATTTAACCAACAGTTGTGGCTTGCTTTCCCTGTGCTATATACAACAGTTCTGCTTACATCTTTCACTGTGTATTAGCCATTTAATGGCCAGTTGGCTTTCATTATCACTCACAGAGATAATTTTTATCAAACATTTGCTATACATTTCTACTTTCTTTTAAAAAAATCTTTTGGCTGCATAAATGTCTTCTGTTGAGAAGTGTCTGTTCATATCCTTTGCCCACTTTTTGATGGGGTTGTTTGTTTTTTTCTTGTAAATTTGTTTGAGTTCATTGTAGATTCTGGATATTAGCCCTTTGTCAGATGAGTAGGTTGCGAAAATGTTCTCCCATTTTGTAGGTTGCCTGTTCACTCTGATGGTAGTTTCTTTTGCTGTGCAGAAACTCTTTCGTTTAATTAGATCCCATTTGTCAATTTTGGCTGTGGTTGCCATTGCTTTTGGTGTTTTAGAAATGAAGTCCTTGCCCATGCCTATGTCCTGAATGGTAAAACCTATGTTTTCTTCTAGGGTTTTTATGGTTTTAGGTCTAACGTTTAAGTCTTTAATCCATCTTGAATTGATTTTTGTATAAGGTGTAAGGAAGGGATCCAGTTTCAGCTTTCTACATATGGCTAGCCAGTTTTCCCAGCACCATTTATTAAATAGGGAATCCTTTCCCTATTGCTTGTTTTTCTCAGGTTTGTCAAAGATCAGATAGTTGTAGATATGTGGCGTTATTTCTGAGGGCTCTGTTCTGTTCCATTGATCTATATCTCTGTTTTGGTACCAGTACCATGCTGTTTTGGTTACTGTAGCCTTGTAGTATAATTTGAAATCAGGTAGCGTGATGCCTCCAGCTTTGTTCTTTTGGCTTAGGATTGACTTGGCGATGCGGGCTCTTTTTTGGTTCCATATGAACTTTAAAGTAGTTTTTTCCAATTCTGTGAAGAAAGTCATTGGTAGCTTGATGGGGATGGCATTGAATCTGTAAATTACCTTGGGCAGTATGGCCATTTTCACGATATTGATTCTTCCTACCCATGAGCATGGAATGTTCTTCCATTTGTTTGTATCCTCTTTTATTTCCTTGAGCAGTGGTTTGTAGTTCTCCTTGAAGAGGTCCTTCACATCCCTTGTAAGTTGGATTCCTAGGTATTTTATTCTCTTTGAAGCAGTTGTGAATGGGAGTTCACTCATGATTTGGCTCGCTGTTTGTCAGTTATTGGTGTATAAGAATGCTTGTGATTTTTGTACATTGATTTTGTATCCTGAGACTTTGCTGAAGTTGCTTATCAGCTTAAGGAGATTTTGGGCTGAGACGATGGAGTTTTCTAGATATACAATCATGTCATCTGCAAACAGGGACAATTTGACTTCCTCTTTTCCTAATTGAATACCCTTTATTTCCTTCTCCTGCCTAATTGCCCTGGCCAGAACTTCCAACACTATGTTGAATAGGAGTGGTGAGAGAGGGCATCCCTGTCTTGTGCCAGTTTTCAAAGGGAATGCTTCCAGTTTTTGCCCATTCCGTATGATATTGGCTGTGGGTTTGTCATAGATAGCTCTTATTATTTTGAAATACGTCCCATCAATACCTAATTGATTGAGAGTTTTTAGCATGAAGGGTTGTTGAATTTTGTCAAAGGCCTTTTCTGCATCTATTGAGATAATCATGTGGTTTTTGTCTTTGGTTCTGTTTATATGCTGGATTCCATTTATTGATTTGCATATATTGAACCAGCCTTGCATCCCAGGGATGAAGCCCACTTGATCATGGTGGATAAGCTTTTTGATGTGCTGCTGGATTCATTTTGCCAGTATTTTATTGAGGATTTTTGCATCAATGTTCATCAAGGATATTGGTCTAAAATTCTCTTTTTTGGTTGTGTCTCTGCCCAGCTTTGGTATCAGGATGATGCTGGCCTCATAAAATGAGTTAGAGAGGATTCCTCTTTTTCTATTGATTGGAATAGTTTCAGAAGGAATGGTACCAGTTCCTCCTTGTACCTCTGGTGGAATTCGGCTGTGAATCCATCTGGTCCTGGACTCTTTTTGGTTGGTAAGCTATTGATTATTGCCACAATTTCAGATCCTGTTATTGGTCTATTCAGAGATTCAACTTCTTACTGGTTTAGTCTTGGGAGAGTGTATGTGTCGGGGAATTTATCCATTTCTTCTAGATTTTGTAGTTTATTTGCGTAGAGGTGTTTGTAGTATTCTCTGATGGTAGTTTGTATTTCTGTGGGAATGGTGGTGATATCCCCTTTATCATTTTTTATTGTGTCTATTTGATTCTTCTCTCTTTTTTTCTTTATTACTCTTGCTAGTGGTTTATCAATTTTGTTGATCCTTTCAAAAAACCAGCTCCTGGATTCATTAATTTTTTGAAGGGTTTTTTGTGTCTCTATTTCCTTCAGTTCTGCTCTGATTTTAATTATTTCTTGCCTTCTGCTAGCTTTTGAATGTGTTTGCTCTTGCTTCTCTAGTTCTTTTAATTGTGATGTTAGGGTGTCAATTTTGGATCTTTCCTGCTTTCTCTTGTGGGCATTTAGTGCTATAAATTTCCCTCTACACACTGCTTTGAATGCGTCCCAGAGATTCTGGTATGTTGTGTCTTTGTTCTCCTTGGTTTCAAAGAACATCTTTATTTCTGCCTTCATTTCGTTATGTACCCAGTAGTCATTCAGGAGCAGGTTGTTCAGTTTCCATGTAGTTGAATGGTTTTGAGTGAGATTCTTAATCCTGAGTTGTAGTTTGATTGCACTGTGGTCTGAGAGATAGTTTGTTATAATTTCTGTTCTTTTACATTTGCTGAGGACAGCTTTACTTCCAAGTATGTGGTCAATTTTGGAATTGGTGTGGTGTGGTGCTGAAAAAACACATGAAAAAATGCTCACCATCACTGGCCATCAGAGAAATGCAAATCAAAACCACAATGAGATACCATCTCACACCAATTAGAATGGCAATCATTAAAAAGTCAGGAAACAACAGGTGCTGGAGAGGATGTGGAGAAATAGGAACACTTTTACACTGTTGGTGGGACTGTAAACTAGTTCAACCATTGTGGAAGTCAGTGTGGCGATTCCTCAGGGATCTAGAACTAGAAATACCATTTGACCCAGCCATCCCATTACTGGGTATATACCCAAAGGACTATAAATCATGCTGCTATAAAGACACATGCACACGTATGTTTATTGCGGCACTATTCACAATAGCAAAGACTTGGAACCAACCCAAATGTCCAACAATGATAGACTGGATTAAGAAAATGTGGCACATATACACCATGGAATACTATGCAGCCATAAAAAATGATGAATTCATGTGCTTTGTAGGGACATGGATGAAATTGGAAATCATCATTCTCAGTAAACTATTGCAAGAACAAAAAACCAAACACCGCATATTCTCACTCATAGGTGGGAATTGAACAATGAGAACACATGGACACAGGAAGGGGAACATCACACTCTGGGGACTGTTGTGGGGTGGGGGGAGGGGGTAGGGATAGCACTGGGAGATATACCTAATGCTAGATGACGAGTTAGTGGGTGCAGTGCACCAGCATGGCACATGTATACGTATGTAACTAACCTGCACATTGTGCACATGTACCCTAAAACTGAAAGTATAATAATAATAAATAAATAAATTAAAAAAAATCTTTTGCTGCTAGTTGTAGACTAATATATATTTAAGGTTTACTAAGATGGTTCAGAAATATAAGCCACTTACTTTACGTATCTCGGGACCACTAACACCACTTTTGACTCAGCTTCATTTACAGTTTGTTCTTTAAAGGCTTTTAAAATTTATCTATGTATCTGTATATCTCTATATAAAATAATACTTACATGCACATAAATATGTATGTGTGTATAATATTGATATATACATCGTATATGCATATAAAACACACACACACACTTTTTATTGCCCTGAAATGTGGCTTATCCAAATATCCTCATTTTACAAATGAAGATTTTTGTGGCAAACAAAAGTTAAATGATTTTTCTGAAGCCACATAGCTTTAGTTCTAGTAGTACTGACTATAAATTATTTACAGAAACCAATATGCACGCTTTTATGAAGTACCATTTTATTTTTAAAGCAAACCCTTTTATGTTGCAAATTTGAATGGTTACAGAAAATAAGAGCCAGTAAAAAAACATTAATTTTATTTAATCATGGAAGCATATATCTTATTTTGGGTTATGTAGATTAGATTAGAGATGAAACAGTATATCAATTAGCTATTACTGCATAATAAGCGACCTCACAACTTAGTGGCCTAAAACTGCAACCACTTATTTAATTGGGATTCTCCAGTTTGGCAATGTTGTCTGGGTTGAGCTAAGCATGTCTTTTGTTTTTGACTTAGGTCATTCATGCATCTGTGATCAGCTGCCAGACTGGGTGGAGGCTGGTTCATCTGAAATGACTTCAGCTAGGATGACCTGACTCTGCTTTTTTACATTTAAGTATCTTCTGAGGCTTATTCACACGACAGTAATAGAGATCCAAAAGCAAAATGGGAAATATGCAAAATCTTTCAAGGGCTAGGCACAAAATTAGTCTGTTATTTCTACCACATTTTACTAATCAATGCAAGTTATAAGGTCAGACAAGATTTAAGGGGTGAAGAAAGAGTGGCAAAGTTGCTATACAAAGAGGAGTGGATATAGGAAGAGATAAAGAATTATGGTTATTTTTGCAATCTCATGCAAATAGCATTTTTGCAATATAAGTTTAGTTTCATGGCTTTATTGAGAAAAGCTTAAATCAAAAACTGCAGAATCTTTTTGTGTGTGTTTTTTATTCCCCTGGCACATTCTAGCATATACTTACAAATACCAATTCCTGGCATGGATGCAGATCAACTGCTAATGAGAATGCGAAATAATACGGCCACTTTGGAAAACAGTTTGATAATTTCTTATAAAAAGTTAATTATACACTTACCATGTAAGCCAGTAATCCAACTACTGAGTTATTTAACCAAATGCAATGAAAACTTAGTTTTCACTGGCATAAAATTCTTTCCCACTTATTAAGCCTTCAATCCCTTGACTTTGTCTGTTGCAGATAGAAAAATTAAAAGACATAGAGGCTAAAGCCAAATCTAGCCTACTGCCTGTTTTTGTTAATAAAGTTTTATTGGAACATTGCCATGCCATTTGTTTACACAATGTTTATGACTACTTGTGTGCTGTGCTACAATGACAGAGTTGAGCAATTGTGCATGAGCTCACAAGGCCCTCAAAGCCTAAAATATTTACTATCTAGCCTTTTACATAGCAAGTTTGCTGACTCCTAGAGGATAGGATTTTGTAATTGTTTTTTAACAGGTCAGTGTTGAAAATCATGTTAATCACTTATGATTGTGTTCCATTGGCCAGAACTATGTCTCATGGTCACACAGTGTAGGCTGGGCTATTTACAATACTTGCATGCATAGGAAACAGAGGAAACTGATATTTGTAACTCTGTTATGTCTTCACTGATTTTCCAAAGACTGTATCATTCTGCATCTACTCTCACATACCACTTTTAAATATGTGTGTTTTTGACACAGTTGTAGGTTGTACATTACTATTTCTTTTCATGTTTAACCCTTTAACTGGACTTGGTAAAAAAAATCATCTTATTCATCTCTATATTTTTAGTGTCATACTCAATTGAATAAAGTTAATAAAGGAAATAATGCAATCAGGAGTAAATTATTCTTCAAGCACAAATAATTAGATAGATCAAGGACAAAAATTATGTTGGGCACCTGGGTACCTATTCATGGCAGATATGACTTGACCATTGTGACAGATTTTCCCCTCAAGCCTGAAAAGAACTCAGAATCTTTGTTAAAGTAGTTTAGAGATAACAATGATCAATTTACATGTGGCACTTAAGATGAAGTGTATTTTCTTTCTTTCTTTTTTTTTTTTTTTTAATTTGAGACAGAGCCTTGCTCTGTTGCCCAGGCTGGGGTGCAATGGCGTGATCTTGGCTTACTGTAACCTCTGCCTCCCAGGTTCAAGCGATTCTTGTTCCTCAGCCTCCTGAGTAGCTGGAATTACAGGCATGCACCACCACGCCCAGCTAATTTTTTGTATTTTTAGTAGAGACAGGGTTTCACCATGCTGGCCAAGCTGGTTTGGAACTTCTGAACTCAAGTGATCTGCTTGCCTTGGCCTCCCAAAGTGGTGGGATTACAGGCATGAGCCACCACACCCAGCCCAAGATGAAGTGTATTTTCTGTCTCTGGATTAGGTTTTTTAGTATTGGATGGCCACATTATATGCCTTATTTACCTCTGAATTCTTATGACAAATTCTAGACAAATCTATGAAATCCAATGCAAGCTGAATTCCAAGAAAATGTTAATGAAACACAGTTGTAAGTCATATGATGTGAATTGCTCTTCTAGTAGTAGTTGAAGAGAATTTGCCCAGTTCCACTCTCTTCTGATCCCTGCTGGGTTCAGTGTGCTTACAGCATGAGGCTTGCGGTGATATCCAAACCTTATCCATTTACCAAACTGGACACGTTTCCCTCAGTACATTTCTTTAGATGTTGATCTAATTGCCAGTTGATAATGGCCATTTTCTGAAGCCAGGAAATCATAGATTCTGCCATGGTGCAAAATGAGTATTAGTATGTAGGTTTTGCTTTGTGTTTTTAATTGTTTTCTTCATTAATAGCACCTCTAGCAGTTTCAAGATGGAAACAGCTGTGCTTGTGCCACATGAGACAGACAAACACATACTGTCCTTCATTTCTTTTCTATATCCCTCACCTGCTTTTAAATTTACAGTGTATTGGAATAGAAGAACAGAGCCAAAATAAAGCAACTAATTAAGAACCTTTGTCTGGAACAGGGATTGGGCAAAATTCAAGCCAGGAGCCAAATTTGCCCCAGAATCTGTCTTTGTAAGGTTTCATTGGAACACTGCCATGCTGATTCATTTGTGTATTGTCTGTGACTGCTTTTGCACTATAATGGCAGGGTTGTATAGTTGTGTCACAGACCATATGGCCTACAAAGGTTAAAATACTTTCTGATTCTTTACAGAAAATGTTTATTACATCTAGTAAATTAATTTGCTGAAGAAACCTCTTGGAAAAAATATATTTAGCATTAAAAAATTCTTTAATAATTTATTATGCATCATAAAGCCAATTTAGAGAGCCTATTACCTAAATTTTCTTTCTAAATAATAAGTCTTAATAAATGGGATATCAAAATCAACCCCTCCTTAGTCCTACAACGTGGTGCCATTAGCCCATTTACCCAAGAAGTCAGTGGTGAGAACATAAAAAAAAGCCGAAATGAATTCATTGTAGAAAAACGCAGGGCCATTAATTTAAAAAAACAAATGAGGAGGATGTTGTGCTATGCACATCAAAGAAATAAATACCTGTACAGAGATTTCTGCACTTAAGGGCTGTTTTCCGTATGTTCATGCTAAGTATGAACACAAATTAAAATCAGTTGTAAATAAATCTTATAATGGAAAATAGGATATATATTCTGTTTTATGTCTGCTGCTAAAATTATTAGGCCAGGACCACTGGCCAATATTATTAAGCAAATTCTTTTGTCTTTTGCCATAGGGCAAAGCTTCATTCATGTGGCATCTTGAAGGTGGATTAATTAACTCTCATTATTTCTTGGTACAGCAAAGTTTGACCTTTACATTTCCAAAAAAGGATCTGTACTATTTAAAACAAAGAGATTCAATGAAAGAATAACATTTGTTTAGTCTATAGATATGAATTTATCTCATGAGATTGTTTTGCATGTTTGCTACTTTGAATTATTGCTGTTAGACATTAGAGAAAGCTTGTTGCTATGGTTTGAATGTTTGTGTCATGCCAAAATCCGTATTTTGAAACCTATTGAGGGCTCCAGTCTCATGATTGGGATTAGTGTCTTCATAATGGAGGCCTGAATGAGCTTGTTCACCCCTTCCACCAGAGAATGTAGAGAGTTTATGGGACTGGATTCTAAGAGGGTGTTGGATCAAAAAGGATGTAACATGAAGATGCATAAGGGAAATACTGATTTCAAAGCACTCTCTGAATACACTGGATTTAACACCCTATTAAAGACGATGGTGCAAACACATTATTTGGATGGCTCTTAGAAGTATGGTAAAAGCAACAGTCCTCATTAAGTGTGATATAAATTACAGTGTAGCTGTGGCAGATAGTGGAAGAGATTAGAAAGCTCATAGTAGAGAGAAAGCTACACCAAAACACTTTTTAAGACCCTGGGCCTGCCAAGTGTGGTAGCTCACACTTTTAATCCCAACACTTTGGGAGGCCTGAGCGGGAGGATCACTTACATCCAGGAGTTTGAGACAAGCCTGGGCAACATAGCAAGAGCCTGCCTCTAAAAACAATAATAATAATAATAATTAGCCTGGCATGGTGCTATGCACCTGCAGTTCCAGCTACTTGGGAGGCTGAGGTGGGAAGATGACTTGAACCCAGATGGTCGAGGTTGCAGTGATCTGTGATTGTTTTATTGCACTCCAGCCTGGGTGACAGAGTGAAACCTTGTCTCAAAAAAAAAAAAAAAAAAAGAAAGAAAGAAAGAAAGAAAAAAAAAGACCAGAGAAAGACCAGAGCTCTGTCAGTTGTTTATATTCCATATGGGAGCTTGTAAGATAGAATATTTACCAAAGCAATGAGATATGCTGGTGAAAGTGCCTGCTTTACAACGAAGTTCTGTGGTGGCTTTCCTCTGCACACTAGGGGTGTGATAGCAGGTGCCATTACAAACTGCGCTCACCCTCAGTACTCATTGTAATAATACTGAAACCACAAAGTCAGGGGCAGCACTTAACCTCAAGAAGCCAAGTCCAAATGACAGCCAGGAGGGCTTTAAAGACGTAAAAGACCAGTGGTGGTGGTCCATTAACATTTGCACTTATTTCACCACTCTGACCCCTAAAAAAGCCAGATAATGGGCTACCTTCAACAACCAAACTGGTTAGGTACTAGCTCCACTGGCCGCTGCTGAGCCAGGTATAATATCTTCACTAGAATAGATTAATGCAAAGTCAGGTTAATGGTATGTTGCCATTGATCTAGTGAATGTGTACCTACCCACTGCTATGCTAAAGGAGGATCAGAAACAGTTTGCATTCACTTGAAATAAACCACTTTATAAATTTACATGATTGCCCCAGGACAATATTAACTAACTTGCTGTCTGCCACAGCACAATCAGAAACACTTGTATTGACTAACATCCATCACAAGTATCATGTTCACTGGATCACGTGAGCTAGTGGCTAGTGTGCCACTGGCCTTGAAAAGTGTTCTCTAAATGGTGGGAAGTAAACCCTTTAATGAGCCTGCTACATCAGTAAAACTTTTGGATGCCTGGTGGTGTGAGGAATGGTGGTACAGTCCTATCTCTTATACCTACACTGAAAATGAAACACAATGGCTAGTAGCAGTAGCCCTCTTCAGATTCTGCAGGCAACACATTCCACATCTGGAAATAACGCTCCAACCCATATACTGGGTGGTACAAAAGGTTTGCAGCTCTGAGGGGAACCCAAAACAGAAAGTGCTCTGCAGCAGGCCTTATAACATAGAAAATCCCATGACATTGGAGATATAGAGGTAGGAAAAGACCCTGTATGGAATGTCACAAGGGAGAATCACAAAGGAGACCCCTAGGTTATCTGCAGCATAAAAATCAAATACCTGTATAAAAATAAGCTCCTCATATGTTACCAGGCCCTGGCAGAGGTAGGGTGTCTGAACATGGTGCACAAAGTAACCACAAAACCAGAACTGCTAATTTTAACCTGGGTTCTATTAGATATTACCAAATCATATGATCAGGCAAGTCCAGGAGAAATCATTGTTAGATGGAAGTGGAACATCCAGGATAAAGCATTAACAGGGCCAGGTGGCACAAATAAAATGCATAAACAGGTAACCCAGACACCCATGTCACCTGTTTCTCAACTTCAGATGAATTCAAGCCTTAAAGTGCCAAGCAAAATTTTGAGAAATTTTGGAAGAAGGCATAGATGAGTGTATTTCTGATCTTGGGTCAGAAAGAATTCCTAAGATGCAAATGGAAAAATCACTATAACATAGACACTTTGACATTTTAAATTAAGAACTTTTGCCATAAAAAGAGACTTTAAAGAAAACGAAAAGACAGAAAGTGTGAGAATATGCAGCATTAGCTGATGTTACATTATTATGAGGACTGTTAGAAGTTTAAAATCAATGAAGAATAACAGCAATCATGAGAAAAGTGAGAAAAATCATGAAAAGGTATTTCAAAGAAAAGAAAACATATTTGGCCAAAAGTCATATGCGACTCAAAACCTCATTAATAATGTAAATACAAAACAGGTGAAAAACAGATGACATTCTATTGGCAAAGATTAACAAGTTCAACAATACTAAACGTTAGAGAAAATGGGGAAGTTTCCTACTGTTGCTGGTGGGAAAGTAAATTTGTACAATCACTTTTGAAAATAGTTTGGAAGTGTCTTATACTTGACCATTCGTATTTCCTACAACTTAGCAACTCCTTTCCTAGGTATGTCCAAGACAAACTTTTGTACATGTGCACTTGGAGACATGCTTGTGCATGTCATTTTTCTTTTTTTTGAAAGAGAGTCTTGTCTGTTGCCCAGGCTGCAGTGCAGTGGCATGACCTTGGCTCACTGCTACCTCTGCCTACCTGGTTCAAGCGATTCTCCTGCCTTAGCCTCTGGAGTAGCTGGGATTACAAAGATGTGTGCCACCACCTTCAGGTAATTTTTGTATTTTTAGTAGAGATGGGGTTTCACCATGTTGGCCAGGCTGGTCTTGAACTACTGACCTCAGGTGATCCACCCGCCTCGGCATCCCAAAGTGTTGGGATTACAGGCGTGAGCCACCGCGCCTAGCCCAATGTAATTTTTAAATAGAAAAAAAAAAAAGAGAGAAGGAAATAAAATCAAATATAAATGATCAATAAAAATAAATACATTCTGATATGATCATGAAATGGAATGATAAGGTATGACTTAATTCATATAAATGAATTTTAGCCAGAAACTTAGAAAAATGATTCTAAAATTCATATGAAACCAAAAAAAAAGTGCAAATAGGCAAAGAAATCCTAAGCAAAAAGAGTAAATCCTTTAAAAGCATCACAATACCTGACTTCAAACTACACTATAAGGCTACGCTAACCAAAACAGCATAGTACTGGTACAGACACACAGACCAATGGAACAGAATGGGGAACAGAGAAATAAAGCTGCATACTTACAGCCATCTGATCTTTGAAAGAATTGACAAGAATAAGCAATGGGGAAAGGACTGTCTATTCAATAAATCGTGCTGGGATAGCTGTCTAGCCATATGCAGAAGGATAAAACTGAACCCCTATCTTTGAACATAAACAAAAATTAACTCAAGATGGATCAAAAACTTAAATGTAAGGCCTAAAATTATAAAAATCCTAGAAGCAAACCTAGGGAACACGATTCTGGACATCAGCCTTGGGAAAGAATTTAGTAATTGAGTAATTGAGTAAGTCCTCTAAAGCAATTGTAACAAAAAATTGACAAGTGGGACTTAAAGAGCTTCTGCATAGCAAAAGAAACTATCAACAGAGTAAACAGACAACATATGAATGGGAGAGAATATTCACAAAATATGCATCTGACGAAAGTCTAATATCTAGAATCTATAAGTAGCTCAAACAATTTAATAAGCAAAAAACAACCCCATTAAAATGTGGGCAAACAATATGAGGAGACATTTCTCAAAAGAAGATACAAGTGGCCAAAGAATATATGAAAAAAAATACTCAGCATCACTAATCGTCAGAGAAATGCAAATCGAAACCATAATGACATACCATCTCACACCAGTCAGGATGGCTGTGGTTAAAAAGTCAAAAAATAACAGTGCTGGTGAGGCCGCAGATAAAACACTTACACAATGTTAGTGGGAATTTAAATTAGTTCAGCCACTGTGGAAAGCAGTTTGAAGATTTCTCAAATAACTTAAAACAGAACTACCAATTAACCCAGCAGTCCCATTACTCGGCATATATCCAAAAGAATATATACTGTTCTACCAAAAAGACACTTGTACCATTATGTTCATCACAGCTTTGTTCACAGTAGCAAATGCATGAAATCGACCTAGGTGCCTATCAATGGTGGATTGGATAAAGAAAATGTGATAAGTATACACCATGGAATACTACATAGCCATTAAAAAGAAATAAGTTAATGTCCTTTGCATCAACATAGATGCAGCTGGAGGCCATTATCCTAAGTGAATTAACATTGGAACAGGCAACCAAATACTGCATGTTCTCACTTATAAGTGAGAGCTAAACATTGGGTACTCATGGGCATAAAGATGGCAACAATAGACGAGACTACTAGAGAGGAGAGGGAGTGGTGGAGGGAGGTAAGTGTTGAATAACTATTGGGTACTGTGCTTACTATCTGGTTAATGAGATCAGTCATACCCCAAACCTCAGCATCACACAATATACCCATGTAACAAACCTGCACAGGTATCCCTTTTATCTAAAATATAAGCTGAAAGCATAAAAGTCAACATATAAATGAATTTTAGCAATGCAGTTTTCAGTGAAAATAGGAATTCTTGGAAAAGTTCAATCATAATAATACCCATTTTATAAAGTTTAAAGTAAATCAAGACTGAACAGTTTATTGTAAACAAAATTTTATTTAGACATATTTTGATATATAGACATCAAAATTTTATTTAGACATATATAGACATACAGATGTCTATATATATACATAGATGTCTATATATATACATACATATATACATATATACACATAGATGTCTGTATATGTGTCTATATATATAGACATCTATGTGTATGTCTATATATGTCTAAATAAAATTTTGACATATATAAAATACATAAACATATATAGACATCTAAAATTTATATCATGAATTTTAAAAGTAAGAAATAATAACATCTGGGATATTGAAGAGGGGGCAGTGTAGCAGGAGACTAGGAAATTAGTGTAACGGGGATTCAGCAGGTGCAGACAGTTTGCATAAGCAAAAGAACAGCAGGTGAAGCCAGTTCGTATAGGTAGGAGAGTAGCAGGTGAAGCATATAGGACACATCCTCTCTCTCATGATAACAAACCACTTTCACCTCTGATTGGCTGCTGGGCTGGGCCTCCATTGCAGCCTCTGATTGGTCACAGGCCAGTCCTTCATGGGGTGTAGCCAATTGGAGACCTCTAAAGGGCACCGAGGGGTGTTGCTGGGTTCCTTCAGCTTAATAAAAAATCCTAACGGAAGAAGATTTTGAGCCGCTTGCTCGAGCTTACTCTTGTTTTGTGCGTTGTCTTCAATACATCTGTGCTTTCATTACTTCTTTCTTCTGTTGCTTTGTTTTTCGTTGCTTCATTTTTTTTGTTACCTTGTTTGCTCATTTTGTTCAATTCTTTGCTCAACACCCAAGAACCTGCACAACTCTGGTAACATTTTGGAGAGCCAGCCAAGAGGTAAGCCCAAACTTTGGGATTTATTTTTTCTTCTCTTTCTTTGTCAAAGCCGTCATCTGCATGCAGGGGTCGGGCAGTTAAAAGCCACTAGGGCACCTGCTGCTTAAAGTCTCCCAAGACAGGATAACTAGGTCATAGAACAGGATATTTAGGTCTTGCTGAGTTCAAGACAAATCCATGTGACAGGTTTTTGTATGTATGGCAAAATGTTTTTGAGGAGGTTAGACCCTTCATTTTCTGATTTCGATGTTTTATTGATTTGTGGGGAAGTGGTCATGCCGAATTACTTTATATTCCATTTCTCAGAGTAGGAAAAAAGATTTCACTTTTATGTATGAATTATTTTAGCATGAGAACCCGGAATTTTTAATTGTAGGGATAAGTCCCGAACTTTATTGTGAATAGTTTTAAGGTACATTGCAAGGTCCCTGTTTCACGAGTGTTACAGGCTGAAGTTTATTTCACTTGGCGGGACGCAAAAAGCTGAGCACTGCATCTCGGGACTAAGGGAATCATAGACCGTTCCATCGCCTATAGCGGGAAAACATCCACAGGTATGTCTGACACCTTAGGGTCAGGGATGCCTGCAACAAATAGGCCTTCCTTAGGCCAGACCACTATGGGAAACACCTTTCAGAATCCTTTAATCTGTAAAGCTCAGAGTAGACCATTCCATTGCCTATGGAGACAGAACATCCAAAACAGCACTGATGCCCACCCCACGGTCGGGGACGCCGCCTGACACCCTAAGGACAGAGATGTCTGCAACAGATGGGCCCTCTTTAGGCCAGATCACTATGGGAAACACCTTTCAGAATCCTTCAATCTGTAAAGCTTCTAAGACTTGCCCTTAAAAAGACTGAGCCAGACATTGTGGATGATGCCCCTCTTATAAGGACAACTTGTCTCTCAGGGCAATCTACAGCCACCCCCCATATAACCCCTTGTCAAATGCTCCAAACATGCAATGCCAGCCAGAAAAGAAAAGAACTATATTAAGCCCCCAACAAACCTGGAGTGGAACACCCTGCTCAGCAGCTCCTCTGGCACTATTACATCTCAGGGAAGTAGCAGGAGTAGAAGGGCCAGTTTGAGCACAAGTCCCATCTTCCATAACTGATATCCAATAATGTAAGGAAAAGTTGAGAAGGTGCTCTGAGGACCGTGACAGGTTTGCAGATGGGTTCCAAACCTTAGTTGGGCCTTTGACTCATCATGGAGAGATGTCCAATTTATTTTAGCAATCTGCTTCACTCCTGTGAAAAAGGAAAGGATTTTTGAGACTAGCCCCCATGAGACAGATGATATGTTTGCCCAAAATCCCCAGGGCAGTCACTCAGGCCCAGACGCAGTGCCTACCACTGGTCCTAATTGGGATTGTAATACCCCTGTGCAAATGAATAGGAAAACAAATTTCTTGAGGTACTCCTTGGAGGTATGAAAAAGGGGATAACCAAGAGTGTAAATTATGATAAGGTCAGGGAAGTCACACAAGGGAAGGAAGAAAATTCAGCTATGTTTTATAGCAGGTTAGAAGAGGCCTTCAGAAAATATGCAAATTTAGACCCTTCCTCTCCTGAGGGCATGAGGCTAATGGTCCAGCATTTTATTAGCTAGTCTGCCCTGGACATCAGGCACAAACTCCAAAAATTGCAAATGGAACCACAAACTAACCCAAATCAGCTTCTTGATACCACCTTTAGGGTATGTTGACCTGGAGCAGGGAAAAAGGGAAGAGCGTAAAGAAAAACAGCAAGCTAAAATTATGGTAGCCATCACTGGAAATGCCTAGAGAGCATCTAAAGGGCCATAAGAAAAATGTCAGCAAAGGCTCTTGCTTTAAATGCAAGAAAAAAAAAAGACATTAGGCAAAGGATTATACTAAGCCCCTGCCAGGCCCCTGCAAGAGCCTTTGCTCCTACCAGTCATGACCCCTAGCACTGGATAATTGACTACCCCCACTCCCACTGAGGGGCTCAGTCAAGACTCTCATAGTGCAAAAGGAGAACGTAGATGACTACTGAAGGGGCCTAGGGCTTTCCTCATCACCCCTGTCCAGGAACATCATCATTACTATTGAGGAGCCCCGGGTAACTTGATGTGATGGGTACACAAATTCAGTTTCTTTTTAATACAGGGGCAAGTTACCCTCTCCTTACTGCGTATGCAGGAAAATCTTCCACTAGGACCACAACTATTTTAGGAATGGAAGAGAAAAATAAAATCAGGCATTTCATCCCACATTTAATTTGCCAATTTGAAAAACAAATTTTGCAGCAGGAGTTTCTAACAGTACCAAGCTGACCAGTCCCCCTGTTGGGAAGGGATATTATGGTTAAAATAGGGGCACTGCTAAAATTTAAGCACAACCTGGCAAGATTGCTAATGGTCAGTGATGCAAACAGTGTTCCAGGCCATGTCAACAAATGGGTCAACCCACTAGCATGGTATACTAGGAGGCCTGGAAGGGCCTAGGACAGTAGTGCCAGTCAAAATACAACTCAAAGACCCCAATCATTTTCCAAACTAAAAACAATACCCAATTAAGCTGGAAGCAAGAAAGGGCCTAGCATAAATAGTTAAGGAGTTGCTTGCCCATGGACTTCTAAAACCCTGTAATTCTCCCTGCAATACCCCTATTCTGCCCGTTTTTGAAACCTTCAGGAGAATACTGTATGGTACAGGATCTCAGGATAATTAATAAAGCAGTGATCTCTGTCCACCCATTGGTGGCAGACTTGCATATTCTTTTGACTCAGGTGCTGGGAACACAGAATTGTTTTCAGTCTTAAAGAATGTCTTTTTCTGCATTCCTCTGGCACTAGAGTCTCAATATCTTTTTGCATTTGAATGGGAATATTCTAATGGCAGAGAAAGAAAAAGAACAATACACTGGACAGTACTCCCACAGATATTTCAGGACAGCCCCGATTTTTTTTCCCCCAGGCCTTAAAAAGGGATCTGAAGGATCTTCAGTTAGAAAAACAAGAGTATACTCCAGTATGTAGATGACCTTCTTGTGTGTAGCCCAACCCAGGAGATATCTGATAAAAATACTATAAGGACCTTGAATTTTTTGGCCAATCAGGGATACAAAGTGTTCAAAAAGAAGGCTCAAATTGCACCCCAATGGGTTCAATATTTGGGGAATATCAAATTCCCCAAATCCCAGAGACTGGCAGGTATCCCCAGAACGGGTGCAAGCTGTATGTGGTTTGGGACCCCCCACCCCCAAGCAACAGTTTTGTTCCTTTCTGGAAGTGGCTAGGTTCTGTAGAATATGGGTACCAAATTTTGGGCTCATAGCAAAACCTCTTTATTAAACAACAAGGGAGCCAGGAAATGAGTCAATGGCGTGGACCCCAGAAATGAGGGAAGCCTTCGCCAAGATAAAACAGACTCAGGCTCCCGCCCTTGGCATCCTAGTCCTCACAAAGCCTTTTCAGTCTTTGACTCTTTTACTTTCTCTTCTGCAACCAGCTGGAAAAAAGTTCGATATTTAAAGAGCTCATATATTTAGTTAAGGCGTACCTGGATAATCTCCTGTCTCAAGGTTGTCTGTGCCATATTCACATAACCTAATCACAGGAGTAAAAACCATCAAATTCACAGCTCCAGTTAATTACTGTAGGGCACATATACCAGAAGGGCAGGAAATTTTAGGGGCCATTTTAGAATTCTGCCTACCACATCAATCAACAAATAAAATGGACTAAAACACATGATTAGTAGTAGCCCAATTATATGCAACAAAATTCCACTTTAAGAAAAGCTAAAGAAATAAAATTTCTCTTTGGAATGATGTCTGAATATTTCAACTAGTACTTTATTGAGTTTAAGATCTTTTAAGGATGAGAGAGTCTCCACTGAATTTTGAACAAAATGTTTCTAATAAAAAATCACCTTTGGCCTAAATCATTAAATTCCATGGGCAAGTGTACTAATATGTGAAAGTTTTGGTTTATATCAGATAGTTTTCTAAGAATGTGGCTTCCTCTAAAATCCCTACTCTAGAGATCATTTTTCCTGACAATTTTTTTTTAAGTTAGTTTTAAGTTATCCAGGCATGGAATATTCATCAGTACGTAATGGTGCTAAAGAATTTGAGCTATGGACCTTTAATTCTTAAGTTTAAATCTGAGTTCTGTCACTTATATTAGTTGGGTGGACTTTGAAAGAGTCACTTAACCTTTATATGTAGGGTTTCTTCCTAACAAAACAGGAACAATGTTTTGGTTTCTGAGGAATAACTCAGATATTGCGTTTAGAGTGTAGCAAATATAGATTTTATAATTATTGGCTTTACGTACTATGCTAGTAACTATTTCCTTGTATAAGCTTATTTGAAAGTATTCTAGAACACATGAAACCAATGCTTTAGTTATCTATCCTTTTAGCCCTTTTAAAAATATAATATGAAATATATTTACTCAGTATTTTATAATATTAATTGTATTAGTTGCCTCTTGTAAATTTGTTTGAGTTCATTGTAGATTCTGGATATTAGCCCTTTGTCAGATGAGTAGGTTGCGAAAATTTTCTCCCATTTTCTGGGTTGCCTTTTCACTCTGATGGTAGTTTCTTTTGCTGTGCAGAAGCTCTTTAGTTGAATTAGATCCCATTTGTCAATTTTGGCTGTGGTTGCCATTGCTTTTGGTGTTTTAGACATGAAGTCCTTGCCCATGCCTATGTCCTGAATAGTAATGCCTAGGTTTTCTTCTAGGGTTTTTATGGTTTTAGGTCTAACGTTTAAGTCTTTAATACATCTTGAATTGATTTTTGTATAAGGTGTAAGGAAGGGATCCAGTTTCAGCTTTCTACATATGGCTAGCCAGTTTTCCCAGCACCGTTTATTAAATAGGGAATCCTTTCCCCATTGCTTGTTTTTCTCAGGTTTGTCAAAGATCAGATAGTTGTAGATATGCGGCGTTATTTCTGAGGGCTCTGTCTCTTTTATCATCTTAAAATATTCTCATGCTATTAAATTCCATTTAAAAATTTTATTTGAATTTATTTGTAAAATATGATATTTAGAAAAAAATTATCTCTTTGGCCAAAAAATCCCTTTCTTTTTCCATTTCTTCAAATAGCTTAAATATCCCCAGTTGCTGTCTGGTGTTCTTAAAGTAAATCCACTGAGGTTTCACCAATTTCTTTTTGCTCTTTATACAGTTTGGGATTTTTTCACTGATGCAATATATCGTGAACTGACAGGCTATTTGTGGCAATCTTGCTCATTTTTCTATCAGTGACTTATTCTTTATTAAAAGGAGCTGGACAAATTGAACTTGTGAAACATTTTTATTTTGTTTGCCTTTTATACTTTTTTTATAAAGGAAAAATTTAGTATATTTCTCAGTTTAGTCTTGTAAGATATTTTGATAAAATGCCACAGTACTTTATAGTCAAACATGAAAGAGATAGAGCACTTCACCATTGAAGAAGTCAGTGTTTTCTATAAATTTTTGTGCCTTGTTTTTTAAAGGTTTCATGAACCAAGAGTGGCAGCATCACTTTTGCTTTGTTAAAACACAGTGATATATTTATTTTACTGTCAGGAACTGCTGATATGATAACTCAAGGGAAATGCTGAAATGAGAATTTGAAAAACCAAGCAATTTCCTTCATGAAATTACATGCCATATGCTCAACATTTAGGTCACAAAGCATGCTTTAAAAAAAAAAAAAAAATGGATCTCAAATTTATGCAAATGAGTTATCATAGAGGTGATTAAATGTAAAACAGAAAACATGCATTTCTGGAGTTCTCTTTTTTGAGATAAATATTGAAGATTGGAAATATAATTGAAATTCTAGGACATTGGAATTAGAAAACACATTACCATTTATAGACATCTGCTTAGAATCCGGTGCTGAAGGTAGTTTGGTGCTTTATAGGGTACCTGACTCCTGAGAGATGAATGTGTGTGCCTGAAAGGTGCAGAAGTGGTGGCAAGCTCCAAGACATTTGGGTTCAGGAGAGTCCTCAGTGTTGACAAGCAGAATTCTGACACTTATTGCGGGCTGGGCATGGAGAATTGTGTTCACCAAATATGTCATAGCATACATGGCTGATGGGAGACAAGAAGGGGCTTCAGAGGCACTCAGAGGCTTGTATGGGTTGGGAATTTCCTTTATCCATATATTAAGCAGGGAAAAGTGGAATGCACACTAGTGGAGAGATACTACTGCTCAGAAACAGGCGTCTTCCATAGATAAACCCGTGGCATAAACAAGTAGTGATCAACCCCTAACCTGTCTGGAGTAGTAAATTAACTGGCCAGCCCACTTCTATTGATGCTGTCCCTCTTTTTGATGCCAAATGTCACAGTCTGAAGAAATTCAAGGAATAAATCTGAATAGATTTCCTTTTATTACATCCTCAAGTTAATCCCAGCTTAGAAAGCCAGAGAGAAAAAGTCATTTCTTAGTAGATTAAAATGTATTTTTGTCTTTTAAACTTTTAAACTACTGAAAATCTATCATGCTTGTGAAAATGCTGGGACAAACCACTACGATGATGCTATCTGATGGAAGCTAATGAGAGTAACAAAAGTGATTCACATACTTAGTTTAAAATATTCTAATAGTCACATTAAAAGAATACAATGAGTGAAAATTATTTTAATGTGGTAGTTTACACCAGGCACAAAGTATTTCAAGACATATAATCAATATAAAATTATTACTGAGAAATATGACTCTCATAATTTATATTAAGTCTTTGAAATCTTATGTGCATTTTTCCCCGTAACGCATCGTAGTTTGGACTAGCACATTTCAAGTGCTTGAGAACCACAAGTAGCAAGTGGTCACTGTATTGGACAGTTTGTGATGAAATCAACATGTTAGATTCTTCATGACAATCATTTCTTATTTCAGAAGTCTGCAGGTATTATACTATTTTGGCTGTGAAAATGCACCTTTAAACAAACTTACAGTGTAGATATAACACAGTGCTTTTATTACATCTTCTATGGAAGATGAAGATGGATCAGATATACATACATTAGACAAAAAAGCAACACATGAAACAGTAACAGCATAAAAGTAAGTAACTGTCCACATTTAGCCATGCTAATTTCATCTGTAAATTTAGGATTATATTATTTTTATTTCATCTTTTTACCCAGCTTTTGAAAATTATTTTAAAGAGATTTTGCATATCTTTCCATGTGTTGTCCTTGTTTTTGTTGTATAAATATTTTGGATGATGTTTTGCATTATTTGGTGTATATTTCTATTTGAATCTGGGTTTTTGTATTTGGAGAAGTAGGGAAGGCTACAAATTTCTGAAGGGCAGATGACAATGGCTTGCAAACCTTGCTCACTACACACCAAATCAGTTAAACCATAGCAAATGGATCAGAATGTAATAAATGGATTAGTTCTCATAAAGAATATTTTGAAAAGTATTGCTTCTATTTTTTAAACTTTCATAATTTCCTTAATTTTTCATAACTCAAAATTGTTGGCAAATAAATATATTGGAAAACATTCAGAGTTCAGTGCCAGGCTCTAGCTCCATCTTATTTCTAATATCACTCTTCTCCCTAAAGCTGGAGGCCTTTGGCACCTACTTAAGATCCAGATTTTATCCTGTTGAAAGCAACAATACTTATTTAAACCAGGAGATCCTCATGGCTTTACCTCTGATCCTCTGTTTCAGGAATTTTGTTTGGTTTTCTAGACCAACACTGACTTCTGCATTTTGTAAGGCTGTGAATTATACTAGTAAAGACTGGAGACTTCAATCACCAATGATATAGCGGCTGTCATGAAAATGTATTGACATGTTTTTATTTTTATGGGTCTATAGGTTAACCTAATTTTCATTTATGCTATAGTTACTCCAATGTAAAATTTCAATAAAGTGAAGAGATCTCATTTCCTTCTATCCACAATGTTCTATTATTTTTCTAACTTTAAAGTATTCACATATACAAACAAGATTAGCTAAATGTTTATCCAGTCCTCTTCATCCTGTGATCTACAGTTTCAAAGTTCTGTTTTCCCTGTCCTCCACATGTGTTTTTCTACTCATACATTGTGAGTATTAGAGAGTGAGGTGTGAGTAGGAGTAGAGGTGTTTCTATTCTCCTTTTATATAACACTGTATATACTAGTCCCTCTTTATTTTCAGTTTCACTTTCTGCAGTTTCGGCTACCCAAGGTCATCCACAGTCCAAAGATATTAAATGAAAAATTACAGAAATAATTTATAAGTTTTAAATTGTGTGTTGTTCTGAGAGTAGCATGATGAAATCTCGTGCTGTTCCACTCCATCCCACCCAGGATATAAATCATCCCATTGTCCACTGTATTCATGTTATCTGCGTTACCTGCCTGTGAGTCCCTTGGTAGCCATCTCAGTTATCTTATTGACTGTGGCAGTATTACAGCGTTTGTGTTCAAGGAACCCTTATTTAACTTAATGGCCATAAAGCATAAGAGTAGTGAAGCTGGCAGCTTGGATATGCCAAAGAGTAGATATAAAGTGCTTCCTTTAAGTGAAAAGGTGAACGTTTTTGATTTAAAAAGGAAAAATATAGTGTAAATGGTGTTCAGTACTGTCTGAAGTTTCAGGCAGTCACTGGAGATCTAGGAATCTATCCCCCATGGATAAGAGGGGGCTACTATAATACACTGTGAGGAAGATATTACTGTTTCAAGTTTACACTTAGGAAAACTGATTGAGAGTTTAGTAACTTGCTGAAGATATCACAAGTAGTAAATGTGTGACTCTGACCACTTCTCACCATCTCTATCACTCTCATCCTTACAATGCTCTTTATGGCCCCTCACAACCTCTCTAATTTTAAGTCCCACCACTCTCAAGTTGTTAGAAGATATCCTGAGATTTTTTGTGGCCTGAGATTTCCACTAACATGAAGACACAGAATCAAGAAATGTACAAAGACTTGTACTTGGTAGCAGAGTTTGCTATTTATCTATGGTTACCTAATATATTATCTGAAAACAGAATGACAGTATAATTGATTATTTGTCACAGTTTCTGTGGGTAAGGATTAATGAGCAGCTTGCTGGGATGTTTTGGCTATGGGCCTCATGAGATTCCTGTAGTAGTAATGTCATAAGTTGGCTAGGGTTGCAGCCATTTGAGGATCTACTGAGCCTCCAGGCAGGATCATTCACGTGGATGGCAAGTTGAAGCTGGCTATTGTCAAGAGGTGTAAGTTTTCCTCTAGGTGGTTCTCTCCAGAAGACTGCTTTAGTACTCTCACAATATAGTGGCAGGCTTCTCTCAAAGTGTTATCCACAGGCCAGTGTGGGAGGTGTTGTGTCTTTTATGAGCTGCCTTGAAACTTCCGCATGGGAATTTCTGTAGTATTCTTTTGATGATGCAAATATTCCCTGATTCATTATGGGTGGGCATAAATGCTGGGAGGCTAGAAGTATTTGGGGTCATCTTTATGGCTAGCTACCACACCTAATTTGAGTCTTAGATAAAACTGTATGAAGCTTTATCTGAACTGTTTTTGTTCATCCACTTTGGGTTGATTCTTATGTCATTTTCAAACACAAAATCTTAATTGATAAAATGGGATCCTAAAAGACTTGCTTACTAGTTTAAGAGCTTCCAATCACAGCAATAACTTAAAAATTCATATTATTACAAATGTGAAGATCGTTAAGGGCTCATCCCTTCAAATATAAAATGAGAAATGACTAATGATGAATAATTGAGTGATTTTTAAGGATATCAGATTTTGCTTAAATTACAAGAACTAGTATAACATGACTTAAAATAATTACAAATGTTACTTGGCTTTTACTTTGAGCTCTTGGAAGGTTATCTAGAATTAGGTTTTCTTAGCTCACAAGATATAAAAGTTGGAATGCGTCTTTATAGCCAAGTTATATTCTCATTCAGATGTTAAGTTTCAAACCAACTCTAAAGAATGCTTACTCTTAGGCAAATATATCTTTTCAGCTTGGAATGAAGATTTGATATTTTTAAATTTTTCTGCTGTTTTATATTAGATGTTTTGTTATAAATGAGTTATTCTATTATGAATCATGTAGGACCTGTATCTACTCTGATTCAACACCTTTCTGTTTTAAAAAGAGAAAGATGGTTGTTGATGGTTTTTTAACATTCATTTTTTTCCATGAACTTGCGTGTATTCCTCAATATTTTCTTTACACATCAAACTGAATATTATAAAATTTATTATGTAGAAGATATGAAATGTAAAACAAAATCCCAGGGAAGATTTACATAATAAAATTTTAAGAATTTAGGAATTAACTAAAATTTCTTAGGAAATTTTTTTCAGACTCTCCAAAACTGAGTAACTTATCTCGTTAATTGTTCTGGTATTAACACTAAATTATCAGGATTTAAACCAACTAGATAGAGAACTACTTTAAAAGTGTTAACTTTAAGAATTTTAAGAATGTGGTGTAATTTTTAAAATTCTTCTGCAGACAACTGAAGTTTTTTACCCATATTATAATATGATAATTGGATTTTTTTTAAAATGAGCCTTACATGTTCCTCTTTTTGTTTCATTTTACTTTTCTCTTTCCTCAAATGTCTATTTTTGGTATACTGTTTCATACATTTTAGTTTGCTTGCCCTTTCAAATGCAATTAACATTCTGGCAAATTTACAAAAGAGGTTAAGAAATTGCTGTGAATGCAAAGGCAGACATAAAAAAGAAGTAATCATTTTAGTATATTTGATAGTAAGAGAGCTAAAATTTACAAGTTTTGCTTGGAAAAAATGGATGGGGGAGTGTAAGAGGTGCTTTCCACCAGCTGCAATTGATAATTGAAGCTGCACATAAAGCAAAGCTGGAAGCCATCATCATGACTCTTTCTACTTAGCAAACAAATACATTGGCAGTAAATAAACAGAGGCATATGCCTGTGGAAAATAGGATATAGAGGTGCACTTTCTAGAATTTCATGTAAAAAGAAATACTAGGACACAGAAAAGGGCTATTTAGCATAACTTAGAGATATCCAATGAAAAAATGTGTTAGTAATTATATGTACAGGGATAGAACTTGACCAGATTAGAAACTGGTGAATTTTTGACCTGTATTTATCTTCCTTTCTTGTGTGACAAGCCTTCCCTACATCCTACTTCTATTCCCAGATTGAAGATGCTCCTTGTGCATGTTCATTTGAAATAGAAACTAGACATCACTCAATACTTTTACCCAGAGCCAAATAAATAGGTAAGTCAGGCAATGTATTAGTCCATTCTTGCATCACTATAAAGAAATACCCAAGACTGTATAATTTATAAAGAAAAGAGTTTTAATTGGCTCACAGTTCTGCAGGCTGTTCAGGAAGCATAGGACTTCTGGGGAGGCCTTCGGAAACTTTCAGTTATGACGGAAGGTGAAGGGGAAGCAGGCATATCTTACATGGCTGAAGCTGGAAGAAGAGATGAGGGAGGTACCACATGCTTTTTTTTTTTTTTTTTTTTTTTTTTGAGATGGAGTTTCACTCTTGTTGCTCAGGCTGGAGTGCAATGGCTCTGCCATTACTCAGTTCCAAAGCTGCTTTCACATTTTCAAATATCTTTATAGCAGTACTTCACTTCTGGTACCAATTTTCTGTGTTAGTCTGTTCTTGCATTGCTATGAAGAAATACCTGAACTTTTGCTTGTTCTAAGAGTGACCTTTCACTCATGGTAATAGTAAAAAAACACACCCCTGTGTGGAGATTAAAGATAAGAATGGAACATACAATATATGTACTGCCATGTACAGCTACAGCACATGTGCACCCAGAGGACCACCCAGAACATGCTTATTAGTAACACCTCTTTCTCCCACTTGGTGAATAATCATGTAAGACTCCCATAAAGGGAATTTTCCCCAGTGTCAGTCACTATCATCTCATCTTCAAATGTCCTGTTCTGACTTGGCTTTCAGAGTGTACTTTTGCTTTTTCAATAAACTGCCTTGCACTGATATCTTTATTGCTGTGTTTCTCTTGCTTTAATTCTTTTCACCAAGAAGACAAGAACTGTAGATCCACATTCCCAGTAACACACCCCATCTCCAGCACTTTATAATCCCCTTCTCCATATTATTTTTGTCTCTTTAGCACTCATCACTAACACTATGTGTACACACTTATCTATGCCTACACATACATGTATGAAGATTTTTATCTGTTTATTGCTTTATCTCCAATACCTAAGACAATATCTGGCAGACGATAGAAACACAAAAGGAAAAATAATAAATATTAAAATAGATATTTATTGTAAAAATGAATGGAAATTTATTCTGCTAAGGACGACTAGAAACAACCTCTAAATTTAGAAAGCATCTGATGCTCCAGAAATTTTCCCAAGGTTTTTCTGTTTAAAGTTTCAAAATTTAAGCTATTCACAAATTTCCTTCTGTAACTCATCTTTTGCTAGCATTTGTAAGGTTTACAAGACTGCCACAGAATAAATCTGCAGTGGTTTCTAGGTCAGTTGTTCATAACCTGTTTGAGCTCCCAAGAAAAGTGCATACCCCTGTTCCCTTCTCTGTATCCCTTTGTTGATAGTTCCTTCCCCCTATTTCCTGGGCTGCATCATGGAGACAGCTAGGCCACCTCAGTCATGGTTCATAGGGGCAGGGAAATTGCCACATGGTCCCAAGAAGACTAGAATGTACTCTCCTTAAGGAGTGAAAAATTGACTGGGCTGAACATAGCTGTTTTTCTCAACTCACCACGACAGAGTCATTTGTTATTTCTTCTACTATGAGAATTTTGTGTGTGTTTGTAGGTATGTGTGTGTGTGTATCTTTTGGCAGGGGGTGTGTTATATGTTGAAAACAAGCCAAGGAGCTTACTATAGTGGAAATCCCATTATGGTCATATCAGGTAAGAAAAATGAAGGTCATCACTATCCCTGACTATCCAGTATTTACCAGCCTTTCTGACTCATTGGGTTGAACTAGGTAACTTATAGTAGAGTCACAGCTCTACTACACAGAGCCACAAGCTCTTATCAAATGAGAGAACATCTACAGTTTATTAACAGTCCTGTTCAAACACATATGAATCCACTATCCTATTGGCAAACATTTTTTCTTCATTTATTTCTTCTTGAAATGTTGGTGAGTGGGTTTAGTCTTTGACCTAAAAATCTATGATATGGCTTGTAAAATTATATCAGCTAATTTAACTCCAAAGTTCTATTGTACTTCAGGCAAAAATGTTAATCCCTACTCTGTTTCTTATTATAAATGCTTCAGAGATTAGTAAAACTGTAAAATGTGGGGAAAGGCTAAAGGGCCATTTTGTGACAAGTAGAATGTTTAGGGATATGAGCATCTTTGATCATATTATCCCTGTTCTATGTCATAATTTACTCTTCCTTCAAGGTTAACTGCGTTAATATTTATGTGCTCAGTAGATTTCAACTTAGATGGCATTTCCTCCAGAATGCTTTGCTTAAACCTCCTTGGCGTGGTTGGTTGCTTCTGCTATTTGACCCCCTTCTGTCCTCAATTTGTACCGCATTGTATGTACCTTTGTCAAAGCCCTATTCACTCTTCTGAAAGTAAATTCTAGCTTCCTTGTCTAACTCCTTCCTGAAATATATGCCCTGTGAGTATGTATATCATCATGTCTATTTTGTTCACTATTTTATCTCCTATTAGCATGGTAACTCTGCCTTTAATAAATTTTTATCAAATGAAAGAGTGATTCATTTTAAGAGAATAGAAGCCATGAAGTCTTCGCAGCATGAACATTTAGATGTAGTGTTTGGGAATTCACAGGTTTCAGATTGCTCTGGCTTCTCACAGCTGGTTGCTATGGAAACAACTACCCAGGTTCTGCTTGGGATGGTTAACCCCACCTGGAAATGCCTAGCTGTGCCTCCCTTAAGCTTGGCTAATCCTAGGTCTTGGGACTCATCTTCTCTTTTTCTTTGCCATTTGAAGTATGGCATCTAGAGGGCCATGATCAGCTAAGGGCCTAGGACAGGGTTTTTAAATGAGGAGTTTATGAAAAACCCTTAACTTGTATACAAGAGATACAAAAGAATGGCATTCCTTGGTAATAGAAAATTTCTGCCACTAACTCAACCAGAGCTTTCTGTGATTCACTCTGGTTCACCTGGACACTACCCTGATGTTTGGAGTTCTTAGATAGAATAACTCCTTTCCATGTCTCCCTCAACTTATAGCAGTGGTAGGCATCTGGTTGAGAACTAAAAATACTGGATTGTAGTCTTCTCTTTCAATTTTCTTTGTGCCATAAAGATGAGATTAATAATCATCAGACCACAAAAAAGATACATGAAAACAACAAATAAAAACACCTGAGACTAACAGATTTGAGTGGCAGCATGTGAGTCCAAAGGGCAGCCAAGATTATGATCACCATGGTTTGAACTAGTAGAAAAACAAGGGAAAGTCAAATATATTTATTGTAATTATTATACAGGTTATATTCTACTTTAGAAAGGGGTGACAGGAGTGGAGAGCTACTTTGCTGAAAGATCTTTGAATTTATACCTCTTACCCATCTTTTCAAATAAGATTTCCCTGCCTAAGAACGATAGAACTATGAGGATTCTTAGACAAAAGCTTTTTTTCTTTCCATTTAAAAAGGCAAAATTTTTAAGTGAGACATTGTGCTAGGCCTTGGAGAATAATAACAGCGATGATGATGATGATGGCTAACAACGAGTGTTAATTAGGTGCCAGCAATTTATTATCTATCTCAATTCTAAGGACCCTCTGAAGAAGGACTATTATTATTCTCATGTACAAATGAGTAAACTGAGATACAGAGAGGTTAAATTACGAAAAAATAATAACAGCATCAGGATTTTTAACTAGGAGGTCAAATTCCAGTGACCAGTCTCTTATGTGTACAGATGTGAATAAATGGATATTCTGAATGACGGAACATCATGAAAACTGACAATCGGGACAGCCCGGGATTTGTGCTGTGAACAGAGATTACACAAGTTTATGTAAAGTAGGGAGAGCAGTGATACATGAGATTGGCAAGATAGGTTGGGACCAGTCACAGAAGACTGTTACACTAAACAATTAATACTTTTTGTTATGGGTGTAGAAATGGTAAAGCCAAATTTTCCAGGAATGAGGAATTATCAGTGCTACAAGCATCAACTAATCTAGAGATCTCAGAAAAGCAAATACTTATAGTCATGGGGAAACTTTGCATTTTCAGAGGCCATTATGGAGAACAGAACCAACCTTGCTTTTCTTAGTTTCAGAAGTAGGGAGAACTTCAGGATAATAAAACAGGAGTTACAAAGTTCAAAGATGGTTAGCGCTCCCATGTTAGTAACTCCTCATAGGCTAATAAGGCAAAATTTCTTTAACATTTTGTTAGAAAAAAATGCTTTGAAATAGGCAAAAAAATAATAATTGAGCGGCTTTTTCAATAAAATATTGGCCATTGTCTAGTGCAACTTCCTGGACTTATCTGATATTTTAGAGATCTGTGCCTTGGAGAGTTCAGGGAGTTTCATGACACCATGGGACAAATAAATGAGAGCCAGAAATCAACCCCAACTCTTGTTAAATAAAAGTTTTATGCTTTAACAATTAGACTATATCTAATTTCTAACTTTACTAAAACATTAATCTGCAAGGTCTATTCCCAGAGCAGTGCTGTTATTAATGGAACATAGTCCAGCAATGAAAAATATATTCAAAATAATTCATTTCTCTTTGATTTACTCAATTCATACACACACCCATTGTAATAAACACCCAAGTGTCTTTTTATTTCAGTGTTAATTAGAATTATTTCAACTACAGGATCCGGAAAAATAATTTAAAACAGGTTAAGTTTAAAAGTAAAAGAATAGTTCATTACACTGAACTACTTTTAGTTCATTACACTGAAAAGTCAATGGGATAAACTGGTCCACATAGTTGACTGAAAAATCTTATGTTTTGGGGGTTTTCCCTCCATCCCTGGCCTCATTTTCTCTGCATGGTCTCATCTTCTCCAATTTAAGAGGGCTAGGTCTGTGCCATCAGGGAAAATAGCTGCATGCAGCTCAAGCTTACATTGGCTTTATAATGTATAATTCCAGAAAGAAGAGAAGGCATCTTTGTTGATAGTTCCAGAAGAACAGTCCAAAGGAGACCTCAGGCAACATATTCCACTAAACTAGATTGTCACATCTACTTTTGTTACATTTCTAGTTTATCCAAATTTCTTGAGTCATTTCCTTTCCTAGACATTAGCCTACACAAGCAGTCTAGGCATGTGCCTACACAAGCAGTCTCTTGTTTTTTTATTCCCTTCATTCTCTTATTTTCTTCTAATTCTGCATAATAACATTTTAAATAACCTATCTAATAGCAGTAGAAATTTCACTGAAAAGCAAAACAGAAGAAAAATATGCAAGCAAAACCAGAAGTCAAACCAGAAACCAAAATCTCAAACTTAACATATGTGGACCTTCCCTGCTTTCTCTTCTATATATAGGGTTAGTTTAAAATTCTGTGTTTCCCTTAAAATTTACATCTGGGAGAGGAAAGTACAAAGGTATCATGATACTGTTTGAAAAGAATGAGAGGAGAGCATTTAGGAAATGGTTTAGATTTGAGATGTGTCATAAGAGCTGTGTTGGCAAATGAAAGTTCTGCTTTTTGATTTGATATTAATCTATTGAAATATGTTCATTTTACCTTTAAGCACTTTTTTTCACAACTCTGCCTCACCTGTGTTCAAAAGAGTATCCAAAGTCCTTTGACGGAGGGTGAACTAATTAGCTCTAGTTCAGTGATGTCATAGCAAGTTAATTATCACCTCCATAAACATCCAGTTTACAACCTTAAGTAATAATACATATGTTAACATTTGTATTTTCCTGACACAGAATTATTGTATGAATTAAATAATGTGAGGCTTATAGATTCCTAATTTCTCTGAGCTCCGACTACGTGTTGAATCTATAATAAGCTCTTTTCCGCCACAGGGAACCTATAAAAACTTTGGATCAGATAAGTGGTGTGATCAGTGAGGTATTTTAGGAAGACTAAACTTTGTAAAAAGAATGTGCTAGATAAGGGGAAGCTGGATGTTAGAAAAACCACTTAGGACACCATGGTAATAACAGGCAAAAGGTCATGTGATCTGCATTCTTATTTTTTCAGACAGCCTGGAAAAGAGAGGGTCAACATGAGAGATGTGTTGGAGGTGAGATTGACAAGACTGGACAAATAGCTAAATGGGGTTGGGGTTGCAAGAGAATAAAAAATAATTCTAACATTTTGAGCTTGGGTGACAAGGAGAGATGGTGGCTTCTTTCATTTTGATGTGAAATGCAGCTGCACACCACAGTACTTACAGAATTTGAAATACAGATATTGAGTAACCCTCTTGAACAGAGTTAAAACGGAGAACAATGATGTGTAAAATTCCTATGTTTTTAGTCCATTCTCATGCTGCTATAAAGAACTGCCCAAGACTGGGTAAATTATAAGGGAAAGATGTTTGATTGACTGACAGTTCCATACGGCTGGGGAGGCCTCAGGAAACTTACAGTCATGGTGGAAGGGGAAGCAAACACATACTTCTTTACATGGTGGCAGGAAGGAGAAGAGTAAGAGCCGAGTGAAAGGAGAAGCCACTTATAAAACCATCAGATCTCGTGAGAACTTACTATCATGAGAATAGCATGGGGGGAACTGCCCCCATGATTCAGTTACCTCCCACTGGTTCCCGTCCACCACATGTGGGGACTATGAAAACTACAATTCAAGATGAGATTTAGGTGAGGACACAGCCAAACCATATCACTGTGATTCTCTGCTACTTAGGAAAAAGATTGCATGTTACTTTTAATGGAAAATCTGTGGTCAGGAATCAAATATACACACACAGCATCCATGCAAATAGAACAGCATGAATTAACAGCTGGAGAATTTTATGAACAAGATTCTTAGTACATTTTTGCTTGAAAGCACTAATAAATCAGATCTGCAGAAAACCTTCGTCGTGATACAACACCTCCCCTTAAGGTAATGAAGATACTCTCCTCATTTATTACTTGTCTAAGCTCTAACCTTTGTAACTTCCCCTGAGTTGATTTACAATTTGGGTTTTAGTGTGATGATTTATGTATGATGTCATTAAATATTTTGTGGAAAATATACTTTTTATTCAATATCTTCTAAAATCATTTTACTTAGAGTGTCTTTTTTGCCCAACCAATCTTTCTTTAACCCTGAAATTAAAGTTGCTAATAAGAAAAGACAAAAGGACATTTATTTTTCTTTTGGCTCCTTAGGGTGATACAATATTTTCTCTGTAGGAAGGAAGGAGGTAAAAATCCGTACTTTACTTTTTTTTGTAGAGATGAAGGCAAATTATGGTAATCCAGCTGAAATCCATGGGTAGTTTCTCACCATAACCTTGTAACTGACCTCTGTCCTGTGAATTCAGGAGTGGAGCTGAGTAAGTGCATTTGAAACAGCTTATTAAAATTATGCCATTAGCTAGGACTGTAAAGTGAAATATGGATGCTGTGTTTAGATAACCTAGGCAAAAATGGACTATCTCAGGAGAACTAGCCTAAATTAGCAATATTTCAATTCATTTTCTATTTATAACTAGCTGGATAATTTTACTTGCTTGTTATGAGAATAGTGCAATTTTGAATTGCTACTACTAATGGTTGCCATGTATTGAGAGCTTATTGTTTGCCATGTTTTGAGTTTAGCAACATATGTATATTATCTAATTTAATGCACATAATGACCTAAGAGTTTAGTATTGGCTTTCATATTGACATTTCAAGCAACTAAGGCTGAAAGAAATGAACTTTCCCAGGGTTATATAATTTTTAAGAAGCAGAGCTATTTTATCTCATATTCAGAGGCTGTGCTTTTAACCTTACACTAAAATTACTTAATAACCCCTTTTTCTGATTTTTGATGATGAGTGCTCTAATTTATAGTTTAAATGAGGTTTAAATTCACTGATTTATTTTTAAAGTGTTTCATATATATTATGCAATGTCCTATTTATGCTTCTTCTACTCGATAAATGATTATTTGATTCATGCCAGTCAAGATACCAGTTTTAATAGTATAAATGAATGGGTCAATAAAACAGTCTTTATTCTGCTTTGAAAATTTCAACTTCAGGAAAATATTTTAATGGAAATTTATTGACAAGAATAATAAATTGTTGGTTGGTAAAGCAAACATAACTTCTATAAAGACAGTTTTATAGGTGGTACACTGCCAATGATCTGTCAAGTGTATTTACAAATGCTATCCTTTCACAGGGGAGAAAAGAGAAACTTCCCTACATTAACTCCAAGAAATTTCAGTTTGAAATATTGATAGTAGGTATAAGAGTAAATATTGATTATTATTATCTTCTGCATCCAAGGAGCAGTATTATGTATGCCTACATGTATGATGGACAAGAATTCTAATATTGACCCATAAAAGTAAAATTTCTCAGTTATCTCTACCTAAGTACAATGTACCACAACAAAAGTAAAACTGTGCATCTGAAAGATGAAGCTGGCACTTCTCAAATGCTTATTTATTTTAATCCAGACTCCTGTAGTTCCAAAAATTATTTCAGAATAAAACTTTCATGAGCTTTAATGGGTCTCTTTTTTTCTGAGATATTGTATGGTTAATTTCACTTTTGCTATTAAATTAATATCTTCAATGTTAGAGATTGGAGAAAGATAGGATCCATTTCTTCTGTGAAATCACATATCTGTGAAATTACGGTATGTATATAATGTGTGAAAGAGAATGTATATGTGTTTATACATTGATAATAAGCATCTTCTTATATTGAATTATCCAGGCTTGAAATATTAGTTTTAATGCATGACATTATAGAAAAACTGAAATAATCATCTAAGATAAAATAATCTTAAATAATCTTGAGTTAACATTTATTTGGTTTTTACTTAGCTTAATATAGAGAAAAGTAGATATGGTCATTGGCTGGTAGCACATGAGTTTTAATAAGCATGAAAATGGAATAAAAATTTTAAAAGGCATACACCTTATTATAAACACATCTAAAGAAAAAAAATCATGAGAAGAATTGAAATGATAGATAGTATGAAGAAAACGTCATTACTATTCCAACATTCCTTTCATGGCTGTTGTGCTGGTGGTGTGCTATAATTTCCTCAAAGGCACAGACTGGCAGAATATTAGACGGTTTTATAACATGACCTTTTTGTTTCTTTCACTGATTAACATTTTTAGATGGGATACAAGGAGACTCTGTCTCCTTTGCAAATCATAGGATTACAAAGTTAGGAAATAATTTAGAGATTATTTTCATTATTTTTACTCATTATTTTTATTCATTCCTACTGCTCATTGAGGAATTCTTTTCCCATCTTGCCCTTTTAGGTGGGTATTCACTATTTCATACATACAAATTTATACATATGTATAATATGTATGTATTACATACATATAATGTATACATACATATATATGTACGTATTTCTATGCCATGCCAGTTTTCAAACTAGAAATATAGCTTTTGTGACTATTAAATTATTACCTGAAGTCTAATCTGTTTTGTGCCTCTGGTGGTCTAAAGCTTCCTTAATTTGAGAGGCAATATACTGATTTGAAATTTCTACCACTGATTTTCACTAACTTTCTGAAACGACACACAGTATTACTATTTACATAAGCCTATAAGTAAGAATATAACTACCTTATTTCTCATTCTTCTGTAATATAAATTCAAATGCAAAAATCATAACACATTCTTTTAAGATTACCTCAGTGACCATCTTGTCATTATCCGTGTTCTTTTTTGAATATAATCCTAGGACTTGGCAAAATATTACATATGTACTCTGAACAGAACAAAATTCAGAGGAAATCTTTCTTCTTGGCCTGTGGACATGACTCTGACTAAGGTAGCTTAAGTTTACATCATAACTTTTTTTAGTTCCAATAATGCAATTTAATGCCCTTATTATGTTCTATTACAGTAAGTTATTAAAATATGGGTTTGAAATTCCTATAAGTTGAGTAATTTGGTATTCTACTATATTTCTCTAAGGAAGATATAATCCTAAACTGCTATAATGGGATGCAAATAATTTTCAGAAGCTCTCTCCTTTTACATATACCTCACTATTTATTCTATCATGTTTTGTCTTAGTACCTTACATTAATGAGTATTCTTATACAGGAATTTGATATTAAAATATTAATCATTGTGCATACATGTCTTGAAATATTCTTTGATAGGTAAATCAATATGGGATGGGGCAAAAAAAAAAAACCCCAATGATATGGTGCTGATCAAACATAGAGTATATAAAGAGGTTCTGGGTTGTGTCAAAAATGTGTAAGAGGAAATGATGAAAAGGCCCCCCAAGTCTTCTTTTAGGCAAAAGTGAAAAAAATATAGAGTTTTTTGAGTGAACATGAAGGCCTGAAGATTAACTTGGTGGGTTGTCTGCAAAGATGGCTGCTGACAATTCTTTTCATTTCTATATATTGACAGTGTTCCTCCCATCAAGCAGAGGCATTTATCTCCCTCTGTTCTTGAGTCTGGGCTGGACTTTACTTGATTTGACAGAAAGAATGTGGTGAAAGTGATATCGTATGACTTTTTGGCTTCATGTAAGTTTTCTATTTTATTTTTTGGAAACCAGCATTTTTATAAAGAAGTCTAGGATCTTCTTCCTATGTGGCTATGTGGAGAAAGAAAAGCCCTAGAGGGTGAGAGATCACAGGATGGAGAAAGGCACCAGGAGAAGAACCAAGATACCCTAATACAAAACTAGCACCAAGTCCCCCAGATAAGTAGGTGAGGCCATATTGAATAATCCAACAATGGTAGAACCATTCAAGCCACTTATATGTGCAGTAGAGATGAGCTGCACTGCCCTTTGCATGTTCTTTGTGTGGGTCAGGAGAAGAGAAATAAACTTTTATTTTTAGGTTATCAGATCAAGATAAGCCATAGTCACATCCAGACTTGATGTAGATCACAAGATACTGGACCTCAAGTCTGACTAATTGGGTGAGACTTTGTCGCTTTAGGAGGTAGTCAGTGTATTCTGACTGGGGATAAGGTTATAAACTATTGTGGCTACAAGTCTGACTATCTGCAAAAAATGCCCACTACCAATTGCATCCAACCTTACATGTATATGCCATTCTTCCCAGCAAGAGGTGGAATCTATTTCCTGTCCCGTAAATCTAGGCTGGCCTAGTAGTTTGCTTTGACCAGTTAGATATGGTGCAAGAATACTGTTTGAATTCTGGTTTAATGCGTCAAGAATTCTTTCATCTTCATATGCACTTTCTTCACAGATGCTTTCTATATGAAGAAGTTTGGGTTATCCTTCTGAAATGTACATACAGAGAACCTAGAAGATGACAAAACATGAGAGAGAAACTATGTAGATAGAGGAGAGCTTGGGTGTCCCAGTTCGCAACCAGCCCCAGAGTTGCAGGCTGATAGGGGAGTGAGGTCAAGTTGAATCCTCCTGCCCCAGGATAGCCACATTAGCCAGAACCAAATGGAACAGAGATGAATCAAGACTGCTGAGTCCTGCCTGATTTCATTAACCAAAGAATCATGGGCAAATAATATGGCTATTGTTTGGTTTTAATTCATAAATAATAGTTGTACTTATTTGGGGTTATATGTAATATTTTAATACCGGTATGCAATGTGTAATGATCAAATAAGGGTAGTGGCTATTATTTAAGTCATTAGGTTTGCAGAGTGTTTTGTTAAGTAGCATAGATCATTGAAATTATAAGAAAAGTTATGAGATAGACTTTTTATAATAGATGATACTCCCCTCCCTCAATTCAATGTATTTTTAAGTCTGTTCTTGTGCCTGCATCTTGTATTTTCTACAAAATAATATTATTGGGGCAACAGAAGACATTGTATCAAAGCACTTATCATGATTTTAAAGTGAAATCGAAGCCAGTAACAGGAAACTTTTATCTTTGTTGATGACAGAAGTGGAGTTTATCTTGGTAAACCACTGAATCTTCCGTTCTCATCTCAGTTGATATTCTTTGCTCCAGGTTTTCAGAAAAAAAAGGCAAATATTTGATGCATAAAGCTCTTGTTGAGTTTATGAAAAAGAACTGTTAGTGAGGGTGTCTTTTGCTTGTTCTGAAGGCACTTTCTCTACCACTGTTTTTGATTTTGTAACAGAAGCAGCTAGTTGTCTCCAAATATCCATTAACTCTTTTCCCAAATATATATTCACCCTCTATTTCTTAATAGTAGAATTCCTCATCTCTTTTAGCTGGCGATACAGCTAGTCAAAATAAATTCTATATTCCCTAGCATCTTTTGAAGATGAAAATGTTTATTGGGCTATAGTCTGATTATGAGACTATAAGGGGATAAAGTATGTGTGAATTCCAGGAAATAAGCTTATGGAATAAGAGTAGACTTCTTCACTTTTTTCTTCTTTCTTCTGGCTGGAATGTGTATCCTCTTTGCTAGAAGTCAAGCAGCCATTTTGAACCATGAATTGTAAGCCATGTCTTCAGGATGAGAGAGCCACACGCTAAAAACAGCCTGTTTTCCTTAAGTGACGAAGCTTTATTTTAGCCCCAGGCTGAGATTAAAGGAAAATGAATCTATATTTTGTTGAAGTATTGTCATTTTGGACCCTAAAACATATTATTGACAGACTCTCTTCTTGACCAACTTTAGGTTCCTCCGAGTCCTCTTCTTGAGTAGGTCTCATCCTTGGCCTTCCTTTCTGTCCTGTTCTTTCTGGGCAAGAATCCTGCTAAGTCAGTTTAGTGAGACTCCCCTCAACTTTTGATATCTGATAATCCTCTATAAATGTTCAAGTTCTTCATCTCCCACCTTTGATGTATAAATCCTTGACCTGTCTTAAGCAAGACTCTTAAGTCAGTTTAGAAAGAATTCTTCTACCCTTAATGTCTCAATAATTTTCCATCTATTGATCCCCCTTTCTCCGCTAGTTGGTTATAGATCCTCAGCTATCTTTTCTATTTATTTTCTCTATTGTGATCATCTTGATACCTATTGCAATAGTCTTGAATAAAGTCTTCCTTATCAGTTTAACAAGTATCAGAATAATTTTTTTAGCACTACCAAGCCTAATCTCTCCTAATTCAGGAGGCTTCCTCAGAAAATAAATTTGAGGACTCAGTGATGTTCAGGCATCAAGGCTAATTTTAAGATTTTTTTTGTATTAGCTATTTTCATTATCTACATCAGTGGGACCCATAAGCCTATGGAGTTCCATTAATAGGAAATCAGTTATTTTTTTACTGAGGAGGTAGGGAAAGTTACATGCGATGCAGAGACATTTTCTAATCTAATTTTCCAATAAATAAGTTTTCTTTTTAAGAATCAATTGGACAAGAGAATGTATTTTGATTGGCCTGGTACATATTGTGAGGGTTACTAGAAATGGAAAGATGTTCAGGCAGAGAAAAATTAGTTTTGTTTGTATCACAGACAAATTTTGGATAGCCATTACAATATCCTCAGCTTCTCAACCTAATCATCTCACTGCGTAAGCTCCAGAAATTTCTCCTCCAACATAATTATTAACCAAAAGCCAAAGTTTTGGTTTTGACTCTAAGAAATGGGTTTACAGAATTCACCACATCCTTAAGGATTCATTTTTGTTGTCCCTTTTCCCTTTGATTTTCCCAGCTTTTGATAGATACAGACTTATATTTGATTTAGGAAAAGTCAAGACCATGGATCCTGGCCAGAATCAGCCCTGCAGGGTGGACATTTAGAATTACTTGGAAATGCAAAGTGAACAGAGTGAAAATAAAAAGTCAATTTTATATAAAAAGGCTCTATGTTACTAAATACCAATATGATTGAGAAGTCAGATTCTGCTGGGAAACAGTTACACTTCTAAGAAGAAATTATGATTTTATTACCTGAAATAATCTGTCAATATGTTAATATTTTAAGAAAGCATAGAATCATAGATAACATATAAATACAAATTATATTATACAAATTAAGAGAAAGACTTTGATAACTGTTTGAATAAGATAAGATTTAATTACAGATATCACTCATCATAGCATGACTTAAAAGAATTCTGGGAAAAAGTTCATTTGGAGGTACATGTTGGGACCAAATGCCATAGAGGTGGTGATTGTTAGGGGGAAAAATCACTGCTTTTTCTAGTAACTGGGAAAAAAATTAAATCTGATAAATGTAGACAAGGTTTATTATAAATTGACTGATTTTTCAACAATGGCTATTGGATAACTATTGTTTTAAAAAATCTTTTTTGAAAGGCATAGAGAACTTTTGGAAGCTGGGAATAAAAGTCTATTTCTGAACTTCTTACAATATTAGAAAACTGGATGACAGGAGCATGGGGGATGGCTATGGGAGTCTTCAGGGCAACCTTGTAAAGAATTTGGGTTATTACTGATATTGCCCAGATAATTTATTGCACACTGCTTTCCAGTATAATCTTATGAATCCAGTTTCAATCATGTCAAAGAAGTGAAGAATTTAAGTGATTATCTAGACAAATTTGTGTCTTAGTTTGTGCTGCTGTAACAAAAGACCTCACCTCCTAGTACCTTCACATTAGTGATGAGATTTCAACTTATGAATTTGGAGTTGGCCGGGGGGACACATTTAGACCACAGCAACCTGTTTCTGGAAATGTGCTATTAATTTGAGTTATCTGGATAGGTTTAATCATATTCTCTGTATATATGGATAATTATTTTCATATTATTGAGGTTAGGCGTGGGTTGGATACTCTTTAGTTTTGTTAAGTATGTCTGAGACATGGAGAGTAGCTCGTTGTGAAATAATTATTCTTTACAACTGATTTCTGAGCAAACTGCTTCCATTCCCTGCTCCATTGGTTGTAATGTGGGAAATACCCATTCCATGTTATCCTGGAGGCTTTGTTCACTTCAGGGAGCTTGTTGACTTCCCAGTCCCCAAACATATGCTTTCACAAAAATGTACTCTGTTTAATTTCACTTATCTTTGTGTAACTCACCACACACATAAAACAATTATTTCATAAATACAAATGCTGAAATGAAAATCTGAAGGTTATATGTAATTTAAAAATCCTTGAGCATGTACACTTTTATTTTATTTAAAAAATAAGGAAGAAAAAAGCAAAATCTCAAAGAAACCAGCAAATAGGGTACCAGCAGCTCTGTAGGCTATGCTGCCATCATAAGTTAATTCCTTATGGAATCATAAGCTAGCAGCAAAAACCCAGTCTCTGAATATATTATGAATCATTATTCCTTTTAAACAGAATCAAAGTAAAGAAAATATATCAAATAGATTTCTAATTATGATTGTTCATTATCTTTCATCTTGGCCTGGATCTTCATGTTAACCTTCTTACCCGAATAAAAAAGAGTCAGGAGACAGTCTTTGTTTCATCTGTTTTAATTTCATTACTGACAGGGCAACATTTGTATTCTTCTCCCATTTTCCTTAGGTCATGAATTCACCTTCAGAAATTGTACAGGAGGGTGTTTGGAGAATTTTTAGACTCCTGTTTTATTCTCTAGCAACCTATTAAGGAATAAAAGACATTTCCACCTTTATAAATTTTCCAAAGTTTATAAATCGGTTAATTTCCTGAAATCCCAAAGTGTTTCTCTACAGGATGACTCTGTATTCTGATTAGTAATTATAAGGAAGCTCAGTTTGCATTATTTACATTTTCTATAAAAACAAAACTTACCTATCATAAGAATAGCTAAAAAGATACATCAATTTTAATCTTTAAAAATTTTTGTTTCAAAGTTACTTTAAAGTCAATTTAGATCTTTAGAGAATTTAAGAATATCTAACTAAGTCAACATTGCCTTTACGTTAGAGCATGCCTTTGTAAATCCAGCAAGTGATAATATTTCATACTTAGGGCATTTGTGGGCCATGTCTTTAGCCAGAATTATCTTCTTTCACCTGGAATTCCTGGAAAACCCCTAATCGACTTTAAAATCACCTCCTCTTCCTTCCTGACGTTAGTAAAATAGTAGTGATCATAAGAAAACTTACACAAACTTCTGCATCAAATTTATCAACTTATTGTTTCTGTATCTCCACACTCTCTTTTCTTACCTATTAAATGATTGTCTAAGTTTATTCCCTCCACCTTCTTGCCACTTACTATTCCTGGATATTGCTCCTGCTGTGTTTCTTATACTTCCAGCTTCTACTCTTCATTGGTTCACTAAACTTATGTCCTCCAAAATCATATTCATGTCTTCCACTTTTCAAACCTGCTTCTCCCATGATGCTTTCCCTCATAGATGATACCGTGAATCTACCAATTAATCAGGCCAAGAAAGCCTAGAGTCTGTTTTGACTCTTCATGATCTGTAATAATTCATGTTTCCTCTCTAAACAAATTTTGTAATACCTTTAAATAATAGTCCAAATTCAACCACTTCTCGTCTCCATCACTATCACCTACTACAAGACTGTTGTCCATCACCTGGTTTACTGCCGTGGCCCCCTTACTCATACTCCTGATTTATTTGATAGAAAAGATGCTGAAGAAAGAGTAAACAAATTAAGTGTGGATTAACTAAATTTAAATAGTTAGCCTAGCCTTTTTTTTTTTTTTTTTTTTGGTAGTGGTAGGTAGAGTTCAGCTTCAGTTTTTGTTTAAACTATGGAGAAAAATAACTCCAGAAATCTGCATAGGGATCTCCTTGAGTTTTTTACTGAGTACTAAGTTATACACGGAAAGGATAAGATTTTACAGGCCCATACAAAGAAACAGAAATGAGAAAGAACCACCATGAGGGATCCTACAAACTAAATAATTATCAGACTTGGAACAAGGCTGAGAGCCCCTCAAGTCTAGCCAGTCAGAAGAGAGGCCTTTTAATTAACTCAGGAAATTCCAAAGATAATTCAGGCCATGACAAAGGAGTTAAGATAAAGTAGATGGATCTACACAGAAGATCTATACAAATGGTAAACATGTTGGTGAATGCAAAAAAAAAAAAAAAGGGCTTTCTAACATACAGAGAAGTAAAATTTATGACAATCATTGCAAAATGGATGCGTCCAGGGACTGTGATAAGTTAGATGCCTATTTGCCCAATGGATCACCTTGTAAAAAAATAAATAATGAAAAGAAAGCCGAAGAGAATATATTATTTAATATTCCAAATATTCAATTAATTTAAATTATAAAAGAAAATATTCTATGAGAAAAATAGAAAATCAATGACAAAGACTTAAATTCAACTATATCAATAATTACGTTAAATGTATATGAATTAGATATACCAATTATAAGGTAGTAATCCACAAAAATGATGTATAAAACAAAGCAATGCCAGACTATATACTCTCTACAGAAAACATATTTTAATTATAAAGATAGATGATTTAAAACTAAAGGGATGGAAAATGATATAATGTACAAACTCTAATAAGAAAGCTTAAATGCTTATATTCATATGAGACAAAATTAATTTTAGTGCAAGGAATATTACCAAAGATAAAGATGACATTTCCCAATGATAAAAAAGCAAATTAATCAGGAACATAATAGCCTAAATATGTATTCACAAAAAAAAAAACTGTAAAACACTTAAAGCAAACACTTATAAACCAGAAAGGAGAAATAGATAAATTCACAATTAAAGTTGGTGATTTTAATACTCTTCTGTCAGTAACAAAACAAGTAAAAACCACAAAACTGGGAAGTAGAATACTTGAAGGACATTTTCAACTAATGTAACCTAATTAACATTTATAGACCAGTACACCCAGTTATTACAGAATGCATATTACCTTCAAATGCAAATGGAACATTACAAAGATAGACCATATGCTTGGCTGTAAAAGTCTCAATTAATTTAAAGGAATTGAAATTATTCAGAGTGTTCTCTGAAAATAAAAATATTAAATTAGAAATCAATTAAAATATATCTGAAAAGCTCAAATATTTCAGAACTTCGCGTAACATTTTCAAACAACCCATAGGTCAAAGAGAAAATTACAAGGAAATTAGAATATATTTGAAATGGTGTGAAAATCAAAACACAACCTACTAAAATTTGTAAGTTGCAGTAAAAGCAATATTTCAAAGAAAATTTATGCTTTAGGTACTTAGAAGTTTGAGTCCAGTGATCTAAGTTTCTAACACCTTAAACTAAAAAAACAAAAAGTACATTTAATCCAAAAAAGTGGAATGAGGTACACAATACCAAGTAACAATAAAAGAAATAACTATATTAAGATAGAGAAAAATCAATGAAATAAGCAACAATCAAGTTGAATAACAACACTCAAGCTTTCTCAAAGTAACAGTCCCAAGTACCCAGCATATTAATATACATACGCATGTGAAATGTATGCATCACTAAACTTTCCCTGATTTTGTTTATAGGTTTAAAAGGTTATAACATTGACAGACGCTAAAATGTTATAGGAAAGGAGATGTCATTTTTAGGATTCCCACATTACAATTTATATTTGGATTAGGAAAGGTAAGTGACATTTTTGTTGTCAGGTGGGGAATGGTGTTCCTTTACAAACAAATGCTGTATAGGAAGGGGAGGGTATGAATATTACAACATTAGATGAAGCACTGTCCCAGTCGGTCCCAAAATATGGTTCAAATGGGAGCTCATGATGTTAGTCTGGAGATAACCATTCTGTAGTGCCCTGGACACAGAAATCAGAGCCTCTGCACAGTGTGCACTCTGACAGTCTCCTGTTCAAGCAAGCGCCACTTAGACTCTCTGTAAGTACCATGCAACTTGCTCACAGCTGCCTGTTGCAAAGAGGGAGATGTACCTCAGTGCTACTCCTATAAGTCTTCATGTGGCCTGCACTCTCTGAAGGCCATTTGTCCCTGTTGGTACCAGAACTTCCACTGCATGCTCATGCCATCAATTGCTGATTTTCTGAATCCTGGAAAGTAGGCTATTGCTCACTCAGTAACTTCAGACTAACTCTGGCCTGGTTAAACCAGTGAATTTCTCTGCTATCTTGTGGCTGAACCATACTTCCAAAAGGTCTGATTTGTCCTTCCTTGAGTACTCTCCCTCAGCCCCAGGGTACCATATAGAGTTTCCTTATAATTACACTTTTGTTATACATAATAATTTATATTAAACTTCCCCTGTATAGCCTACTGTGGATTTCTAGCTCCTGATTAGACTCAGATTGCTATGATGAATAAATGGATAAATGTCAAAGTTCATATAGAAATTTCAGAATAATCACTTTAAAATTATTATAAAAAGCTGTAGTTTAGATTTTGAGATGTCTTGATTATATCACAATCCTGACTCCACCTCTCAGCCTCTGCACTTATGATAATGGAATCAAGACCAGTACACTGTTTTGTCAGAAGGGGCAAATTTAACAAATCTAGATATAGATATGCAGCTGTGAAATTGGTGACTATGAGATAAACATTTTATGTAACACTTGATGTTTTTCTCACTTTTTGTAATGGTCATCTTTCTGATGAAGCCCATTGTTCTACCATCTAAGTACTTTATAAAGACAGAGATCCTTGATTAGGGCTGTGAACCTGAAAAATAGTTTCCAGCTTTCCTAGTTGTCTCTGATAGCTGTATAAGAAAAGACAACTTTGCTAAAAATTTATAGGCTGAACCTATCTGGCTTTTTAATAGTAATAGAATTTAATATAGGTATTCATTTAATCTGCCCGGGCATACATATTATCAGGTGATGACAAGAGCAGTGTTACTCAGCATCATCTGCAAACTGGCAGCATCAGTATCACATGGGAGCTTTTCAGAAATGCACATTCTCATGGCCCAATCTAGACCTGGTCCCTAGGAGTCTTTGTTTTAGTAAGCCCTTGAGGTGATTCCCAGGCATGCTAAAGTATGAGAAGCATGACTTAGAACTTCAAATATTTGTAGTTTTCATTTCTACTAGATTTTTTAAACTAATTTGTCTGATATGTAGAAACCTCTGGTATCTGTTAGATTTCTAATAAAAGTCAATGGGAATTTAATTGAGCAACACTTTTCTGTCCCTGGACATTGACAGAGAGAGCAAGTGAATATCAATATGTGTTTGATTGTGAAAAATTTATGTTACAGGATAGAAATGAGATAGCCCAACAACTGGTTTATTTTTTCCCCAGAAGCATGTGGAACTGATGCTCATGGTGTCTTTTTCTTTTCTGTTCCCTCCCCTTCTTGTTCAATATTTCCTGTTTGTGGAAGAACACCATTCACCACCTGACAACAGAATGTCACTTATTTTTCTAATCCAAATATAAAATGAAATCTGTGAATCATAACAACAGCATCTCCTTTCTCATAACATTTTTGTGTCTGTCAGTGTTACAACCTTTTAAACCAAATGACATATAAACTAAATCAGAGAAAGCTTAGCAATGCATACATTTTACATGCTTTATATTAATCGGTTGGACGTTTGCAACTATTACATCAATGGGGCTTGAGTGTTGTCAGTCAAGTTGATTTCTTTTTTTTTTTTTTTTTTTTTTTTTTTTGAGACGGAGTCTCGCTCTGTCGCCCAGGCTGGACTGCAGTGGCGGGATCTCGGCTCACTGCAAGCTCCGCCTCCCGGGTTAACGCCATTCTCCTGCCTCAGCCTCCCAAGTAGCTGGGACTACAGGCGCCCGCCACTACGCCCGGCTAATTTTTTGTATTTTTAGTAGAGACGGGGTTTCACCGTTTTAGCCGGGATGGTCTCGATCTCCTGACCTCGTGATCCGCCCGCCTCGGCCTCCCAAAGTGCTGGGACTACAGGCGTGAGCCACCGCGCCCGGCCAGTCAAGTTGATTTCTACTTGTGTTGAGATGTCAATGTTAATTAACACTTTGGGATTTTAGAAATCATGTGGAAATCACATTTTCTTCCCAAAATATCTCTTTAAAGCTCATTTATTTTTGTGTCCAGAGTCCCTTGTTTTGGTGTGCGTTTTGTTTACGCTGAGATTAGTTCAGTGTGCAGTAAGTGACAGGGAGGGGAAAGAGTCCACTGCTGCCATTTCTAACCTCTCACATGCTTGTCACACTTAATGTTAAAAACTGTTTCTTACCCTTGACTAGGAAAATAGAAAATGCTCTGTGTCTACCAGTCACATTGAAAGTAAATTAGTTATACGCAAAACTATTTACCAGATATGATTTCACTGTATTGTATGACTTGATTCTGCAAAGTAATTTTGGCACTGGCAAAAGAGTGTCAGTTTATAAGAAACGTTACAATGCTAGCTTTAAAGTGGGAAAATGCAGCAAAATTATATGATCACTAAGGGCAGAATTTCAAAGCAGTATTTACTGAGAGGCCTTTCCTGTGTTCCTGCTCAAGTGAAATTCATTCCCCTTTTAATAGACAATCCTTTGGGAAGCAGAACTTATCATGTGACATGGCTTGTACTATAAAGGAAACAATAATAATGTTTTCTCTGTAAAAATCCTTGTCTTCTGAATGAGGCAAAGTGGTTTATGCAAATGCTCTGCAGAATCCTCCTAGGATATCAGCAAGGACAGGAACAAACTCCGTATATTTCTAATGAAAATATCTAGAACATGAAGGACAAAAAGTTATGACCACCAAAATAAAAGAGTTGATTTTCTTGAATCCAGCTCTAGTTTTCTGTTTCTGTTACTTCTAATTGCCTGCTAGCATGAAGGAAATGCTCCATTATAATTAAATGTCCTTCATTATAATTAGGATATTATAAAAATAAAGGATGTGTGTTGCCTGGATAGAGAACTAAGAGTGTTTTTGTGCTAGAACAAGAAACTAGAAAACTCACTCCACTCCTATTGAGAAAAGCACGAAGTGTCTCCCTGGCAAGTATAATGTGAATTGTAAGTTACCTGTAGATGCCTTTTTGTAGGTGAAGAATTTCTATTCCTAGTATGCTGGAAAATTTTTATCAATAAGTGTTGCATATTTTCAAATGCCATTTCATTATCTGTTGAGTTAATCACATGGTTTCTCTATTTTTTTTCTGTCAAGATTGTATAAAAGAATTTTTTTTTTTTGCATGGTAAACCAACCTCAAATCTTCAAAACCCACTTGAGCATTATGTTTTATCCTTTCTATATTTGCTGGATTCAATCTGCAAATATTTTTAAAACATTTTCTGTGTTTCTGTTTACAAAAGATTTGAGGCTATAGCATTTTGTTTCTTTTTTTCTTTTTTTTAAATATTTATAATGCTTTTAGTTTTGTTAGCAGGGTATTTCTGGCTTTATAAAATGAAATGGAAATTATTATTTTCCTATACTTTCTGGAAGAGTTGCTATAGCTGTTGTAACATTTTTTTCTTAAATGTTTAGTAGTTCTTACCAGTAAAAACATCTAATCATGAAGTTTTTTTGTGGAGAAGTTTTCAATTGCAAATTTAATTTATTTAATTAATGCATTACTTTCAGAATTTTACATTTTTTTCTTGTAATAGTGTCAGTGATTTTTGTCTTTTAGGGTGTTTTTACATTTCATCTTATGCATTGAATTTATTAAAATGAGGTTGTTCATAATATTATTTTATATTTTTTAAGGTTTATAGGATGAAATGTTCCCACTTTCATTCCAGATATTGTTGATGTGTGTTTTCTCTTAAGCTAGCTAGAGAATTTTTTTCTTTGTTGACTTTTTTTTCTATTGTTGATATACTTTCTTTTTTTTTTTTTTTGGTTCCTATCTTATTTCTTCTATTCATTTTGGCAACATTCTTCTTTTTTTTTTTTACTTTTATAAAGTGAAAGATCAGGTCATTGAATTTGAACTTTTCTTGAACTATCCATTTTTTTAACACTTTTTGCTACATCCCAGAAATTTTGTATTTTGCATTTTCATTTTGATTCAACTAAAATATTTTTATTATCCTTTGCAAATTCTTTAATACATGTGTAATTTTAAACTATGCTTGTTTAACATACAATTTTAGGGATTTTCTTAGTATATCTTAGTTATGAATTTTTAATTTAATTACATTGTAGTCTCAGAATATATTTTTGTATCAGTTCCACTTTTGTAAATTTATTAGACTGTTTTGTTTCTGCAAATCATGCATATTTTGTAGTTTTTGGTGTACTGTACTGTGATTATCAATCAGGTCAAGTTTGTTATTAAGTGTTTTTTATCCTTTTTCTCTACCTGTTTTATCAATTTTGCAAAATCAGTTCTGAAGTATTATTGTAATTGTGCAGCTATCCATTTTTCTCTTTCCAGTTCTAGTCATTATTTTTAAGTTCTGTTACTAGTTGCATACATATATAGGCTCGATATGTTTTCTTGATGAATTTACACTTTTATCATGAAATGCCCCTTTTTATCTTTGGTAATCTTTCTCCTGAAGCCCATTTTATCTTAAATTAATATAACTTCTCTAACTTTCTTGTTATCTGAATTTGCATGATAAACGGTGTCTTTTCTTTGACTTCTAACTTATCTCTGGTTTTTCCTTAAAGTTGTCTTTTATAGACTAGGTATGCAATCCTGTATCCCAAATCCTGTTATCCCAGTGTTTTGGTAGGCCGAGACAGGAGGATCACTTGAGGCTAGGAGTTCAATATCAGTCTGGCAACATAGTGAGACTCCATCTCTACAAAAACAATTCAAAAAATTAGCCAGGTATGGTGGTAGACACCTGTAGTTCTAGCTACTTAGGAGACTGGGGCAGAAGGATCACTTGAGCCCAAGAGGTTGCATTGAGCTATGATTGTGCCACTGCACACCAGTCTGGGTAACAGAGTAAGGCCTTGTCTGTAAACAATAAAAGAATTTTTTAAAAGCTGTCTCTTATAGATAGCATATAGTTTGGTCTTATTTTACATCAAGCCTGACAATATTTATCTTTTAATTTGTGTTTAGACAAAAAGTCTGAAACATAAAAGTAAAAAACATAGAATGTAATTCTTACTAGGTTGGATTTCAGTCTACCATATTATTTTTTCTCTATTTGTCCCATTTGTTCTTAATTTGTTCATTTCACTGCCTGTGATAGTTTGTTTTATGTGTCACCTTGGTTTGGCTATATGCCTGAGTTATTTAACCAAACACTAATTTAAGTGTTTTTTGTATGTATTGAGTAGATGTGGCCAACGTTTATAACCAATTAACTTTAAGGAAAGGATATTATCACTGGTAATCTGGGTGCACTTTATATTATCAGTTGAAAGATTTTAAGAATAAAATTGAAATGTCTCTGAATAAGAAGAAACATCACTTGTGGACTTGAACATTAACACCTGCCTGAGAACTTGTAGCATGCCGTTCTGTTCTACAGATTTCAGACTTGCTAAGCCAGACCCCACAATTGCATAAACCAATGCCGTGAAATAAATCTCTCTCTCTCTCTGTATATGCATATTTGTGTGTATATATTATATGTGTTTCTCTGGTAGAATCCTGACCGATACAGATTTTGTTTCTAAGAGTAGCTCTACAAGAACAGGATCTTAAAGGTAAGTTTTCAGAATTCTGGGGTTTTGGGAAATGATTCTCTAATGTAGTTAGGTTTAAAGGTAATAATGGTTCTGTTTCCAGTGGTAACAAGGGCACTGGTGGTTTATGGTATAATGTGAAATAGAGATACATAAAATATTGTCATTGGATACTCCTGATCAAATACCTATAGGTGGAAAGGCTTATGTGTTTAAAATGAAATGCAAAATTTGTATATTTAAATTCCATATGTACAATTTATAAGATAGTATTTATAAAGTCAGTCTCTTAGATTAAAAATCAGTTTTGAAGAGTATGAAAATATTTTAAACTGGGAGTTAAAGATATGCCACCACTTTATTATAGCTTTATCATTTGTTATTTTCTATTTTGTTTATTTGCCCTTTACATTTATTATTTCGTATGCCCTTAAAATTGTTAAACAACTTACATTTAGCCATCTTGTTTGTAGGGGATCCAGTATTAAGCTTGCTATTCTCTACTGTGTGATTACAATTTTAAACCTGAATTTGAAATTTCTTCATATTCTTCAATTAAATACACAACCAGAAGCTATTTTGTCCCAAGTTCCTCTCTAAATTGAATTACCTTCAAAGTATAAATTCAAAACCAATGAGAAATAGTGTGTTGATATCTGGTGTATGATATTACTATGGTACCACAAGTTTTTAAAAATAAAGTTTAAATAAACAATTATAGAATAACTCAAGCTTCTTTTATGTCTTCCCAGAATTCAGTCATATATCTTTTGGTATAAATAATCTCTTAGGACTATCCCTTCAATTATAAAATATTTTTATTCAACATTTTTGTATTTTAAATTAGTCTAGATTGCTAAAGTAAGTCATGATTGATAACTGCTCTTTGATTTGCCCTATTTACCATAATTTCTGCTTCATAAATAACACGTAGTTTTTATATTGAGCTTTCACATTAAGATTAGTCTTTCAATTTTCTAAGCAGTAGAAATAGATGAGGAATTTCATATAACAAGTGTTGATTTAGTAACCTCCAATGGAGAGTGAATTTCCTTCTTGACTGTATTCCTAATACTTTGGGAAGGCATTGAGCATTTGCCTGAGGCCTATAAACATTGAACTTTTTGGGCTGAGACAATGGGGTTTTCTAGATATACAATCATGTCATCTGCAAACAGGGACAATTTGACTTCCTCTTTTCCTAATTGAATACCCTTTATTTCCTTCTCCTGCCTGATCGCCCTGGCCAGAACTTCCAACACTATGTTGAATAGGAGTGGTGAGAGAGGGCATTCCTGTCTTGTGCCAGTTTTCAAAGGAAATGCTTCCAGTTTTTGCCCATTCCGTATGATATTGGCTGTGGGTTTGTCATAGATAGCTCTTATTATTTTGAGATATGTCCCATCAATACCTAATTTATTGAGAGTTTTTAGCATGAAGGATTGTTGAATTTTGTCAAAGGCCTTTTCTGCATCTACTGAGATAATCATGTGGTTTTTGTTTTTTGGTTCTGTTTATATGCTGGATTACATTTATTGATTTGCGTATATTGAACCAGCCTTGCATCCCAGGGATGAAGTCCACTTGATCATGGTGGATAAGCTTTTTGATGTGCTGCTGGATTTGGCTTGCCAGTATTTTATTGATGATTTTTGCATCAATGTTCATCAAGGATATTGGTCTAAAATTCTCTTTTTTTGGTTGTGTCTCTGCCCAGCTTTGGTATCAGGATGTTGCTGGCCTCATAAAATGAGTTAGGGAGGATTCCCTCATTTTCTATTGATTGGAATAGTTTCAGAAGGAATGGTACCAGTTCCTCCTTGTACCTCTGGTAGAATTCGGCTGTGAATCCATCTGGTCCTGGACTCTTTTTGGTTGGTAAGCTATTGATTATTGCCACAATTTCAGAGCCTGTTATTGGTCTATTCAAAGATTCCACTTCTTCCTGGTTTAGTCTTGGGAGGGTGTATGTGTCGAGGAATTTATCCATTTCTTCTAGATTTTCTAGTTTATTTGCATAGAGGTGTTTGTAGTATTCTCTGATGGTAGTTTGTATTTCTGTGGGATTGGTGGTGATATCTCCTTTATCATTTTTTATTGTGTCTATTTGATTCTTCTCTCTTTTCTTCTTTATTAATCTTGCTAGCAGTCTATCAATTTGGTTGATCCTTTCAAAAAACCAGCTCCTGGATTCATTAATTTTTGAAGGGTTTTTTGTGTCTCTATTTCCTTCAGTTCTGCTCTGATTTTAGTTATTTCTTGCCTTCTGCTAGCTTTTGAATGTGTTTGCTCTTGCTTTTCTAGTTCTTTTAATTGTGATGTTAGGGTGTCAATTTTGGATCTTTCCTGCTTTCTCTTGTGGGCATTTAGTGCTATAAATTTCCCTCTACACACTGCTTTGAATGTGTCCCAGAGATTCTGTTATGTTGTGTCTTTGTTCTCATTGGTTTCAAAGAACATCTTTATTTCTGCCTTCATTTCATTATGTACCCAGTAGTCACTCAGGAGCAGGTTGTTCAGTTTCCATGTAGTTGAGTGGTTTTGAGTGAGTTTCTTAATCCTGAGTTCTAGTTTGATTGCACTGTGGTCTGAGAGATAGTTTGTTATAATTTCTGATCTTTTACATTTGCTGAGGAGTGCTTTACTTCCAACTATGTGTTCAATTTTGGAATAGGTGTGGTGTGGTGCTGAAAAAAATGTATATTCTGTTGATTTGGGGTGGAGAGTTCTGTAGATGTCTATTAGGTCCGCTTGGTGCAGAGCTGAGTTCAATTCCTGGGTATCCTTGTTAACTTTCTGTCTCGTTGAGCTGTCTAATGTTGACAGTAGGGTGTTAAAGTCTCCCATTATTATTGTGTGGGAGTCTAAGTCTCTTTGTAGGTCACTCAGGACTTGCTTTATGAATCTTGGTGCTCCTGTATTGGGTGCATATATATTTAGGATAATTAGCTCTTCTTGTTGAATTGATCCCTTTACCATTATGTAATGGCCTTCTTTGTCTCTTTCAATCTTTGTTGGTTTAAAGTCTGTTTTATCAGAGACTAGGATTGCAACCCCTGCCTTTTTTTGTTTTCCATTTGCTTGGTAGATCTTCCTCCATCCTTTTATTTTGAGCCTATGTGTGTCTCTGCACGAGAGATGGGTTTCCTGAATACAGCACCCTGATGGGTCTTGACTCTTTATCCAGTTTTCCAGTCTGTGTCTTTTAATTGGAGCATTTAGTCCATTGACATTTAAAGGTAATATTGTTATGTGTGAATTTGATCCTGTCATTATGATGTTAGCTGGTTATTTTGCTCGTTAGTTGATGCAGTTTCTTCCTAACATCAATGGTCTTTACCATTTGGCATGATTTTGCAGTGGCTGGTACCGGTGGTTCCTTTCCATGTTTAGTGCTTTTCAAAATCTCCTTAAGCTGATAAGCAACTTCAGCAAAGTCTCAGGATACAAAATCAATGTAAAAAAATCACAAGCATTCTTATACACCAATAACAGACAAACAGAGAGCCAAATCATGAGTGAACTCACATTCACAATTGCTTCAAAGAGAATAAAATACCTAGGAATCCAACTTACAAGGGATGTGAAGGACCTCTTCAAGGAGAACTACAAACCACTGCTCAATGAAATAAAAGAGGATACAAACAAATGGAAGAACATTCCATGCTCATGGGTAGGAAGAATCAATATCATGAAAATGGCCATACTGCCCAAGGTAATTTATAGATTCAATGCCGTCCCCATCAAGCTACCAATGACTTTCTTCACAGAATTGGAAAAAACTTCTTTAAAGTTCATATGGAACCAAAAAAGAGCCCGCATCGCCAAGTCAATCCTAAGCCAAAAGAACAAAGCTGGAGGCACCACAGTACCTGACTTCAAGCTATACTACAAGGCTACAGTAAATAAAACAGCATGGTACTGGTACCAAAACAGAGATATAGATCAATGGAACAGAACAGAGCCCTCAGAAATAATGCAGCATATCTACAACTATCTGATCCTTGACAAACCTGAGAGAAACAAGCAATGGGAAAGGATTCCCTATTTAATAAATGGTGCTGGGAAAACTGGCTAGCCATATATAGAAAGCTGAAACTGGATCCCTTCCTTACACCTTATACAAAAATCAATTCAAGATGGATTAAAGACTTAAACGTTAGACCTAAAACCGTAAAAACCCTAGAAGAAAACCTAGGCATTACCATTGAGGACATAGGCATGGACAAGGACTTCATGTCTACAACACCAAAAGCAATGGCAACAAAAGCCAAAATTGACAAATGGGATCTAATTAAACTAAAGAGCTTCTGCACAGCAAAAGAAACTACCATCTGAGTGAACAGGCAACCTACAGAATGGGAGAAAATTTTCGCAACCTACTCATCTGACAAAGGGCTAATATCCAGAATCTACAATGAACTCAAACAAATTTACAAGAAAAAAACAAACAACCCCATCAAAAAGTGGGCAAAGGATATGAACAGACACTTCTCAAAAGAAGACATTTATGCAGCCAAAAAACACATGAAAAAATGCTCACCATCACTGGCATCAGAGAAATGCAAATCAAAACCACAATGAGATACCATCTCACACCAGTTAGAATGGCAATCATTAAAAAGTCAGGAAACAACAGGTGCTGGAGAGGATGTGGAGAAATAGGAACACTTTTCCACTGTTGGTGGGACTGTAAACTAGTTCAACCATTGTGGAAGTCAGTGTGGCGATTCCTCAGGGATCTAGAACTAGAAATACCATTTGACCCAGCCATCCCATTACTGGGTATATACCCAAAGGACTATAAATCATGCTGCTATAAAGACACATGCACATGTATGTTTATTGCGGCACTATTCACAGTAGCAGACTTGGAACCAACCCAAATGTCCAACAATGATAGACTGGATTAAGAAAATGTGGCACATATACACCATAGAATACTATGCAGCCATAAAAAATGATGAGTTCATGTCCTTTGTAGGGACATGGATGAAATTGGAAATCATCATTCTCAGTAAACTATCGCCAGAACAAAAAACCAAACACTGCATATTCTCACTTATAGGTGGGAATTGAACAATGAGTACACATGCACACAGAAGGGGGAACATCACACTCTGGGGACTGTTATGGGGTTGGGGGAGAGGGGAGGGATAGCATTGGGAGTTATACCTAATGCTAAATGACGAGTTAATGGGTGCAGCACACCAGCATGGCACATGTATACATATGTAACTAACCTGCACATTGTGCACATGTACCCTAAAACTTAAAGTATAATATAAAATAAAATAAAAAAATTGAACTTTTGGCTGAAAATGCTAAAATACATATTTTGCAATTCTTCATGTGTGCTTGATTTAAAATATAAGAATATCTGTAGATATTTTCATTGTGAATGTTCCTACTTTGATTCAACAGACTTGAACTCAAAGCTATAAATTGATTTGCTGATATAAGTAAGCATAATGGGCATCAATATGTGAAACCTGAGGGTAATTTATTTTTACTTTTCTAAGTTATTTTAAACTAAAAGTAACCTAAGAACTTCCCAAAACTTGCATATTAGTCCCATTTATATTTTTCTTTGTTTCTTATCCCAATATTACCCTTAAAAATTAAGCATCGTGTTTATAGTTTTAATAAGTAGGAAAGATTTGTTTGAAAGTGAATATTTTTAGATATCTGCAATAACCACCTGCTGTTTCTTTCCCAAATACAAACATGTTTCCTAATAAGAGATTCACTATAACTTTTGCAGTCGGGATTTTTCATCTTGTACATATAAACCAAGTCAGTGCCTCTGAATCTGATTTTCATCTCTCTTTCATAAGTTATATCTAATTTTTCTTTGTTCTGGACATATTTGTGTATATTCCCTGTTGAGTACAAACCCAATTTTGAATGCTTCCACCACAAAAACTACATTCTTCTCCTGAATGCCTCTGTCTAAAAACTATTTTCTCAGCCACTGAAACTTGAAAACTTAGTTTTTACTCCCTTACCATTTCTTCCCTTCCAGTTAGTAACAGTGTCTTGTGCATTCTACCTCTGTCTGTTAAATCTCTTCATTGCCTTTTTGATGCCTCCTGCTGGTTTTTACTGCTTTGTACTTGGTCTATTTAAATAATTTATATTTTCCTTCTAATACAACTTTGACACTATTGCCAAATTGCTTTCTGCAGTGTTCAGCTCAGATCATATTATTCTCTTGCTTAAAAAATTTCAATTTCTTCACATTGCCTACCAAGAACACCAGATCAGGCCCCATCTCTTGGAACTGTTTCTGTTTCCAAGATCTAATCCTTTGTAGAAGTTTCAGAGAGGGAATGCTACGCAGCACTTGTTACCTAGTCTCCTTGCCAGTCAAAGTTATGTCTATAGCATGCTTACATAGCTCTATCCTCTACAGATAATAAAGCTACAATTGGCTAACACAAACAAAATACAGAGTGAGCAATGGCTGACTGCCTATAACACTAAAATTCAGCTGTTATAAAGATGACTGAGATGCCTGATCAGAACATGCAATTTTATCCAGAGACTAATCACAATAATTTTCTAAATAGAATTAGAGAAAAGTTCTTGAATTAGTTAGCAGCTAAAGCAAGCATTTGTCTTTGTTAAAGGGTGATATCAAAAATATCTTTTGAAAGAAAGGATAAAATACATAGAAATAAATTTAACCAAGAAGATAAAAGTTCTACATTCTGAAAACTATAAAATATTGATGCAAGAAATTGAAGACATAAATAGGTATCCCACATTTGTGTATTGGAAGAAGTAATATTGTTAAATGTCCATACTACTCAAAACAATCTAAATGTTTACTACAATCCCTATCAAAATTTCAATGACAATTTTCTCAGAAATATAAAAAGCAATTCTAAAATTTGTGTGGAATCACAGAAGACCACAAAGAAGCCAAATCAGTCTTGAGCAAAAAGAACAAAGCTGTAAGACTCACACTACCTGATTTCAAAATATATTACAAAGTTATAATTATCAAAATAGCATGGTACTTGCATAAAAAAAGAAACACAAACAAATGGAACAGGATATAGAGCCCAAAATAAACCTACACATTACTATCAATTGATTTTTGACAAAGTCACCAAGAACATACAATGGGGAAAAAGTCTCTAATGGGGTTGGGAAAACTAGATATCCACATACAGTAGAATAAAATTAAACACTTATCTCATACTATCTATAAAAATCAACCAGAAACAAATACTTTTATAAGACCTGAAACTATAAAACTACTAAAAGAAAACATAGGAGAAAAGCTTCACAGTATTGGTGTGGGCAATAGTTTTTGGGATATGACCTGAAAAGCATAAGCAAAAAAAGTGAAAATAAACAAATACTATTGCATCAAACTAAAAATTTTCTACACAGCAAAGAAAACAGTAACTGAGTAAAGAGACAACCTATGCAATGGAAGGAAATATATACAAATCACACATCTGATAATGGGTAAATATCCAAAAATGTATAAAAGGCCTGAGGTTTCTCAGAAGCAAACACCAATGGCCAATAGGTATATGAAGAAATGCTTAACATCAGGAAAATGCAAATTAAAACCACAATGAGATATCACCTCATACCTGTTTGAATGGCTACCATCCAAAAGATGAAAGACAACAAGTTAGTGGGGATGTGGAGAAAGGGAACTCTGTATGCAGTTGATGGGAATGTAAATCAGTACAGCCATTATGAAAAACATTATGGAGATTCCTCAAAAAGAAAAATAAAAACTTAACGTATGTCCCAGCATCTTACACCTGAGTATATATCCAAAGCAATTGAAATCAGTATGTCAAAGAGTTTTCTGTACTCCCATGTTCACTGCAGCACTGTTCACAATAGCTATGATAGGAAATCAATTAAAGTGTCCAACAGATGATGGTATACATACACAATGGAATACTACTGAGACTTAAAAAAAGGAAATTCTGTCATTTGTGACAACGTGGGTGAGCCCAAAAGACATTATACTAAATAAAATAATAAATACTACAGAATCTTATATGTGGAATCTAAAAAAGTCAAACTAATAGAAGCAGATAGTAGAATAGTGGTTACCAGAAGCTGAGGTGGGTGGATGGTGATGGGGGACAGATGGGGAGATGTTGACCAAAAGGTATAAAATTTGTTAGAAATAACTCTTTGAGAGCCATTTCACAGCATAGTGACTATAGTTAAAAACAATGTCATGTATATTTCAAAATCATTAAAAGCAGATTTTAAATGTAACACAAAAATAAGCATGTGAGGTGATATGTTAATTAGCTTGATTTAATCATTCTATAATATATGCATATATCAAATATCATATATCCATAAATACATACAATTATAATTTGTCAATTAAACACACAAAAAATCATTTTCTGACAAGGAGTCTCACTTATCCCGGGTTGGGCCTTAGAAGTTGGGCATATGGGCTGGGTGCTGTGTGGCTCAAGCCTATAATCCCAGCACTTTGGGAGTCCATGACAGGCAGATCACGAGGTCAGAAGTTCGAGACCAGCCTGGCCAATATGGTGAAACCCTATCTCTATTTAAAAAAAAAAAAAAAAAAAAACTCAGCAGGGCGTGGTGGTGCACGCCTGTAGTCTCAGTTACACAGGAGGCTGAGGCAGGAGAATCACTTCAACCTAGGAGGCAGAGGTTGCAGTGAGCCGAGATTGCACCACTGCACTCAGCCTGGGTGACAGAATGGAGTGAGACTCCATCTCAAAACAAAAAAAAATAACTTGGGCATATGACTACAGGACAGCTCTCCAACTTTTTTAACAGAAACATCTGGTAATAAAGCCAATTGCAATGCATTATTATCCCAACAATAATCTTGTGAACAATAATCTAATGTGGTACAACCCTTAAGATTCATGTGAAATTCTCCATAAAACAGCCTAATAATTTTTTTGATTTATTGTCAATCATTGCTTTGTTCATGTTCTGCAGTACAGCTGTGCTCAACTATAAGTCCCTTTTCCTCTCCTTCTTCCTGTGCAATATTCCTGGGAGTTTGGTAGGCCATTTAAAGATAATCTGCCCATCACACATAAGTTTACAAAATGCATGTCATGTTAAAAACAATAGAAAAAATGACAACAAAACCAGCAAATGTTTTTGAAAGATGAGAATATCTGTGTCAATTATCAAAAGGCACTGTGGATCTTAATGTTCTCTTTCCACAGCCCATCAACAAATTGTACCCTTCCAACTCCACTGGTCTAGGTCTTCGGTATCCTGTAAATCAGCTGTCTCCAACCTTTTTGGCACCAAGGACCTGTTTCATGGAAGACAATTTTTCCACACACTTGGTGGGGGGGGTGGTTAGCGGGGAATGGATGAAACTGTTCCACCTCAGATTATCTAACATTAGATTCTCATAAGAGGCACACAACCTAGATCCCTTGCATGTGCAGTTCCCAATAGGGTTTGTACTCCTATGAAATCCAATGCTGCAGCTGACCTGACGGGAGATGGAGCTCAGGTGCTAATGCTCACTAGCTGCTGCTCACCTCCTGCTGTGTACCCCAGTTCCTAACAGGCGACGAACAGGTACTGGTCCACAGCCTCAGAATTGGGGACCCCTGCTATAAAGTAAGGTCCAAATTCAATTTCTCAATTTTTACCAAAAATCTGAGCAAAACCCTTGATCATCTCCTACAGCATTTTAGATACCAGTGCTTTCTTAGCTAACAGCTCTTTTTCACATATGACAACGTAGCTCCTTGACTCAAGAGCTGTTTTACTTCTAACATGTTTCTTGCAGGGTATCTTACACATAGGCGGTTTTCAATAAATATTTTTTTGAGTTGAATGTTGACACAGGTTTATAATTATATCCAGTACATTATATTTATAAAAGAAAACGGAAGAATAAGGAGATACCTTCTTACTCAGGCATACATTTTTTTTTCCTTTTTTTGTGAGACAGGGTCTCACTGTCACCCAGGCTGGAATGCAGTGGCATGATCTTGGCTCACTGCAACGTCTACCTTATGGGCACAAGCCATCCTCCCACTTCAGCCTCCTGAGTAGCTGAGACTACAGACGCATACCACCATGTCTGATTAATCTTCCTATTTTTTATAGAAATATTTTGTCATGTCTAGTGTTTAATATTACAATAAAGCAACTATAGTTAATAATTTATTGTATATTTCAAAACAGCTAAAAGGAAAGAGGTGGAATGTTCCTAACTCAAAGAAATGATAAATGTTTGAAATGATGGATACCCCATCTCAATTACCTGTATTTGATCATTATACATTGTATGCATATATCAAATATCACATGTATTCCAAAATTATGTACAATTATGGATGATAAAAAGTTTTTTTAATGATGTAAAAATTATATTTATAGAACATAAAAATTTTATTTTCATACCTGAATGATGAGACAAGATAAAATAAGGATTGATGAAAGTGCTGACAGTAGTCAACTAATTTAACATATTTGAAACTCAAAAAACATTACAATTGCACATCAATAAAACTGAAACACTCTTTAGGAAGATCTAAATAAACACATGAAACATGCACTTCAAAACTTATAAAATGCTTTTGACAAATCAAGTTGGCAATCTACCTGTTGCCAAAATACAGATGAAATTCTTTGTTGAAATACTGAAATGCAAAGAAGGTTAGTGACTGACACACACTTAAGGAATGGCAGAAAGAAAAATTCTAGGTTGCAGAAATGGAAAGAAGTGTTTTGGGTCTCTCTCATTGTCTACCCAATGGCTCAGAGACATAGAATCTATGAAGTTTGAACAACACTACAAATGATGGGATGTAGCTTTCTAACTCTTCAAATTTATCTCAGAGTTAAAAAATGGGGAATTAGGGAATGTGAACCATTAGAGAGGAAGCATAATTAACTAACTGGAAATATAGTGTTTTTAAAAGCTCATTTTTGTGATAATTCTACATTTGTGTAATTCCACTCTCTTTATGACCCCTTCACCATTCTACCTAAAGCCCACACATCCAAGAATGGATCTTAAAGAGTCTAAAGAACTGAAGTCTCTGTTAGCGTCAGAGATGTAAAAGAGATGAAAGAAGTAAAAGGAAAAGCAGACACCATCTTTAAAGGAGATATGAATTTTCCAATGACTAGAAATGAAAATATCCTCTTTTGACATCAAAATATATATTAAAGTAAGGCACGAGGAGGGAGTATTAAATGGGGAAGAGCCACACATTAAGTCTTATGATGTTAATTTTGTGTGTCAACATGACTGAGCTAAAGAGTGCCTATATATTTGGTTAAATGTTATTTCTGAGCGTGTCTATTAGGGTGTTTATCAAAAAGATGAACTTTTTTTTTCTTTCGAGCCATGTTTCGCTCTGCACTTAGGCTGGAGTGCAGTGGTGTGAGCTCAGCTCACTGCAACCTTCGCCTCCAGGGTTCAAGCAATTCTCCTGCCCCAGCCTCCTGAGTAGCTGGGATTACAGGCCTGTGTCACCATGCCTGGCTAATTTTTATATTTTTAGGAGAGATGGGGTTTCACCATGTTGGCCAGGCTGGTCTCGAACTCCTCACCTCAAGTGATCTGCCCACCTCAGCCTCCCAAAGCGCTGGGATTACAGGTGTGAGCCACTACACCTGGCCAAGAGAAATATTTGAATATGTAGACTGAGTAGACTGTTCTTCCCAATGTAGGTAGGCCACATTCAATCCTATAAAGACCTAAATATAATAAAAGATTGAGTAAGAAAGAATTCTTTGTTTTTGCCTGTCTTTAAACTGGGACATTGGTGTTCTCTTGCCATTGGACAGACTGGAATTATATACTCAGCTCTTCTGGGTTTGGACTTGTAAGCCTCTGTAATTGCATAAGCCAATCCCCTACAATAAATCTCTCTGTATGTGTTTCTCTCTCTCTCTCTCTCTCTCTCTCTCTCTCTCTCTGTGTCTCTCTGTGTCTGTGTGTGTGTGTGTGTCTGTGTGTGTGGGTGTGTGTGCACGTGTGTGCATATACATATAGAGTAGTCCTGCATATCCATGAGAGATTTGTTCAAGGGTACCTTGCGGATGCCAAAATCCACAGATGCTCAAGTTGCTCATACAAAATTGATTAGTATTTGCAAATAACCTATGCATATCCCCCGTATACTTCTAAAAATCTCTAGATTACTTACTATGTCTAATAGAATGTAAATGCTATGGAAACAGTTGCTATGCTGTACTTCATATTCTTTTTTATTTTTTTAAATATTTTCTATCTGCAGTTGAATTCATGGATGTGGAACCTGCATATACAAAGGGCTGACTATATTATAACACAATTCCTTATATAAATCCTTTATAATAAATCTTTATATCTATATCTGTCTATCTGTTTATCCTTTCATATCTGTTTCTTGGGACAACCCTGAAGGTAATACAGATTTTGGTACCAAGAATGGTTCTAAACAGACCAAAACTTAGGGATCAGTTTTCTGAATTGATTCTTGGGTTTCTGGTTTTCTGGAATTGACTCTCTAATCTGATTAGATTTAAAGATGCTAATGACTTTCCAGTTGTAAAGAAAGCACCAATATTCCAATATCTTTATAATAGAGATATGTAAAATGCTCCATTGGAAACCTCCTAATCAATTGCTTGCAAGAAGCAGGGAGATGAGCGTGTATGTAATACTTTCACATATTTTTGGAAATATAATTCAATATAACTAAGTAGGTAGAATAGTTGCTCCTATTATCACTGGACAAAGTAGTGAAAGAAAAGAATGAGCTCAGGGATTTGGTTTCCCAGCTCAAGGGCTGCATAATTGCCCTGAAAACTTCCATATGTACCTTGAAGGAGATCCCTATCTCTTCCAGCCCCAGAACTGAGATTACTGAAAATTAAACCCCAAATCCTATCCTGTTGCTGCTGATCACAGTGCAAATTGAACTTTTAGTTTCATGGGGCATCCATTTTTTAAATGAGAGTGTTGTTTGGGAGAGAATGGGATCCTATAAGTTGAAATGGGGCTTGCGGAAAGACCTTGATGCAACTGGGGTCACTGAGCCCAAACATTCTAATGAGTCTTCTTTGCCAGTGGAAGAGGCCCCCTATCTCCAGTAGACATGGTCTCCCCACCCCGAGTGGTAGTTGCCTCTCCACTCCCATGTGAGAAACCTGCATTGCCTGAGGAAAGCATAATTGCCTCTTTTAAGACATGGCCATGCAAGACAATGTACTTTCTCCTCAGGGCCTACCTCCAACACCTCTTTGGGCTTCTATACCTATAACTACATACAAGTCCAAGCAGGACATAGAAGGTAAGGTACAAAGTGGGACCCATGATGTGGTGTGCTGTACTCTAAAAGAAATGTTTTAATTTTCCAATTTATACAGACGGAAGTTGGGGGAACATGTACAGAGATGAATATTTAAAACATGGAATAATGGTAGAAGTATCATAATGTTGCATCAGGCTGAATTTACTACTATGGTCTAAGAGTAGATTCTCCATCTAATGTTTCAGCTCAGGGAGTTTGGAAGGGTTCTCACTGTTTAGTTTTGGCTGAAACATGAACCCAAAGTGAGTGAATTACAAATACATGACCTGCCTTTAAAAAAAAAATATATATATATGGATTCATATATATATATAGGGATTCATATGTATAGGGATTCATATATATATATGGATCCATATATATATATGGATTCAAAGGCTTAGGGAGATTGGAATGTTAGAGATAATTTGTAGTTAAACTTTACCTACACTGGGAGGTCCAGAAGACATACCTTTTACCATTCCTATGAGGAATAAATATGTGAGAGAAGGGCTGGCATCCTCAAAGAGCTCCATGATCATGTTTATCCATAGGTGGACTTTACAGTGGGGCTACAGTCACTGAATTGGAAAACCTAAATGCAATAGGAATAATTGGATTATGTTGTGGCAGAGGCCAAGTGGCAACAGACAACTGCCAAAGGCAAGGTGCGGTGGTTGTCATAATGGTCAGCAGATTCAATGCAGAAATTAGAATAGTCTGACTTGTACAGATTTATGGCATTGGTTAGGTGATCATGGTGTTCCTAGAAGTAAAATAGATAGAAAGCCTACTACTTGAAAGCCTTCTTACTTGATCTGTATAAGCAGAAAGGCTCTAGCTCAGGTGAACAAAGGTGTAATTTGATTCATGAAAACAGAGTCATTACCCTTCAATCAGTTTCCAGATTTGAACGAGTTTACAGTACCAGAAGTCCCTAAAAAGAAGAGGCTGTGTTACCTTAAGGAAGGACTCAGTACACTGTGGAAGGATAAATGTTTATGTTCTTAATCTTTCTCTGAAACTACTCCAAAGGGACCTATAGTCTTCTACCAGGTTAACTGTGCATGTAGGAAATAAAAATAATTGGACCTTTGGAGAACTACTGAACATAAACACCAGTTATGGGAGACCTAACACATCACTATAGTTTACCAGTCAGAATAGGAGCTTGTAGAGGTAAGTGATCAATGGCGCTTTAGCTCAGCTCTGTCTTCTCACCGTGGATCCAGTTGTTCCCTGAACCCATCCTATAGTTATTTCTACAGTTCTGGATGTACAGTTGAAATAGACATACTCAGCAGCTAGTAAAATCCCAATATTGGTTCCCTGACCTTTGGGTCAAGGACTAATATGGGTGAAAGTCTAAGTGGAAGCCGCTAGAACTGTCTCCACATAAGAAAATAGTAAACCAAGAACAATATCACATTTCTGGAGGGATTACAGAGATTAGTACCATAATCGAGGACTTGAAAGATGCAGGGGTGGTGATTCCCACCACAACCCTATTCAGTTCACCTATTTGACCTGTGCAGAAGAGAGAGAAGGATCTGGGAGAATGACAGTGGATTATCTTAAGTTAACCAGGTGGTAACTCCAATTGCAGCTGCTTTATCAGATGTGACTTCATTGCTTAACCAAACTAACATGTCTCCTTTTACCTGGTATCCAGTTATTAACCTGAAAATGCTTTGTTTCTTGATACTTGTGAGTGAAGACCACCAGAACAGTTTGCTTTCCAGCAGAGAGTTTGCTCCAGCGATATGTCATACATTATTTTACAGGGATCTTGATCACCTTTCTCTTCCACAAGCTATCATACTGATGTATTATATTGATGCCATTATGCTGATTGGACCTAGTGAGCTAGAATTAGCAACTACCATAGGCTTATTAGGAAGACATTTGCCTGTCAGAAGGTGAGAAATAAATTTAGCAAAATTCCATGAGCCTTCTACCACGATACAATTTCTAAGAATCCAGTGGAGGATACAAAGTCTAAGAGCCTAGTGGACCTCTTTGGGCTTTGGAGGAAAGATATTCCTTATTTTGGTGCATTACTCCAGCCCATTTAATGAATGATCCCCAAATATGCTAGGTTTTAGTGGGGCTTAGAACAAGGGACAGTTTTGCAACAGGCCAAGGTTGCTGTGCAAGCTGGTCTGCTGCTTGGGCCATCTAATACAGCCAATCCAATGGCACTTGAAGCGTTTATGGTAGACAGAAATACTGATTGGAGCCTTTGGAAGGCCCTTATAGGTGAATAACAACATAAGTTCTCAGGTTTTTAGATTAAGGTCCTACCGTCTTACCCACACGAGTCCCCTTTTAAGAAACACCTCTTAGCTCACCACTGGGTCTTAGGAGGGACTAAGTGGTTAACCATTGACCACCAAGTTACCATGAAATCTGAGCTGCCCATCATGAAGGGGATATGATCTGACCAATCAAGCCATAAAGTTGAGCATGCATTGCAACACCCTGTCATCAAATGGAAGTGGTATAGACATGATAGGACCAGAGCAACCCTGAATGTACAAGTAAGTTACATGAAGAAGTGGCCCAAATGCCTATGGTTCCTGCTTCTGCTACCCTGCCTTATTTCTGTCAGCCTACATCCATGACCTAATGAGGCATTTCCTATGATCAGTTGACAGAGAAAGAGAAAGCTTGGGCCTTGTTTTCAGATGGTTCTGCAGGATATGCAGGCACCACCTCAAATTGGACAGCTATATCTGTATAGCCCCTTTGTGGGACATCCATGAAGGACAGTGGTGAAGAGAAATTCTCCCAGTTGGCAGAGCTTCAAGCACTGAACCTGGTTGTCCACTTTGCTTGGAAGGAGAAATGGCCAGACATGCGATTGGATTACAATTCATGGACTGTGGCCAATGGTTTGGCTAGATGGTCAGGAACTTGGAAATAATATGATTGGAAAACTGGTAGAAATAAAATTTTGGGAAGAGATATGTGGATAGATATGTCTGAACAGGCAAAAGAACATGAATATGTTTGTGTCCTATGTGAATGCTCACAAAATTAACATCAACAGAGGAGAATTTTAATATCCAGATGGATAGGATGACCCATTCTGTAGATATCAGTCACCCTATTTTTCCATACCACCCCCTATCATTGCCCAATGGGCTCATGAACAGAGTGGCCAAGGTGGTAGTGATGCAAGTTATGCATGGGTTGAGCAACATGTACTTCCACTCATCAAGGCTGACATGGCTATTACCACAGCTGGCCAGAAGCAGAGATCAACACTGAGTTCCTGATGTAGCATCATTTCCCAGGGTGATCTGCCAGCTACCTGATGACAGGTTGAGCACATTGGACTGCTTCCACTAAGGAAAGAGCAGCATTTTGTTCTTACCAGAACAGACACATGTTTCTGTCAAAACTGCAACCCATGTAATTACAGAATCCTATATTCACCTTCATGATATTCCACACAGCATTGGTTCTGATTTAAAAAAATAAACTCACTTCAAAGAAAAAATCATGTAGCAATGGGTCCATTTTCATAAAATTCACTAGTCTTATCTTATTTCCCACTATTCTAAAGCAGTCAATTTGCTAGAATGGTGGAATTGCCTTTTGAAGTCTCAGTTATATCACCGAAGGGATAGTACTTTGCAGGCATGGTTCATTTATTTCACATCATACTATTTAAGTTATGGAATATGAAGGAGATGAGCAAATATAACTACTTTGCCTCTCTATCTGGGGAAAGGGTTTGTGAATTTGGGTTGTACACTGAATAGTTGTATCATGTTAGGCAGAATTATGACCTTATTATTGCCTTTGTTTAGAGATTGAGTATGGCTTAAGGAAATATGTGTGAGTGCCAAGTTGACATAGGGTAGACTTGGATGGCTAATTTTATATATCAACTTGAATGAGCCACTGGATACTTGTATATCTGGTTAACCATTATTTCTGGATATGTCTGTGAGAGTATTTCTGGATAGAATTAATATTTGAATCTATGGACTGAGTAAAGCAGATTGCCCTCCCTAATATGGGTGTGCCTCATTTAATCCATTTAAGGCCTTAATAAAAAAAAAAAGCTAGTTAAAAAAATTTATACCTAATGCTTGTGGGGCTTAAAATCTAGATGACGGGCTGAAAGGTGCAGCAAACCACCCTGGCACATGTATACCTGTGTAGCAAACCTGCACATTCAGCACATGTATCCCAGAACTTAAAGTAAAATTAAAACAAAAAACATCATTTCTCTCTGCCTGGATTTGAGCTGAACATTGATCTTTTCTGGCCTTTGGACTCAGACAGAAGTATATCGTTGACTCTCCTGGGCCTGAAGTTCTTAACGTTTATAATAGCATAAGCCAATTCCTTCTAATAAATCTTTCTCTCTCACTCTCTTTCTTCATAAATATATAATATATAAATATAAATAATATGTACATATATAATATATAGAGGTTTATAAATAATATATAAAAAGAGATTTATATATAATATAGAATACATTATTCCTGTATAATGCATATATTTATTGGTTTTGTTTCTCTGAGTTGTTTCTGTTTCCCTAACTAATACAAGACTCAGCCTTTTGGGGAGTCTGTATCATCTATTGTCAACTCTCCAAAAATATCACCAAATAACCTGCTAATAATCTGTCACTGAATGAAAACCAAGCTTATCACCTACTGGCAGTAAGGAGACTTTACCTTGCCACCTCAATATATTTTCTTGATAGTGCTTCTGAAGTGTGTAAAGGTCAAAGCCACATATTCATAGGGTTTTGGGATCTGGTATTAGGCCGAAGTTGATTGATAGAGAGATTTGGTTAGGATTGGCTGGAGTCCATGATAGAGATATTTAGGATTGGTGGACACAACGAAGTGAGCATTTGATGAGTAAATTATTTTGATAAGCAAGTGGTTTGCCCACTCGAGTGATTTATACCTGGAGAAGAGGACTATTTACCATAAAAAGATTCTATTGTCCTAAGAGAGTTATAGTAGAGAAATATATTGTTCAGAAAAATGAATTTTTGAAAAGTTTCTGAAATAAATAATAAAGTTTGCCACTACTTGTCTTCCTGACTTAGAATTCCTTTGAATGGTAAGATGGTAAGGTCTTGTTAATTACAACTGCTGAGTTCTTGATCCAGTTAAGCTGTGTGGATGAAGGCAAGCTGTTTTCAATGTGGATTAGAAGATTCCACTTAAAGTTAAGGCCTATGTTAGACATTATTTTCTATTCTGTCTCTGTGTTTAAACATACATCGATAAAAAGTTTTTTTTAAAATAAAACAATAAACTATCCAAGTTTCCCCCTTTACTAACAATAGCCTAGAAGCATATTTTTATCAATAATTTAAAATTTAGTACCTTAAAACATACCATAATGAGAATTAAAGACAGATTTCAAACTAGGATAAAAGTATTTTCACTTTTAAGGGAAGAGATAATGAAAATTTAAAATACACAACTATTTCAATTACTAGGAGAATAAGATGAACTAAAACAGAAAAGTTGATATAAAGAAAAGACCAAGAGCAAAAACTTACATAAGGCCAATATAAGCCTGAGTAAAATTTAACCTAACTAGTAATACAAAATATATACTAAAATGTTGGTGAAATGCTTTTGTTGAAAAATTAGCAAAGATTCAAATGTTAAGAATGTTCAGTGATATTCAGAATATTTTGAATTCAGACATTCTTCCATTATGTGATTATATTTTGCCACTACTATTTCAGAGTGCAATTTGACAATTTGTATTGAATACATTAAGCACAGGTTCTCTTTCTAAAAATGCTCCCCTACAAAACAATCAGATACATGTATCAGATTCATGTTCAGGTTAGGTCATTATAAAATTGTTTATATATAAGTAGAGTTCCAACTGTCACACCAGCAGAATGAAGGAGAAAGGACTAGGAACATACAGCAGCTGTCATTTATGGACAGTTCTAGGAAGCTTTGTCTTATGTATTACTGTGCAGTCACACTACATGAGAGACTGAGAAATGTTTTTATTCTAGGCAGCCATGTGTCCAGCTAAATATCAGCAATTTTGTGATAATGTGAAAAGGAGAGTTTCTTTTACATTGTTTCACTGGGCAAATTAACTCCAATTTGTCTTAGCCTCTCCAATCTACTCTTGTCTCTCCTTAGAATAACTAAAGGGCTCATTAACATTTCTTCCAAACAAAAAAAGTGGTCTTTTTCTTTAAAAATAACCCACTACTTTCTTAGAATTTAAATGGATTTAGCCAACTTATTAAAATACTTATTGCCTCATTTTAAAGATAAATGATTCAAAATTGCAGTTCTAGAATATTCTGTTTTTATTTTAAATTATAGACATGTGGATATGTGAATGAATTCAGGGAATAAAGCAAAATGCTAACATTTATTTCTTGAATAGTAGGATATAAGATTATTTTAAGTTGTGCTTGTATTTAAAGCATTTTATAAATGTTTTAAAAATAAAAATCTATAAATCAGAAGTGAAATATCAATTGCTGTATATAGTGTCAAGAAATAAATTCCATTAATTCAATCATTCATTCATTTATCCTATATATTTACATATTTTATATTCTATGTACTGAACACCATAAACTAATAATTCATGATCCTATCATCAAGATGTATACCTCCAATTACAGTAGAATGACTTAGACATAATGGTATATACATGAATAAGCTGGTATTGTAACACTAAGCGGGTGTACTCCACCCAGATTGTAGAGGCAAGAAAAATATTTGTGCTGAGTTTAAGTTTTAAAAAGGGCCTATGTGAAGGTATGAAATGTATAGGTATAAAAAGTTATCCTATTGCAAGAATTGTGTACATATTGAATGTAACTAGTATATATACATGTAAGTGTGGTGTGTATGCATGTATGTGTATGTGTCAGAGAAATAGTTGGAATAAGGCTAGATACATTTGCAGGGGCCCTTACCATGATGGATCTTCCCATGAAGTTTGACTTTGTTGTGAAGGATTTGTGTGGAGACTGAAAGATTGCAAGCAGGTAAGTGTTATCATAGGATTTGCATTTTAGACAGTGGCATATCAAATATCCCTTCAACAAATGGTCCAGCTCTCCAGGTACCATTAAAAATATACAGAAAAAACACAAACTCAAGCTAATGACAATCTAAAGAGCTTCTGGAGAGCAAAAGAAACTACCAATAGAGTAAACAGACAACCTGCAGAATGGGAGAAAATTTTTGAAAACTATGCATCTGACAAAGGTCTAATATCCAGTATCTATAAGGAACTTAAACAAATTTACAAGTAAAAAGCCATTAAAAAGCGGGCAAAGAACATGAGCAGACGCTTCTCAAAAGAAGACATACATGCGGTCAAGAATCATGAAAAAGCTCAACATCACTGATAATTGGACAAATGCAAATCAAAACCACAATGAGATACCATCTCATATCAGTCAGAATGGTTATTTTTAAAAAGTCAATAAAATAACAGATGCTGGCGAGGTTGTGGAGAAAAAGAAGCACTTATACACCATTGGTGGGAGTGTAAATTAGTTCAACCATTGTGGAAGAGTGTGGCGATTCCTCAAAGACCTAAAGACAGAAGTACCATTCAACCCAGCAATCCCATTATTGTGTATACACCCAAAGGAATATAAATCATTCTATTATAAAAACCACATGCACATGAATGTTCATCACAGCACCATTCACAAAAGCAAAGCCATGGAATCAGCCTAAATGCCCGTCAATGATAAACTGGATAAAGAAAATGTGGTACATATACACCATGGAATTTTATGCAGCCATAAAAATAATGAGATCATGGCCTTTGCAGGGACCTGGATGAAGCTGAAGGCCCTTATCTTTAGCAAACTAATGCAAGAGTAGAAAACCAAATACTGCATGTTCTCACTTATAAGTGGGAGCTAAAAGATGAGAACATATGGACACATAGGTGAGAACAACACATACTGGAGCCTATTGGAGGGTAAAATGTGGGAGGAGGGAGAGGACCAGGAAAAATAACTAATGGGTACTAAGCTTAATAGCTGGTGATGAAATAATCCTTGTGACAAACCCCCATGACACACGTTTACCTCTGTAACAAACCTGTACATCCTGCACATGTACCTCTGAACTTAAAACCTTTACAATGTCAACATAGTTCCATATCTTTAGTCTATGAAATGACAGTAGGTGTTGCTTTACTTGAATGGCCAGAATATGAACTGAATGTCCATTTCAGTTGTTTCTGTTTTTGTAATGCATTTAAGCAAAGTTCAATTAGCCTACACACAGATTTTCTACTTCTAGTTCAAACTGTTGTATAACTTATCTTTCAAACCCTGCATATTACAATTCAGCACAGCTTATCTCTTAAGTATAGTATGCATGTACAGTGTACGCATCACCATAACCACGGCTTATCTCTTAAGCCCAGCATTGTACATGCATTCATTTTGCTATCCTGCATTTGTTCTTTCTTCCTCAGACCTTTTCAGTCCCTAAGAAAATGGTATCATTCTGGGTAGGACCTAAGATCAGTGATGAAATAACAGAATGCAGGATGGCAAGACTCTATATGGAGAGGGAAATTTTACAGAATCTAAACCTGGGGATACTAAATTAGATCAATTGAGTATAGGCAATATCAGAGGGTAATAAAATAGTTTAAGAATACATAGATGTTTTTTGTTTGTTGGTTAGTTTTTGCTTTTCTTGTAATTCAGGTTAAAGATGTGACATTTCCTAACAGCACCAAGGAAGGAGCACCAGAGAACATGAAAAGGCACTCAAGCTAAGTGGTCTGTTGAACTTTGCATATCTTCCTCTTTGTCAATGAAAGAAGGCAAAACCAAACCTAAATGAAACAAAACAAAGAACTACTTACAAGGAGTTTTAAAATATCTCAATCTCTGCGTTACTTATGTAACCCACAGAGTATATAGATGACCACTTAGAGGTATTCCTACTATTAACAAAGGTATTAGTATCTGTGTTTTACCCATGAAAAATTAGAAACTTAGAAAAATATCTTGTTCAGTTTCACACTGGTACAATATGAGGGTATGAAAGTTGTAACTGACTCTAAAGCTTGAGCTATTTTCTTATAGATATAATTTAAATAATGTCTATCAACTTTCTTGAAATATTCTCATTGTTACCTAAGAATTTAAAATATTGATATGCAATTGATCTAAGAGAGGTTAAACATGAATTGGAAATTCCTTCTCCGATATCAGGTTTGATTTTTCACAAATATCAATGTTTATGAAAGTATTCCTAAAATTTCAGGTAAAACCACCCAATAATATGACTGTGAAAAATTATGCTTCTTCCTCTATGAGCTACTACATTCTTAAATTATCTGAGCATTCTATTAAAACTTAAAAAAATGCTTAACTTGAGTCTGCATGAATCTGAATTCCCTGCATATTTAATTTTAAAGAAAATAGTTTATTTTTTTGTTAGACCAATACTTTACAAACTTCCCCAACCAATAAGAAAGAACAAAGAGGAGAACATGAATATCCCTGGGTATTTGTGAGTAAATCCCCAAGAGACTAACCATAAATGTGAAATTTCTTTATAATTGTATGTCTTCTTCTAAAATATTCATGTGGATTGTGCATTCTATTCTATCTTCTTATTTTAATAAAATCTGTTTTAAATTATTTACTTCCTGGAAACAAATCTCCCTGTTGTGTTGGTTTATGAACATGGTTCTATTGCCTTCAGTCTATTGTCGGAAATAAAAACAGTCCTGCAGTTGTTGATTGAGTGTACTATGCCTTTAAGAAGTCATGGCACTCATGCAACAGCCATGTAGTTGTTGATTGAGAGTACTGTGTCTTAAAAAAAGAACTTTTGCTAAATAAACTGACTCTGTGAGCAGCCCTTCATCATTTAAGTGAGAAATGTATTGAATTAAGTTACCTTGATATTGCCTTTTGTTATATTTTTATTTCTTTGATACAAAAGAGTAACAATTTAATTCGAAATTTGAAATCCCTGAATTGCCTATCCTCTCCAGTAAGTCACTACACACCTGTATAGGGGAGCAGCCTTTCAGAATATTTTTCCTGAACATGAGAATATAAAGCAGGAGGTGGTCATATTTGTTTGAGTAGCACCTCCTGATACCATTAATCTGAGCAGAAGAGTATGGGTCCATACTAGAACAGGATATGACTAGGAAAATGAAGAAGAAATGAAAGCAAAGTATTCAACAGAAACATCTATGCTTTTTGCCATTAGCTGAATGTGACATAAGAGTATAGAATGATTTGACACGATTCCAAATCTAAATGTAACCAAGGAACTTTAAATATTATTAATGAGCATGGCAAAGTTTAGGGTCAGGGGGAACAAATTTAAAAACTATGAGCATTCTCATGACATGAGTTAAAATGCAAAGACGTAAGTTAAAACATAACTAATGACATTAATAAAGTGATTGAAGCTCTATGTCACTTAAAGATAAGAAGGTATGATAGTTTAGACATTGTTCTAAAGGCCAATCTAAGTGAAAAAAGTTTTCAGGAATTTCAGACCAAACTTACTGTTAAACTGGGCTGTCATTTTGGAAAAAAAAAAAAAAAAAAAGAAAGTAAAACTACACTTGACAAAATGATGAAAAGTCTTTAAGTTGTAAGTGATCACTTACCTTTTATTTTTTCTGCTATTTTGCCTTCCTGCTCATTTCATGGCCATTTTATACTTACACTGCCACAATGCCTGCTCCATCCTCCACCCTCCCTTCCATGGTACTGCAAAGGAGGAGTATCCATGTTTTTCCTACATGAATGTTTTCTCTTGACCATAGATTATTTGGCCAGTAGTGGTCCTCTTACACAAGAAGCATCAATTAATAAAGTATGTTCTACATCATGCTGCAGAGAAATGACTTGATTCAAACACATTCCTCTCTTAAGAGTTTGGTCTTTTTAGGAGGGATCTAGCTTAATTTCATGGAATAAACACATATATTTTATTCAATTTACTTCCAAGTCCTATTAAAGTGACAGTATGGAAATAGTATTTTTCCATATGAACTGTAAAATTAATTTATCTAGATATAAAGAAACAAAATGAAACAAACTCAAGTTGTTTCTATGTGTATCGTGATGTATTAAGTTTATAAATTGTCTTAGAAAGAATTAGCACCTTTATGATGTTGAGCTGTCCTATCTAAACAGTAGTCTATTTTTCCATTTGCTCAAAAATCTTCAGGGGAAACAAACAGCTTCAGCTAACTTTATGGGTCTGTGTTACTTGCAATCATAGAAACAGATGGAAACAAATATCTATTTATGATCTGATAAAATAATCGATTTTAGGGTCTACAAAGTAATTAGCTTCACTTATTCCTACTCTTTGATTTTAAAGATTATAGAATTGAATCTCACAGGAACTTGCTCAAGACCACAGGTTTTATGTCAGACCTAAGACCAAAGTAATTCCTTGTTTAGTCTTTATCTCCATGGGCAATTATTTTCACATGAAAGTCTAAGAAAATATATGTAGCAGATATTCTATTATTTATTTTAATACCAAGCCAATAAATTACAGTATTTCTTTTTCATCTTCATAAACCCCATATAAGTTCTTGAAATTTTGAATATAAAAAGTGCTTTTCTTTAGATGTATTCCTCTCTATATAAATTCACTGAATATATTTTATATTATATTGTTCAGCTATACAATTTAACAGAACCCTGATTATAAATGCATATCTGCTTGAACTTTTTGTCCTTTAGGGCCTTTTATAGCAAACATTTCTAAAAGAATTGTCTACACAGAGATGTTGCTGCCACTTTCTCACTTCTAATTCATATTCAAACTTACATATCTTCAGTTTGTGTTTTCTGCCATGTTATTACAATTCCTGGCAAAAAAAAAAAAATGTCACTAATGACTTTCATGTTGTTCACTTTGATGGCCCATGGAGGCTTGCAGGATCCCTGACCACCTTTTCCAATTCACTGAGCTACTCTTACCCACTGTGCTAAATCCCTGCTGGTCTTCCGAAAAGTCACTAGAGCCTTGCCAAGCTGTTGCCTGCCTCATTACCTTCTTATTTACGTGCCTTCTACCTAAAATACTTTCCCCTTCTTGTATAGCTGGCTTTTTCATGTCCTTTAGGATTTAGCTTAAATAACTTCTGAGAGTCTTTACTGATCAGTCACCACATGTAAAGGAACTACCATCTTCTCCTGCATTATCTTGTCACCCTATTCACTTACAATATTTATCATCTTTTCTCCTTTGTTTATTGTCTTAGTAACCTTTGTATCCCCATCATCTAGCAAATAAATGATTAGCACTAGTTTCTCAATATTTTTGCATAAATCAATGAATGTACAACTGCTCAATTGAGAGCCTGTGTATCTCCATTCTTTATGAAAAAAGTGATAGTTTGGAAAAAATACCTAAGTTTAAATTAAATTTAGTTAAATATGCATTCTTGAATTCCCATAGAGAGGTAAACTGGTTGTAAGAATGCTATGTTACTTGCTATCTGTAGGGGTCTATAAGTAGGCTATTTTCTAATCTTTAGAATGAGGGTAATAATATTATGAAATACACCTATTGTATTTGCTACATTGGAAAAGCACTTCCCTACTTAAGTCCGATATGAAAGAGCTGTTTTAAAAGAAACTCTAAAACATTTGCATTACTATTAACCACTATTTTAGGCTAATTAACGTCATTATCCTAGCTATTTAGCTGTATATCCCTGTCTATATTCTGCTTGATCACAACAACTTGCATTTGACTATATCAACCATCTAGTTAGAAATGAGGAAAGACAAAAGAGAACTCTTTACAGTTTGTATATACTATTCCAGAAGATAGTTTATAAAAAATCAAAAAAGCTTCTGTGAAATTTTATCTGAAAAATACTATGGTTTATTTTAAGTGAACTTCCCTTTGCTTTCCCTTCCTGTAGCTCCTGGTAGATTCATGGCTTTTCAAAAACTGTTTTAGTTCAGAGGTAAGATGGAGAGGGTGCACGCCTGAAAAGAAGGTGACCGAAGTACAAATGAAAGGTGTACACCACAGCATGAGAATAAGCAGATGGCCAGAGATCAAGGCCTCAGATATGGTGAAAAAAGAGAGAAAAATTACAGAGGGCATAGGGACTAATGCCTCAAGATTTCAAATATGTCACTTTCATCATGGTCTACAAGAGAGAAAGAAGAAGGATTGATGTTCAAAGTATCTCAAATTTTTTGTTCCTTATAAAACTCTGCCTTCTATCCTTTGATTTGACTGCTAACAGCAGCACATTTTCAGGATCATAGAAGGGGCTTAAGATCACAAATTCAGTATAGCTACAATAAGTTTCTTAGCATTAAGAAATTGAAAAAATTAGTTTCGTCAAAAAATATTGACTCCTGGACTATTTTCCAATCCCTGAGATTTCCATTTGCTAGGCTCCTTCTATGGACAAGAAAATCATGGGGCAGGAGTGAAGGCACGCAGTATCAAAGAAGAAAGATGGTAGGGTGAAAACAGAACTACTGGAAACATGTCTTCTGCATGTACAGTGTTGATATTCATCTTGATTTTAGAAAGTGAAGACCAGGAAAGAGACTTGCCTCCTGCTTCCAAATTTATATTGTCAAGATGATAATATTTAGCTAATATTAGACTGGGAAGCATAAAATTAGTGCTATCTCTGGTGCTGCTGTATCCCAAAACAGTCAGTTCTTACCATTTGAAATTTTCCACCTGTTCACATTACATCTTCCTCCTTGCTAACAGGATAAGTTCTGGCATGAACCAAGAATAATTAGAAGGTAAAATAGTACAAGAGGCCACCACAAGGCAAATTTCTAGACAGTCCCTTCCCCAAGCTTGTGAGTAGGGACAGTTGAACATTTTGGAATAGTGCTGAAATTGCAAATAGAACTGGATAAGGTAGATGTATCTTGCTCCTTTTTGCATGGTTTCATGAGAAAGATGAGGATCGACGTATCTTTTGCTCAGAGTTAACACCTTTGAGGAATCACTGTAAAACAACTTAAGAAAATAATTAAGAAAATAATGAGAATTTTTAGCACTTCTATGCTGTGGCTCAGTTAAAAAGATAGAAGAACAAGTAGTTATGACCCAAATACAATGTATATCCACCAGGGCATCTCATATTGAGGTAGCTCAGAAAACATTATTGTCATGGGAAGTTGCATGAGACTTAAGAGGTTGAGAATTCCAATTAAAATAGGTATGAATTCCCTTTAGATCATCCCACTCTCATTTCATTTTGCTATAGCTTACACATATTCCCATTGTTTTGCTACCTCTTTGTGTGTTTTATCTTCAAATTTGGAAAGAGAATTGAATGATTATTTTGTTTTTTACACATTCTACTGAGCATGGAAGTAAATGGATAGAAAACAATGGAACCAATCTTATTAACAACTACCTAATTGCCTATTTATTATCAATTCCTGCTTTCAAAGTGAAAGATTTTTTTGTTAGTTTTTTTCCCACAATTTAAGCCCTACTTATTAATATGATTAGTGTGTTAGAATCCGTTTTGTGAACAGATCACCTCTTTTGCCTATGTCTAGGAGTTATATTTATCAGAGTCCTCTTTCCTGTGTGGTGTAGGTTACAGTTAGCCAAGAAAACAATTTGTGCAGTATTTGAAAGGTGAAATTAAATCAGAAGTCATTAGTCTCACAAGGTTATGGTTGTCTCATATGGTGTCAGCAGACTTCAGCTTTTAGTTTTTCTTCCCACGGAAAGGCCCTGGCAACAAACAGAGGTCTTATGCTAATCACCAAGGGCTTGATTGCACTTTGTAGACAGAAAACAACTTCCAAGGACTTCGGCATGACTACTTATCCCTCTATTATCCTTTTTGCTACTATGCAGATATAACTGTATGGTTCATGAGATTTTCCTGCAAGCTCAGATCTGCTCTGAAAGACCCCTGCTTCAGGTATCATGGTTAATGACTCTGATCCTCCAACATCCCTCTCTTCTGGAACTTCCTTAGTTCCTCCTATATTTGTGTATGTTATAATTCCTGTAGCAAACTACTTACTTTCACAATATTGTTAGGGACTCTGGTTGCCCTAAGTGATAGCTATTTTATGTATTGGTTGTAAGGACTCAGAACCTTAAGGCTATAATCCTGGAATGGTTCTCTGATCTGATTAGAGTAAAAGACATTAATGATCCCCTTTGCCAGAGGTAGGTGGGACATTGAATGTCCATGGCATTTAGTGTCAAAATAGTTACTGAAATAATCACTTTTAATTCTCAGGAGTCAAGTGCCTGCAGAAGGCTAGACTCTGGATGACTATGTAGCTGCTGCCATTGAAAATACAGTGGAAATAAAGACCATACGAAGGAGAAGTTTATGTGACGACAGAAGCAGAAATTGCAGTAGTGCAGCCACCAAAGTATTTCAGCAGTCAGCAAAAGCTGGAAATAACAAGGGACAGATAGTCTCTTAGAGGCTCTAAAAGGAGCAAGATACTTGAATTTTAACAAGGGAAACTGACTTCAGACTTCTGGCCTCCAGAATCGTGAGAAGATACATTTTTGTTGTTTTAACCCACGCATTTGTGGTAGTTTTTCTACAGCAGCCTTGGAAAACCAATACAGTAGAAGAATGCTGTACTTGTTAAAGACATACTCGCAGTACCTCTGTGGCTTGTAAAACTATAGGCAAACTCAAATTCTACTAGGCTTCAAGAGGCTAGGTTCAATGTGTCATTAGTAGGAGGTATCTTACACATCAAAATTATTGCAAGACTCTTATAGTTGAGGAGGAATATGTATGAGAATATATCTTAGAGGAGTTGGATAGAGATGAAAAGATGTGATGTTGGAGAGGGCTGATATGGGCATACTTAACTGGCAATTCTGATTCAATTAATTAAGTTGATCAAACTGAAGTGGTTCCAACAGTTTCCTGGATTGGTTGACTAGAAACTGGACACAAAGGTGAACTATGATAAATTAAGTTGAAGTGTCAGAATTTCCTTGATGTAAGGTAGAGGAAGACATACTAAAATTTAGGGAGATTGGATGCTAGGATGTCATTGCTGTTTGGCTTGCTCTGCTCTTCTGTCTCCTTCCCTGTCCCCCAGGAGGGTACAGAGACTTTGACACATGCATTGATGAGGGGAGCACTGGCATCCTTGAAGAGTTCTGTGGTGGCTCTTGTCTATTAGGTTAGCAGTGACAGCGGGAGAAGCTGCCACTAAAATGGCCTCCTTGGATTCAATAGGAATCATGGGAACCCAGAGTGTCAGGGACCAATTGGCAACAGTTAACCTGCAGTGAAAATGTAGGCATGATGACTGAACTATTTAATCAGAATAGTTTGATAAAGCCTTTGGTTTTGACTAGTTGTTTATGGTGTTTCCACTACTGAAATAGTTGGGTAGTCTACTGTGGCATTTTATTTGATTTATAGAAGCAGAAGCAATCTATGTTTTGTAAAAGAATTTTGTGTTGAATTAACACAAATTAGAGTTAAGGCCTCCTAATGAATTCCCAGACTTAAACTTGTGAAGATATTCAGAGGCCGTGATATGGTTTGGCTGTGTCCCTACCCAAATCTCATCTTGAACTGTAGCTCCCACAATTCCCACGTGTTGTAGAAGGGACTCAATGGGAGGTAATTGAATCAGGGGGGCAGGTCTTTCCTGTGCTATTCTCGTGATAGTGAATAAGTCTCACAAGATATGATAGTTTTATAAGGGGAAGTTTCCCTGGACAGGCTCTCTCTTTGCCTGCTGCCATCCATGTGAGACATGACTTGCTCCTCCTGCCTTCTGCCATGATTGTGAGGCCTCCCCAGCCATATGGAACTGTGAGTCCATTAAACCTCTTTCCTGTATAAATTACCCAGTCTTGGGTATGTCCTTATTAGCAGCATGAAAATGGTGTAATACAGGCCCTTAAGCATTTCATTTATTCTTGCACTATCCTCTTATCTAAAAAAAAATGAATTGATTACAGTAACCCTAAATCTCAATATATAAGTTATAGGATATTGAAGGCAAGTATGTACCCACTTAGAGAAGAACTACCACTCAAGTTGTCTATCAGAAGGAAAGAATGAGGAAACTCCCTGAGAAGTACAGGTTCTGCTTAGAAAAGAACTAACAGCACTCAAAGATGGAAAAAAGAAATACAGACATTTTGTATCTTTAGAGAAGAGGGTTACTATATTTTTGGTTTCATGAATGAGAGTTACACTCTTCTAGTGGAAATCTAACTTTTTTATTGTGTTCCCTTAGACTTAAATATGGTTAAATGATGTGTATATGAATACCAAGTTAACAAGAGGGTGGATCTTCTTCCTTTTTATGGCTGTGTAATATTCTACAGTGTATATGTACAACCTTTTCTTCATCCAGTCTACCACTGATGGGCATTTAAGTTGTTTCCATGTCTTAGCTATTGTGAATAGTGGTGCGATGAACATACGTGTGCATGTGTCCTTATGGTAGAGCGATTTATATTTCTTTGGCTATATACCCAATAATGTGATTGCTGGGTTGAATGGTAGCTTTGTGTTACATTCTTTGAGATATTTTCAAAGTGCTTTCCACGGTGGCTGGACTAATATACAGTTCCACTAGCAGTGTATAAGTGTTCCCTTTTCTCCACAGCCTTGTCAGCACCTGTTATTTTAGGACTTTTTAGTCATAACCATTCTGACTGGTGTGGGATGGTATCTCATTGTGGTTTTGATTCACATTCCTCTAATGATCAGTGAGGTTGAGCACGTTTTCATATGCTTATTTGTGGCATATCATATATGTCTTCTTTTGAATGTTTGAAATCCACCCTATCACCACCATCTGACCATCCAATAGAAGAGTCAACAGAACAGAAAGTACTAACTGTGTATACACCAAATCAATAAGCAAACAGGTAAGTTAATACTTTTAAAAAATATGAAAAATTATTATATACAACAACATTTTTCAAATTGTCTAAAGTTATTGTTCTGTGTTCTTTTTAGAAAGCAGGGGGTCTGCATTCCCTTACTCTTAATAAAGCTCTGCTTGTCTTTGGTATTTTCATAATGCTGGCCATATTGTATTTAATGTTTTGCTTTCCTAAAACAAGCTTAGAGAGTAATATCTACTGCAAAGGTCATGGCTTTAGAAGATGTGTGAAGTGAAGTGAGTGGCACAAAACAGTAGGTAGCAAAGCATCGTACAAGTCAATGAACAACAAGGTCAATTACTTCATATCTACTTGTGGTTCAACACAGCTGGAGTGAAAAAAAATCGTAATGTGCAGCATTCGGCAGCAGTGCAATGTGGAATAATAAGGGAGCTGAAATCATCAGTTTACAAAAATGTTAGTCTGACTAGACAAACACAGAAAGTAAAGGCAAGTTGTCTGTCAAAAAGAAAGAATGGGAAAAATTCATGTGAGCAATACAGGAATGGAATACAAAATCACACTCCTTTAAACTACAGATCTGGAATACTAACACTGCTGCTGAATTATATTTTAAACTGATATTGAACTTCCTTTGAAAGCAGCAGTCTCTATTTTATGCTATTGCCAATCCTCTAAGAAAAAACAATAGGACTTTTATAAATTGGTAATCTGAATACAAATTTGTTTGAGAAGCAGTCATAAAAACTTTCAACTGGTAGATGCTGTGAATATACTAATATTTCTTATAGCTTGTATTTCACTGTAAACTTCAAAAAGCAAGAATTTCTGTTTTATTTGTGTTGTGTGGGTTGTGTTTTTCTTTTCTGTAAAACAGATTATAACAAGACATGTAATTGAAAATAAATAAATTAATATAAACCTAGGAGAAAGAATATGTGAGATATAGAGATTGTTATGTAGTGATGGCTTATATAAAATAGCTCCAACATTGAGCAAAAAGATCAAGTTGTCAATTAAGATGTTGCCCTTTTCTTTTCTGAAGGTTACAAAGTGTTTAAGGACACTGTATGCTTTGAATTTCTCACCATGAATTTAGCCCTGATGACCAGGGAAGTAAAGAGCCCATTGACTTCAGTTACAGGTTTACTTGCACTTACAGCTGAAGATGAAGTGCCAACGGAATGTTTTCTTCTAAACCAAAGTGCTCATAGGGTATATGTATTTTTCAAGAAGTTAGTGCTTCTTGAAACCCACAATCGTTGCTCTTTGTACATTTCTGGTGCTGCAAAATCAATTATAGGCACATTAAAATGGAGCAGTGTTCATCTAATGATGCATAATGTCGGAGGTGTAGCTCTTTGCTTTTGTCTTCTTTGCACATTTGCTTTTTGAAGTGAGAAAATCAATTAAGATGACTAGCAAAACACACCACAGACATTCTGAAGAAATCTTTTTCTTCTTTTTAATGTGTGTTTGAGAGCTTTCCAATTATTAACTAAGTCATATTCAGTAAGACTCTCATATTAACTGTCTCCTTTTCACCTTTACAGATGAGGCAATTGACTTTCATTTAGTAAAATGCATTTGTCCTTTTCGGAGACATTCAGAGAATACCATGTGGGTGGTCATCTGTACAGTTTAGGATCTCCTCTCAAAAGAGATTTTCAAGAATAAATATTCGATAAAACAAAAGAGTTGTCAAAACACATTTTAAAAGTTTATATCCACAGATTGGACCTGGAATTCCCATTTCATATTTATAGGAATTAGAAACATTAGGGCATGTTTTCTATTTTAGAGTGTTGTGTGAAAACAACAAGAACAATAACAACACAGATCCCAGGATAGTATGGCATAAAACCTTTCTCCCAAAAAGTTTGGTATACATTTCATTTTGGAGAAGAAAGGGTACAGTTGAGCAGAAAAGAAATTTTAAAAAGGTAGTTATTTCTATTTTTATGGAAAATTTACAGCAATTAATCCATGATCAAGTTTTTCTACTTAGAAAGTTAGTGTCCTATTCAGATAAGTCAGAGACTAAAATCAATCATCTGGAAAGAATAAATGGCAAGGCTTTAATCAGCTCCTCACATTGTGACCAAAGTATTAGTAATAGTGCACCTGCTAGTGCTAGGCATAAGTAAAACGTGATACAATATTAAGCACATTTTCCATTTATATTAGTAATTTTTACTTTTATTCTATATTTGTCCTTAGACAAACATAATTTCTTTCCTGCTGTGCACTTTTGGTCTAATTTGCGTGACTTGTATAGATAGCGGCATTTTGTAGAATCTGAGTTTTATTTCAATTTCAAGTTGATCACTTCAAACATAGGTAAGTTATGGTCTTTCTCCACCTTCCAATTTATCGTCATTATATAAATGACTGATTTTACTATAAGAAGGCATTTTTCAATGGTTTTCCAGCAAATAAAATGTTTTAATCTTTACATATAAATGATCCTTTTTCTTTGTACTGCAATTGATTAATTATGTTTGCAGTAAAAGCATTTAAGTTATCAGGGCTGTGGAGAAAGGGTAGGGAAAGAATGAGAAAACAGTTTGTAAAACCTCAGACTCCGGATTTCTATCATTAAAGGCAGGCTGCACACAAGAAAGTTCTCATAGTTAAGATGAGGTCTAGTTTACTCAGTAGAGCAAAACTGGAACCAATCAAAAATTTCCTTTAAAAACCAATTTTTCATTTTGTAATGATACACTGTTGCATGGTCTCTGGGAAGCATTTAGATTCATTGAGTCAGAAGAGGCTTTCTGTCTCCTGAGAAATAACAACCACAACAGAAAAAGTTACATCTTCCTTTAGCTCCTGGGATGGTGAATGCCAGACAAACTTTGTTGTTCTCATTCTGTCTTGCAATGCAAGCTATATTTCTGACAAGCTATCAAGCTGCCCAAACGTTTGCATATCCTTCTCTATAGGTGATGTCTTCCCCAGTGTGAGTTGAAATGGGAAATATATCTAAAAACAGGATGGAGAGATTCAGGGGATGGGATAATTAAGGTTTTTCTGATCATCTAATCCTTGCTGAAGGGAAAGATCAGCTATTTAACAGGACCCATTTTGAAATGCTTTGCAGCATGAAATCATAGCATGGAAGAAGGGAGGTTCCTTTGTGAAAACGTGTGGTGCTGTTTGTAAATTATGTTTTCAAATATTATTTTGTAATTATATTATGCAAAACATAATTTGTGTTTTATAATTTACCATATTTATTTGTAATTTACAATATAATTTTGGAATTGACACAATGTGCTGGCTAAACGATTTGGTGGAATGTCACCTTCAAGAATTTTTAGTCATATATCAATAAAAAATTTTGTCTTACTGAACACATTTCTAATATTTTGCATTTTACTGCTTCTTTTTGTCCTTTCTATAATTACAGCCATAAAAACTGAATAATTTATTTTTTCCCTCAAACTCCTTTTAGTAAGTTAATGTTTCTTTTTATTCCACTGCTTTTAAGATTTTTGTTATCATAGCTATAACTTGACTGTAATTGGAAAAAGAATATGTGTGCAGAAAGGTAGATATCCTGTAATGAACACTACGACAAAGAATGAATAGCTGAGCAGAGAGAAAGGTTATATGATATGTTGTTTAGAAATGGAATGTTGGATATTTCGGAAGTGATCTAGGAGAGGGTTTAAGGTGCCTGCATGAGCCATGTGTACCTAGGAGGGCTTCAAAGTGGAAGGCATGGGGTAGTACTTTGTGGGTTTCTGAAATTGATCTCACTCTAGCTTCATCTTTCTGTGTGCCTTGCAGTCTCCAATTAACCTGCAAAAAGGAAGTGTCTGCTTTCTTGTTTTTAAAGATTCAAATAATGACTCCAAAAAATTAGAAAAAAAATAAGGGTTTTATTTAACTCAATGGTGAAATAAAATGCCTAAAAATTCTTCTTTTCAAGTCTTTGAGTTGTGATCTTTATTTACTTTCATCACTGCAGTTGTTGGTTGTGTTAGTTCCTTTGTGAGAAAGGCTGAATGTTTGAGACCAGTCTCTCACCTCTGCTCCTATCACTGCAGCTTGTTCCTGCTCTGACCTTAGGGACTTTGAACTTGACTTCGTCAATTGACTGTTACTCGGTGCATTTTTGTGTGTGTGTGAACATAAACACACACACATACACTTTTTGAAAATACTGAAATTAGTTTTCATTCTTTTAGAGATATGCAAGTAGAATAAAAGTGAAAACGTAAATTGTATTACTGATCTCTGTTATTCTGTGAAAGAGCTAGCTGTCTTAGACATGTACTTTTTAAAAGAAAATAGCACTTCTGTATTTTTTCAGGTGGCAGCACCGTATATTCTGAGAACATGATTTTTCTCATATATGTTATCATTCATTGTCCTTATGGACAAACGTATCAAATAATAGTCAATGTCCTTATCCTCACCCACCCCTCCAATTTTGGCTTAGCAAAACTCCTTTAGTTTCTTATGCAGGTGACTCATTCTACACCAGAACAAGATAGCTACTAAAAAATTTGGAGAAAACTTTCACTTAATAAATGCTCCAAGAAGTGAGGACTCAGGGTCAACAGAAACGCAAAAAAAGTCCCATTTTTAGGCACTTTATACTTTTCACTGTGGTCCTCATAGGATGGTTTTTTGACGGTAAGCCATGCAGATGCTTTCCTTATTTTCTGCATGAGGAAATTGAGGCTCAGGGAAGTCTTGTGGATAACACGTGATAAAACCCGAACCTGATCTCAAGTTGTTCCGGCCACAAGGTGATGTCCAGGTCTGAAGAACTTCCTGGTTATCTTTGTTCAAATAACTACAGAGAAATGAATTGCTCTTATTTCCCATAAACAAAATAAAAAACAAAATACATTAAAAAAAACATATAAGAAGGACCTGAGAGAATGTGCCTAAGGATTGTCATGAATTAAGTTGAAATTAATACAAAACTAAAAATGCACACTATCACTTCAGTATTTAACAGTTCTTGTGTCTTTTTATGCCAGAGGACCTTGCCATCATCAATGCCTTATTGGATAAATAAAATGAGTATAAATGTTTGTATTTGTTCCCTGATAAAAACTAAAAATTCTCTCCAAATACAAACTGCTGATGTAGTAAACACACACCTTCTTAAATCCCACTGAAATCTTGAGTTATGTTGTTAAATGTAGAGGAGATTTTCCCCCATAATGAAGCCAATAGTTTCATTTATAATTTATCAATTGTATTGTATTTTGATGCACAAATAACCAGAGAGTTAATACAAATAAAAATTGCCTTAAAGCTTTGCTGAATATTTAAACAGCCTTTGATGAGGAATATTGAATGCAAATACGGTGTAAAGTTTGTAACATAAGCTAACCTACAAAAAAAGCCTTTAGGCTATAATGATAGGTAGAACTATATATGTTTTAATTTGCAATGAGAAATAAATCAAGATATGACAGCAGCAACCTATATTTAAACTTCTTATTCTGGTATTAAAGAAACCCTAGCAAATTGTTATTTTTTTCTGAATATTAAGAACAATTCATGTTCTTGCTTACAAATATATGTGACTCCAAATATTATGCAGATGTTAAAAAATCAAAACCAAAGTAAACAATAGCTTCAAGTCAGTGAATAAAACAAAGAATAAAGCAGTGTAAAGTTTTCAAGCAACCTCAGAATTGTATAATTTATTAAATTGTTCTGTAGTCAAGAATGACAGTTAAAAATCTCCTTAAGCAAAATCCAGTGATGTCAAGTTCCTGGTAAAACGTTTTAGCCACTGTAGCTAATATTCTGTGATCTTCCTGAATCCATTATTTAAATAAAGTGTTTTTAAAACAATCATATTAAACAAACTGTAAAATATTTAAATGTATTTTTCTTCTATAACAACTCAATATTAGCATCCAAGAACCAGCATTTGTTTTTTTCCCTGGATTCATACTTAAAAATTATTAGTCTTTGTGGTTGGACATGACTATTGCCAAATTCCTAAATTTGTTAATGAAGACACTGGGTTATTTCTTAATAATTTGATACAGGTTTCAGCTTATTATATTAACTAAGCTTTTAGTAAGGGAAAGCTCAAGATTGGAGTTAGTAGCTGGTGTTGAATACCTGCTGCATCTCTTAGTAGCTGAGAAGCTGATGACTAGCAACTTCTTTTAAAGTTCATTTCCCTCATATTTAAAGTAGAATTAATAATAGCCCTGATCTCATGAGTTTGTTGTGAGAATCAAATGAGCTAAGTAAATTCCTAAGAAATTGTTTCATCTGTTCATTTATTAAACACATATCTTAATTGCTTCCCAAATTTTCTTCTCTGAGCTATTCTGCCACAAAAGCCACCATTTTTTTCCTGCCATTTTCCAGTGCATAATATTGTTGTAGGACTTTCTGCTTAGTTCAGCTAAAAATGGGGTCCTTGTCACACAACCATGAAAAATTAGGCTCACAGACACTTTGAAGGTTGAGAAGGGCAGGGTTTATTGGGTGAAAACGAAAAAAGGGAAAACAGGAACTCTCAGTAAAGTGAGAGTCGTGCTAGTAGGCTTCTTGCCTCACAGATTGAATCCCAGGTATCACCCGAAACCAGAGGGGCCAGGCTCCTGCCCCCTGCAAATGGCACAAACTTCCCAAGGTTCCACCCCAGTGTGCATTCCTCCCAGTGCACAGGTTGGTCAGAGGTTCTGCCAGGGGACCGTTTTTATGTGGCTGTCCCAATATTTTGAGTTTCTACACTCAAAAGACTTTACCTCTTGAGTGCTTACTTGTAAAATGTTCATTCTGCACCCCCTCTTCATTTTAGCATCTTCCTTGACCACAGAAATAAATTTTTCTCATAACTCTCCAACATTATAGTTGTTGTTTTACTCTGCATGCCTCTTGAGTTATCTGCCTTGTAGATTATTTTGCAATCCACTACTTTTTGAAAGGCTCACTGCAATGTCTTTGGCATTGTATTCCCCTCTCCTTTCCCTTACTTTAAAAGAGCAACCATTGCTCAATGATTTAAGAGATCAGATTCTTGAAGTGAAAAGCCTGAGTTCAAATCCTAGATCCAGGTTTTACTAGCGGTGTTACCCTAAGGAAGTTGCTTAAAGTTCTCTGCTTCTTATTCTGTGCAGTGAAGCTAATAATAACACCTACCTCTTATATTTGAGTGGAGAATTAAATGAATTAATGTATGCATAGTGTTCAGAACAGTGACTGTCACACAGTGTTGGTTACTGTATTTTTCTCACAGTGACTGTCATATCATGTTTATTATCTTTTCTATCAGGTATGTTCCTCGTAATCTGGTCTTTTTTCTCCTGTCCTACATCCTTTACTCTGTCTATACTATATTTTGGATATATTAAATACCTTCTGCTATTGCACAATTATTGCATCTATTTGGACACTCACATCTCTTAATTGTGAAATCGGCCGTTTTCTGAAATCCTGTTCCACACATACTGATAGGCATCTCCACGTCAATCTTTCGCTGATGACTTAATCATACCTGTCTACTAATAATTGTTCCAGTATCTTCATTTCCCTTTTTTGTGAATGGTGGCACCAGCTTCTTTGTCACTTGAGCTCAATGCCTCAATATTGTCTTTGACCTATAGCCCTACAGTCTATGAAGTTAATTTTTTTCTCAATTTCTTGCCACTCACAATCTATAAATTGAAAAGCCTAGAAGTCTGCATTATAAAATGCCCACTCATATTTTCTTTATTTTAAGTGCCACACACTGGTTTATGCCTTCATATGTCTTGCTTAAACTGTTTTATTGCCCTCCACCTCCAATTTAGTCGCCCATCTCTAGTCAATGATATCTTTCAGATAGTACTGCTGTCAGATTAAAAGTCCTGAAGCATAGCTTTGTCCTGTAATCAGATCAGTATTGTTAACTGTCTCTTGGCTTTCCCATAAGAACTATAATCACATTATATTTACAATTGAACATGTCTGGCACCACTACCTTAAAATCTAATTTTCTTATATTCTCTAACCTAGTAAAAGGCAATGATTTCTGGGTATCACACTAGTTAGGATATCCTTCATAGTCATATTACCAGAAAATCCAGAGTCACCTCTGACTCTTTCCTCTGCCCCATTCTCATCCAACTGGTGGTCTGGTCCTGTTCTTCATCATCTGATTATGATTTCTCATACATTAATAGTAACTAATGTCAGATGCTATTTGTAAAATATTAATTTCTTTACATACACAAAAGACATTTCTCACTCATGCAAAGTACAAAGTAAATGTTTCTGGTGTGGCAGCTCCCTTGGCCAGCAATCCCCACATCGTGACTGTATACGTGGGCTCAAACATCATTGCAAGAGGCTGGGTGCAGTGGCTCATGCCTGTAATTTCAGCACTTTGGGAGGCTGAGGTGGGAGGCTTGCTTGGAGCCAAGAGTTTGAGACCATCCTGGGCAACACAGCAAGATCCTATCTCTAAAAAAATTGAAACAAAAAAATTATGCAGGCATAGTGGCATGCACCTGTAGTCCTAGCTGCTGATCAGGCTGATACAGGAGGATGGCTTTGGCTCAGATGTTCTAAGCTGCAGTGAGCTATGGTCACACCACTGAACTCCAGCCTGGGTAACAGAGACCCTGTCTCAAAAAATAATAATAATAATAATTGAAGAGGGGAAGAGGGACGGTAAAGGATTGTTCAGCTTCTAATTAATCATTTGTCTTTATCTCATTGTCTAAATTTAGTGTATTATTGACACATTGTGTATCTGTTTTATTGGCTTCTGTTCTTATTTGAATATTTATTATACTGTTGTTTTAGAACTTTGCTTGCTTTAAAAATATTGTCCTCTTATTTTTGCAATTACTTTGGACATTTTAAGCATATTTACTTTTATAATCTTTATCACATTTTTCTGGTGTATGTGGTTCCATTGTTGCATTACTAATTCCCCTATTTTGGTAGTTTATTTCTGTGTGTGGCCTGAAATGTTTTCTGTTTTATTTTGATTTACTCTTCAATGAGACTTATAATGGGAGTTTTCCATGAACCGTGAGCTTAGGAAAATCATATTTATGGGGTGATTTCAAATGGGTCTTTTCAGCTGAGGATAGAAGAGTATCTGGGGTTAGGGAAGGAGCATTAAGTTTCATTATAGTTTTTCAGTTAATTGATCATCTTCAAATATTTACACATTGTGGGTAAATTGGGTCATGTAGCCTAGGCATAAGCTTGGAATATCATTTATCCCAGATAATTGTCTTTATTGAGCTTTTATGTAGTCATATATTGTAACTATTGTAACTATTAACTAAAGGAGTTATAATTCCATTATGTCTGTTTAATTATTCTTCTTATAGTTTTGTTGTCTTCACCAAATCCTAACTAAAAATACTTGGCTTTCAACTTCAAAATTTACATAAAAATACTTGGAGTTTTTATAAATTAACAAACCAATTATTCTACTTCTCATATGCCTATTTTTGAAAATCAGAATATTTTGGTATATATGTTAACTAAATTTAACATATATTTATCAAGTTACCTCATACGTCTCCATCACACATGCTCATAGATGAAACATACTGAAACTTAAAACAAAACTCTTAAAAATGTAGCCAAACTTGAAACACAAAGGGAAGGTCCACAGGCTTCAAAAATGAAGTAACTTAAGTTAAAACTTTGAGAAGGAGCTGATGCCAATTAGTCCAAGAATCTATTGAACAGTGTAGAGACCTTATGGCCAGGGAGCTGAGGTAGAAAAAATTAGCCTTTGCTGTTAGTTTTTGATTAAACATGTGCCTAGCTTCAAATTGATACATTGAATTTCCTACTATGCAATGTTCCAGGAAATGGCTTCTGTTTTATTTCATAACTCAGCAGTATATGTTCAGTGCTTCATTATAATTCTTTATCTCTTTATTTTCTTTTATTTATTTATTTATTTATTTTTTATTATTATTATACTTTAAGTTTTAGGGTACGTGTGCACAATGTGCAGGTTAGTTACATATGTATATGTGTGCCATGCTGGTGCGCTGCACCCACTAACTCGTCCTCTAGCATTAGGTATAACTCCCAATGCTATCCCTCCCCCCTTCCCCCCCCACAACAGTCACCAGAGTGTGATGTTCCCCTTCCTGTGTCCATGTGTTCTCATTGTTCAGTTCCCACCTATGAGTGAGAATATGCAGTGTTTGGTTTTTTGTTCTTGCGATAGTTTACTGAGAATGATGATTTCCAATTTCATCCATGTCCCTACAAAGGACATGAACTCATCATTTTTTATGGCTGCATAGTATTCCATGGTGTATATGTGCCACATTTTCTTAATCCAGTCTATCATTGTTGGACATTTGGGTTGGTTCCAAGTCTTTGCTATTGTGAATAGTGCCACAATAAACATACATGTGCATGTGTCTTTATAGCAGCATGATTTATAGTCCTTTGGGTATATACCCAGTAATGGGATGGCTGGGTCAAATGTCATTTCTAGTTCTAGATCCCTGAGGAATCGCCACAACAACTTCCAAAAGGGTTGAACTAGTTTACAGTCCCACCAACTGTGTAAAACTGTTCCTATTTCTCCACATCCTCTCCAGCACCTGTTGTTTCCTGACTTTTTAATGATTGCCATTCTAACTGGTGTAAGGCGGTAGCTTATTGTGGTTTTGATTTTCATTTCTCTGATGGCCAGTGATGGTGAGCATTTTTTCATGTGTTTTTTGGCTGCATAAATGTCTTCTTTTGAGAAGTGTCTGTTCATATCCTTCGCCCACTTTTTGATGGGGTTGTTTGTTTTTTTCTTGTAAATTTGTTTGAGTTCATTGTAGATTCTGGATATTAGCCCTTTGTCAGATGAGTAGGTTGCAAAAATGTTCTCCCATTTTGTAGGTTGCCTGTTCACTCTGATGGTAGTTTCTTTTGCTGTGCAGAAGCTCTTTAGTTTAATTAGATCCCATTTGTCAATTTTGGCTTTTGTTGCCATTGCTTTTGGTGTTTTAGACATGAAGTCCTTGCCCATGCCTATGTCCTGAATGGTAATGGCTAGGTTATCTTCTAGGGTTTTTATGGTTTTAGGTCTAACGTTTAAGTCTTTAATCCATCTTGAATTGATTTTTGTATAAAGTGTAAGGAAGGGATCCAGTTTCAGCTTTCTACATATGGCTAGCCAGAATTTTCAACCCAGAATTTCATATCCAGCCAAACTAAGCTTCATAAGTGAAGGAGAAATAAAATACTTTACAGACAAGCAAATGCTGAGAGATTTTGTCACCACGAGGCCTGCCCTAAAAGAGCTCCTGAAGGAAGCACTAAACATGGAAAGGAACAACCGGTACCAGCCGCTGCAAAATCATGCCAAAATGTAAAGACCATTGAGACTAGGAAGAAACTGCATCAACTAATGAGCAAAATAACCAGCCAACATCATAATGACAGGATCAAATTCACACATAACAATATTAACTTTAAATGTAAATGGACTAAATGCTCCAATTAAAAGACACAGACTGGAAAATTGGATAAAGAGTCAAGACCCATCAGTGTGCTGTATTCAGGAAACCCATCTCCTGTGCAGAGACACACATAGGCTCAAAATAAAAGGATGGAAGAAGATCTACCAAGCAAATGGAAAACAAAAAAAAGCAGGGATTGCAATCCTAGTCTCTGATAAAACAGACTTTAAACCAACAAAGATCAAAAGAGACAAGGAAGGCCATTACATAATGGTAAAGGGATCAATTCAACAAGAAGAGCTAACTATCCTAAATATATATGCACCCAATACCGGAGCACCCAGATTCATAAAGCAAGTCCTGAGTGACCTACAAAGAGACTTAGACTCTTTGTAGATCCCACACATTAATAATGGGAGACTTTAACACCCCACTGTCAACATTAGACAGATCAATGAGACAGAAAGTTAACAAGGATACCCAGGAATTGAACTCTGCTCTGCACCAAGCAGACCAAATAGACATCTACAGAACTCTCCACCCCAAATCAACAGAATATACATCTTTTTCAGCACCACACCATACCTATTCCAAAATTGACCACATAGTTGGAAGTAAAGCTCTCCTCAGCAAATGTAAAAGAACAGAAATTATAACAGACTATCTCTCAGACCACAGTGCAATCAAACTAGAACTCAGGATTAAGAAACTCACTCAAAACCGCTCAACGACATGGAAACAGAACAACCTGCTCCTGAATGACTACTGGGTACATAAGGAAATGAAGGCAGAAATAAAGATGTTCTGTGAAACCAACGAGAACAAAGACACAACATACCAGAATCTCTGGGACACATTCAAAGCAGTGTGTAGAGGGAAATTTATAGCACTAAATGCCCACAAGAGAAAGCAGGAAAGATCCAAAATTGACATCCTAACATCACAATTAAAATAACTAGAAAAGCAAGAGCAAACACATTCAAAAGCTAGCAGAAGGCAAGAAATAACTAAAATCAGAGCAGAACTGAAGGAAATAGAGACACAAAAAACCCTTCAAAAAATTAATGAATCCAGGAGCTGGTTTTTTGAAAGGATCTACAAAATTGATAGACCGCTAGCAAGACTAATAAAGAAAAAAAGAGAGAAGAATCAAATGGACGCAATAAAAAATGATAAAGGGGATATCACCACCATTCCCACAGAAATACAAACTACCATCAGAGAATACTACAAACACCTCTACGCAAATAAACTACAAAATCTAGAAGAAATCGATAAATTCCTCAACACATACACTCTCCCAAGACTAAACCAGGAAGAAGTTGAATCTCTGAATAGACCAATAACAGGATCTGAAATTGTGGCAATAATCAATAGCTTACCAACCAAAAAGAGTCCAGGACCAGACGGATTCACAGCCGAATTCTACCAGAGGTACAAGGAGGAACTGGTACCATTCCTTCTGAAACTATTCCAATCAATAGAAAAACAGGGAATCCTCCCTAACTCATTTTATGAGGCCAGCATCATCCTGATACCAAAGCCAGGCAGAGACACAACCAAAAAAGAGAATTTTAGATCAATATCCTTGATGAACATTGATGCAAAAATCCTCAATAAAATACTGGCAAACCGAATCCAGCAGCACATCAAAAAGCTTATCCACCATGATCAAGTGGGCTTCATCCCTGAGATGCAAGGCTGGTTCAATATACGCAAATCAATAAATGTAATCCAGCATATCTCTTTATTTTCAAGAAAGAATCAACTGATGTAAGCCATAGACAAGAATAATGATAAAACTGATAACATGAAACTGAAATAAAAGCAGCAACAATAAAAACAAAAATTGCCATAAAAAACACCCAAACAAGTAAAGCTTAAAATACTTTGTGATACACATTATAAAGGGATGTTTTGTTGTAGTTTATAACTTTTTTGCTATACATTGAGCTCTGATAAATCAGTAAGGAAAAAACTAGCCAATAAAAATATGAAAATAAAATCAGAAAAAAATGAGTGACCTATAGCAATACAAAAGACCAGTCAAGGTTCTTATTCAAAGACAATTTCAATAAATTAATTCAGTATTGACCTGGAGAAGTATGAACTCTCACATACTGTTAGTAGAAATATAAATTGATGCACATTTTTTGGAGGCATACTGTATAACATGAATCAAAATCTTGCCTTTTGCTAGAACAGTTGTAATTTAACCTGCAGATACATTTATATATTTGTACAAAGACACATATACAAAGATGTTAATTTATAGTTACGTAACAAAGCAAGATTTTAAACAACTTTAAGGCCTAAAATTGAAATTAATTCTATAAATCATGGTAGCTTATAAATTTAGCAATCAGCAGTCATGAAAACAAAAGAAGTTGATTTATTTGTTCAGAGTTGAAAAGAACTTCATGATATATTAATTGCAAATGGTAAGGCATGAAAGATTAAATATTATCTCTTTTTATCTAGTTGGAACAAAGAAAGGAGGAGTCAAAGGAGGAAGAAAGGAAAGGCAGGTAGAAGGGAAAATACTATCCCAATAAGTATATACAAAATGGAAATTCCTAGAAAGATCAGTAGAATTTGTTTCTACTAAATAATTCAGGGGAAGGGAACTGTGTGTCTTGGTTCAAAGGAAGATTCTTTAACTTTTATTTCATCTAGACATACAGGTAAAAACAAAATTGAAAACTAAACATTTTATAAGAGGACACAATAGGTGGATTCTCTAATAGAGTGTTGGTGTAATTCCATTTCTAGAGACCTACGTGAATCTTTATCTGTAAATAGAAACACAGTACACATATGTGTAATATAGGGTACAAATGAATTGACATTGTTTAAATAAATCATAATACTTTTATATTAAACAATATTATTAAAAATGACTTCAGAGAATATTTAATGACATGAAGAAATGCTGATGGTATATATTTAATTTAAAATGCATAACAAAAATTATGTATAATATAATTTCAATTATTTACATATAAAAAGAGAAGGCAAAATAATTTATAATAAAGTTTATTATTAATTTGTTAGAGTGTGTTTAATTTTTCCTTCTTTGCACTTTTTATACTTTCCATATTTGCCATAATGAGAATACATTACATTAAAATAAGAAAACACCACTTTTTAAACAAACTACTAAAGCAATCTAATGTAATCCTCAAATTTAACTACTTCTTTCTTAGCATTCTACTTCATTTTTCATAACTTTCTCATAGAGATGAGCATATAAAATCCACATTTAACAAAAAGCTATATTCTTCTAAAATAGTATAATTGGGAACATTGAAAATCTTTTTCTATTAAAATAAGACCATTTGGTGTTCTGTTGTGAAAATAATAACGCCAAGTGATGGCAGTGTTCCAGGTTTCCATTGCAGAGTCTGGTGGAGATGATTTTAATTATCTAGAGTAAAGGTTTTTAGCCTCAGATGAATATGAGAAAGGTTGTAAATAAAAACCCCTGAAATTATTATATTGCATTAGAGTGCATTCTTCTAGTTTTCATCAAATTCTCAGAGTACCGTGATCTTCCCAAATTTCAAATTATAAAGACTACTGAATGCCTGCCTTCAGACCCACTTCTATTTAAATTTCACCAATGATAACTTATATCTTCAGAAAATAATCAGGATACCAAGCTTCTTAATTCTATATTTAAAAAGAAGATTATTTTTTTTATTTTGCACATTTCCACATTTTACAAATTTCCTATAAAGCACATTTATTAACTTTCAGACCTAAAAAAAGAAGTAATTTTAATCAAATAAACAACTGAAATATTCACTAGAATATTTCAGTTTTTATGTTCCTTCCTCTCTCCCATCCCATCTCAGATAAAAGGAACTTAGTGAAATCATCAAATTTAGAAAGGTAAGTGAGGTCCCAACACTAAAAAACTGATTGCATCTTCTCTCTCTTACTCCCCACAGGCAGTGACAACTCCCCTTTGTGTGCTGCAGGAGTTTAGAGTTTAGAGAGAAATGCTGCCCCTTGACAAGCCACAGGTTTCTATTGGGGCTTACTGCTCATTAGGCACCTGGAGTATATACCAGGTCCAAAACAATATGGCTCATTGTTTCAGTTCCTTTATTTGTAAAATTGGAATAATAGTACCTACTTTATAAAGCTGTGATTATTAAGAGAATCAATGTGTTAAAAAGAGAGCCTAGACATTGTAAGCCAGTAAATAGCCTCTTTTCCCTCCTTCCTTTTTCTCCTCCTCTTCCTACTTGTTCTTATGTATCCTATCTCTTAAGATAACACATTATAATATGTATCTTTCCATTTTCATTTCTTCCTCTTTCCCATAAAAATGCACTCATTTCGTGCATCATTACTTCAAGGATTTACTGGGCACCAGTGATATAAAGAGGAAGCATTTATCACTCTTATTTACATTATCTCTTTATTAAATCATGTTGAAACTTGATGGATTAATATACTAGCTGTCCAAGACATACTAAAATCAAAGGATTGAAATGAAGCTGAGAAATCTGTTTCCCATCGTAGGCTGATCTGAAAGATTTGTGCAGAGAGGCAACATTAAAAAAAAAATTATACAGGGTCTTCAGCTATAACTTTTTTCCTCCTCCTATTCCTCATCCTCCTCCTCCTCCCCCTCCTACTACTACCACCACCACCTGACCATTCAATTTATTTACTATTGCTGGAAATAATAAATGTTATTTATCGACCACTGATGTAGGCTGAAAAGTGGCCCCCTAAGATGTCCATGTTCTAATCCCCGTAATGTGTGAATATATTACTTCATATGGCAAAAAGGACTTTGCAGATGTGATTAAGAATCTTGAAGTGGGAAGATTATCCTGGATTATTTAGGGGGGTCTGAGGAGATCAAAAGGGATCTTATAAGAGGGAGTCAGGAGCTCAGAGAGATATAAAATGATGTAATTATGGAGGCAGAGAGAGATTTGAAGAAGCTTGCTGCTAGCTTTGAAGATGGAGGAGGGCACCATGAACCAGTGGACTGTGAGGCCTGTAGCTCTAAAGGCCAGAAAAGGCAAGAAAAAAAGACAAATTCCTTTACAGAAGGAACTACCCTACTGACAACTTGACTTTATCCAGTGAAACTGATTTGAACTTCCAACCTCTAGAACTGTAAAAGAATAAATTTACGTAGTCTTAAAACACTGATTTTATGGTAATTTTTTACAGCAACAATAGGAAACGAATAAAAATACACGTCTTATATGCCAACCTTTGGGTTGGGAACTTGATGGGCATAATTTCAACATTCACAAAAATCCTATGATGCTTGGCTCTAGAGGCCAGGCATCTGGTTTATATGCCAGGTTTATCTTGTCCTTTAGTGGTTATTAAGTATACACCGTCTGCAACAGTCCATAGCAGTCTTGATGATCAGATTCTAGGTCTGATAAGATAGATCAGATCAGCTAAGATTTTCTGAAGCCATGTTCTTCATGTAAAAATAATACACTTTTTGTTCAAACTGGAATTTTATATTAGGTTAAATAGGTTATACTTTGAATAATTTTGAATTCCCTTTTATCTTTTAATATTCAACATAAAAATTACAGTTTTAACTAAATGCAGAGGTAAAGAAATAAAGACACCTTATAAGGTAACTTCTGATAAAGACATGCCATGGAAAGGGATAATTTGACAAAAAATTAAGTTGGAAATGAACAATAAAGCAGCATACTCGCATATGGGAAAGACCCAGCTATTGGATCAGTCTGATAAAAAATTTCTCCAAAGGTTGCAGAATTCCATTATGAAATTTGTACAATGTTATTATGTCATGAAATATACATCTTTTACATTTTCCTTTTGACACATGCAGATGAAGAAGTTCCTGATGTGATTGCATATATGAAAAAGTTGATGGCTGGGTGCTAAAATGCGAAAAGTGACAGTGATTCTTCTAAGGTGAAAAAAATCCTGCAGAATACTGATGAGAGATGACAGTGTGAATATAAACTTGCTATCTTATCTTTGACAAAAGCATCACATCCTAAAAATGATACCTATAGGAGATAAGGAAAGGCCAAATTGTGTGTTTCTTTGACAGGCTATTACAGGCAAGTAGTGGGCTTTTTCTACAGCCTCTCAGTTTTGCATTAGTTTTAAAAAAAATATCATGCATAGCTCATGAATATTCTGATTCATAGTACATACCAATGTATGATTTTTGTAAGTAGTCACAGGTGCAGGCTTTTGCATGAGCAATCACAGTAACTGCTGTGACTGGAAACATGATAGCATGGGGAAAGGGTGTTATGACTTTGTAAATGCATAGAGTGAATTTTAACACTTTATTCACAATTTATATCTGAACTGAATAACACTGAATATGGTGTCTAAAGTAAAAAAGGGACATAAAAATTTTAAACTGTCAAACGTTTTTATACAAATGTTGGAAGAATATTTACATGCATGATAGAGAATGTATATTTCAATAGTTTTGCACTTGGCAAATGAGGATAAATTTATAACTCAAGTAAGGATGTTGGTACTTTGCATACTAGATTTACTCTGATGGAGCCTAAACAGACTTGCATCGTGTCAGTTTTTATAAGTAAGATTTCAATGGAAAAGGCATTGATAAACACATGAGACTGTGTGGAGGACCCATTAAAGATGTGCCTAGAAGGTTAGAGGTGCCTAACATAAGGACAAGTACTGCTTTGATGTTTTGGCATAGAATTTCTTGTTCAATTTATTTCCAGATATGATCTTTCTCAAGGAAGATTTTTTTTTGTTATTTGTGTTTATTTTTTTGGGAAATTGGACTTTATGGTTTTATTATACTTACAAGACAAATTTTGGCCATTATCAATTCTGCTGTACTTGAAATGACACTTTCCATCTAATAATATTAACAACTGTATCCCTTAGGTGCTATAAAAATGTAAATGACTGTTACATGCTTTGTCTGCATCATCTCTAATCATAATAAAAGCTCCTTAATATGCATATTATTTAACATCCATCTCCATATTATTTTACAGAAATATTTTCTGTATAATTACTTTGTGGCATAATGTCAGACAGCATATTTCTGCTTTCAACATTTTTTATTTGAAATGAGGTATACGCAGTGATATGGTTTGGCTGTGTCCCCACCCAAATCTCATCTTGAATTCCCACATGTTTTGGGAGGGACCTGGTGGGAGGTAATTGAATAACGGGGGCAAGTCTTTCTTGTGCTGTTTTTGTGATAGTGAATAAGTCTCACAAGATCTGATGGTTTTAAAAAGAGGCATTCCTCTGCACAAGCTCTCTCTCGTTTTTTTTTACCTGCCACCATCCATGTAAGATCTGACTTGCTCCTCCTTGCCTTCTGACACGACTGTGAGGCTTTCCCAGCCATGTGGAACTGCAAGTCCAATTAAACCTCTTTCTTTTGTAAATTGCTCAGCCTTGGGTATGTCTTTATCAGCAGCGTGAAAATGGACTAATACATGCACTCTTATAAAAAGTTGTATTTGTGGGTTAAATTTATCAAAAGTAACAACACACAAAATAAATAGTAAGGATATAGGATGAACATTGAAACTGAGAACTCTCGGACAACTCAGACTGTAAAAGCTTTTTCATATCAGCTACTATCATTGCCCTTTGTTTGTATATTGGTGTATGAATCTTTGGGAAATACTTGCTTCTATATTCAGACTGTAACAGTCGCAGGTTTTCCAGGATTACAAAGCACTATTAAAATATTCTCCCATATGAACTTTAAAGTAGTTTTTTCCAATTCTGTGAAGAAAGTCATTGGTAGCTTGATGGGGATGGCGTTGAATCTGTAAATTACCTTGGGCAGTATGGCCATTTTCACGATATTGATTCTTCCTACCCATGAGCATGGAATGTTCTTCCATTTGTTTGTATCCTCTTTTATTTCCTTGAGCAGTGGTTTGTAGTTCTCCTTGAAGAGGTCCTTCACATCCCTTGTAAGTTGGATTCCTAGGTATTTTATTCTCTTTGAAGCAATTGTGAATGGGAGTTCACTCATGATTTGGCTCTCTGTTTGTTGTTGGTGTATAAGAATGCTTGTGATTTTTGTCCATTGATTTTGTATCCTGAGACTTTGCTGAAGTTGCTTATCAGCTTAAGGAGATTTTGGGCTGAGATGGGGTTTTCTAGATGTACAATCACGTCGTCTGCAAACAGGGACAATTTGACTTCCTCTTTTCCTAATTGAATACCCTTTATTTCCTTCTCCTGCCTAATTGCCCTGGCCAGAGCTTCCAACACTATGTTGAGTAGGAGTGGTGAGAGAGGGCATCCCTGTCTTGTGCCAGTTTTCAAAGGGAATGCTTCCAGTTTTTGCCCATTCAGTATGATATTGGCTGTGGGTTTGTCATAGATAGCTCTTATTATTTTGAAATACGTCCCATCAATACCTAATTGATTGAGAGTTTTTAGCATGAAGCGTTGTTGAATTTTGTCAAAGGCTTTTTCTGCATCTATTGAGATAATCATGTGGTTTTTGTCTTTGGCTCTGTTTATATGCAAAAAAAGAGCCCGCATCGCCAAGTCAATCCTAAGCCAAAAGAACAAAGCTGGAGGCATCACACACCTGACTTCAAACTATACTACAAAGCTACAGTAACCAAAACAGCATGGTACTGGTACCAAAACAGAGATATAGATCAATGGAACAGAACAGAGCCCTCAGAAATAACGCCGCATATCTACAACTATCTGATCTTTGACAAACCTGACAAAAACAAGCAATGGGGAAAGGATTCCCTATTTAATAAATGGTGCTGGGAAAACTGGCTAGCCATATGTAGAAAGCTGAAACTGGATCCCTTCCTTACACCTTATACAAAAATCAGTTCAAGATGGATTAAAGACTTAAACGTTAGACCTAAAACCATAAAAACCCTAGAAGAAAACCTAGGCATTACCATTCAGGACATAGGCATGGGCAAGGACTTCATGTCTAAAACACCAAAAGCAATGGCAACAAAAGCCAAAATTGACAAATGGGATCTAATTAAACTAAAGAGCTTCTGCACAGCAAAAGAAACTACCATCAGAGTGAACAGGCAACCTACAAAATGGGAGAACATTTTCGCAACCTACTCATCTGACAAAGGGCTAATATCCAGAATCTACAATGAACTCAAACAAATTTACAAGAAAAAAACAAACAACCCCATCAAAAAGTGGGCGAAGGATATGAACAGACACTTCTCAAAAGAAGACATTTATGCAGCCAAAAAACACATGAAAAAATGCTCATCATCACTGGCCATCAGAGAAATGCAAATCAAAACCACAGTGAGCTACCATCTCACACCAGTTAGAATGGCAATCATTAAAAAGTCAGGAAACAACAGGTGCTGGAGAGGATGTGGAGAAATAGGAACAGTTTTACACTGTTGGTGGGACTGTAAACTAGTTCAACCATTGTGGAAGTCAGTGTGGCGATTCCTCAGGGATCTAGAACTGGAAATACCATTTGACCCAGCCATCCCATTACTGGGTATATACCCAAAGGACTATAAATCATGCTGCTATAAAGACACATGCACACGTATGTTTATTGCGGCATTATTCACAATAGCAAAGACTTGGAACCAACCCAAATGTCCAACAATGATAGACTGGATTAAGAAAATGTGGCACATATACACCATGGAATACTATGCAGCCATAAAAAATGATGAGTTCATGTCCTTTGTAGGGACATGGATGAAATTGGAAATCATCATTCTCAGTAAACTATTGCAAGAACAAAAAACCAAACACCACATATTCTCACTCATACGTGGGAATTGAACAATGAGGTCACATGGACACAGGAAGGGGAATATCACACTCTGGGGACTGTTGTGGGGTGGTGGGAGGGGGGAGGGATAGCATCGGGAGATACACCTAATGCTAGATGACGAGTTAGTGGGTGCAGCGCACCAGCATGTCACATGTATACATATGTAACTAACGTGCACAATGTGCACATGTACCCTAAAACTTAAAAGTATAATAAAAAATAAAAAATAAAAAAATAAAATAAAATAAAATAAAATAAAATATTCTCCCAACCCACGCTGGGCCCATCATTAGTGAGAGGAAGTTAATGCTTTTCAAGGACCAAATCCAGAAAAAAACTTTTTTTAATGCTTAACTTTGAAAAGTGACCAGAAATCCCCCTTCAGGTTCATGTCAGCGTCAACTGCCATCATCCTTTTCCTCCATGGAGCCACCTTCACCCTCTGCCATTAGCTCCAACTCCAGTGCCCTTTTTTTCTGCATTCATGGAAACATGGCCACATCTAGTAGTTGTTGCTGCCTTGGCCTACTTTCTACTTGAAGCGCAAACTTCCTCTGGATGTTCAGATACAAACAGTGAGTTCTGAAAGGCAAAGTAAACTTGTTTCTAGGAAAATATTTCCTTTTGCTGGAAGTTTTTTTTCCCCCACACGTTCAGATTAAATTAACTCTCCTTCACCACTAGCAAGTGTCATTTTAAGCATCTTTCTTGCAGCTTTTGGTCCCCTAAATAGCCACAGACTCTGGTTTGTTTTATTAAAAACACCATATTATCTTTCAATCTGCAATGTTTCTGTGGTATTATGTGTTTCTCTGCATTTTACAGACAAGGTGACTGGTTCAGAGTGGTTCACATCTGAAAAAAATGGAGCAATAAAAATACCTAATTCTTAGGACTGTTGAGAAGATTAAGTTATCACACATGAAGTTCTCTGCAAGTTTCCAATACATTTTAGCTATTGTTATTATTTTATGTTCATTATTAAGGATGTACATCCACCAGCTAGTAAATGGCAGTGCTGGTATTTGAGTTGGTTCACTTCCACCATAATTCCCTTTTGGGAAAGTAATTTTCGAAACATACAATCTGATAACACAACACTTTCAGGGAGATGGGGTAAAATGGACTTTGCAGAAGCTGTCTCCGTATATTTGAACTTATTTTAAATCTTAATTGTGAAATATTGAAATTTTAAAAGAAAACTAGAAAGTATGCAAATAACATTTTTACTGTTTAATAACAGACTATTAATAAAACTTTTATTTGAAAAGAAAATATTTTTTATTATCTTTCTTCTGTTTCTGTATGCTGATTCAGTTATTGGAATAAATACATTTGAAGTTAGATCTGATGCTGCCAATTATCAGTTATGGTCTTAGCCAAGTTTCTTTATCTCTCCAAGTTTAATTTACTCAACTGTAACATAATGATGATTAAAATAGACCAATATGAATTGAGCACTTAGTGAGTGTTTTCTAAGTACCTTAGGTAGATTTGCTCAGGTAATTCTCATAGCACCCCTGTAGAGCAATCTCCTCCAAATCCTAGTTGCACATTAGAATTATGAAGAGATTCTTAATAAGTAAGAAAAACAACAATCTCAGAACACTGGGCTTGGTGGTATGGTGGCATGAGTTACTTTTAAAATTTCCAAGATGCTTCCAATATAAAATCCAGACTGAAAAACCCCACAATAGAGGTAGGCATTGTTATCTCATTTTTACAGGCTACCCACAATGCTTGGCTTATGGCTCCCTTCCATCTTTGAAGCCAGTAATGGCTGGTCAAGCCCTCCCACTGTGTATCACTGTCACACTGACTCTTCTGCCTCCTGCTTAGACTTTTTGGAACTCCCTGGCTAGTCCAGTATAGCCTCCTGATTTTAAAGTCAGTGGTTGATAACCATAAATCCATCTGTAACATTAATTCCACTTTATATTGTGTCATGTCACAGCCACAGGTTCTTGAGGTTAGCATGTAGACATTTGGGAGGAGTGCTATGTTTTGAATGCCTCCCCAAAGTTCATGTGTTGGAAACTTAATCTTCAAATTCATATGTTGATGGTATTTGAAGATGGGGCCTTTGGGAGGTAATAGAGTTAGATGAGGTCATAAGGGTGAGGCCCCCATGATGAGATTAGAGGCTTTATAAAAAGAGGAAGAGACATTTGGCTTGTATTCTCCTTCTGTCTTATCATGCCTCAAGTCATGCCACATTATGATGCAGCTTACCAGATGTGTCCCCTTGATCTTAGACTTCCCAGCCCCTAGAACTATAAGAAATACACTTCTTTTCTTTATAAAATACCCAGTCTGTGATATTCTGCTATAGCAGCAGAAAATAGATGAAGGCTCAGAGACATTGTTTTGCCTACCAGAGCCTCCTTTCATGGTTCCTTTTCTTGTGCAGGCAGTTGAATGTTAGCATGCTCAGGGTTTAGTTCTTTTCTTTTCTATATTTCATTCTTGGTTTTCTGATCACCAAAAATTTTAAATGCTAAGTATATACCAGAGTATCAAATTAATATCCCTAACTCAAAATGTTTTTTCTATGTTCCATACTAAAATATTCATGTACTTTGCATCTCTATTAGATATTAGTAGGTATTTCTAACACAATGAATCCAAAATAGAAATCTTGAAGTGTACCCCCACTCAAATATGCTTCATCCCACAACCTTCCCCATCTCATATGATGGCAATTCTACTGGTCCTGTTTTCTTAGGCCAAATATCTTAGAGTCATTCCTAACTCTTGTATTTCTCTCTCATTCCAACCCCAATCCATCAGGAAATCCTGTTGGCAGGATCCTCAAAATACAGGTATAACCTGCAGAACATCTTAGTTAATGTAGGGAGACCCCCTGAAACTATTGCTATGGAATAAAAGATGAAATGCTCCTGATTATTGTAAATACAAAATTGCATGCAGGATTGTGTAAAGACAATGCCAGGCTGGATAGCCAGAATGAGCCAATAGCACATGATGTGCTTCCCCCTGCAGAGAGCCTATGAATGGACATGCAGTCAGGGAGGTTTCACATCACCAAGATTCCTATCCCAGAAAAGCAGATGTTCATAGCTCTGGGAATGGAATGCGACCCTTGTGGAGAGCCTATAAACGGACACATGAGAGGCGCCTGTTCATATGGATAAGATAGGGCTATAAACGCCCTCATCTTGCCATGGCACTTCTAGGCCTCTTTAGTGTTAAGGCAGACTCCCTTCTGAGAATTTCTGGTCTAACCAGTTGTCTAGCTTCACATCCTGTTCCTATGGACTGTTTGTAACCAGCTTTTGCTGCAACTGTTACTGCTGATTAATACCTTGCTAACCATAGGTTATGGAAAGATTGTGTTTCTGTTTTAAGGCTCTATTAGGAATTACTGATGCACACACTATATTGTAAATTCTTATCTCTGTATACTGTACTTCTGCATACAGATGTTATGTTAAAGAATTACTTCATCCCCATATGACCATCTCACCTCATAATCAAATGACTTTAAATCCCTCACTAACCTACCCCCACCCTCACCAAACTTAATAATAAATGTTGGTATATACAGTGCATTGGTGGCACCATGGGACCAGAAGGTGGTTACCCCCCTGGACCCAACTTTCACTATCTTGTGTGTGTCTGTTATTTCTCAACCTGCCAATCCGCCTGCAAACAAAGAGAGAGCCCTGTTGCATTGCAGCCTGCTGGCCAGATCCCGCAATAAGTTAACACTTTCCTGGAGAAAAAGTACCTCTTGACTTTAAGCCAGACCTTGAGGAATGTACATGTCTCTCAAAACAATGGTTTTCACATGAACATTACATAGGAAAAATTATATCTACATTGACAAAACCCAATTCAATAAAACCTTTTTTAACACTTTAGCAAAGTATGTTAACAAATATTTTAACACAACATTTTAAACAAACATTAACAAAACAATGTGTGGGAAAATCTTGAATGCATTCCAATTACAATTTAGAAAATGTCAGAATCATGTGGAGGCATTTTAAAGAATCTCAACAAAGAAAATGTACCCTCAGATTTTTTTCTGGTGCCAACAGGTGAAACTACTGACAAAACAAACCCTTGTCAACATTTGTATTAATTGTTTGGTTGTCACAAAGCATTTTGCACCCTGACATAATCGTTTATTACTTGCATACAGCTTTCTGTTGTGTTTTAGTTATTATGTTTGGTAATACATTATGGTTTTAATACTTTAAAATCATGAGATTGCATTTTATGCGGAAAGTCTAACTTTCAGGAGTGAGTAACTTACATTAAGAAGACGTTGCTCATAAATCCAGAATCTGACCAGTTTTCAACACCTCCACTGCTTCTGCCCTGGTATGGACTGCTGTTATTTTCCCAACTTCCCATCTTCAGGGATACTGCAGTTATCTTCCCAACAGGTCTTGCTGCTTTTATCCTTATTATTTACCCCAGCTCCATCCTTGGCACCCTGATCATTTCCAGTTATTTTCCCCTTGCTAACTTTCTTCTAGCTGCCCAGATAACTCCTTCCCACTTCTCAAGCACTGCACACATTCTCACATTTTAGGCCTTTTGCCCTCTGGTGCCTGAGCCTGGAGTGTTCTTTCTCTACTACTCTCTTGGTTAACACTCACTCCCTCATTATTTTTCTCAAATCACCCTTGCCATGAAGCTTATCCTGACTAGCCTACATATATCTGTCTTCTTTACTATATCCCACTCCTCATCTCTCTTAACCCAGTTTATTGTTTTTTTCTGTTGTATTTAACATTCTTTATTATGCTACATGATTTACTTATTTATGTTTAGTATTTATTGTTGGCCTCCCATCAGCTGTAAGATCAGCTTCATGAGGGCAGAGATCATCTAGAACAGTGCCTGGCATGTAACAATGGTCAATAAGTGTTGAATTAATGATTGAATTAATAAGTGAATTTGCCCAAAATTTCACGGTATTAGTGGAGCTATGTATGAACACAAGCAGTCTGACTTCTGAGTCTATACACTTAAACTCTCTCTCTCTCTGCATGTATAAATACACACATACACCTACTCAATGCTTACATTTACATATAATATTTATATTTAAATTTTATCCTCTTCTCATTTTTTCAGTAATTCAGAGGCAGGGGGATTTTTGAAGAGCTAAGTATAAGAAGCATTTTATGCAATGTCTAACATACAATATGTATTCAATAATTTTTGCTCCCCAAGCCCACCTGAAAGGCTTCATAAAATGCTAAAATTAATCTACTCCCTTGCTTAGTCTTCTTTTTCTGTTCTCCACCACAGGCAGAGTAGCAGCAGTTCTATTCCAAAAAATGTTAAGAGTTACTAAAATTGTCATAATACAGAAAAATTGTATTCTTGACCACTTCTTGGTAGCTCTCTTTATTTTCATTTGATAAATTATTTGTTGCTTGCTATTTCCTCTCAACTCTGGAACTTTCTTTTTATCCTCTCTGTTTTACTATTGTAGCATGACCTTTTATTTTCTCCTCTAATTTCTCTTCTGCATGTCAAAGATGGCTTTTTGTTGACATGACTAAACAGTCAGAGAGTTTCTGCTTTTCTGGTCAGTAATCAACCACAACACTTTATTTTCAACTGAAATCATTGTTTCTTTTCCTGGTAGTGCAGAAGGCCAAATTCCCAGCTTATTTTAACTGCAAATATTTTCTCTCTCTCCTTCCCCACTCCCCTTTCTTTTATTTTATCCTTCTCTGTTTCTTTCTTTCTTCCCTTTTTCCCTTCTTCCTTTTTTCTTTTCTTGCTTTCCTTTTTCTGGTATAACTCAATTCTGATCCATGAAGACTAAGCAATTGAAAAGTGGAAGGTAGTATTCATTTCTGGATAATTCAGTTAACTAAGTATCTGTATAGAAACCAAATGACATTGACTGAAAAAAAATCACATTGTGCACTCAAAGAAAATTCTCCTTAAAACAACTTTTTCACATGAAGAATCATTTTCCTCCAGTAGCTAGTTTATAAACTTAAGTAATATACTTTCTTAAAACATATATACTTATTCTATTATGATTGATGCCAATTAGTCAATAAGAAGAAAACTAATATTTAGCTCTTTAAAACTTTAGTTCTCTTTTAGTTGCAGTTTATTTAAAAGAATAAAGTAAAATAAATAAATAAATTTGGTAAGTAATGTAGGTCCAAAAAAGGGCCATGTTTGAAAGGAATGATTTTGTAAACATTGCTATCAGCAATAGAAAATTATTGACAAATAGTTCTTTTAAGCAAAACTAACTAGAAACTGAATAGTCCTTGAAATGGTTTGGCTGTGTCCCACCTAAATCTCATCTTGAATTGTAGTTCTCATAATCCCCACGTATCAGGTGTTGTAGGAGGGACCCAGTGAGAGGTAATTGAACCATGGGGGTGGTTACCCTCCTGCTGTTCGCCTCCTGATAAAGAGTGAGTTCTCAGGAGATCTGATGGCATTATAAGGGGCTTTTCCTCCTTTTGCTCCACATCTCTCCTTGCTGCCACCATGTAAAGAGGGACATGTTTGCTTCCCCTTCTGCCCTGATTGTTGTAAGTTTCCTGAGGCCATCCCAGCCATGCTGTACTGTGAGTCAATTAAACCTCTTTCCTTTATAAATTACCCAGTCTCGGGTATGTGTTTATGAGCAGTGTGAGAATGAACTAATGCAGACCTGTTCCACTAAAGCAGAGAGGGTTTTAAGTTTTTTAATAAACTAAGACAGCCCTATACTCTTAATGAAAATATAGAAATTAAAGAAACACTAAGCTGGGGATTATATGAAAAAAATGATTATTTATACACAACTAAAAGTCTGGAAAATCAATTTTATCTCCCTCCCAAAATTGCTTTGGGGAAAGTCTCTGGAATTAAACATAGTTACAGATTAACTTTTTTTACTTATGTGTGTTTCATTGTAGAGTATAATAGAATACAAAGTGGACAAAGAAACTAAATCATTTGAGATATGAGATTTTTAAAAAAGAAAACTTAAAGCCTAAATGAGTACATACTTACGTATTCAATGAATTTTTTAAATGAAACAATGAATAATGAAAGTCTATATTAAGAATCAGTTAATGGACAGTATACTATTTTACAAATTGTGAATTATTTTAAGAATTGTGTTTATAACAATATTAAGCTAAGTTATGGCCCAAGGTATATATTAGAAAGATTTCACTGTGGATTAAATATATTGATTATATCAATTATTCAATATATACTATATCAAGTATAATATGAATTGAATATATAGTATATATTCAATTATAATATTCAATAATTAATATTAATATTCAATCAATATAATACAGATATGAATGCGAAGTTATATAATTTTAGAGAAAGGGATACTGAAAGTGTCTGTGTGATTTTGTTATAATTTCACAGAGATAGTAAGTTGAACTTGAAAGATGAGTAGGAATTGTCAGGAGGGAAACTCATATTCAAAGGGCAGAGAAAGGTGAGCAGTTCAAAATGCCCATGTCTCAGGATGAATGGCAAGAGAGAGGCTAAATTGCACAAGTGGTCAGGAGCCATAGCATTTTAAAAATATTAAAATATTAAAGCTGAGATTAAATAACTTTTAAATAGGTTTCTTTATTTAGCTAGAGAATCTAATAAGTTAAAACCAGTATTGCATGTTTACTAAAGGGCAGATATTCACACAGCCCATAAACACTGCTAAACTATTTCTATTTTTCTTATTTGAAATTCTATTTTAAGTAGAAAATGTACATACTAGCAAAATTTAAGTATTATGAATAAAAGTAAAAATATAAGTATAGATACTGTATGTATTGGTCATATAAATGAAGTATATGTATTATGGTTTATACCTTCTTTTGGGCAACTCAATAAAAAAGTTTTTTGTATGTCAAAAGTTTTCATACTTTTTATAAGTACCTTTAAAAGCACTCTGGCTTGTTTAAATTATTTTTTCCTGTGATAAGTATTATTTGATTAATGATTGTGTTTTTTATTAATTCCACTAGCATTTTCTTTTCTGCTATGTATCAGACACGTGTTAGAAGTCATGGAATTGCCTCTTTGGTAATAAGATTGATTATACTCACCCTTCTGAGAAATCTAATAAGGTATTTTATATTCTATATACTTATTTTAAAAACGCTGCCCATTCCCAAAATTATTTTGTAATTTTTTTTGTGGGGGAAGGAGTCTTACCATAAAAGTAGGTTATAAACTGTGCAACTAAATTAGTTTTCATTACTTTAGATTTATCTCTGACCCAGATGCTAACATTTGGCTTGATCATCAAATTGATTCCTAATGCTTGCCTCCAGATAATTCTGAGATGCTTTAAAAATTAAACTGGTTCTCAAGAGACAGATATTTTTCACCATTATTGATATTTAAGTACATGTGTTTAGGCACAGAGAGCAATTTTCAAGAAGTTACCTAAATATTTTGAGTAATAACATCTCTGTAAGAATAAATAAGTAGGCTTCCTTAAAGAAATACTTCCATACTTCCAAAGGAAAAACACTCATATAAATGGTCATGTATTGGTATATTTATTAAAATTCATCAGTCATATTTCAACTCAAGTAACATTTCTTTGAAATGTTTTACCTGAATTGACAAAAATACACTTACATAGAAGGAGTAAGTTCTACTATTTAATAGCACAGTAGGGTGACTATAGTTCAGAATAATTTATTGTACATTTCAAAATAGCCAGAAGAAAGATTTGGAATGATCCCAATACAAAGAAATGATAAATGTTTGAAGTGATTTATATCACAATCACCCTGATTTGATCACTATACAATGTAAGCATGTAGCAAAATATCTCATGTACTCCAGAAATATGTACAATCATTATGTATCAATAAACATTTTAAAAAGAAAAGAAATACATTTATTATGAGATTGTTTTACCATAAAATTATATCTTGGAATATGTTAAAAATTGTACTTGATTTTCATAAGATATATTTTTAATTAATAAAATATTAAACATAAACCTTAGCAAACCTGTTCAGTCTAGATTTTGAAGTCCTCTCATATTACAGTCAGCATATTACTGAATGACATTCAGCCAATCTATTTGGTCTTTCTGGTACCATGATAGTAGTTTGCTGATATTAGTGAAAATTATTTTTATTAAATTATACTTGATATGTTGATTGGTATTATGTCAATTTCTTCAAATGTCTGCAAGGATATAATTAAAGTTCTGATGTAATCTGAAAAATTAAACAGCTCGTACAGTTCTATCATAAGGTTAATTTGATTTTATAGCAAAGATCACTTCCTTGATAAAAGTCAAAAAGCACAATCTTTCTATGACAGGTTGACTTATGATAATTACAATTACTCTCTTATTAAATACATATTAAATTCCAGATTTCACTCACTTCTGTTCTTATTCAAAGGCATATACATGTTTGCAATTCTCTCCAAGCAAGCATATCAGAGTATATCTGTGAGAAACCACAGATATATCTAATCAGAGGTAGAGTATGATAACAAACAAAATCAATAGGAAATTTTATCACGGCATGTAAAGAAAATCTCATATGTATCACTGATACTTGCTGAAGTATGACACCTATATGGAATATACAATGAAAAGACCTGTTTTATTTTTAAGTATATTTTAATAGACTAAAGGGAGGTGGCAATGTATGTCCACAGAGTATAACAAATCTGAAGGTGAAATTTGGACTAAAACTAAATAGAGGATGTAAATGTAACTACAAAAAGAGACACCGTAAGGTTAAAATATTAAATAATGTATGGTAGTGAACTTTAAAGTATGTAAAAACATGAGAAATTCCATCTTGCATAACACAGTTTTGATAAAATTTCCATTTATCCTGCTAAAAATTTCACTGGGGAAAAAATGAACAAAGCATCCAGGGGAATTGCTATATTGGATTTAATTTTCATCATCAAGAAATAAGTGATTTATGATAGATGGAAACCATATAGAAAGTGATACTATAATTTCAGAGTTCATAGAAATGAAGGAAAAGTATCCTGGATATGTCTGTCCTGAGCCTTAAATCAGTGACTTACACACAGTGCCGTTTCTCTAATCACTTGGAGGGTATTATGAAATATAAGTCCTCAGGCCCCTCTTCAAATAGACTGAATTCAAAATCTCTGCAAATGGAGAATCTATATTTCCAAGATTCCTGCAGATAATTCTCCTGGGGAATCTGGTTTCTCAGATGATTTTGTAGGGACTGGTAAAAATTTGTCTCCCAGAATGAAATGGTTTACCTTTGGTCACATGTGCTCCAGCTCTGTGGAACTTTTGAGAATAGCTCTGTTCCTCTGGATAAAGAAAGTGTTGCATTAAAAGGGAAATTGAGGGTCAGTCTTTTGGATTTCTAAAGGTAGCACTCATAACCAAAAGTGATAGCTTTCCCAAATTCTGCAAGACTTGGTCTTTAGTTTGTTTTGTTTTTAATGAGAGTGACAGACAAGTGAGAAGATAATTAATCTCTCCTTAACTACTTCCAGATCTGGCAAGTATTGCCTAGCCCAGCAAGTTATTCGTTACTTTTCAATCCAGTTCTCTTAGGCTTTTAGCTAGAAGAAATCCTTCCCACATTCCGGCAATTGGCTGTCAGTCATACTTTTCTGTATTGGGATTTTTCAAAGATTTTTGACTTTTATGTGTCTATTAGTGGAACTTGGAAGAGGATGCATCAGGGAGTACCATCCTGGTCCTATTTTAAACCCAACTTCTGCAGCATTGATTCTTTGTGACAGATATAATTGTTTCATTTTCCATTGTCTTCTCTCTTGAAATGCCCTGCTAGCCAATGAGAAATTGGAAAAAGACAAAGAAGAAAAAAAAAGAAAGAAACAGAACTGTGACTATTCTATTTGGTTGCATAAATTTTGATCCCTGTAACAAATGTAAAATAAGTTCATGCTGACTGCACTGATTGAACTAGATGAGGTCAACAAATACAATTGTCCTTGATAGTCACCATCTAATAAGCCTACATTTTGCATTGTTGATTTGAAATTTACAGAATGTCTTCATTTACATTATTTCATTTGAAGACTTAATTATTTCCTTTAGTTTCTTCATTGCAAGACAAGTATGATAATATCTGGGTCCAGAAAAGTTAAATAGCTTGTCCAGGTTCACACAGTGAGAACTCAATGTACTTTTTTTTTTACTTGCCCATAGCAGGTTCTTCCTTGGTATTGGGAATAAGTGAACTGAATTGTATGGATTCTGCATGTTTTGATCACAATATGGTATCCCTGTTACTGAGTTTTAAACAAACGTAGAAATCAGCCACATTTTATGAATGTAAAAGTTTACAAATTATATAGAAAGAAGTTTCTTGAAATCTGGGAAAATTCTGTCAAGGCTTTTTGAGGTATAAGAATGTCACTACGAAAAGAATATATCTTGTATCTACCTGCTGATATCTTATGGGAGAAAAAAGGTAACTGTTGGCTATATACATATATATACACACACACATATATACATGTATACATATATACATATATATACATATATACATGTATACATATATACATATATATACATATATACATGTATACATATATACATATATACATATATACATGTATACATATATACATATATATACATATATACACATATATATACATATATACATATATACACTATATATGTATATACATATATACATACACTATATATGTATATACATATATACATACACTATATATGTATATACATATACATATACATATATACACACATATATATACATATATGTATTGCAAACTTAAAGGTAAGTCTGTTTGAAGACAGAATTTCAGTATTTTGAATATGAATTATTATATTATTCCTTTGTCAAAGTGCTTCTTATGCAGAGCTGTATGTACCTTGCTCCTGTTCTACAAAAGAAAGAGCTTTACAAATTCTCTTCTGGTAAAAAGGATAATATCAATTAAATAGTCCCTGTGCTAGTTCCACTGTTTAAAACACCCGTTAAACAGTGGTCAACATTGATGAGTTTCATAAATAGAAAAATGTCATTTCTTGTGCATCCTGGCCAGCCAATTACAAATAAGACTGGATTTAGGAGATCTACATTCAATATATCACTTTGCCATTAACTCATTTTTTAAAATATTGGCCTTGCTGACTTATTTGTAAAGCAGAGGTTAGAGGTTAAAGGAAATTACTTCTTATATTAATAATCTATGCCTATGAAGCATCATTAGCCCATGGCATGAACAAATTTGATCTGTTGCTAAATTCAAATGATACAGGATCTTTTTCAGTTTACAGGGCATAGGAGGGGAGAGGGAAAGGAAAGTCAAAATTTGGCATAAGTTTTCTATCATAAATTTTTTCTTAATCACTTAGCCCCAGATACCTCTTACCTTCTAGCGAATTCTACCAGGTAAGAAAATTAATGAACAAATAGTAAATTAATATTAATTTGACTGTAAAAACAGCAACTAAGAGGAGGCTACTAGTTTTATGACAGCAACAAGTAAAACGGCAGAAAAATTAGAAGTTTCACAGGAAGGACGAGGGGGGAAACCAGCAATGAAGAGCCCTATGGAATTGGAGAAAGCTCTAAAGATGCCTGACTTTAATTGGATAAGACTCTAGAACAATTTATACACCAGGGCATTGTTGAAAACAATAGAACAAAGAGTTAACAATTAGTGGCAGCTAAAAGCTAGATACAATTTCAATAAAGTCAGACTTTCTGGAAGCTTAATAAGGAATTCAGGGAAAAAGAATCAAAACCACTGTCATCCCTGGGGCTAGGGGGTCAAGATAACTGTGTACATGTTGTGCCTTCTGAAGAATGACAGTAAAGGCTGGCCAATGCAAGGGAACCTTAATAAATCAGTATAGTCAAGTTACTAAACAGATAAGCAAGCAAACAGATAAAAATAACAACATGGCCCAGGAGGAGAGGGATCAGTAGCCAGAGTTGCTATAGTGCATTATCAAAAGTGTCCGATTTTCAACCAAAACTTATGAGACAGTCAAAGAAACATGAAAGTAAGAACCTTACACAGGAATAAAATGAAGCAAAAGAGATGGCCTTTAAGGGGACACAGGTGTTGGATTAGCAAAGACTCAAAAACAGCTATTATAGATATGTACAAAGAACTAAAGCAGCAGTTCCCAACCTTCTTGTGGCACCAGGGACCTGTTTTGTAGAAGACAGTTTTTCCATGGATGGGATGGTGGGGGAATGGTTTGGGGATAAAACTGTTCCACATCAGATCATCAGGCATTAGTTAGATTTTCAAAAGGAGCACACAACCTAGATCCCTTGCATGCACAGTTCACCATAAGGTTTCCACTCCTGTGAGAATCTAATGCCACAGCTGACCTGACAGGAGGCAGAGCTCAGGTGGTAATGATGGCTCACCCACTGCTCACCACCTGCTGTGTGGCCTGGTTCTCAACATGCCACTGACCAGTACTGGTCCTTGCCCAGGACCCCTGGAATAAAGGAAACTGTGAAAGAAGACATGATAATACTATCTGCTCACAATTCTTCCTTCTCTCCCTAACCTCAAGGTGGCTTCCCTGGGGGTAGAGTCTACTTCCCTGCACCACTTACTTTAGCTGAGCTCAGCAGAGACACAATTGCCCTGCATATCCATGGGCAGTTAATAAGGATGTGTAAAACATTGAGAATTCAGGGTTATTTATTCCATGCCACTATTGCAGAACAACCTGATGGTTATGGACTGAATGTTGGTGTTCACACAAAATATATTTTTTAAAGCCCTCACTCCTAATGTGATGGTATTCATAGGTGGGGTTTTAGGGAGGTAATTACGTTTGGAGAAGGTCATGAGGGGGTGGGGTCCTCCCAAGGAGATTAGTGTTTTTATAGGCAGAGACATGGAAGTTTCTTCTCTTTCTCTCAGCCAAGCAAGGACACAGCAAGAAGAAGGCCATCTGCAAGATAGGAAGAGTCATTGCCAGGAACTAAATCAGCTGCCATATTTATTTTTGTCTTTCCAGCCTCCAGAATTGTGAGAAAGAAATGAAACCTCCCAGTCTATGGAATTTTGTTGTAGTAATCTAAACAAACCAGGACATTGACTAATACAATAGATAAAGTAGTTGAGGGGTATGCATTGATTTGAATACAGTGTAAGAATAGTAAATAATAATCTTGATTTTAAACAGCAAACAGGATAGTTCTTAAGATGTACTTTTGCATTAAAAGTATGAAATTATATTTACAGCAAAATGCATATCAAATATGTTTCTGACATATAATTAAGAATATATTATAGTAATGCTTGTAGGAGTTTGTTGATGGGGATGGAGGTAGGAAATTGAAACTGTCCTTGTGAAGATTAGGACAGTGAGAGAATCTAGCATGGCTGACCCCACCTTGCTTCTAGCCTCACAGGCTGTCTGTCTTTGCTCATTCCTGGGTGTAGGGTAATCGTGGGCAGAATTTAGTGCATAGTTTAACTTTGAAGCAAAGATGAGAATAGTTTCTTCCTAAAACTTATCTCCTCCTTGTTCAGGGGCTGAAACCACCTTTGTAAGACAAATGGAAGGCCACAAGATTAAGATTATGGGAGAGAGCTGAATTCTGCTAAAATGTAGTTTCTGTAATCCCTCATTGCTCAGGAGTCATGTGGTCAGAGGTCATAAGATTTGTGACTTCCCCAATTGCTCCTATAGATAACACCACTATGGTAGAACATAGGATTGGTCTTTTGAGATGCTTTTTGTAGGTTTGCCTTCTGACAAATAACTGACTCCATGAAGACTTGTGACTCATGACTCAACCTATCCTGTGCCCCACCCCAAGCCAGAGATGGTGGACTCAGAACACAAGGACCATTTTTTACCCACCTATGACTGCATCTCCAACCAATCAGCAGTACCCATTCCCTATCCCCTGCCCATCAAAATATCCTTGCAAATCCCTAACCTCCAAGCCTTCTGGGAGACTAAGTAATAATTCTGTCTAACTATGTGTCTAGCTTAGCATTAATTAGACTTTTTCTTTACCGCAATGCCATAATCTCAGTGAATTGGTTTTATCTGTGCAGCAGGTGGGAAGACTCCATCGGTTAATTACAAAATGACAACATGAAATAAAATAAGAGAGGATTTGCAGGGAGTGTTGGAGGTAGCATATCAGAATTATATTTGAGTTCCAACTTAAATATGTAACAAATGTAGCAAAATATTAATCACTACTAATCTAGGTCTTGGGAATATTATTTTTAATATTACTTTTTATAATTCAATATGTTTTTTAAAGTCTTTAATAAAAGTTATGTTTATTTTTTGTCATTCCTAACTTGTGTAGGCATTTGGACTTCTCTTTGGTATTGTATTTTCTTACATTCCTTGCTAAAGAGTTTTTTTGTTTGTTTGTTTGTTTTGGGATGGAATCTTGCTCTGTCACCAGGCTGGAATGCAGTGGTGCAATCTTGGCTCACTGCAACCTCCGCCTCCCAGGTTCAAGCAATTCTCCTGCCTCAGCCTCCCGAGTTGCTGGGACTACAGACGTGCTCCACCAAGCCTGGGTAATTCTTGTATTTTTAGAAAAGATGGGGTTTCACCATGTTGGCCAGGATGGTCTCTATCGCTTGACCTTGTGATCCACCTCTCAAAGTGCTGGGATTACAGGCATGAGCCACTGTGCCAGGCCGAGTTTTTAAGTTCATAATATTTTGGTTCATTATTTTATTTTCTTGCTCTTAGTATTTTATGTTTCATCTGAGGGTGCCTAACAACACAACATCTGGAGGTATCCCTTTCACAGGAAAATATTCTCAAAATAAATTGGTTTCAATTGAGCTTAATGCATAGTTCTTATTTTCCTCTGGTATATACCAAATTAATAGTAATTTTTAGATTCCAAGAAAAATATTTTTTGTGAATATAAATCTAACAGGTTTTATTTAAATTTTTATTCATTCTCCTATGCTATGCTGTTATTTGTCTGAATGCCATATGGATACACCTAAAAATCTTCTAATCTAATTAATGTGAAATCTATCTTCCAAATCTCAACATAGTGAAATCTTGAAGTTAACTGTTCCACATTCAGAATCTAGAGTGCTTGTTACACAGAGAGCTTTGAACACAAAATCATTGAATGAGTAAATTAATTCTAATAGCTAATAATGGCAAAAAGAACAAGAGTAAGGCCAGGTATGTGTTTCGCACCTGTAATCTCAGCACTTCTAGGGACTGAGGTGGGAGGATTACTTGTGGCTGAGAGTTTGAAACCAGCCTGGGCAACATAGTGAGACCCTGTCTCTACAAAAAATTTCAAAAAAAAATTAGTCAAGTGTGGTGCTGTGCAACTGTAGTCCCAGCTACTTGGGAGGCTGAAGTTGAAGGATCATTTGAGCCTGGGAGATGAAGGCTGCAATGAGCTGTAATCATGACACTGCATTCCAATCTGGGCAACAGAGTGAGACACTGTCTCAAAAAAAAAAAAAAAGAAAAAGAAAAAAAAAAAAAAAAAAACAAGAGTAGTAAAGTGGTTTACAGTCTAGAAAGCTTTCACTAATGATGTTGATCCTCACAATTGCATTGTGAGGTGTTTTAATATTGCCATTGTGCAAAAGAGAAAACTGCGTGTCAGGAAGCCTAAGTAACTTGTTTGAGGTCAATACATTAGTACTATTTTATTTATTTATTTATTTATTTATTTATTTATTTATTTATTTATTTATTGTGAGACAGAGTCTCACTCTTGTCACCCAGGTTGGATTGCAATGGCGTATTCTTGGCTCACTGCAACCTCTGCCTCCCGGGTTCAAGTGATTCTCCTGCCTCAGCCTCCCAAGTAGCTGGGATTACAGGTGCATGCCACCCTGCCTGGCTAATTTTGTATTTTTAGTAGACAGGGTTTCACCATGTTGGCAAGGCTGGTCTCGAACTCTTGACCTCAGGTGATCCACCCCCCTCAGCCTCCCGAAGTGCTGGGTTTATAAGGAGTGAGCCACTGTGCCTGGCTATTTTTTTCTGATACCAAGAGACTTATACATAATTTTAATAATTTTCAATTTTAGTAAGGAAATTATCAAAGTTATGAATAATAAAATTATATTTGAGAAAATATTTTACAACAATTTCCAACTTTATCCTCCGGCCCTTTGCTTATCCCTGGAGATCAAGTTCTGCTCTTTAGATTGTTAGAGGAGAAAAGCAACAAAGGATAAGTTGATTAATAATATGATTATAATAAAACCTAAATTAGGTAGAGAGAAATTATATTCAAATAAGAAAGATATTAGAAAAAATAATTGAAATTTTTAAAAAGAAACTTGCTTTTTAATTTCCTAGAAATAAGGCTAAGTCAGTTTAGTTTTTCTTATTTTATAATGAATATAAGAATTATACCATAAAATTAGTTTTTTGCCATATGTAGAAGAAATATTAAGATAACATATGCATATTAATTATTAATATTCTTAATTGCATTTGCTATTTTAGCAATTGACTGTACCTAAAATATTTAACTCCAACATTTTTTGATGTTACAGACATACCAAATATTATAAATATACACAATACAATAAATAAACTGATTAAGGTTGGAGTTAAGGCAACTTCTTTCTCTTAAAGAAATAGACACCTCACTACATTGTTTTACTTCAGAGGTTTTCAACCCGGGTGCTGAATATCTCCAAAATAGAATTTAGAGGATCTCTGAACTGGATGGAAAAACATAAATCTTTATCTTCGCCAAACTCTAATTAAAATTTAGCTTTTCTTCAATCATAAATTTTGACAAAAACTTACAGTAATATTAGCAGTATCAAACAGGTGTTTTCATATCTTATTACAATTATCACAGTCCTTAAATGTTGCTACTTTAAAATTATGGTGATTATTCAACCCACCACAAGCTATTAATTTTAATGCATTAATCAAGAAGTACATATATTATTTTACTAGATAGCAATTTTAATATTTTATAACTATTTCAATATAATTACTTTTATAATTTTATTTTTGTATTCAATACATGTAAATAATCATCCTGAGAAGATATAGGTTCATAGGCTCCATCAGACTGTCAAAAGTGTTTCTGATACATAGAAATGTTAAGAACTCCTGCTTAATTAGTTAGTCCCCTGGTGTGAATTGTTTAGTGTCCTAGGACAGCAGTTGTTTCTTCTGTGTTTATCCTATTCTTGCCAGATCTTCTTATTTTGAGTGGGCAAAGGGCCTAACTTCCAAATTCATTGTCTATATCTGTGGCTTCCAATATGGAATGCAAATACCCCAGCCATTCTGCAACATGACACATGCAGTGTGGGAATTAAATGTTGTAATTAATTCTTATCTTATTTAGATTTTATATCATACTTAAAAAGATATTTATGAAAATATGTAATGTGTATATATTATATTAGAAGAGTATTGCACTAAGAATTATATATATGGGTCAATATGGATTAGGGAGCATGCTCCAATATTTATTGATAACATATATACTCATAAATGGTTCTAGATCAATGGTCCAGAGACATATTAGATACAGTGTTTCTCTATCATTATTTATCATTTTGTTTCAATATTCTGAGTTTTAAAAGTTTTATTTCTTCAATGTCTATCCAGCCAGGCAGCCAACCAACCAAGCATTCATCTAGCCATCTACTCATCCAGACATTTATTTATTCAATATTTGTTCAGCATCTGCTTTGTGCCAAATATTATGACACGTATCGACTTTTATAGTCTTAATATAAAAATTTCTCATCTCTTCATGCTTCTGTTTGCTGCAAAAATGTCTCCTTTTGAGAAGTGTCTGTTCATATCCTTCGCCCACTTTTTGATGGGGTTTTTTTTTCTTGTAAAATTTGTTTGAGTTCTTTGTAGATTCTGGATATTAGGCCTTTGTCAGATGAGTAGATTGCAAAAATTTTCTCCCATTCTGTACGTTGCCTGTTCACTCTGATGGTAGTTTCTTTTGCTGTGCAGAAGCTCTTTAGTTTAATTAGATCCCGGAGAGGATGTGGAGAAATAGGAACACTTTTACACTGTTGGTGGGACTGTAAACTAGTTCAACCATTATGGAAGACAGTGTGCCAATTCCTCAGGGATCTAGAACTAGAAATACCATTTGACCCAGCCATCCCATTACTGGGTATATACCCTAAGGAATATAAATCATGCTGCTATAAAGACACATGTACACATATGTTTATTGCAGCACTATTCACAATAGCAAAGACTTGGAACCAACCCAAATGTCCAACAATGATAGACTAGATTAAGAAAATGTGGCACATATACACCATGGAATACTATGCAGCCATAAAAAATGATGAGTTCATGTCCTTTGTAGGGACATGGATGAAGCTAGAAACCATCATTCTCAGCAAACTATCACAAGGACAAAAATCTGTATGTTCTCACTCATAGGTGGGAATTGAACAATGAGAACACTTGGACCCAGGAAGGGGAACATCACACACTGGGGCCTGTTGTGGGGTGGGGGGAGTGGAGAGGGATAACATTAGGAGATATATCTAATGTAAATGATGAGTTAATGGGTGCAGCACACCAACATGGCACATGTATACATATGTAACAAACCTGCACATTGTGCACATGTACCCTAGAACTTAAAGTATAATAAAATATATATATATATATATATATATATATTTAAAAAATTGCTCATCTCAGGGATCATGGCATAATGCATACAAATAGAGGATTCTCTCGTGAATTCATTCATATTCCTAGAATAAAGGCAAATCCAATAAATATCTTCCTCTTTTGATGGGAAAGTGAAGGGTGTCTTTGTTTCTAGTTGTCTCAGAGTTAAGTATATTCCATCAACATTTTATGTATTAGACTTAGACAACAGTGTGTGTTTGTAACTTATTTGCTAATGTTAATAAAACAATACTATCACTGACAGGATTGACCTCAAAAAGCTTAGTTTTAGGCTCAGAAGATTAAAACAGGGGACAAAAATCAGTTGCCCTTTGGGCAGATGACTTGAGAAGTCAGGAGGTTGTCCAGTGATTTAGAATAACCACTACCTAATTGAACAGCTTTGGTGGAAGTTGTGCATTCTTATTAAGTACGAACTCAGTAACCAAGACTTTACTGATTAAAAATTATATTAAAGAATCTTAAAAAAATTTAATTTATTACATTTTAAACTTTTTTATTTTACTTTAAGTTCTGGGATACATGTGCAGAATATGCAGGTTGGTTACATAGGTATACATGTGCCATGGTGGTTTGCTGCACCTATTAACCCATCATGTAGATTATAAGCCCCACATGCATTAGGTATTTGTCCTAATGCTCTCCCTCCCCTTGCCCCCCACTCCCTGACAGGCCCCACTGTGTGACGTTCCCCTGCCTGTGTCCATGTGTTCTCATTATTCAACTCCCACTTATGAGTGAGACCATGCGGTGTTTGGTTTTCTGATCCTGTGTTAGTTTTCTGAGAATGATGGTTTCCAAGTTCATCCATGTCCCTGCAAATGACATGAACTCATTCTTTTTTATGGATGCATAGTATTCCATGGTGTATATGTGCCACATTTTCTTTATCCAGTCTATCATTGATGGGCATTTGGGTTGGTTCCAAGTATTTGCTATTGCGAATAGTGCTACAATAAACATACATACGCATGTGTCTTTATGGGAGAATGATTTACATTCCTTTGGGTATATACCCAGTAATGGGATTGCTGGGTCAAATGGTATTTCTGGCTCTAGATCCTTCAGGAATTGCCATACTGTCTTCCACAACGGTTGAACTAATTTACACTCCCACCAACAGTGTAATAGCATCCCTATTTCTATACAGCCTCGCCAGCATCTGTTGTTTGCTGACTTTTTAATAATCATCATTCTAACTGGTATTAGGTGGTATCTCATTGTGATTTTGATTTGCATTTCTCTAATGAGGAATTAGGATGAGCTTTTTCTCATGTTTGTTGGCTGCATAAATATCTTGTTTTGAGAAGTGTCTGTTCATATCCTTTGCCCACTTTTTGATGGGGTTGTTTTTTTCTTATAAATTTGTTTAAGTTCCTTGTAGATTCTGGATGTTAAACCTTTGTCAGATGGGTAGATTGCAAAAATTTTTTCTCATTCTATAGGTTGCCTATTCAGTCTGATGATAGTTTCTTTTTCTGTGCAGAAGCTCTTTAGTTTAATTGGATCCCATTTGTCAATTTTTACTTTTGTTACAATCGCTTTTGGTGCTTTAGTCATGAATTATTTGCCCATGCCTAAGTCCTGAATGGTATTGCCTTCTAGGGTTTTAAAATACCAAAATACCATTACCTTCTAATGGTATTTTCTTCCAGGGTTTTTATGGTTTTGGGTTTTACATTTAAGTCTGTAATCCATCTTGAGTTAGTTTTTGTATAAGGTTTAAGAAGGGGTCCAGTTTCTGTTTTCTGCATATGGCTGGCCAGTTTTCCCAGCACCATTTATTAAATAGGGAATCCTTTCCCCATTGCTTGTTTTTGTCAGGATTGTCAAAGATCAGATGGTTGTAGATGAGTGGTGTTACTTCTGAGGCCTCTGTTCTGTTCCATTGGTCTATATATCTGTTTTGGTACCAGTCCAATGCTGTTTTAGTTACTGTAGCCTTGTAGTTTAGTTTGAAGTCAGGTGGCATGATGCCTTCATCTTTGTTCTTTTTGCTTAGGATTGTCTTGGCTATACGGGCTCTTTTTTGGTTCCATATGAAATTTAAAGTAGTTTTTTCTAATTCTGCAAAGAAAGTCAATGGTAGCTTGGTGGGAATAGCATTCAATATATAAATTACTTTGGGCAGTATGGCCATTTTCATGATATTGATTCTTCCTATCTATGAACATGGAATGCTTTTCCCATTTGTTTGTGTCCTCTTATTTCCCTGAGCAGTGGTTTGTATTTCTCCTTGAAGAGGTCCTTCATGTCCTTTGTAAGTTGTATTCCTAGGTATTTTATTCTATTTGTAGCAATTGTGAATAGGAGTTCACTCATGATTTGTCTCTCTGCTTATTTATTGTTGCTATATAGGGATGCTTATGATTTTTGTGCATTGATTTTGTATCCTGAGACTTTGCTGAAGTTGCTTATCAGCTTAAGGATATTTTCAGCTGAGACAATGGGGTTTTCTAAATATACCATCATGTCTTCTGCAAACAGAGAAAATTTGACTTCCTCTCTTCCTATTTGAATATTCTTTATTACCTTTTCTTTCCTGATTGCCCTGACCAGAACTTTCAAGACTATGTTGAATAGGAGTGGTGAGAGAGAGGGCATCCTTGTCTCGTGCCAGTTTTCAAAAGGAATGCTTCCAGTTTTGCCCATTCAGTATGATATTGGCTATGGGTTTGTCATAAATAGCTCTTATTATTTTGAGGTGTGTTCCATCAATACCTAGTTTATTTAGAGTTTTTAACATGAAGGGATATTGAATTTTATCAAAGGCCTTTTCTGAATCTATTGAGATAATCATGTGGTTTTTGTCTTTGGTTCTGTTTGTGTGATGGATTATGTTTATTGATTTGTGTATGCTGAACCAGCCTTGCATCCCAGGGATGAAGCCGACTTGATTGTGGTGGATAAGCTTTTTGGTGTGCTGCTGGATTCAGTTTGCCAGTATTTTATTGAGGATTTTCACATCAATGTTAATTAGGGTTATTGGCCTGAAATTCCTTTTTTTTGTTGTTGTGTCTCTGCCAGGTTTTGGTATCAGGATGATGCTGGCCTCATAAAATGAGTAAGGGAGGAGTCCCTCTTTTTCTCTTGTTTGGAATACTTGCAGAAGAAATGGTACCAGCTCCTCTTTGTACTGCTGGTAGAATTCAGCTATGAATCCATCTGGTCCTGGGCTTTTTTTTTTTTTTTTGCTTGGTAGGTTTTTAATTACTGCCTCAATTTCAGAACTTGTTATTGGTCTATTAAGGATTTGATTTCTTCCTGGTATAGTCTTGGGAGGGTGTATGTGTCCAGGAATTTATCCATTTCTTCTAGATTTTCTAGTTTATTTGCATAGAGGTGTTTAAAGTATTCTCTGATGGTAGTTTGTATTTCTATGTGATCAGGGTGATATCCCCTTTATCAGTTTTCATTGTGTCTATTTGATTCTTCTCTCCTTTATTCTTTATAGTCTAGCCAGTGGTCTATCTATTTTGTTAATTTTTTCCAAAACCCAATGCCTGGATTCATTGATTTTTTGAAGGGTTTTTCATGTCTCTATCTTCTTCATTTCTGGTCTGATCTTAGTCTTTTCTTGCCTTCTGCTAGCTTTTGAATTTGTTTGCTCTTGCTTCTCTAGTTCTTTTAATTGTGATGTTAGGATGTTGATTTCAGATCTTTCCATCTTTCTGATGTGGGCATTTAGCACTATAAATGTCCCTCTTAACACTGCTTTAGCTATGTCCCAGAGATTCTGGTATATTTTTTCTTTGTTCTTATTGGTTTCAAATAACTTCTTCATTTCCATCTTAATTTCATTATTTACACAGGAATCGTTCAGAAGCAGGTTGTTCCATTTCCATGTAGTTGTGCAGTTTTGAGTGAGTTTCTTAATCCTGAGTTCTAATTTGATTGCACTGTGGTCTGAGAGACTGTTTGTTATGATTTCCATTCTTTTGCATTTGCTGAGGAGTGCAATTATGTGATTGATTTTAGAATAAGTGCTATGTGACACTGAGAAGAATATATATTCTGTTGATTTGGCGTGGAAAGTTCTGTCGATGTCTATTAGGTCCACTTGATCCAGTGCTGAGTTCGATTTCTGAATATCCTTGTTAATTTTCTGTCTCATTGATCTATTATTGTCAGTGGGATGTTAAAGTCTTCCTCTATTCTTGTATGGGACTCTAAGTCTCTTTGTAGGTCTCTCAGAACTTGTTTTAGGAATCTGGGTGCTCCTGTAATGGGTGCATATATATTTAGGATAGTTAGCTCTTCCTGTTTCATTGATCCCTTTACCATTATGTAATGCTCTTATTTGTCTTTTTTGATCTTTCTTAGCTTAAAGTCTGTTTTATCAGAGACTAGGATTGCAATCCCTGCCTTTTTTTTTTTTTTTCCGTTTGCTTGGTAAACCTTCCTCCATCCCTTTATTTTGAGCCTATGTGTGTCTTTGCATGTGAGATGGGTCTCCTGAATACAGCACACCAATGGGTTTTGAGTCTATCCAATTTGCTAGCCTGTGTCTTTTAATTGTGGCATTTAGTCCATTTACATTTAAGGTTAATATTGTTATGTATGAATTTGATCTTGTCATCATGATGCTAGCTGGTTATTTTGCACATTAGTTGATGCCATTTCTTCAGAGTGTCATTGGTCTTTGTATTTTGTTGCATTTTTCCAGTGGCTGGTGCTGGTTTTTCCTTTCCATATTTAGTGCTTCCTTCAGAAGCTCCTGTAAGCTAGGCCTGGTAGTGACAAAATCCCTCAGCATTTGCTTGTCTGTAAAGATTTTATTTCTCCTTCGCTTATGAAGCTGAGTTTGACTGGATATGATCTTCTGGGTTGAAAATTCTTTTCTTTAAGAATGTCGAATATTGGCCTCCACTCTCTTCAGGCTTGTAGGGTGTCTGCAGAGAGATCTGTTGTTAGTCTAATGGGCTTCCCCTTGTAGGTAACCTGACCTTTCTCTCTGGATGCCCTTAACATTTTTGCTTCATTTCAACCTTGGAGAATCTGATGATTATATGTCTTTGGGTTGATCTTCTCGAGGAGTATCTTAGTGATGTTCTCTGTATTTCCTGAATTTGCATGTTGGCCTGTCTTGCTAGGTTGGGGAAGTTCTCCTGGATAATTTAATAAAGAGTGTTTTCCAACTTGGTTCCATTCTCCCTGTCACTTTCAGGTACACCAATCAATTGTAGGTTTGGTCTTTTCACCTAGTCCCATATTTCTTGTAGGCTTTGTTAGTTACGTTTTATTCTTTTTTCTCTAATCTTGTCTTCATGCCTTATTTCAGCAAGGGGATCTGCAATCTCTGATATTCTTTCTTCAATTTGATTGATTCAGCTATTGATAGTTGTATATGCTTCATGAAGTTCTCATGCTGTGTTTTTCAGCTCCATTAGGTCATTTATGTTCCTCTCTAAACTGGTTATTCTAGTTAGCAGTTCTTGCAACTTTTTATCAAGGTTCTTAGCTTCCTTGCATTGGGTTGGAACATGCTCCTTTAGCTCAGAGGAGTTTGTTATTACCCACCTTCTGAAGCTGACTTCTGTCAATGTGTCAATCTCATTGTCTGTTCCGTTTTGTGGCCTTGCTGGAGAGGAGTTGCAATTATTTGGAGGAGAGAGGCATTCTGGCTTTTGGAGTTTTCAGCGTTTTGCACTGGTATTTCCTCATCCTCATGGATTTATCTACTTTTGATCTTTGAGGCCGATGACCTTTGGATGAGGTTTTTGTGTGGGAGTCTTTTTTGTTGATTCGTTGTCGTTGCTTTCTGTTTGTTAGCTTTTCTTCTAACAGGCCCCTTTTCTGCAGGTCTGCTGCAGTTTGCTGGAGGTCCACTCCAGCAATGAGTATTAAATAAAGACTTGAAGAGACTTAGGAAGAATGTTCCAGGAATGGGGAACAGCCTATGTAAAGGCCTAGGAAGGAAGCATGACTGTCATGTTTAAGCAAGAACAAGCAGGTTGGGGAGATAGCAGTGTGAGCTGAGAATAAAGAAATAGCCAGGGGAGGATTCATATGATGTAATAATGATAATGTCATCAATTTAGGCCATTGAAAGAATTTTTTTTATTTCAATAGCTTTTTGGGGTACAAGTGGTTTTGGTTACATGAATGAATTATATAGTGGTGAATTCTGAGATTTTAGTGCATTTGTCACCCACGTCGTGTACATTGTACCTAATGTGTAGTTTTTGTATCCCTGGCCCCCCTCCCACCTTCCCCATACTGACTCTCTAAAGTTCATCATATCATTCTGTATGCCTTTGCATACTCAAAGCTTAGCTACCACTTACAAGTGAGAATATGTGGTTTTTGGCTTTCCAGTTCTGTGCGACTTCACTTAGAATAATGGCCTCCAGTTCCATCCAAGTTGCTGCAAAATACATTATTTCCTTTCTTTTAAGGGCTGAGTAGTATTCCATATATATATATAATATATATATTTATATTATTTATAATATATATTTATATATTATATATATATATATACACAAACTACATTTTCTTTATCTACTCATTGGTCAATGAGCACTTAGGTTGGTTACACATCTTTGCAATTGTGAATTGTGCTTCTATAAACATACATGTGCAAGTCTTTTTCTTATATAATGACTTATATTCCTTTGGGGAGATACCCAGTAGTGGGATTGCTGGATCTAACCGTAGATCTACTTTTAGCTCTTTAAGGAAACTCTATGCTGTTTTTAATAGAGGTTTTACTGGTTTTCGTTGCTGTTTTTAATAGAGGTTTTACTGATTTTCATTTCCACAAACAGTGTATAAGTGTTCCCTTCTTATCACATCCATGCCAAAATCTATTGTTTTTTGACTTTAGTAATAGTCATTCTTGCAGGAGTAAGGTTCAATCTCATTGGGTTTTAATTTTTATTTCCTTGATGATTAGTTATATTGAGCATTTTTTTTTCCTATGTTTGTTGGCCATTTGTATATCTTCTTTTGAGAAATGTCTATTCATGTCCTTTGCCCACTTTTTGATGGGGTTATTTGGGGGTTATTTGGTGAGGTGTTAGAGTTTCTTATAGATTCTGGATACTAGTCCTTTGTCAGATGAATAGTTTGCAAATATTTTTCTCCCATTCTGTGGGTTGTCTGTTTACTCTGTTGATTATTTCTTTTGTTGTGCAGAACCTTTTTAGTTTAATTAGGTCCCATTTATTTATTTTTGTTTGTGTTACATTTGCTTTTAGGGTCTTAGTCATGAGTTCTTTGCCTAGGCAAATGTCTAGAAGAGTTTTTTTTCTAACATTGCCTTCTAGAATTTGTATGATTTTAGGCCTTATATTTAAGTCTTTGATCTGTCTTGAGTTGATTTTTGTATATAGTGACAAATAAGGGCCCAGTTTCATTCTTCTACAGGTCAATTGCCAGTTTTCCCAGCACCATTTATTAAATAGGATATCCATTCCCAACTTAAGGCCATTGTAAGGATACTGACATTTAATTTATTACAGGTTTTTGAGTAGAGTAATGGCATCAGCACAGTATAGTTGAAGGCTATGACTGGGAAACATTACAGGTTTAATTGTTGTACAGACTTCTCTCTGCCCCAGTGATTCAGGTTATTATGTAAACTGTTCACACACACATTTCAGGCAAAGAGCAAGCCAGCATTTATGTAGCAATTTAAAACATTTTAGCTTCCAAATATTTTCAATTTATTTCTGTTGGTGAGATGGAACAACAATTATCTAATAGACTTTAACTCTTTATACTAGACATCACTGTTGCTTATAGTCACAAGGTAAAACAAGTCATTAAAAGGAGAAAACTTTCATCTAAAAAGCCACTGGAGTGTTTATAGCAATTATAACCCTGACTAAATAGAGCCAAATCTACTGCTAAATTAAGACCTTGAGAAAAAGTGGTAGACTCTCGGATTCCATATTTGTATGAAGCCCCTAAGTAGTTTAGTGGCAGGAGGAATCCCCCGCAGTCCCCACTGCAGGGTTCCTATTGCATCCCTAAGTGTTAGCATAGTAGTGGTGGCAAGGCTACTGCAGCCCAGCTTACCTTTGACCTCTAGGGTACTCAGCATCAAACCAAAGAGAAGTATCAAAAGATAAAAGCAGGACTCAACCTTTTTAGCCCTTGGCTCTTGCCCTTAAATTTACCTCTGATTCAGATGTCAAGCACTATTTTCACTAAGCCATCTACAGTGTGGCAGACAGAGCTTGGGGACATTTAACAGGTTATTTGTAGAGAGTCGAATTGTGAATGTGTGCACACACAAGTAAATGGGAAAGGGGCATAGCATGAGAGATGCTTGTGAGGTAGGAGCGTGGATTTCATTCAACCGAAAGTGAACGTTTTATAAAATCATTTCTGTCATTGCAGATCAAGAGCCTCCACATTAGATTGGTTTAGGATTATAAACTAGAGTTTTCAGTGTGTGCTTAGGATTTAAGGACGGCAGCACACCTCTGCACAGGTGATGTTTATTTACCTGCTTCACAAAAACTCCTCTTCCTGATAGATCTAACAAGATCTTTCTATTGTTTAAAGCTTTTCAGAGGTCAGCTTATCTCAAAAATACTATCTAAAAAAAGACCCTGTAAGATTTTGTATAAGGGAGAGAAGGATCTAGAAAAAATAATAGGAAAACGTAAAGCCAGTCTTCACAATTGAGCCCTTGTCCCCCAGGAGAGCAGCGTTAAAACTCAGCACACAAAATGTAGTGGCTGATGTGTTTATGCTCTTAGTGCCAGCATCTCAGAGAATGCATGCATGTGAGCTTACATCAGGTTGTCCAATAACTAAAAAAACAAACGAATAGCCTAAGTTTTCAGAGCAAGTAGTGTTTCTCTTCTGAGATGATATTTCAGATTTTTAAATGATTTTTTCTTGTTTTGGATTACAAAACAAATGCCAACCTTGAAAATATTATTTTTAAGCATTGCTTTCTCTTTGATCTGAAAAGAAATAAGAAATAAAGAACATAAAAAGGACACGAACATAACATTCCGCAGGATGGAGGTTGGAAAAAGATTTGATATAACTGCAACATTTTTTTAAATGTGACTTTAAATTACTTTGGGAAAAAAGGAATTGTTAGTGTAGTATTTTCTGAGTGCTAACCCATGTGTGGTGCCCTCTGATCTCATCATGGGCAGGCAAGATTAGATACTGTTTGTTCTTTTAGCTCTATGGTACTTGGAAATGTCATAAACTTTATATAGATACTAAACTTTCCATCCCTTTTCACTACTTTCACCCCCAAAATGAAATGCTAAGTCTGTCACCTGGGGGTAGTTATAATAATCACAGTTGCTGATATTGCCAAAGGCAGGAATGGCACTGGATCAAGGAAAATGTGACCCCAAGTGCATGACTTTAAACTCCAGTTGTGACAGCTAATGCAATCACTGCCGGAGGAAAATGAGTCCCTTGACTAAACTCACACTGATTTGTGATCTGATTTTAAAAAGTCTGTTAGAGGGAAAAGACAACATTTGTGGGCATGCTTGGTTGCTGCACATAAAGCTGATGATTGAGAATTGATAACGATTCTTGAGATGCTGCAGACAGTGGGATCTCACATATACTTTAGAATATATTATATATTGATAATGTGACTATTAGAACTTAGGTTTTATGGGGGGAATAAAGGCCACAGATGAAGAATTGAAAAACAAGAACATTGTATTATGATTAAAAATAACTCTTTGGGAAAGATATAAGTATTCAGTAGCCATCACTACACCCTATTTCTTTAACTCAAGATTTCAGGGTTTTACATTTGTATACTTGACTACAACCTGAGGACTCTCCCAAGCATCACCCTGTGACCAATAGACAAGGCACTGTGGTGCTTGGGGAAAGGAGGAGACATCTTGTGATACTCTTCAGGGAAGGTGAAATGGACCTTGAATTAAGTAGGGTCAAAAAGGATATTTAAAACTTGTGCTAATATGCATTTGAAAATAGTTACATTGCTCAATCAAATGTTCAGGTTCAATCATTTTATAGGGACGTTTTTTCTTCCTATGGGTAGTTAGCATCATCGTAGGATTAAGGAGCTACTTTACTTATGAATGTACTGATAATTGCTTTAAAATCTGAATTTTTACAGGCAAATGAGCAATTTTCTGGGTAAATCTGAACTCTCCCTCAATTATTACTTTGTTATACCAATTCTGCTATAACATGAAAGAGTTTGTAGAATTTAGAGCTACTGGCTCTGAATCGTAAATAACCAGATGAATCTATAAAGAAACAAGGTGGATTTTGTGGTAAAAACTGATCTAATTCAGAAATCAGTTAATTTTTTCCCAAAATTTATTTGAGCAAAGATTGAATCATTGGGAAAAAAAACAAATGAACTTCTGAGTTGATTTCTTTGAAAACCAATAGTTATTTGATTAAATAAAGAGCAAGAAGTTTTAGTTCAATATTCAAAATATTCTCTTTTTAAAAATGTTTATGGGTACGTAGTAGGTGTATATATATTTATGTTGTACATGAGATATTTTGATACAGGCATACAATGTGTGATTATATCTGAATAAATGGGATATCCATCACCTCAAATATTTAACATTTCTTTGTGTTGCAAACATTTTAATTATACACTTTTAATTATTTAAAAATGTACAATAAATTGTTGACTGTACAGACCCTGTTGTGCTATCAAATACTAAATCTTATTCATTCTATCTAACTATATTTTGTACGCATTAACCATTCCCACTTTCCCTTACCCCCATCCCATCAGTACCCCACTTAGTACCCTTTTCCAGCCCCTGGTTAACCATCATTCTGCTCTCTTTCTCCATGAGTTCAATTGTTTTAATTTTTAGCTCTGACAAATGGTAAGAATATGCAAAGTTTGTGTTTCTGTGCTTGGCATATTTCACCTAACCTAATGTCCTCCATTTCCATCCACGTTGTTGCCAGTGACAGGATCTTTCTCTTTATGGCTGAATAGTACTCCATTGTGTTTATGTACCCATTTTATTTCTCCATTCATCTGTTGCTGGCTAGTTAGGTTGCTTCCAAACCTTGGCTATTGTGAATAGTGCTGAAATAACATGAAATATCTTTCCATTTTTGTGTGCTTTCTTCAATTTCTTTCGTAAATATTTTATTGTTTTCATCATAGAGGTCTTTCATTTCCTTGGTTATTTCCTAGGTATTTAAATTTATTTATAGTTATTATAAGTGGGACTACATTCTTGATTTCTTTTTCATATTGTTTGCTGTTGGCATATAGAAATGCTAGTGATTTTTGTGTGTTGATTTTGTAGCCTGAAACTTTACTGAATTTGTTTATCAGTTCTAATAGTTTTTTGGTGAAGTATTTAGGTTTTTCTAAATGTAAGATTATATCATCTGCAAACAAGGATAATTTGAATTCTTCCTTTCCAGTTTGGATGCCTTTTACTTACTTCTGTTAACTGATTGCTCTAGCTGGGACTTCCAGTACTACGTTTAATAACAGTGGTGAAAGTGGACATCCTTACTTTATTCAGATCTTAGAGGAAAGCCTTTCAGATTTCCCCCATTCAGCATAGTAGTTGTGTGTCTGTCATATATGGCTTTTATTATGTTCAGGTAAGTTCCTTCTATACTCAGTTGTTTGAACATTTTTATCATGAAGGGATATTGAATTTTATCAAATGCTTTTTCATCATCAATTGGAATTATTATATGGCATTAGTCTTTCATTCTGTTGTTATGATGTATCACATTGATTGATTTGTGCATATTGAACTATCCTTACATCTCTGGGATAAATACTATATGATCATGATGCATGATTTTTTAAAATATATTGTTGATCTGGGTTTGCTAGGATTTTATTCAGAATTTTTGCATCAATATTCATTGGAGATATTGGCCTGTAGTTTTCCTTTTTTGATATGTCTTTGTCTGCTTTTGGTATCAGGGTACTACTGGCCTTGTAGAATGAGTTTGTAAGTATTTCTTCCTCCTCTATTTTTTGGAATAGTTTGAGCAGGATTGATATTAGTTCTTCTTTAAATGTTTGGTAGAATTCAGCAGTGTAGCCATTGGGTCCTAGGATTTTCATTGGTGGGAGACTTTTTATTACAGCTTTGGTCTCATTATTTGTTATTGATCAATTCAGGTGTGGATTTCTTCATAGTTCAATCTTCTTATGTTGTATATGTCTGGGAACGTATCCATTTCTTCTAGGTTTTCCAATTTTTTGACATATCGTTGCTCATAATAGTCTCTACTAATCCTTTGAATTTCTGTGGTGTGAGTTGTAATGTCTCCTCTTTTATCTCTGATTTTATTTATGTGGGTTTTCTTCTTTTTTCTTTGTTAGTATAGCTGAAGGTTTGTCAATTTTGTTTACTTTTCAAAAAACAACTAGTTTTGTCGATCATGTGTATTTTTAATTTAAATTTTATTTATTTATGCTTTGATCTTTATTATTTATTTTATTCTGCCAATTTTGGGTTTAGTTTGCTCTTGCTTTTTTTCTAGTTTAGGTTGTTTATTTGAAATTTTTCTACTTTTTGATGTAGGCATTTATTGCTATACAATTTTCTCTTAGTACTGCTTTTGCTGTATCCCATAAGCTTTGGTATGTTAGGTTTTCCTTTTCATTTGTTTCAAGAAATTTTTAAATTTTCTTCTTAATCTCCATTGACACATTGGTCATTCAGGAGCATATTGTTTAATTTCCATGTTTGTACAGCTTCCAAATTTCCTCCTGTTATTGACTTCTAGTTTTATCTCATGTGTCCAGAGAAGATACTTTACATGATTAAATATTTTTAAATGTTTTAAGACTTGTTTTGTTACCTAACATATGGTCTACCCTTGAGAATAATTCATGTGCTCAGGAGAATAATGTGTATTCTACAGCCATTGGATGGAATGTTCTGTAAATATTTGCTAGATCCATTTGGCCTATAGTGCAGATTAAGCCCAATGTTTCTTTGTTAATTTCCTGTCTGGATGATCTGTCCAATGCTGAAAGGGGAGTGTTGAAGTCTCCAGCTATTATTATATTGAGGCCTCTCTCTCTCTTTAGCTAGTAATATTTGCTTTATATATCTGGGTGCTCCAGTGTTGAGTTTATATATATTTGGTTATTGTATACTCTTGCTGAATTGACCCCTTTATCATTATATAATGACCTTCTTTGTCTCTTTTTATAGTTGTTGTCTTGAAATCTATTTTGTCTAAGTATAGCTACTCCCACTCTTTTGCATGAAATACTGTTTTTCGTATCTTTATTTTCTGTCAGTGTGTGTCTTTATAGGTGAAGTATGTTTCCTGTAGGCAAGAAATCATTGGGTCTTCTTTTTCTCATTCAACTACTCCATGTCTTTTGATTAGAGAATTTAGTCCAGTTACATTCAATGTTATTATTATTAAGTCAGAATTTACTCCTACCATTTCATTATTTGTTTTTTGGTTGTTTTGTGATATTTTCCTTCCTTCCTTCCTTCCTTCCTTCCTTCCTTCCTTCCTTCCTTCCTCCCTCCCTCCCTCCCTCCCTCCCTCCCTCCGTCCCTCCCTTTCTTCTTTTCTTCCTTGCTTTTTTCATCCTTTCTTCTTTCCTGTCTCCCATTTAGTAAAGGTAATTTTCTCTGCTCGTATGTTTTAATTTATTCTTTTTATTTTTGTGTATCCATTGTAGGTTTTTTACTTCAGTTTACCATGAGTCTTGCAAATAACATCATTTAATCCATTATTTTCAACTGATAAGTTAACATTGATTGCAAGAACAAACAGATTAACAAAGAAGCAAAAAAAGTAATAAAAACTCTACACTTTAACTTCATCCCCCTCCCCATTGCTTTTTAACTTTATTATTTCTACTTATATCTTATTATACTGTGTATGTCTTAAATGGTTTCTGAAATTTTTTGTAGGTTCATATTTTTGTCTTTCTACTCAAGATATTAGTAATTTACATACCACAATTACAGTGTTATAATATTCTGTGTTTCTCTGTGTATTTACAATTACCAGTAAGTTTTGTACCTTCAGATGATTTTTTATTGCTTGTTAATGACCTTTTCTTTCAGATTGAAGAACTCCCTTTAGCATTTCTTGTAGGACAATTCTGGTGTTGATAAAAACCCTCAGCTTTTGTTTGTCTGGGTAAGTCTTTATTTCTCCTTCTTGTTTGAAGTGTATTTTTACTGGATATACTATTCTAGAATATGTGTATTTTTCCTTCAGCACATTAAATATGTCATGCCACTCTGTCCTGGCTTGTAAGGTTTCCACTGAGAAGTCTGCTGCCAGAGATATTAGAGCTGCTTTTTATATTGTTTGTTTCTTTACTCTTGATGCTTTTAAGATCCTTTCCTTATCCTTGACCTCTGGGAGTTTGATTATTAAATGTCTTGAGGTAGTCTTTTTTATTTCCTTGTAATTTTCTGTTTTTTTAATTATACTTTAAGTTTTAGGGTACATGTGCACAACGTGCAGGTTTCTTACATATGTATACATGTGCCATGTTGGTGTGCTGCACCCATTAACTCGGCATTTAACATTAGGTATATCTCCTAATGCTATCCCTCCCCGCTCCCCCCAGCCCACAACAGGACCCGGTGTGTTATGTTCCCCTTCCTGTGTCCATGTGTTCTCATTGTTCAATTCCCACCTATGAGTGAGAACATGCGGTGTTTGGTTTTTTGTCCTTGCGATAGTTTGCTGAGAAGAGGTAGTCTTATCTGAGTTTAATCTTCCTTAGGTGTTCTGCAACCTTCTTTTATTTGAATATGAATATTTTTCTCTAGATTTGTAATGTTCTTTGTGATTATCCCTTTCAATAAGCTTTCCACCCTGATATTTCTGTCTACCTCCTCTTTAAGGCCAATAACTCTTAGATTTACCCTTTTGAGGCTATTTTCTAGATCTTGTAGGTATGCTTCTTTCTTTTTTATTCTTTGTCTCCCCAACTGTGCATTTTCAAATAGCTTGTCTTCAATTACACTGATTTTTCTTCTGCTTGATCAGCTCTGCTGCAGAGACTCTGATGCATTCTTCAGTATAGCAGTTGAATTTTTCAGCTCTAGAATTTCTGCTTGATTTTTAAATATCATTTTAATTTCAATGTTAAATTCATCAGGTAAAATTCTGAATTCCTTCTCTGTGTTATCTTGAATGTTTTTGAGCTTCCTTAAAACAACTTTTATAATTCTCTGTCTGAAAGGTCACATACATCTAGGATGAGTTAGTGGTGCCTTATTTAGTTTGGTGAGGTCATGTTTTCCTAGATGGTCTTTTTATTTATTTATTTATTTTTCTTTTTTTTAAATTATTATTATTATACTTTAAGTTTTAGGGTACATGTGCACAATGTGCCAGTTAGTTACATATGTATACATGTGCCATGCTGGTGTGCTGCACCCATTAACTCATCATTTAGCATTACATATATCTCCTAATGCTATCCCTCCCCCATCCCCCCACGCCACAACAGTCCCCAGAGTGTGATGTTCCCCTTCCTGTGTCCATGTGTTCTCATTGTTCAATTCCCATCTATGAGTGAGAATATGCGGTGTTTGGTTTTTTGTCCTTGCGATAGTTTACTGAGAATGATGATTTCCAATTTCATCCATGTCCCTACAAAGAACATGAACTCATCTTTTTTATGGCTGCATAGTATTCCATGGTATATATGTGCCACATTTTCTTAATCCAGTCTATCATTGATGGACATTTGGGTTGGTTCCAGGTCTTTGCTATAGTGAATAGTGCCGCAGTAAACATACTTGTGCATGTGTCTTTATAGCAGCATGATTTATAGTCCTTTGGTTATATACCCAGTAATTGGATACCTGGGTCAAATGGTATTTCTAGTTCTAGATCCCTGAGGAGTTGCCACACTGACTTCCACAATGGTTGAACTAGTTTACAGTCCCACCAACAGTGGAAAAGTGTTCCTATTTCTCCACATCCTCTCCAGCACCTGTTGTTTCCTGACTTTTTAATGATTGCCATTCTAACTGGTGTGAGATAGTATCTCATTGTGGTTTTGATTTGCATTTCTCTGATGGCCAGTGATGATGAGCATTTTTTCATGTGTTTTTTGGCTGCATAAATGTCTTCTTTTGAGAAGTGTCTGTTCATATCCTTTGCCCACTTTTTGATGGGGTTGTTTGTTTTTTTCTTGTAAATTTGTTGGAGTTCATTGTAGATTCTGGATATTAGCCCTTTGTCCAATGAGTAGGTTGTGAAAATGTTCTCCCATTTTGTAGGTTGCCTGTTCACTCTGATGGTAGTTTCTTTTGCTGTGCAGAAGCTCTTTAGTTTAATTAGATCCCATTTGTCAATTTTGGCTTTTGTTGCCATTGCTTTTGGTGTTTTAGATATGAAGTCCTTGCCCATGCCTATGTCCTGAATGGTAATGCCTAGGTTTTCTTCTAGGGTTTTTATGGTTTTAGGTCTAACATTTAAGTCCTTAATCCATCTTGAATTAATTTTTGTATAAGGTGTAAGGAAGGGATCCAGTTTCAGCTTTCTACATATGGCTAGCCAGTTTTCCCAGCACCATTTATTAAATAGGGAATCCTTTCCCCATTGCTTGTTTTTCTCAGGTTTGTCAAAGATCAGATAGTTGTAGATATGTGGCATTATTTCTGAGGGCTCTGTTCTGTTCCATTGATCTATATCCCTGTTTTGGTACCAGTACCATGCTGTTTTGGTTACTGTAGCCTTGTAGTATAGTTTGAAGTCAGGTAGCATGATGCCTCCAGCTTTGTTATTTTGGCTTAGGATTGACTTGGCGATGCGGGCTCTTTTTTGGTTCCATATAAACTTTAAAGTCGTTTTTTCCAAATCTGTGAAGAAAGTCATTGGTAGCTTGATGGGGATGGCATTGAATCTATAAATTACCTTGGGCAGTATGGCCATTTTCACGATATTGAAATGGAATGTTCTTCCATTTGTTTGTATCCTCTTTTATTTCCTTGAGCAGTGGTTTGTAGTTCTCCTTGAAGAGGTCCTTCAAATCCCTTGTAAGTTGGATTCCTAGGTATTTTATTCTCTTTGAAGCAATTGTGAATGGGAGTTCCCTCATGATTTGGCTCTCTGTTTGTCTGTTGTTGGTGTATAAGAATGCTTGTGATTTTTGTACATTGATTTTGTATCCTGAGACTTTGCTGAAGTTGCTTATCAGCCTAAGGAGATTTTGGGCTGAGACAATGGGGTTTTCTGTATATACAATCATGTCGTCTGCCAACAGGGACAATTTGACTTACTCCTTTCCTAATTGAATACCCTTTATTTCCTTCTCCTGCCTAATTGCCCTGGCCAGAACTTCCAATACTATGTTGAATAGGAGTGGTGAGAGAGGGCATCCCTGTCTTGTGCCGGTTTTCAAAGGGAATGCTTCCAGTTTTTGCCCATTCAGTATGATATTGGCTATGGGTTTGTCATAGATGGCTCTTATTATTTTGAGATACATCTCATCAATACCTAATTTATTGAGAGTTTTTAGCAATAAGCATTGTTGAATTTTGTCAAAGGCCTTTTCTGCATCTATTGAGATAATCATGTGGTTTTTGTCTTTGGTTCCGTTTATATGCTGGATTACATTTATTGATTTGCATATATTGAACCAGCCTTGCATCCCAGGGATGAAGCCCACTTGATCATGGTGGATAAGCTTTTTGATGTGCTGCTGGATTCGGTTTGCCAGTATTTTATTGATGATTTTTGCATCAATGTTCATCAAGGATATTGGTCTAAAATTCTCTTTTTTGGTTGTATCTCTGCCCATCTTTGGTATCAGGATGATGCTGGCCTTATAAAATGAGTTAGGGAGGATTACCTCTTTTTCTATGGATTGGAATAGTTTCAGAAGGAATGGTACCAGTTCCTCCTTGTACCTCTGGTAGAATTCGGCTGTGAATCCGTCTGGTCCTGGACTCTTTTTGGTTGGTAAGCTATTGATTATTGCCATAATTTCAGAGCCTGTTTTTGGTCTATTCAGAGATTCAACTTCTTCCTGGTTTAGTCTTGGGAGAGTTTATGTGTCGTGGAATTTATCCATTTCTTCTAGATTTTCTAGTTTATTTGCGTAGAGGTGTTTCTAGTACTCTCTGATGGTAGTTTGTATTTCTGTGGGAATGGTGGTGATATCCCCTTTATCATTTTTTATTGCATCTATTTGATTCTTCTCTCTTCTTTCCTGTATTAGTCTTGCTAGCGGTCTATCAATTTTGTAGATCCTTTCAAAAAACCAGCTCCTGGATTCATTAATTTTTTGATGGGTTTTTTTGGTCTCTATTTCCTTCAGTTCTGCTCTGATTTTAGTTATTTCTTGCCTTCTACTAGCTTTTGAATGTGTTTGCTCTTGCTTTTCTAGTTCTTTCAATTGTGATGTTAGGGTGTCAATTTTGGATCTTTCCTGCTTTCTCTTGTGGGCATTTAGTGCTATAAATTTCCCTCTACACATTGCTTTGAATGTTTCCCAGAGATTCTGGTATGTTGTGTCTTTGTTCTCATTGGTTTCAAAGAACATCTTTTTATTTCTGCCTTCATTTCGTTATGTACCCAGTAGTCATTCAGGAGCAGGTTGTTCAGTTTCCATGTAGTTGGGCGGTTTTGAGTGAGTTTCTTAATCCTGAGTTCTAGTTTGATTGCACTGTGGTCTGAGAGACAGTTTGTTATAATTTCTGTTCTTTTACATTTGCTGAGGAGAGCTTTACTTCCAACTATGTGGTCAATTTTGGAATAGGTATGGTGTGGTGCTGAAAAAAAGTATAATCTGTTGATTTGGGGTGGAGAGTTCTGTAGATGTCTATTAGGTCTGCTTGGTGCAGAGCTGAGTTCAATTCCTGGGTATCCTTGTTAACTTTCTGTCTCATTGATCTGTCTAATGTTGACAGTGGGGTGTTAAAATCTCCCATTATTATTGTGTGGGAGTTTAAGTCTCTTTGCAGGTCACTCAGGACTTGCTTTATGCATCTGGGTGCTCCTGTATTGGGTGCATATATATTTAGGATAGTTAGCTCTTCTTGTTGAATTGATCCCTTTACCATTATGTAATGGCCTTCTTTGTCTCTTTCAATCTTTGTTGGTTTAAAGTCTGTTTTATCAAAGACTAGGATTGCAACCCCTGCCTTTTTTTGTTTTCCATTTCCTTGGTAGATCTTCCTCCATCCTTTTATTTTGAGCCTATGTGTGTCTCTGCACGTGAGATGTGTTTCCTGAATACAGCACACTGATGGGTCTTGACTCTTTATCCAATTTGCCAGTCTGTGTCTTTTAATTGGAGCATTTAGTCCATTTTCATTTAAAGTTAATATTGTTTTGTGTGAATTTGATCCTGTCATTGTGATGTTAGCTGGTTATTTTGCTCGTTAGTTGATGCTGTTTCTTCCTAATCTCGATATTAGATGGTTCTGACCTGAAGCCAGTATGGCCCTGAGTATTACTCCAGGCTCGTAGTGAGTACTACCTGGCTACCACTGATGTTTATTCAAGGACCAAGGGCTCTTTAGTCACCTGGTGATGGATCCTTCCAAAGCTGAGTCCTTCCCTTCAAGGCAGTGTGCTCCCTTCTGGTCCACTTTATGTCTAGAAATGTTATCTGGGAGCTAGGGCCTGGAATGAGGGCCTCTGTTCTCTGCCTGGTGCCTTATTCTACTGTGGCTAAACTGGTATCCAAGTTGCAAGACAAAGTTCTCATTACTGTCTCCTCTTCTCTCTTTAAGAAGAAAGGAATCTCTCCTGGCACTTGCAGTTGCACTGCCCGGGGTTGGGGGAGCGGTGACCCAATCACTCCCTGGTGTCTTACCAGGTCACATGCATTCCATGTCCACTGGCTCTAAGCCCAGAACAGTACCCAGACATACCCAGGACTTTTAGTCCTTATGTCCTAGATGGCCATTCAAGTTTATTTAGAACCCAAGGGCACTTTAGCCTGCAGTGGTAGAGCTAGCCAGAGCTCAAGTTCTGACTGTTGGGTTGGATGATTCCCTTCTGGCTAGAGCTGGTCTAAATGTTCCCTCCATGGGTGCCAGCTGAATTCTGCCAAGTGTTGCTTTCTGCTACGGCAGGCAGCACTGAGTTTCATTGCAAAGTCCTACAGTCGCTGTGCTCTGCCTTCCCCAAGTGCACTGATTCCCTCCTGTACAACATGGATGCTGCTGGGAGATAAGGGAGGGATGGTGTTAACAATTCAAGATTTTCTTTCCTATCCTCTTCAGTGCCTCTTTTCTTGTTATGATGTTAAAATCATGTGCCATGATCATTCATCCAATTTTTGGTTCTTATGAAGGTGGTTTCTTGTGTGGATAGTTGTTCATTTTGGTGTTCTTATGGGGGTGACAATTGCTGGAGGCTTCTGTTTGGCCATCTTAGTCCACCTCCTCTCATCTATTTTTGATTTTGATTAAGTATTTTTTTCAAGTACTTTCTAACGTATAACATTTTACCTTTAGCATGTAGGTCCATGAGTTATAGATTTATAATCAAATTAGACAATTTCAATTTTACCTTTATCCATGAAGTTAAAGGTGAACATGTTTTCCTCCATGTCATATTTCCACCTTCATCTGTGGACATCTGTGTGTTATTTTTAAGTTTCACATTTATACTTGTGTAAGGCTGTTCTTTCACTGCCATAAAAAAATACCTGAGACTGGGTAATTTATAAAGAAAAGAGCTTTAATTGGCTCATGGTTCTGCAGGCTGTACCAAAAGCATGCCACCGGCATCTTCTCAGGGAAGCCTCAGGGACCACACATGTCACATGGCAAAAGCAGAAGGAGGGGCTGATTGGAGGTGCCACACACTTTTAAATGACCGGTTCTCATGAGAACTCACTCACTGTCTTGAGGACATGACCAAGGGAATGGTGCCAAGCCATTTATGAGAAATCCACCGCCATGATTCAGTCACCTCCCACCAGGCCTCACCTCCAACACTGAGCACTACATTTTAAGATGAGATTTTGGTGGGGACAAATATCCAAACTATATGAATAAATTTTTTTCTAAGACATGAATAATATTTTTCTAGTAGAGATCTAAACACTTTCAGAGTCAAGATACAGTTGTGATGAGAGAATAAACCTGGCTTAATATCTGCTCTGAGTAATATTAACAGAGGATCACCTGATACATTTTTGAGTAGAGTTTCTGAAAAACTAAAGGAAATCTAAGACATTGATTAATATCTGTAATGAGCATATGGTACTGAGAAAAAAGGAAACAGATGTAAAACGTTCTTGAGTCATGGTAATGGCCAAGTACTGTAATCAGTATCTTAAACTCCTGTTCCTATTGTCCCTAGAGATGTCTGACTGAATATTTGTACCAGATGACTGTATTTGATTCAGATGAGTGAATATTTGTATCCCCCCGTGTTGAAACCCAAAACCAAAAGTGAGGGTATCTGGAGGTAAAGGTGGGTCCTTAGATTTACATGAAGTCTTGAGAATGGGATCCCTATGATGCTGTTAATGTCCTCATAAGACGATAAGATGGAATCTTTTCTCTCTCCACCATGCAAGGTCATTGTGAGAAGGTGTTTTTCACCAGCCAGGAATACATCCCTCACTAGGAACTAAATCAGCTGGCGCTTTAATTTTGAACTTCTCAACCTCTAGAACTATAAGAAATAAATTTCTTTTGTTTCAGCCAGTCAGTCTATGGTATTTCTGTTATGGAAGCCCAAGCTGACTAAGACACCTTGAAACTAAAATTACATCCAACTCAATTATCTATGACGCCTGACCCCCTGCATTTCCATGAGAGTCCTATCTCATCATTACCTTACTTAAATTTGTACAATAATTCTCCCCTTTACTAGTGTTTTCTCAACTAAGAAGTTTTTTTTTTCAAAACAAAACAAATTCTAATTAAAACATGATATTAAGTTTTAGTTGAATTACAGAAAATAATTACAATCTAGGGCCTTGTATTTACATTAGATACAAACTAGAGACTCATTTTGTATAATTGCAGTTGAAACCTAAAACAAAACAGTTTACAAAACCTTTCTTTTACATTTGACAAGATTTCCTTATACCTAATTGTCTGAGCTATTGTTTCAAATTTCTAGCAGGTTATATGCAAATAGAGAAAACCGTAGTGATGCATAGTTTTACCTATTTTTGCCATAAAAAATATATTATGGCTTAAATTGATTAAAAAGAATAGAAAAGAAAGTTCCATTGGGTATAAGTTTTTACCTTTATACAAATAATAGAATTAAAATATACAGCTTGGTGAACTGCTCACAGGTGTTTGGCAGAAATGATAGCAGTTTGCTTATCAGAATGAGGTAAAAAGAACAAAAACAGGGACAGCACAACCTGGCATATTTCCTCAGATTCCAGAGCATTTCAACATGATGAAAATATCCAAACAGCCACAAAGGTTTACAAAACCATTATTTTCCAGAAGTCTTTTAACATTTAACTCTGTAATTTTAAAAATAAAATTTCTAGCAAATAAAACTTTAAAGCAAATTACACTAAAGATGAAAATACACAAATGATGAAAATAGTAGCATATGCATATAATAGCAAAGGGAGACCTTTGCTATTATGGTACTGGAAAACTTGCAAGTACCCACATGATTGTAATTGTAAGAAGAAACTGGCAAGGATTTTCATCTTTGAAGCTTAAAACCCTTCCATGTGAGACAGCATTTGATAAATCAGGGTTATTCAAGCTCTCCTTATCAAGTCTTGCCAGGTTTATGCTGTCTCTTATCATCAATGAACTGCAGTGGCTCTCCCCAGCCCACCTCTAGATTCTTCTTGTAATAGGTAGCACTGTGGATCATCTCATCTCTCCATTACCAAACAGCTCCCAAACCAGCATCCATGTCAATTCCTATCGAGAGCCTCCTGCAGCTCTTAGCACCGTATCCAGCCCACAGTGGTGGAGTAGCACATGCTGTTAGGTGAATGTAATTTTCTGCTAGGTAACATTTTTTACCCACTCTGGCTGCAAGAATCTTGACTACATTAATCAGATAGTGTACAGTCAACCCAAATAATCTGTCTATGAAGGCTGTTTTATGTCACTAGATTTAAGGTAATTTGTCACATAGTCTGAGCAAGTGGAACAGAAGATAAGAGGGGTGGGAAGGAAAATAATTAAATTCCTTATTAATGGAATGTTTGATTGAAATAGTGTAGTATATCTGTATTTTACTGGAAATTTTCACTATGTCAGGGACAGATATTATTGTAAGTCTACTTTCTCTGAATAAAAATTGAAATGTTTTTCTTTCTGAGAATGATACAAAGATTTTTAAAGCTAATAACATAATTTGTATATTAACAATAGCTGCATGACCTCACAGTGATTAGGATGTCAGTGAACTATTAACTTCACTGCAGTGCCATTGATTAAAGTAAAGAAATGGGATAGGCTACTACAAAAAAGACTGGTGCATAAGTTATTTGGAGGTGAACACTTTGTGCTTCAAATAGCTTAAGTTGATTAAAAAGAATGGAAAAGAAAGTTCCATTGGCTATAAGTTTTTACCTTTATTCAAATATTGGAATTAAAATACACAGCTTGGTGAACTGCTCACAGGTGTTTGGCAGAAATGATAGCAGTTATATATATACATATGATAGCTATATATATATATTCAGTTTTCTTACTTGCTTATGGTTGTAAATGACTCAATTTACTTGGCAAAATGTGATCTAATTACAATGAGAGCGTTCAAGATATTTGGAGAAAATCTAGGTCCCATAAAATGTAATATGAAAATTCTTAAGCTTAGTACTGACGCTAAATGACATAAAAACCCTAGAACTTACACATTCTCCCAAGACCACCTTTATATATAACAAGATTCATCTTGACACATGAGGAACTGGTAAAATCAAATGCACTAAACAAATATAATTACAACAAAAGCGATGTACAACATAGTCCATATTGTAGTGGGAATCTGCCCTATCATTTCGTATGAAGAGGGTCTTTTCCTATGTGAAAAATACTGTGGTTGTCTTTCCTTTGGATTCCATCCTTTATTAAATTGATTGCAAAATACTCATTCTTTTTGTACAGAGGTTTACAAATCTGTTAAACAATGGTATGAAAAAATGGATCATGTTTATTTCATAGTTTAACTTAATAAAGTAAAATGTTTTAAAGAAGTCTTCCACAAAAAGGCATAGCTGTTTATATTAAATTATTTATAAATAAAATATAGTATAACATATATTAATACTCCGCTAACATATGTTAATGGTTGTGAAATTATATTGAAATAAAGAAATATGATGGTACAAATTATTGTGAAAATAATGGCACAGTAAAATTACAAGTTAATATTCTTTTTTACTCTTTTAAATTTTATGTAGGTAAATTTTTTTTCTTAAAAATAAAATTATATCATTATTTATTATTCCCATATTTCTTCTCATTATTTCTTAAAGCTGAAATTTCCTCTTTATTGTATCTAACATGCTTTTGAGGTATTTGTTATGTTATAGTAATGTAAGTTTTGGTACTAATACTACTAATATTTTGAAATTTTTGAGAATATATGCAAAACCATATATAGTTCTTGATGTTAATTTAGTGTTCAAATATAGTTGCATCAAGTTAAGTCATATGTATCTTAGAAATCTGCTGAAGTCACTATTCTTCTGCATCAGTACAGTCACTGACACAGATATACAAACACATGCAAACAAATTACAGCATCCTAAACCACATCCCTATCCAGTGACCTTCCCCAGATTAGAGTGAATTCCCAGAAGCTTATAATTTCATGGCACATTTGGCTTCTAAGTTTCTGATGCTGCTGAAAATCTCTTGTGTCTCATCACCTGAGGCTGTTCCTGTCTCTTTTCTCTGCTGTAACTTGAACCTCAGCCCTCTTTTCTTGTGTATCCAGAAGCGACATAAAACAAAAGCTTTCAGGAGACATTTGTATTTTGTAATGGTCTTAGCTTAAGAAAAGGGTCTACTTCACAGCAATGCCAGCAATTTACAATTAAAAGCAGACATTTCCATATTTAAGCATTTGTTTAAACCAACAGCAGAAATTATGAGACACTTTTATACACAGGCATAGGTATAGGCACAAAAATGTATTTTATGCAGAGTAATTCATTTATTTTTAAACCTAAGACCTAACTTCAGAAGCCATCCATACATTCACTGATAACCTTATAGAGTCAGAAGAAGCTTCCAAAGTTTTTCTTTCAAGATCAGTTTATCTAGCAGAACATGGATAATAGAAAGATGTGTTGTTCCCTACACAGAAAACATTGCTATGGAGGAGGTGCAGTGAATAAATGTCTATTTATATATTTATTTAATAATAATTAATGAGTTACTCCTTGTGCAGTCACAAAGAGAAGTACTAGGAATACAAAGATGAACAAGACATCGGTTCTGTATCTGAGGAGCTCAGGGATTCTTATGAGAAAACAGAGAGTAAAGGATTCGTTACAATTACCATGGTATGTGAGTGAGATAGACTTAACAACACACAGCAGGAAGGGAAACACAAGAGTGGATAGGGATGTTGGGCAGAATGCACAGACACAGGCTGTAGTGAGATGAGGATAGAGTAGGGTGAAGGTATGCTCAGATTGACTTCCCTGAAAAAAAAGTACATACAGATGATACATAAAGAATGAGCTGGAATCATTAAGGTGAATGACAGGTATTTAGGAGGTTTTAGGCATAGAAAGCAATATTAAACTCATTGAGGAGGAAATACTTGAGTATAAGATAAAAAGGAAGGAGTGGTAGAAAAGAGGATGAGGGATAGGTAAAGAATGATCATAAAAAAACTGTGTTTATCATTAGCAGCAATTTAATTTTATAGTACAAGAAATAATTTTTTTATTTTTATTATACTTTAAGTTCTAGGGTACATGTGCACAACGTGCAGGTTTGTTACATATGTATACATGTGCCATGTTGGTGTGCTACACTCATTAACTCGTCATTTACATTAGGTATATCTCCTAATGCTATCCCTGCCCCCTCCCCCGACCCCACAACAGGCCCCGGTGTGTGATGTTCCCCACCATGTGTCCAAGTGTTCTCATTGTTCAATTCCCACCTAAGAGTGAGAACATGCAGTGTTTGATTTTTTTGTCCTTGCGATAGTTTGCTGAGAATGGTGGTTTCTAGCTTCATCCATGTCCCTACAAAGGACATGAACTCATACTTTTTTATGGCTGTATAGTATTTCATGATATATATGTGGCACATTTTCTTAATCCAGTCTATCACTGATGGACATTTGCGTTGGTTCCAAGTCTTTGCTATTGTGAGTAGTGCTGTAATAAACATATGTGTGCATGTGTCTTTATAGCAGCATGATTGATAATCCTTTGGGTATATACCCAGTAAAGAGAAGGCTGGGCCAAATGGTATTTCTAGTTCTACATCCTTGAGGAATTGCCACACTGTCTTCCACAATGGTTGAACTAGTTTACAGCCCCACCAACAGTGGAAAAGTGTTCCCATTTCTCCACATCCTCTCCAGCACCTGTTGTTTCCTGACTTTTTAATGATCACCATTCTAACTGGTGTGAGATGGTATCTCATTGTGGTATTGATTTGCATTTCTCTGATGGCTAGTGATGATGAGAAATTTTTCATATGTCTGTTGGCTGCATAAATGTCTTCTTTTGAGAAGTGCCTGTTCATGTACTTTGCCCACTTTTTGATGGGGTTGTTTGAGTTTTTCTTGTAAATTTGTTTAAGTTCTTTGTAGATGCTGGATATTAGCCTTTTGTCAGATGGGTAGATTGTAAAAATTTTCTCCCATTCTTTAGATTACCTGTTCACACTGATGGTAGTTTCTTTTGCTGTGCAGAAGCTCTTTAGTTTAATCAGATCCCATTTGTCTATTTTGGCTTTTGTGGCCATTTGTGTTTTAGTCATGAAGTCCTTGCCCATGCCTGTGTCCTGAATGGTATTGCCTAGGTTTTCTTCTAGGGTTTTTATGGTTTTAGGTCTAACATTTACATCTTTAATACATCTTGAATTAATTTTTGTATAGGTGTAAGGAAGGGATCCAGTTTTAGCTTTCTACATATGGCTGGCCAGTTTTCCCAGCACCATTTATTAAATAGGAAATCCTTTCCCCATTGCTTGTTTTTGTCAGGTTTGTCGAAGATCAGATGGTTGTAGATTTGTGATGTTATTTCTGAGGCCCCTATTCTGTTCCATTGGTCTATATCTCTGTTTTGGTATAAGTACTATGCTGTTTTGGTTACTGTAGCCTTGTAGTATAGTTTGAAGTCACATAGCATGATGCCTCCAGCTTTGTTCTTTTGGCTTAGGATTGACTTGGCAATGTGAGCTCTTATTTGGTTCCATATGAATTTTAAAATAGTTTTTTCCAATTCTGTGAAGAAAGTCGTTATTGGTAGCTTGATGGGGATGGCATTGAATCTATAAATTACCTTGGGCAGTATGGCCATTTTCATGATATTGATTCTTCCTACCCATGAGCATGGAATGTTCTTCCATTTGTTTGTGTCCTCTTTTATTTCGTTGAGCAGTGGTTTGTAGTTTTCCTTGAAGAGGTCCTTCACATCCCTTGTAAGTTGGTTTCCTAGGTATTTTATTCTCTTTGAAGCAATTGTGAATGGGAGTTCTCTCATGATTTGGCTCTCTGTTTGTCTGTTATTGGTGTATAAGAATGCTTGTGATTTTTGCACATTGATTTTGTGTCCTGAGACTTTGCTGAAGTTTCTTATTAGATTAAGGAGATTTTGGGCTGAAATGATGGGGTTTTCTAAATATACAATCATGTCATCTGCAAACAGGGACAATTTGACTTCCTCTTTTCCTAATTGAATACCCTTTATTTCTTTCTCCTGCCTGATTGTCCTGGTCAGAACTTCCAACACTATGTTGAATAGGAGTGGTGAGAGAGGGCATCCCTGTCTTGTGCCAGTTTTCAAAGGGAATGCTTCCAGTTTTTGCCCATTCAGTATGATATTGGCTGTGGGTTTGTCATAAATAGCTCTTATTATTTTGAGATACGTCCCAACAATACCTAGTTTATTGAGAGTTTTTAGCATGAAAGGCCGTTGAATTTTGTCGAAGGCCTTTTCTGCATCTATTGAGATAATCATGTGGTTTTTGTCTTTGGTTCTGTTTATGTGATGCATTACATTTATTGATTTGCATATGTTGAACTAGCGTTGCATCCCAGGGATGAAGCACACTTGATCATGGTGGATAAGCTTTTTGATGTGCTGCTGGATTCGGCTTGCCAACATTTTATTGAGGATTTTTGCATCAATGTTCATCAAGGATATTGGTCTAAAATTCTCTTTTTTGGTTGTGTCTCTGCCAGGCTTTGGTATCAGGATGATGCTGGCCTCATAAAATGAGTTAGGGAGGATTCTCTCTTTTTCTATTGATTGGGATAGTTTCAGAAGGAATGGTACCAGCTCCTCTTTGTACCTCTGGTAGAGTTCGGCTGTGAATCTGTCTAGCCCTGGACTTTTTTTGGTTAGTAGGCGATTAATTATTGCCTTAATTTCAGAGCCTGTTATTGGCCTATTCAGAGATTCAACTTCTTCCTGGTTTAGTCTTGGGAGGGTGTATGTGTCTAGGAATTTATCCCTTTCCTCTAGATTTTCTAGTTTATTTGCATAGAGGTGTTTATAGTATTCTCTGAAGGTAGTTTGTATACCTGTGGGATCGGTGGTGATATCCCCTTTATCATTTTTTATTGCATCTATTTGATTCTTCTCTCTTTTCTTCTTTATTAGTCTTGCTAGTGGTCTATCAATTTTGTTGATCTTTTCAAGAAACCAGCTCCTGGATTCATTGATTTTTTTGAAGGGTTTTTTATGTCTCTGTCTCCTTCAGTTCTGCTCCGATCTTAGTTATTTCTTGCCTTCTGCTAGCTTTCGAATGTGTTCGCTCTTGCTTCTCTAGTTTTTTTTAATTGTGATGTTAGGGTGTCAATTTTAGATCTTTCCTGCTTTCTCTTGTGTGCAGTTAGTGCTATAAATTTCCCCCTACACACTGCTTTAAATGTGTCCCAGAGATTCTGGTATGTTGTGTCTTTTTTTCTCATTGGTTTCAAGGAATATCTTTATTTCTGCCTTCATTTCGTTATGTATCCAGTAGTCATTCAGGAGCAGGTTGTTCAGTTTCCATGTAGTTGAGCGGTTTTGAGTGAGTTTCTTAATCCTGAATCCTAATTTGATTGCACTGTGGTCTGAGATACAGTTTGTTATAATTTCTGTTCTTTTACATTTGCTGAGGAGTGCTTTACTTCCAAGTATGTGGTCAATTTTGGAGTTAAGTGCGGTGTGGTGCTGAGAAGAATGTATATTCTGTTGATTTGGGGTGGAGAGTTCTGTAAATGTCTGTTAGGTCCACTTGGTGCAGAGCTGAGTTCAAGTCCTGGATATCCTTGTTATCTTTCTGTCTCGTTGATCTGTCTAATCTTAACAGTGGGGTGTTGAAGTCTCCCATTATTATTGTGTGGGAGTCCAAGTCTCTTTGTAGGTCTCTAAGGACTTGCTTTATGAATCTGGGTGCTCTTGTATTGGGTGCATATATTTTAGGATAGTTAGCTCTTGTTGAATTGATCCCTTTACCATTATGTAATGGCCTTCTTTGTCTCTTTTGATCTTTGTTGTTTTAAAGTCTGTTTTAACAGAGACTAGGATTGCAACCTCTACTTTTTTCTGTTTTCCATTTGCTTGGTAGATCTTTCTCCATCCCTTTATTTTGAGCCTATGTGTGTCTCTGCACGTGAGATGGGTTTCCTGAATACAGCACTGATGGGTCTTGACTCTATCCAATTTGCCAGTCTGTATCTTTTAATTGGAGCATTTAGCCCATTTACATTTAAGGTTAATATTGTTTTGTGTGAGTTTGATCCTGTCATTATGATGTTAGCTGGTTATTTTGCTTGTTAGCTGATGCAGTTTCTTCCTAGCATCGATGGTCTTTACAATTTGGCATGTTTTTGCAGTGGCTGATACAGGTTGTTCCTTTCCATGTTTAGTGCTTCCTTCAGGAGCTCTTGTAAGGCAGGGCTGGTGTTGACAAAATCTCTCAGCATTTACTTGTATGTAAAGGATTTTATTTCTCCTTCACTTATGAAGCTTAGTTTGGCTGGATATGTAATTCTGTATTGAAAATTCTTTTCTTTAAGAATGTTGAATATTAACCGCACTCTCTTCTGACTTGTAGAGTTTCTGCTGAGAGATCAGCTGTTAGTCTGATGGGCTTCCCTTTGTGGGTAACCCGACCTTTCTCTCTTACTGCCCTTAACATTTTTTCCTTCATTTCAACTTTGGTGAATCTGGCAATTATGTATCTTGGAGTTGCTCATCTCAAGGAATATCTTTGTGGTGTTCTCTGTATTTCCTGAATTTGAATGTTGGCCTGCCTTGCTAAGTTGGGGAAGTTCTTCTGGATAATGTCCTGCAGAGTGTTTTCCAACTTGATTCCATTCTCCCCATCACTTTCAGGTACACCATTCAGACATTGATTTGGTCTTTTCACGAAGTCCCATATTTCTTGGAAGCTTTGTTGATTTCTTTTTACTCTTTTTTCTCTAAACTTCTCTTCTGGATTCATTTCATTCATTTGATCTTTAATCACTGATACCCTTTCTTCCAGTTGATCGAATCGGCTACTGAAGCTTGTGCGTTCATCACGTAGTTCTCATGCCATGTTTTTCAGCTACATGACATCATTTAGGTCTTCTCTACGCTGTTTATTCTAGTTAGCCATTCATCTAATCTTTTTCCAAGGTTTTTAGCTTCTTTGTGATGGTTTCGAACATCCTCCTTTAGCTCAGAGAAGTTTGTTATTACTGATCTTTTGAAGCCTACTTCTGACAGCTTGTCAAAATCATCATTCTCTGCCTAGCTTTGTTTCATTGCTGGTGAGGAGCTGCGTTCCTTTGGAAAAGAAGAGGCACTCTGATTTTTAGAATTTCTAGCGTTTCTGCTCTGGTTTCTCCCCATCTTTGTGGTTTTATCTACCTTTGGTCTTTGATGATGGGGTTTTAGTGTAGATGTCCTTTCTGTTTGTTAGTTTTCTTCCAGCAGTCAGGACCCTCAGCTGCAGGTCCGTTGGAGTTTGCCGGAGGTCCACTCCAGACCCTGTTTGCCTGGGTATCACCAGCAGAGGCTGCAGAAGAGCAAATATTGCAGAACAGCAAATGTTGCTGCCTGATCATTCCTCTGGAAGCTTCATCTCAGAGGGTCACCCGGCTGTCAGTCAGCCCCCACTGGGAGGTGTCTCCCAGTTAGGCTACTCAGGGTCAGGGACCCACTTGAGGAGGCAGTCTGTCAGTTCTCATATCTCAAACTAAGTGCTGGGAGAACCACTACCCTATTCAAAGCTGTCAGACAGGTATGTTTAAGTCTGCAGAAGTTTCTGCTGCCTTTTGTTCAGCTATGCCCTGCCCCCAGAGGTGGAGTCTACGGAGGCAAGCCTGCCTCCCTGAGCTGTGGTGGGCTCCACCCAGGTCCAGCTTCCTGGCTGCTTTGTTTACCTACACAATCCTCAGCAATGGCCCCTCCCCCAGCCTCGCTGCCACCTTGCAGTTTGATCACTGCTGTGCTAGCAGTGAGCGAGGCTCCGTGGGCATAGGACCCTCCAAGCCAGGTGTGGGATATAGTCTCCTGGTGTGCCATTTGCCAAGACCATTGGAAAAGCACAGTATTAAGCTGGGTGTGTTCTGATTTTCCAGGTACCGTCTGTCACAGCTTCCCTTGACTAGGAAAGGGAATTCCCTCACCCCTTGTGCTTCCCAGGTGAGGTGATGCCCCACCCTGCTTTGGCTCATGCTCCCTGGGCTGCACCCACTGTCCAACAAGCCTCAGTGAGATAAACCCGGTACCTCAGTTGGAAATGCAGAAATCACCTGTCTTCTGAGTCGCTCATGGTGGGAGCTGTAGACTGGAGCTATTCCTATTTGGCCATCTTGGAACCCCAAAAATCAAGAAATAAAAATTTATTGATAATTTTGAAACAAGGGAATTATTTGGTGGCTTTTTTCCCGATAAAATATTTACCTTTATTAGAACTTAATGAATTTTAAGAAAAAACTATATGACTCTCTAGATAGATAGATACATAGATAGATGATAGATAGAACTACATATAGATCTCTCTCTCTCTCTCTCTCTCTCTCTATATATATATATATATATATATTCAACTATGCCTGAAAACATCTGTTAAAAATATTAGTTTGAGATGTACATTTTTTTCCTATATAACATAGCTTTTTATGGCCAAATGTGACGGCTCCTTATATATGAATACAGTGATTTCATTTAGAGTCCACTTTGAAATAACTCAGGCCTCTGACAAAAATAGGTGTCTTTTGTGAGACTTCCTTTAACTCATACTAGAATGAATTATTAAATGAAAAGCGACCTAGAACTATGAAAACTCAAAACTTCAGACATATCTACAAAGTGCACATTCGCATAAGAGGCAGTAAAAAACATCTAAGCTGTAGTTTTCTGCCCCAACCCATTCTAGGGGCTTTCAATTTTGTTCTCATTGCACAAAAATGTTTAATTCACCCAATTTATTATTGCCAGCACTCTGATATGAATTCTTTTTTTTGTGTGTGTGACGGAGTCTCACTCTGTCGCCTAGGCTAGAGTGCAGTGGTGTGATCTCTGCTCACTGCAAGCTCTGCCTCCTGGGTTCACGCCGTTCTCCTGCCTCAGCCTCCCGAGTAGTTGGGACTACAGGTCCCCACCACCATGCCTGGCTAATTTTTTGTATTTTTTAGTAGAGATGGGGTTTCACTGTGTTAGCCAGGGTGGTCTCGATCTCCTGACCTCGTGATCCGCCTGCCTTGGCCTCCCAAAGTGCTGGGATTACAGGTGTGAGCTACCTCACCTGGCCTCTGATATGAATTCTTTTAACTATTATATCTAGGACAAATAACCTACACATTTTTAATATGTTTTTTATTTTTATTTTTTTAGGTAGCTTTCAAATTAACAATGGTAGAACCATTGCTGTTATACATAAATAACTTGGGAATAGCCTCTATTCTCCATTCAAGCAGTTACATATTTGTATGGGAACTAAATTTGGGAGCTCTCAAAACCAACTGCTACAGCAACTAACGATTTCAGCATAGATTGACTAAACTATACCTAAAAAGTCACAGGTGCCATGAAGAAAGTCTGTCCCAATAAAATGAGTTAGTTTCATTTCGGGAAACTTTTCTCTAGCACCTGTAATGCCTCTTGATACTTAGCCTCTTTTTCTAGATAGCACCTGTTAAAAAGATGTGCCAAAGTATAAATATTTGAGCAGACAATAGTGCCTTTCATAGCCAAAACTCAAGTTGTATTGCAGCAGCTGGCAGTAGGATTAGTGGTCTGAAAGTCATTTGAAGTGTTGAAATCTGTTTTCATGAGGGGAATGGGCAAAGGAAGAATAGTGAACTGCCTAAATGTGGTCTACTAAGGCTAAATTTCATGCCTGGATTGAATGGGATAAATTTATTGACATTCCATTGGTACTAAGCAGATGGAATCTGGGGATAAGTATTTTTTATTCTATCTTTATACCTGGATATATTTCATTCCATATTTTTATCTAGATTTTATTCCTCTGGAAACACACATATTTTCCACAGTTTATATTTCCTATTCATTATTAGATAAAAGCAAAAATGCATTCTGAAATTATGTTCCTAATAAATCTGTTTGTCTACTGTAGTTATTTGCTTCTGTGAGAGTTTTCTGGCAAATTAGTGAGGTTAACAGCCCTTAAGAGCAAATGCAACAAATTATAGATTTTTGAAGCTTGAACAGACTTTTAAATCAGCCTGTCAGTAATGTTAAAATTATTCCAGGATGGCATCCATTGTAGGAGTGTATGGGTGAGTGAGGGTGACCCGAAAGGGCACATAGTAATTAAGGCTTGGGAACTACCACTGTCACGTTAATCAGGATAACTCTACTTATATGTGTTTATTTCTTTAATGTGATTTTCTAAATCCTGTCTTGTAGGAGTGTTTTTTAAAGAAGAAATCTATTTCTAAAATATGATTTAGGTTGTCTGTTATTTGATGTGAGAGATGTGGAAAATGAGAGTATCTGATATGAATTTTAATAATATTAATTTCAAATCTTTTTATTTGGTATATTTTTCTTTCCATTATTTGAAGAATCTATTTTATCTGGTGTTTTATTATTGTCAATGACCTGTCTTCACTTTAATATCCTCTTTGCAGCTTCAGACTCATTATTTTTACTTTGAGATGTCTCAAAAGAAGAAAGAAGCCGTCTCTAAACCATCTTCCATATTATTATGTGGTCGTGTCTCTGAAATACTGTATGGAAGTATCTGTGAAGTACTTTGGACCAACTTGAGTCATACACCCACCAGTTGCTGGATCAGGAAGGTCAGAGCTATTCAAAAAGTGTCCATGAACCAGTTGAAATTCACCCACCATTGTTACTACTCTGCAAGCTTGTACAGAGCTTGTACCAAGAAAAATATTACCTACGTCACTTAGCATACTTGTTAGTTCAGCCAAATTTTTATTTTAAAGCAGGAATTTCTTGATGTTGATTTATATTCTGGAGCAAACTCCGAGGAAGTGGAAGATTCTGTATTTAGAAGAAGGAAAACTCCTCAGGGCAGGCAGCACTTCCCACATAAACCAGACATATACTCAATAAACAAAAATTCAGTCAACCCAACATAAAACAAAACATGAGTTTACATTCTAGGTACTTAAAAATATATTTTAATGCAATTATCCTTCATTTCTATGTGAAGCCTGAGAGAATCCAGGCTCTGTTAAGTTCACAAAGCCAACATGCAGTGGATGGATGTGTATATTTGGTACTCCAAAACCTGTGCTCTGTATATTATAATACGATATACTGAAGACACCATCATTTGGCACAGATTTGAGGAGGGAAGGGTGGAGAGAGGCGGGGAAGGTTAGAGAAAACTTTCTACAGAACTGAGAATTAAGCTAAGTTTTTAGATATTAGCCAGGTTGTCAAGCTGAACCATGTGGCTGGAGAAGAATCCCCCACTCCCCGCATCCCAACCCTGGACAGAGGGAACAGCATGTGGTAGTCGTGGAAGCTTCCAGTGTTCACATTGTCAAAGCAAAAATTGCACCGGCCAAAATTAACCCGTCAAGGAAGACTTCATTCAGGCTAACAGGTGAGCAAAAGTGAACTTAACTCCACTGAAACAAAAGGCAGAAGGTTTTGTTTTATTATTATTATTATTATTATTATTATTATTATTATTATTATTATTATAGTTTAAGTTCTGGGATACACGTGCAGAACGTGCAGGTTTGTTACATAGGTATATAAGTGCCATGGTGGTTTGCTGCACCGATCAAACCGTCATCTACATTAGGTATTTGTCCTAATGCTATCCCTCCCCTAGCCCCCTACCCCCCAACAGGCCCTGGTGTGTGATGTTCCCCTCCCTGTGTCCATGTGTTCTCATTGTTCAACTCCCACTTATGAGTGAGAACATGCATTGTTTGGTTTTCTGTTCTCGTGTTAGTTTACTGAGAATGATGGTTTCCATCTTCATCCCTTTTTATGGCTGCATAGTATTCCATGGTTTATATGTGCCACATTTTCTTTATACAGTCTATCATTGATGGACATTTGGGTTGGTTCCAAGTCTTTGCTATTGTGAATAGTGCCAAAATAAACATACGTGTGCATGTGTCTTTATAGCAGCATGATATGTAATCCTTTGGCTATATACCCAGTAATGGGATTGCTGGGTCAAATGGCATTTCTGGTTCTGGATCCTCGAGGAATCGCCATACTGTCTTCCACAATGGTTTAACTAATTTACACTCCCAGCAACAATGTAAAAGCATTCCTATTTCGCCACATCCTCTCCAGCATCTGTTGTTTCCTGACTTTTTAATGATTGCCATTCTAACTGGCGTGAGATGATATTTCATTGTGGTGTTGATTTGCATTTCTTTAATGACCAGTGATGATAAGCTTTTTTTCATATGTTTGTTGGCCACATAAATGTCCTCTTTTGAGAAGTGTCTGTTCATATCCTAAAAGGCAGAAGAGTTTTTAAGCAGTGGAGTAAACTTGTGGAAAAGTACTGGAAGATGTTAATGGGCAGGTTCATCAATGGGATGTGTCTAGCACATGCAATTATTCCTGAGGTTGCCGATGTTTTTCTCTGTGCTCAGGCCATCTGTGCTTGCTTATTAGCCTTACCCAAAGGAAAATTAAACTTTCTTCTACCCTCGTGATTGGAGGTAGTTTTAGAATCTAGAACAAGATTCCTTATCCAAAGTTAGGCTCCTATCCTCCCACAGAGATTGAGAGATAGGGGCACTATCTCCTTTTATATTTACATTTGAAAATGATGGTTCCTGGGTTTATGAGAAAGATATTTCCTGGGTTGTAAAACTGGCCAGTGGCTGGGAGGTTTACTTATATTTCAGATAGGCAGAAAAAGTATTTACAATGACAAACTTTCTGATGTAAATGCTCTAAGAAAAGGGAGGTCAGGCAGGAGCTTACTTTGAAGAAACCTGTCTAAAGTTTAGTCAAGCTGAGTTTCTCCTTGACCATCTTGGTGCATCAGAGTCACTAGGCATATTAAAAACATGTACAGTTTTAGGCCACACGCCCAGAGAGTCTGATCTTGTGTTCACTTTTGTCTACACTGAAGGAAACATTGATTGAAGGAATGACATTATCAATGGCTTGAGAGTATGTGGCAAGGGTGTGAGATGAAACTAGAAGTGGGGAGGACCAGGTCATGAAGGGCATGGTCTATTTCACAAGTTTTTTTTTTTTTTAATTAAAATACAGAATTTATTCTTTCAGCCAGGGTTCTCTAAAGTGTGCACTGCCTGCATCAAAATTACTTGGGAAGCAGATGTCTAGTCTCTATTATACAACCACAGGCTAGAACCTCTGTGGTAGGTCATGGAGATATAGAGATGACCACTGTTAGCATTATGGTGTATTTTGTTCTCATTTTGTTTTCCTCAATATTCTTTTTTGCCTACTTAATGACTGTATTAGTATATATTATATGAGATATATGTCTATATGTATTATAAAATCTATGCATTTTATTTTATTTAAAAATGGCTGCAGCCTAATTCATAATATTAATTATAATCTACTGAATGACTCTCTTATCCTTAAATATTAGTGTGTTTCAATAAATAAATTTGTTTGATTTACTGGTATAGATTTTAAGAAGTAGAATTACTGAGTCAATGACTATGAATATTTTTATAGAACTGTTGATTTCTAAATTGTTACCCAGGTAAGTTATATAAATTTATGCCCTTATCTTGTTTTTACTAATTTATTAGTTTTTGGTATCTATCTTATTTTGCTTGAAGATATTTGTTAAAACTGATAAAATTGCATTATTTTGTTCTCTTAGCCACATTTATTTCAGATTTTTGAACTTGAAGTATAGATTCTTTGTTTTGCTTCTGGAGTTTTCATCCTTTTTATTTTTTTGTGCTATTGTAATGATTCTCTACATGATGAGAACACTCGCATTTTCCTGCCACTAGTATAGCATATGTTTATCTCCAGTTTGCTGTTGATCTTTTAACTTTGTTGCAATGGTGTAACTTTCATGTACTGGTGTTTGTATTATTGTTCAGTTGATTTTAACAATATTTGCTTCATATTTTCTGCTTTGGGGAATATTACGTCACTTTCTTCTCATGGCTGCATGTTCCTTCTCTCTGTCTTTATTGGAGCATCTTTTTCTGGTGGCTGAGGGTAGGTCAGAGTTGGGATTGAGTGGCCTATTGAAATAAATGCATTTACTTGTCACTATCAGTGTGGCAATGTGCTCTCACCAGTTCCATCTGCTTGCTAGTATGTTGTTTTCCAGGAATCAAAGTCCTATTAGAAAAAAAATAGAATAAACTGTACTCTTGAATAGGCTGCATATTTTGAACATATGAAAAGCAATATCCATGCAACAGAAGGACAACTACCCAATTTTTTTCTTTGGCACAGACCCTAGAACTCTGGCCAGGGGCAAAATATTGAAAAAGAGAAAGAAATCTATTAGGAGCTCTGTATTTCTCTTTTATGTGACAAGAAATGTGACATAACTAATATTCTAATTTCAGTTTCATGGATGTTGCAGTAATGGAACTTACCCTTAGATCTGACAATTGTCTGGGTGTCTGTCAGTCTTATATTCGTTATGTTTCATTTTTATTTTAGGGTCTTTATTTATATTTTAATGGAAACGTAAATGAGGATGATTTATAGATTATTAGCCACACATGATTTTAAATGGAAAGTTGTTTTTTCATCTTTATCTGGCCAGCAGATAGGGTGTCTGGAAAACTTTTTTCTCCTTCCTTTTCCTTCGGTGGATGACAGAGTCTTGCTGTAAATCTAAAACTGGAGAGCAGATTGCTGAAGAAAGCCTTCTCTTTTCTTATGTGCAGCAAGCCATCAGCTAGCATAGCACTCAACGAACAAAGGGGGATCCTCTCCTGTGCTACATAATTTCTAACTCTATAGATAATTAACCTATGAATGGTAGACTACAGTTGTAAAATATCTTTGAACAAGGATTGCTCAAGAAAATATATAATCCTCCAAACAATCCATCCTCTGTGTGGAACCACTGATGTGAAGAAATGACAATGCAAAATATAAGAATAAATAGCTTCCCATCTTCCATGGCTATGGTGCCCATTGAGATAATACAGTTACCTACCTAGCTGGCATAGATCCCATGTCTTCAAACAAGGATAAAAAGTTTCAGGGTGGTATAGCATAATTATCTCTTTCTTAGACTGATGGGAATTCCCATGTTTTTATCTCCACACATTGTAAACACACATATACAAATACACTGCTTAATAGTACCAATAGATGTAATTTGAGGACTTTTCAATAGAGCAAGGATAGTTACTACACAACTGCACACAAACACAGTTAAAATAGTTAACCATTTTTTATATATACAAAATTACCTTCTGTTCTTTCAAAGCATTTGAAGATTAAGACATTATGCTTAATTAAGTATGGTGTTTAAAGAGAACATCATGGTTATCCTGTCAATTTTTAAGAAGGGAAGTCACTGTACAATTCATACAAAACATTAAAAATAAACATAATGTTTGCTGAAACCACCATGTCCATCATTATGATTTTCCCACATCCTTTGAATGTCATGATTAAAATTATAGGAAACCATAATGTAATTTATATAGCAAAGAGGTTATATTAATATGTGGCTATCAATTTTGTGAACCAATGTGTCTGTACCATTTAATGTAGTGTTTTCAAAATGTGCTCTGTTATCATCTACATTGCAGTTATTTAAGATGACTTTTAAAAAATAATGTCCAGGACCTACCAAAGACTGAATCTTTTACCAACTCCCTAGGTGATTTTTGGGCTTAGAATCCCACTGAAATTGAATGAGTTTACATCGGAGGTTCATATGAATCATAGTTGCTTCAAGGTCTCTTTTTAATTCTTCATTTCAATTTTTGCGTAATTGTGACATTTTCAATCAGAAGACTCTTTATTCTTATCCACATAGAGCTATGTGAAACCAATAACTAAATGATAGTTTTAAGATATGCTATTTAGCTTTCTTAGTTGGTCCAGCACTTTTATATTATAGTCTACGATTTAGGTGGGGGAGATATCAGGCTAATTTTTTAGCATATGAAATACCTTGGCTGCAGTTGTGCTCACTCTGGTTTTATCTACTTATTTTGTTTGGTGCTTAAGAAATTAAATGGTTTAAAGATGAGCATAATGATTTATACTCTACGGAAGAAGAAATATAAGTGTTTTACAAATGTACCTCTTAAAGACAGGTATAATTAAAACTATAATTCTGAGTAAACTGAAATGGAGATAACAATTCTCTAATTTATTAAAATTCAACTTTTTGGAGTTACATAGAATTGCAAATTTTGTGGGGGGATAACTTGCTTTGTCTCTGCTGATGATATAATCCATGTAATTGAGGTGAGCTTATTAGTGGACAGTTTGATTAATTCCAACATGATACTAGTGAGGCTAAGGTGGCAGATTTACTTAGTATGCAGGTCAATCAAACTTCACATGAGGAAGAAGGACTTATTTACAGCCATAAGTCTATAATCTTAACAATATATTGTCCTGAAAACATGTTCAGTATACATGTGTTAATATTCCTGTGTCATGAAAATTCAGATGTTTAGCCAAAAATGCTGAAAGTATCTTTTCCTCAAATTTGTAAATTTAAGAATAACAATTTGATATAAAATTACTAATAAGTTTTCCAACAGAATTTGCAGAAACTAAGAAGACAAATACTGAAGGAGAAAGAAACATCATGGGTCAAAATCACTAATAAAGATGAATATTTCTAAATAAAATATTAACAAACTAAACCCAGTAGTACATTAAAACACATACATACACACACATGCACACACACACACGCACACAAGTGCATGCATATTATTTAGGTTTAACTCCATAAACACTTGGATACTTTAACTTTAGAACAGCATTCAATATTCTGTAGAATACTTTGGAATAAATGCAATGAGGAAGGCCCAAGAATTATATGACGAATACTCTAAAATCTTAATTGAAGATAAATAGACCTGAACAAATGGAAATAAATTCCATTCTGTGATGGGAAGACTGAATGTCAAAAATGTCATTCAGCAACAAAAAACAAACAACCCTCCCCCACAACCAAATTATATAAATTCCAGCTAGAATTCTAACACTCTCTTATTTTTTTGGTTTTTCTTCTTTTGCAATTAGGTAGAATAAAATTCATGTTGAAATAAAATAAATTCAAGAAAATATCTAGAAAAACAATGAAAATGAGAATAGTGGGCAGGACTCTTAGCACATGATCAGAACATTCTAAAATAAAGGCAACGAGGTTAATAGGTTTTTAGTGTCAGAATAAGAAAATAGGTCAATTTGAAAGTGGGTCAAACAGAAAAGACAATCCAGAATTAGAAGTAATTATGCATTTGACGTGACTGCTGACTCAATTAACTGCTCTTTTATTTGGAATTAATGAAGAGGCACACTGTGTTCCCAATTTACTTAGCCATATCTAGGATATAGCAGGCAATAGATATCTCAGTGAATCAGCAGCTGTAGCAGGAGGTATCACAGATTGTCAAGCTCAACTTGTAGATCCTTTCACTCAGAAGGGTACACTTCATTGCAGGAAATGAAATTGAAGCTTCTTGCATGGACCATTTCAATTCAGGGAAGGTACCAATTTTATGTTTACTGATTGACCTCTTATTCATACTTGTCACATAGCTTCTCTGGGAATATTTTCTAGCCTGATTCCCTCCAATTGCTGCTATAGCTTATTAATGAGGTATTTCACTATTAACAATTATAATGACCAGGTACAGTCTGAATATTTGTCATGTATCTTAATTTGGCACATGTCATAGAGAAATTTTGCAAGAAAGAAAACTCAGTATCATACACCCAGGCAGCACTGGGTCTAGGACAGTGTTTATCAATCTTAGAACTATTTACCTATAAGGCTGCAAAATTCTTCGTTAGAAGTTGGGGGATTTTCCTGTGCGTTGTAGGATGTTTAGCATAATCCATAGCCTCTATCCACTAGATGCTAATAGTACCCCCTAGTTTGTGACAGCCATAAATGTCTACAGATATTTTCAAATGTCCTTATGGGGGATGGGAAGGAGGGTAGAGTAAATTACCCCTGTTTGAGAGCCACTGGTTTAGCATAAGGGTTCTTTCTGTAAGCACTTTATCCTTGCGATTCAGTGTAACAGTAAATATTTGACAAAGTAATAGTTTAACTCAGTAAAAAAAAGATGGATTGCTTAATAAGATATGCTAACACAACTGATTTCTGTCTGGAAAAAATAAAAGTGGACTCATTCACTACATCAAATGTTAGTGTGTAGATGGATCAAATAATTAAATATTAAATATAAAATAATTAAATACTCTAAGAAATACAGGTAATAATATATAAAATATAGGAGTAGTAGAAACCTTTGTACCCAAGATTGGAAATTCAGATGGCATAAGAGGAAAAGTAGACATATTGACCACATTAAAATTTTAACATCTGACATGCTAAAAGACACAATACACAAAGTCCTTAAAAGTAAATGAAACTATGGATAAAATATTAGCAATATGGTTAATAGACAAAAGGTTAATGTACACAATGTACAAAGTGCCCTTAAAATTAACCAAAAATACAATCTATAGTAAAGGAACAAATATAAATTAACATTTTGTAGCAAATCCAAAAGGTTAACAATTTTATAAATAGATACCAACTCGAACATTAGTTGGGTAAATGCAAATTAAAGTAACAAAAATATTACTTATACTTTTCAGATTGCTAAAAATTAAAATAGTAGTGAAAACCCATTACATCTGTAGCTTTATAGAATCATATCTTTATGACCTAAGAATAATGCCAATTTTCTCTAAGATTGCATTGAAACATAAATTATAATGTACAGCTTATTAATTTCATTACTCTAAATTTAAGAAGTCTATAAAATAAAGGCAAATTAAACAAAGTTAAAAATAGAGAGCTCTAAAATAATATATCAAGAACATACAATAATAAAAAAGGGTGGTGTTCAGAATTTAGTAATGCACATACAAATTGATAAGGAATAATTACAAGATCCAATAAAAAGTCTGGCAAATGATATGAACTCATAATACGTAGAAAAAGGTGGCCAGTAAGAATGACAGAGGCACTTGATTTTACTAATAAGAAGAGGCAAAATAATAGAATGTAAAAAAAAATTTTCTCCTATCAGATTGTCAAATATTTAAAAAGTCTTATGATACTAAGTGGTGTCAATTATTTGACAATATGAGGAAACTTACACACATTGCTTATGGAAGTGAGTTTTATAACAATTTAGGCTTCTTTGGCAATACACAGTAAAACTGAGAACAAATATCTTTTAGTATCCTATAATTCCACATCTTGAAGCATTTGCACATGTGCACAAGGATACATAAGAATGTTCATAATAGTATTCCTTATAATGGAATGATTTAGATATAATGTCATATTAATCTGCAATGGAATGCACAAAATATATTTTCTCTATTTGATGAAATACATATCTATACACATATTGATATATATGATACATATAAGTCATATATCAAGAAAGATAAATTTCAAAAACACAACACTGATTAAAAGTTGTGAAATTATATACCATCATGTAAATTTTTGATATATATTTATGTAGCATGAACATGAAATAGTTTCAGCTTCAAGATAGATATTCTTGCTGAGCAACCCAGAAAAAGGAATGAAGTATGGTCCTTAAGCTATATTGATTCATTCATTCATTCTCTCATTTATTCAATAATACAGGCAAGAAAATTCTAATCTGTTTGCTATGGTTTGTCTCTACCAAAACTCATGTTGAGGCTTGGTCCTTAATGTGACAGTGTTGGGAGGTGTTGCCTTTAAGAAGTGATTAGGTCATTAGGAGGGATTGATATCTTTCTAGTAGCAGTGAGCTCTCTTAGGGAATTGGATTAGTTATTGGGAGAGCAGGCTTTTATAAAGCAAGGCTACTTTTCAAACTTGCTCTATTGGCACACACCAACTTCCCTTTACACTTTTCCATCTTGTTATAACACAGTATAAGGCCTCACCAGAAGCCAGCCATCTGTAGCGACCTGATTTTGGACTTCCCAACCTCCAGAATTGTGAGCTACATAAACATGTTTTCTTTTCACACTACTGGTACTGGATATTTTGCTATAGCAACAGAAAATGAACTAAGACAGAAAATTGGTATCGGGGGGAGTTGGTGTTATATCGATGTAGAAGCAGCTTTGAAATTAGGTAATGGGTAGTGCCTGGTAGAGCCTGGAAGACCAGGTTAAAAAGCCTGTATTGCAGTGAAGGAAGCATTTACGGTGGTTCTGGTGAGGGGTCAAAAGACAAGAAAACTAGGAAAACTCTGAAACTTCTCAGGTTACTTAAGTGGTCGTGACAAGAATGTTGATAAAAAATTCTAATAGTAAACATCATTCTGATGAGGTCTTAGGTGGAAATAAGGAATACTCTATTAGAAACTAAAATAAAGGCCATCCATGTTATAAAGTAGCAAGAAAAAAACTAGGCATGTTGTGTTCATGCCCTAGGGCTTTATGAAAGGTGGAATTTAAGTGTGATAAATGAGAATTTCTGGTGGAAGAAACAGCTAAGCAGGAAATTGCTCAAGATGAGGTGTGGTTACTTTTGGCTGCTTACGGTGAGTTATGGGATCAAAGGGATGATTTAAACACAGAATTTATAATTAAAAGGAAAGCAGAGCATAAAACTTTGGAAAATTCACAGCCTGGCTATGTAAAGAATAAAAAGTGTGTTCAGGAGAACAAAAGAAGGGTATGGCCAAGCAACCAGTTACTAAACAGATGAGCATAAACAGAAGGGAGCCAGATGCTAGTCAGCAGGACACTGGGGGAAAAACCCCTAATGCATTTCAGAGATCTCCAAAACTGCACCTTCTATCACAGGCCCAGAAGCCTAGGAGGGCCGACTAGTCTCATGTGACAAGCCCAAGGTGCCCTGCACAGGCTCACTGACCAGGGCCACCTTGAGACTTTGCTTCCTGCATCTCAGCAGAGTGTTCCTCAGCAACTCCAGCTGTGGCCCAAATGGCCCTAGCTGGGGCTCAACCCAGTGCTCCAAAAAGGAAGTTGTTAACCTTGGCAGTCCCATGCCATGGTTTGAATGGGCTCAGATGCAGCTCATGCCACTTCTCCAGAGGGTACATGCAGTAAGCCTTAGTAACATCTATGCCTATGTGATGCTAATTCTGCAGGGATGAACAATGCAGGAGCAGTGCAGGCATGATGTCCTTCACCTAGATTTCAAAGGATGTATCAAACTTCCTGGGAGTCCGGGCAGAAACCTGCCACAAGAGTGGAACTGCCACAGATAGCCTCCACTAGAATTCCTAATGTATCTTTTTTTCCCGTGAACCCTATACCTGTAGAGCCACTGACAGTGTGCAATACCTGCCTGGGAAAGCTGCAAGTTCTCGTGTGCAACTTCAACCTTTGAAAGCAGCCATGTGAGCTAAGCTCAGCAATGCCATGGGGGTGGGACATCCCAAGACACTGGGGTCCCAACCCCTATCCCAATGTGTCCTGAAGGCAACATATGCAGTGAAATATTTTTCTAGAACCTGAAGATTTAATGCCTGTCCTGTTAGGTTTTGGAGTTGCTTTGGGCTAGTTATTCATTTCTTTTTGCCTGTCTCTTTCTTTTGGAAAGGGAATGTTAACCCTATGCCTGTTCCACCATTGTATCTTGAAAATGGGTTTGGATCATAATCCCCAAGGGCACAATCCAGAACACCATAATTCCAAATGTCAAAATCATGGAAGATCAAAATTGCTAAAGTCTAAAATCTCTAAAATCTAAAATTCCTAATATCTAAAATCTCTAAAATTACAATCACAGGGTAGTTGCATCATGTCAAGCAGAACTCTTCTCTTGTTACTGTCTTTATGCAAAAGAAAATGGATTTTAATTGCATCCTCAAAACATAATAACAGATTGATAATTGAGATCAAGTCTTCTAAAAGTGAATTTCAAGGTATTATCCATAAAGTTTGTTTTTTCCATTAAGCCCAATGCATTTGGTAGAAAATCCAGATGTGTAAATTGGCTAAGCAATACAACAATAATGAAAACTTTGTTTTCTGATAGCTGATAACATTCCAGGAGTTTTTAATGAATTAAAACCACATTTGCCTAAAGAAGCCAGTGAAGTTACTGACTGGTTCCAAAATAATTATGTGCATGGTAGGACAAGAAGACACTTATGCAATGGTGTTGCAGTTTCGTTATCAGCATTGTTTTTGCCAAATTTGTGATCTGTATATGAATGCACGTAAAATGAATTTTAGTGTACCAAAAACAACATAGAAGCATGGCACAGAAGATTGGAAAATTTAACAGGGATTGTTCATGTCAGTGTATGTTGACCCATAGAAGAATTTCAGAAAGAACAGTACCACATAGAAAATGAATATGAAACTATTCTCTGAGGAGAGCCATATCCTAAAAGAAAAAAATAAGGAGATATTTATTTTAATTCAAGCCTTCAAAATATGGTTAATGATCATGAAAGTTGGCCAGCTTTTATGGACTATCTCCACGTAATCCCCCATAATCTATAACTGTAACACATTTTTTCATATGCCAATTTTTTTCTTCTTTTCTTTTTTTAGTTTTTCTTTTTTAAAAACTTTTAGGTTCAAGGGTACATGTGCAGGTTTGTTATATAAGTAAACTTGTGTCATGGGGGTTTGTTGTACAGATAATTTTGTTACCCAGGTGCTAAGCCTAGTATAAATAGTTTTTCTGCTCCTCCCCTTCCTCCCACTATCCACCCTCAGGTAGGCCCCAGTGTCTATTGTTCCCCTCTTTCTGCCCATGTGTTTTCATAACTTAGCTCTCACTTACAAGTGAGAATATGGAATGTTTGGTTTTCTGTTCCTGTGTTAGTTTGCTAAGGATAATGGCTTTTAGCTCCATCCATGTTCCTGCAATAGACAGGATCTCATTCTTTTTAATGGCTGCAGTGTATTTCATGGTGCATATATACACCACATTTTAATGTTAGTTTTTTTAAAAAACTTTTAAATTGTCAGTATTTTCTTTTTTTTTAAACAATTCATTATGCTATGTATTTCATCTTTGCATTACTTTCAATACTGGAGGTATAGTTGTGTGAAGACTTGTAGGGAGTTCTAATGTATTTTGTGTATTTTTCTGCAAATGCGACTCCATGAAAGTGCATTATTGCAAGTTGACTGTGTGTATAAGCATTGTGCATATATGTAGAAATGCTTAAACATTTTCAGTAAAAGAAGAGATGTCCTTTTTCTACATTTGCATTTGTGAAAGATAACATTTCTCAAGATCTTGGTACTTCGGGCAGCTAGTGTGGTGGTGATGCAGTGGTGACCCATCCCAATTTTTGATTGATCTTGTTAAAATACTTATGTTGTTTGTCACAATATTTCAGATGCTGTGGTTATAAAACTGAGTGCACAAAATTACCAATCATCACAATCTGTATTTATACATTCAGCTTTTTGACCTATTTCTTTATGAACACAGGCTATCTGCTTGTAACTGTTATACCCGTGTGACTGTTAGTATACCTGAGTGTTTATGCTTGGAAAAATATTTGTTATTATTGCCTGTTTTATTGCATAAAGTGGCCTATAAATTGTTGTCAGGTTTTTATATGTTTCTCAAATAAATTCCCTTTTAAAAAGGCAAATAAATATTTTTCCAATAATGTTAAAAATTATTTTTTCCATAATCATATTTTCAGGATTTTGATCTTTCAGCATTGTGATTTTAGGATGTTAGACTTCAAGGATTTTCATCTTTTAAGATTTCAATATTTGGGATTATGATGTTTGGAACTGTTTGGGATATGACTGGCTCCCTTCGAAAATAAATAACTTGTTTTGATTTCACAGGCTCAAAACTGGACTTTGGATTTTTTTAGTTGGTGCTAGAATGAGCTAAGACTTTTGAGATTATAGGGATGGAATGATGGTGTTTCTTATTGTGAGAAGGAAATTAGTTTTGGGAAACCAGAGGCAGAGTCCTGTGGTTTAAATATGGTCAGTCCCCACCCAAACTCATGTTGAGGTGTGATCCCCTACGCGGCAGTGTTGGGAGGTGGTGCCTTTTCGAGGTGAGGTCATCAGGAGAAGTTAATGCCTTTATCCTGGGAGTGAATTCTCACTCTCATGGGACTAGATTAGTTACTGGAAGACTGCTTGTTATAAAGTGAGGCTGCTTCTGGTGTTTACTCTCTTTGAACTCAGTTGCTTCTTCTGCTTCTCGGCTGTATTACAGTACAGCATGAGGCCCCCACCAGGAGCCAACTAGATGTGGCTACCCAATTGTGGATCTGCAAATCTCCAGCATAATGTGCTAAATAAACCTATTCCCTTTATTAATTACCCAGTATCAGCTATTTTGTTACAGCAACAGAAAACAGATTAAGACACTGTTGCATCTAGAAGATTACTGTATGTGTAGGTACCTGGTGAAATTTAGAGGATAATTGGTGTTGCAAGATTGACTTATTTAAATCATGAATAACTTTATAAACTAAATATTAAACTCCCTTCACAAATAAAACACTAAGGATTTCAGAAATTATGCAACTTGCCCAAAGTTGCACAGCTTATAGTAAGTGGTAGAGCTTGATTTGAATGCAGAGACTCTGATGACAGAGAATGGAGATGTGAGTTCCATGTGATACTATGGGAAGGGAAGTGTGGGCAACAGCTCTGTAACTTGCTCTCCACTCCTCAGGGATGTAAGCGGCACTCTTGACTTTGACTAGGCCTCCTTGTAAACACTGTAATGTCAATTCTTAGCATGGAGATATTCAGGGAACTTGAAATCTAACAATATTTTAAGCAGGATATATTTGGCATAGCTAGGTTACTTATTATAAATAAAACTGGAATTATGACCTTATGGGATACAGCTGGTTGAAGAACAAAAGTAGTCATGTTTCAACCTGAGTAAATAATGAAGTATAGACACCAAGAAGCTCAAATCAGAACACCTTTCTTTTCTTTAAGTTGTACTACACACATCATTAGATCTCATCTGTTACTCTGAAACCAAAGACGTCTTAGGGCAGAAAGAATAACTCTCTTTTGAAGCTAGATCTGGTGGCTTAGATCCCTTTGAGAGCCCAGTGCTTTGATGCTGCATTCGTAGGCACACAGGCCTACTGTTGGCTTGTATCCTCCTCTAATCATTAGCAGATTTTTATGTTGGTTAAAGTTATGACTTATGTGAGTGTGCAGTGACTATTCAGTGCTTTGTGATTCTGCATACAGCTTCTTAGCATTAGATAGAAAGGGAAGCAGGGATTTAATTCAGTTCAGAGAGATGCTTCTTATGAATCAAAAACTGTAAGCCCCCATAATCTGTATCATGGAAATAAAAGCCTATTGAAGCAAATTTGAAAATAGTTAAAATGGTAAAGTTTATGTTATGTATATCTTACCACAATTTTTATGAAAAGCAAATGGTTAGTGGCACAGCAGGTGGTTCTGACTGGCCATGTGTGTATAGCAGGGGGAGGGCACACTCATGTGACCTCTCCTTGCATGTATTACTCCACACTACATGACTGGTGGTGGTGGCTCAGCTAGGCTTTCTGTTGAACACTTTCTTCTTTATTGATCTAGAAGCTGAAACAGCAGGAGCATTTAATCTTTTAACACTTCACTAGAAGTAAGCTTACATACTCCTGTTTTCTGTTTCTTTATTTTTGCTTTTAGAGACAGGATCTTGCTTTGTCACCTAGGCTGGAATGCAGTGGTACATTAAGCTCAATGCAGTCTTGAAATTCTGCACTCAAACAATCCTGCCTTAGCCCCCCGAGGAGCTAGGACTACAGGTAGCAGCCACTGGACTTGGCGAATTGAAAAAGTAATAATAATAATTAAAGACAGAGCCTTGCTATGTTGCCCAGGCTGGTCTTGAACTCCTGGCCTAGAGTGATCCTTCCTCCCCAGCTTTCCTTTTCTGTTTATTAGTGGTACAAAAATGTGTATCAAAATTTTAACCTGCAATATAAAAAAGTGAAATCAAATTTTTATTTTATAATTTATTTTTAGAGTTGTCTCTTGCTTAGCTGAAAGTACCTTAAAAATATTGGAGAGACACATACCTCCAGACACTTAATGTATTTTCTTCTTTGTCCCACGAAGTCTAGGACTAAAAAGCATAAATTTAGCTATAGATCTTTAAGCTTAATCCAGAAGATTGATTACCAGGTCAGGGTTTTTGTAACTGGGAGCAGAGAACTTTTTCTTGGACCTAATATGTCGAGCTAGATGGAACATGTCTTATTTTTTCTTCACTGAGGACGAACTGATGGTAATATCTTAGATGAGAACCGGGAGTAGGAATGATGGTAAAATGTGGAAACAAGAGCATAAGGACCCTTTAGTGCTAAAAATAAACAAACAGGTCCAGAAAACATAGAGCTAGCTTTGAATTAAGAGCTTAATTAATGAGCTAAACCAAATAAATAATATACTTATGAGAACTACATAGCTATAACCTGTCTAATCTCTATGGAGTTTATAATTGGTGGTCCAAATGAGAAAATGTTGATATTCCACAGGCGAGCACAAAATTAGATTTTAATAAACAGAAGACTACTAGAGGGAAATCATATGCAGAATGTAATTTAAAATGTAATCTTTCAGATGATCTGAAGTTTAGTTCACTTTTACAATATAAATGGAAAGGAAAAACTTGATCAAATGCTTTTTAAATCATGGCAGTTTTATTACAAAATTGTTGGTATAGGATAATAGCTTTCTATAGCTTCTGCATGTAGAAGTTTAAGATGATATTGTGTAAAACATTTATTTATTTATTTATTTATTTATTTATTTATTTATTTATTTATTTATTTTTTGAGACGGAGTCTTGCTCTTGCCGCCCAGGCTAGAGTGCAATGGCACGATCTCAGCTCAGTGCAACCTCTGCCTCCTGTGTTCAAGCGATTCTCCTGCCTCAGCCTCTGGAGTAGCTGGGATTACAGGCGCCCGCCACCATGGCTGACTAATTTTTGCAGTTTTAGTAGAGACGGGGTTTCGCCATGTTGGCCAAGCTGGTCTTGAACTCCTGACCTCGTGATCTGCCTGCCTGAGACTCCCAAAGTGCTGAGATTACAGGCGTGAGCCATTGCGCCCAGACTCTTTTTTTCTTTTTTTTTAAAGAGGCAAGATCTCGCTGTCTCACCCAGGCTAGCATGCAGTGGCATGATCATAGCTCACTGCAGCCTCAACCTCCTGGGCTCAAGCGATCCTCCTGCCTTAGCTTCCCAAATAGAGGGACTGTAGGTGTGCACCACCATGCCCAGCTAATTTTAATTTTATTATTATTATTATTATTATTTTTAGAGATGGGATCTTCCTATGTTGCCCAAGCTGGTTTTAGACTCCTGGTCTCAAGCAATCTTCCTGCCTCAGCCTCCAAAAGTGCTGGGATTACAGATGTGAGCCACCACACCAGGCCTATCTTTTAAATAATTGGAAACATTAGGTAGCTTGCCTCTCTTGATTATCAAGCTACTTTTACACCATGATATCAGGTCCAGAAGGCTTTATATTGCAATATACACAGGCACTGCAATGCATTTATTAATTGTATGTAGCCATAGTACCTGCCTTTGAATAGCTGGGTGACTAATGATGCTTGTGGCCCGTATGTATGGTAGTATTGCCCTAACAGGGCTTCCCTCACACAGGAAGCATTTCTACTGTTATAATGCCGAGCATTGTTGTAACACCAAGGCTATTTTAAATCTGTGCTTTGGCAGTAGTAATAGTTTCTGTGAATACATTCCTAAAGATATTTTGTGATAAAAGGAATATTGTAAAGCCAAAAATGTCAGGAGTTACAACCCTAGAAGATTAGTATGTAATTCAGTTACATAGTCGATCAACCATAAGTCATAAATCCCTAAGAAAACAAGCTTAATTAGTTTGTGTGCATGTCTCATGAAACTACTTGTCAGGGAACTTAATTAATTTTATTAAAAAACAACAACAAAATGAAGCTTAGATTAGAGGCAATAAAAAATCCCTGTGACATTTGGCCACTAATACTCATTTTGTTGACATGTATGACAGAGGATATTATATTTCAGATTACATATTGCTAACCCATGGTTAATGTTACAGAACCCCTTGGTCCTTTGTGTGTAGCAATCTTGCTTCATGCTTTGCAAACTCAACTCAATGAAAGTAAAATTCTCCTTTAGATATTACTCTTTCAAATATAGTTGATCATTTAAGAACATGAACTATACTTTAACCAAGCTCTCTTGAGAGAATATATAATTCTAGAAGACTTTTTTTTTTCACTAACTCAAAGCTAAGCTACAATTCTATTCTCTGATTCTGTTCATACTACCGATTTTGTGCTAATGTGTCACTGTTGGTCATAATTTATTCTACAATAGATTTTAATCTTGGTAAAATAAAAATTGTTTAAAAAGAAAAAAATATAAATACAACTTTGAATTTTTATGAAAAAGTTCCCCACATGCTATTTTATTTCAAAAGGGTTCAATTGCATGATCACAATTTTAATATCTCGTAAGTTATTTCAGCAATTTTTATTCCATAATTAAAATTTAATTAAAACATTATTCATTTATTTCTGACTAACCATTTAAACATGAGAGAAAGGTGCATTTATTGCATTTTGGATATGTTAAGAAGGTCAGAAATCTAAAAGTTAGGGCAAACTAAGCAGACCCTAAAAATAGAGGTTTTGGTCATTTCCTCTAATTGGTGGGGAAAATACTATTTTTGTATGAAGTTCTAAATTCTATTATAAATTGCATTCTATACTTAAACCCTTATATTTCTCACCAACATTTAGAAACTTCAGTATTATAGGTCCAAAGAGGAGGCAAAGTAGAAATAATTTCTTTTTTTTTTGAGACGGAGTCTCACTCTGTCACCCAGACCGCAGTGCAGTGGCGCAATCTTGGCTCACTGCAACCTCTGCCGCCTGGGTTCAAGCGATTCTCCTGAGTAGCTGGGATTACAGGCACCCACCACCACACCCGGCTAATTTTTTTTATTTTTAGTAGAGACGGGGTTTCATCATCTTGGCCAGGTTGGTCTTGAACTCTGGACCTCATGATCCACCCACCTTGGCCTCCCAAAGTGCTGGGATTACAGGCGTGAGCCACCATGCCCAGCCATAGAGAAAAAATATTAACAGAGTCAACTGTCAACAGAGACATGCAGGCAAAGATGTAAAGGGCAGGGCATTTATGAAAAAAAATTATTAAGATCAGCAAAATCTATATGCATAAAATTATCTTTAGATAATTTAATAACTACTAATTGGAACATATGAAATTGCTTCTTTCTGCAAATAAAAAATTGTTGAATATTGGAAACTTCAAGTGTTTCAGCTTAAGAATTGTGTAGCAAATTGTATATATTTTTATCAAGAGAAAATTAGGTATCAAATTGTATGAATTTTCATCAAGAGACAATTCTTTTTGTCAATCAAATATTTATCTATATATTAGAAACTATTTTTTGGCTGGTTAGGAAATCCTTAATCTTTATAATTTTTCTGAACTGAAACAGGAAGTATATTCTCAACATGACAGGCAGGGATGACTCATTTGAAATATATCAGATCATGTTACTCCTCTATTCAAATCCTCCCTGTGACTGGGCTAGCCATTTACTCAGACTTAAAGCTGATGCCCTTAAAATAGTCTATGAACCTCTTCATGGCCTGTCTGTTCTACTTGTTACCTTTCTGATTTCATCTGCTACCACTCTCTTTTTTACTTTCATTGCTCTACTCACACTGACCTTCTTGCTACTTACATGCCAGACCCTGTGTGGTACACTCAGAGACTTTACACTGGCTATTCCCTCCACCTAGAATGTTATTTCTTGACATATGTGAATGAATTATATCCTTACTTCCTCCAGGAGTCTACCCATCATGAAGATAAGTATTTCTCTGAACACCTGGTATTAAATAGCATTATCATGACCCCTGAATTTATTTTATTGCTTGTCACTTAGATTTTTTTATTCTATTACACTCACATCCATTTTATGTAATACATACTTACTTGTTTATTTGATGATTGATTGTCTTAATTCACTACAATGTAATCTTTCTAAGGGCAGGGTTTTTGTTTTATTTGCATCTATAGCCTAAGATCTTTGAATGGGGCTTAGCATATAGCTGGTACTCTGAATAAACAAATGAAATGTGACTAAGTTGAAAGATGATATTTAAATATAGAAAGTTTATTCTGCAGGAGAGGACTTGGAGATCAAAGTCTTAAGCTTTGTGGCAAATATCTAAGAATCTAGGTTCAAAAGTTTTTCCCTAAAATCTTTCAATTTTGAAGTTAATTTTTAAAATAACTTACTTTGCAGAGCCACAGCAGGCACTCTCAGTAAAGAGAAGTTTATGTGAATAAATTGGTATTAAGAATGCATGCCTTTAAATCCTCAACTGACAGTAATTTGATCTAGATTGTCCGGAACTTTGGTGTCAGAAAACCAACAATGATGGTATCTTATAGTATCTTTAAAGAAAAAATAAAGAATTTTGTATTGAGAGAAAATGACTGGCTCCAATGCAAGATTAAGAAGACAAAGGGGGCCGGGCGCGGTGGCTCACGCCTGTAATCCCAGCACTTTGGGAGGCCGAGGGGGGCGGATCACGAGGTCAGGAGATCGGGACCATCCTGGCTAACACGGTGAAACCCCGTCTCTACTAAAAATACAAAAAATTAGCCGGGCGTGGTGGCGGGCGCCTGTAGTCCCAGCTACTCGGGAGGCTGAGGCAGGAGAATGGCGTGAACCCGGGAGGCGGAGCTTGCAGTGAGCCGAGATCGCGCCACTGCACTCCAGCCTGGGCGACAGAGCGAGACTCCGTCTCAAAAAAAAAAAAAAAAAAAAAAAAAAAAAAAAAAAAAAAAAGACAAAGGGGACTCTTTACAATCTTCTCTAGAGATATTTATTCATTCAACTAATATTTGAGTGCCTGCCACATGTGAAGCACAATTTTAAGTGTCATGGAGTTTTGAATAGGCCAAAATTCTTGCTTGAAGTTTTTGTTGAAACAAATGAATTAGTTTAAAAAAAATAAAGAAAATAATTTTAGATGGCGATATGAAGAAAATAAAAGAGGATATATACTAGATTCTGATAGGATGATTAGGAAAGACCTCACTTCCCTAACCAAATGCTAGAGTAAACACCAGGAATTTATCTGGAGGAATGCTTGACAGGCAGGGAACAAGATATACAAAGGCATTAGGAGGAAAAAGACTTAAGTGTGCACAAGAACAAGTGGAAGCTGACAGGGTTGGGAGCAAAGGGGACAAGCGAGTAATGGAGATGAGATTAAAGATCTGGACTATAGAGGGCTTTGTCAGTCATGGGAAGAAGGTTTGGTTTATGTCAAGTGCCATTTGAAGATTTTAAGCAGGCAAGTTACATGATTCGTTTTTTTGTTTGTTTTTTGTTTTGAGACGGAGTCTTGCTCTGTCGCCCAGGCTGGAGTGCAGTGGCACGATCTCGGCTCACTGCAAGCTCCGCCTCCTGGGTTCACGCCATTCTCCTGCCTCAGCCTCCCGAGTAGCTGGGACTACAGGCACCCACCACCGCGCCTGGCTAATTTTTTGTATTTTTAGTAGAGACAGAGTTTCACCGTGTTAGCCAGGATGGTCTCGATCTCCTGACCTCGTGATCCGCCTGCCTCAGCTTCCCAAAGTGTTGGGATTACAGGCGTGAGCCACTGCACCTGGCCACATGATTCGTTTTTAAATGGGTTCCTGAGCTACTATGTGGGGGTTGTAATCTTTTGGCCGTATTTCTTCAAGTACTTCTTGAATACGAAAAGATTTTACTGATATTAACATATTTGGATGATGCCATTAGAATGCTTGTATGTCCCTAAATACTAAAAGAGATTTTACATTGCAGTTTCATAATTACTTCATATGGTTTTGTTTTCCACTGTAATTTTAAATTACCTGTTCTTACCCTTCAAAACTCTCTACTTTAGCCGGTCCATTCCTTCTCTCTCTCTGACTTAATTATTCTATTTAAGAATTTACTGAATCAAAAATAATTAGTTCTATGGTTTAAATATTTGTCCCCTCCCAAACTCATGTTGAAATTTAGTCCCCAATGTGGCGATATTGAGAGGTAGGGCTGTTAAGAGGTGATTGGGACAATTGGATTAATCCATTCATGGATTTATTTATTAATGAGTTATTGTGGGAGTGAGTAGCATTAGTGGCTTTAGCCCCTTCATCATGTGATGCCCTGTGCTGCCTTGAGAATTTGCAGAAGGTCTCCATTAGCAAGAAGACCCTCACCAGACGCAGTCCCTCAACCTTAGACTTCTCAGCCTCCATAACTGTAGGAAATAAATTTGTTTTCTTTATAAATTACCCAGTTTCAGGTATTCTGTTATAAGCAACAGAAAACATGCTAAGACAATCATAATTGGAAAGTCTTAGCTGTGAGAACATGAGATTGTCATAAAACCAGAATTTCTCCAGAATCACTACCAATCTCATATCTACGTCAAAATGTATAAAACAATTTTTCTCCTTGTTTACCTCGTTTATCTGTTGCTTTCTTCATTCCATGTGTATTGATTTCCTGTGGCTGCTGTAATGATCACAGATTCAATGTCTTAAACCACAGAAGCGTATTCATTCACAATTCTAGAAGCCAGACATCCAAAATCAGTATTACTGGGCCAAAACCAAGATTTCAACAGGGCCACATTCTCTCCAGAGGCTCTAGGGGAGAATCCAACGTTTCTTCTTCCAAATGCTGATAGTTGCAGCATTCCTTGACTCTGGCCACATCACTCAAGTTATCTAGAAGAGCATATTCAAGTCTTTCTGGACTGCATCTTCGTATCACCTTCTCTGTGTATGTTAACTCTCCTAATGTCCTCTACATAAAGACACATGTGATTGCATTTGGAGTCCAAAATAATCTCCTCATCTCAACATCCTTAATCACATCTGTGAAGACCATTATTTACCACATAAGGTAACATCCACAGGGCTCAGGTGTTAGAATATGGATCTTCTGAGAAGCCACTTTTTAATCCACTAGAATGTATCTAACACATCAATGTATTTCTAATTTTTTTGTCTTATATAAGTTGTTGTGTTTATCATTTTGTGTTCATTTAAAATAATATTTTTCTATAATTTTAATATTTTTGACATGGAAAGAAAAAAAATTTGAAAGACAGACTCCATAGTATTATTTCATTCACATAAAATCAGGGGTTATCAGTAATAGTCATATTGAGAAATTTGACTCTCTGGTAGGAAGTGAATTCTCTTTGTTGGTATTTGATAAAGCATCTCAGTGGTAACTTGTTTTCTGACATTTGTGCCCCTTTATCTTCCCAGATGTCATCAGTTGCTAGTATATCCCAACTTCCCTATTTTGCTTGAAAGTTGATTCCATTGTTACTACTAGGGGCCCAGGGTGAAGTTACAACACATCAGCTGCTGCAGAGTTCACTTATTCTATCTAGTCCTCTCCCACTCTGGTCACCACTCCCTAGAGGCGTGGATCATTCTTAGTGCTGATCTTACCCATCTGCAGTAGTATTATTCCACGCATATCCTAGGCTGCAATTTCTTCCCTTAAGTAGATATCACCTCCTTTTTATCATTCAGTGAGTCCAGAACTTAACTCTTTGTTCATGAGTCAAGATTAAATGTATTTTGTAACATGTTATTTTTCTTAATTTGCTACAGGAAAGGCAATATTTTTAGTCCACCATCTTTTCTTTTTCTGTTTTTTTTTTTTTTTTTTTTTTTTGAGACGGAGTCTTGCTCTGTCACCCAGGCTGGAGTACAGTGGCGTGATCTCGGCTCACTGCAACCTCTGTCTCCTGGGTTCCAGGGATTCTCCTGCCTCAGCCTCCAGAGTAGCTGGGATTACAGGCACCCACAACCATGCCCAGATAATTTCTGTATTTTTAGTAGAGACGGGGTTTCACCATGTTAGCTAGGCTGGTGTCGAACTCCTGACCTCAGTCTGTCCGCCCGCCTTGGCCTCCCAAAGTGCTGGGATTACAGGCGCGAACCACCGTGCCTGGCCTCAGCCCACAATCTTTTCAAAAATGCATTATAGCCTTACAAAGTACCAAGCACACGGTCACATGACAGGACTTCTTTTCTAACATGATTATACAATTTATAACTTCATAAGGTCATTAACATGAGAGAAATAGAAGAATTCTGAAATATTTGGGGGTATCATAAAAGAGTCCACACTGGAGGAAACATTTGGGATGGATCTTAAAAAATGAGACAGAGAAAGTGAGAAAAGGCTTTACAGGAATAGCTAAGAATATGTGTCAAGATAAAAAAATGTGTTAAAAGGCTCTGCATTCTGTGAAAGGTGAGACATTTAATGTCTTCTTAACACAGACAGAGGTAAAATAAGGGAAGTTTCAGCTTAGAAAATAAAATGAGAAAATTCTATAAATTAACTTTTTCAGTAATTCAGCAAACAAATATGTATCAAATACCTGTTATAATCCAGACAGTTATTTTGCACTGGCTGCTGCCTTTGCACATTTATATCAATGAATCAAGGAGTTTGAAATTTATCATATGGAAAGAAGGGAAATAAAATATATTTTTAATAATGGAGATGAAATTATTCAATCTTGTTTCTAGAAACTAGCATCAATGGCAATCTGAAAAATGGTTTGAAATAAGAAGAAGCTGGTGGTATAAACAGGGAGAGGCAAGTGCAGTCTGCTCAGAGCTGGTAGAGTCTGAGCAAACATTCTGTCAATGGGAATAAAAAGTGAAGATTATTCTTTAAAAATATTTGGTGAGAAATAATTTTATTTCAATTATTTATAAAAATTTGCTCAGATGTAGGAGTAGGTGTGGCTTAATGATTGAACAAATCTCAAGTATCCACATTAGTTATATGAATGAATTGGGACTCCATTTATCTGTACTATATAAAAATGTGTCTGAGAAGCAATTTTGATACTATGATAGAGAAAGTTCTAAAATGGCTCCCAAGAAATCTCATCTCTATTGTACATGCCCTGCATAATACAGGGCAGAGTGAATAGGATGGATTTAATTTCTGTAATTAGTTTATGTCATTTGGCACAGTTGACTTTGACATAGGGAGGTTATTCAGGTGGATCTGACCTAATCACATGAGCCCTTTCAAAACAGCTTCTGCTGATTGGTCACAGAAGAGGAAGTCTGAGATTCTAAGCATGAGAAGTATTCAATGTTTTAAAGATGGAGAAGGCTATGTGACAAGGTGGTAGGCAGCTTGTAGGACATGAGAGTTGCTTCTGGCTAGCAGCCAGATAGAAAAAAATAAATTCAGTCATGCAGCTATAAGGAACTAAATATTCCATCAAAAAAATTAGCTTGAAAGTGGATTTTTCCCTAGTCTTCAAAGACCTCAGCCCAACTAATGTCATAATATCAACCTTGTGATAATCTTAGCAGACAGCCAATTATGCTGTACTAGACTTCTAACAAATAAAAGTTAATAAATGGGTGTAGTTTTATGCTGCTAATTTTGTGGCATTTTGATGCACACCAGTAGAAAACTAATAGAGATACACAACAGTACAAAGAATAAAATAAAGTATGTAAAACAATAAATTTGAGGACGAATGAGAAAATCCTATGCATTTACAGAAACTTAATTTGAAATCTTAATGAAATTGAATTATTTCCTTTAAAAATCTGTAATGCAATATCTGGTATAAAATATAGAAAACAAGACCAATAACTGTAGAAGAAACTGAACATATTAACAAACTGCTGTTCTTACAGAAAGTAGAGAACAGATTTGTTTTTTGATTATATTTTAAAACTTTTATTTTTTTCTGTATGTTATGTATTAAACATCTATATAGAAAATGGCATTATTCTTAATCCATTCTCTGATGCACACACGGTAATGATAATACAACGTCTTTCTTAAAATAAATCACACACCTTTTGCATTTACATTATTAAAAATATTATACATGAATGCAATTTTATGTGTGGACTAGATGTTTAAATATAAAACATTAACATTAAAAATTAAAATAGATAAAAATTACATTAAATTATTTGCAAACAAGCATACATTTAGGATACGTATAAGATAATTCTACTTCTTTTCTTTAACTTTTATTTTAGATTCAGGTGTACATGTGCATATTTGTTATACAGATAAATTGTATGTCACAGGGGTTCAGTGTACAGATTATTTCATCACCCAAGTAATAAGCATAGTGCCCAATAGGTAATTTTTCAATCCACACCCTCCACTCTCAAGTATGCCCTGAGGCATATTGTCTATTGTTGTCTTCTTTTTGTCCAATTGTACTCAATGTTTATCTTTCACTTTTTAGTAAGAACATGCATATATGGTTTTCTGCTCCTGTGTTAATTCACAGGAGGATATGATTAGGATAGGATAATTCTAGGATAATGGCCTCTATCTCCAACCGTATTACTACCGCAAAGGACATGATCTCAATCTTTTTTATGAGTGCATAGTATTCCATGTTGTATATGTATTACATTTTCTTTATCTAGTCTACCATTGATTAGCATTTAGGTTGATTCCATGTCTTTGCTATTGTGAATAGTGCTGTGCTGAACATAGATGTGCATGTGTCTTTATGATAAAATGATTTATATTCCTTCAGGTATATACCCAATAATGGGATTGCTGGGTTGAATGGTAATTCTGTTTAAATTCCTTAAGAAATTGTCACACTGCTTTCCACAATGGCTGAACTAATTTATGTTCCCACCAGCATTGTATAAGCACCCCCTTTTCTTGGTAACTTTGCCAGTATCTGTTAATTTTTGGCTTTTTAATGATAGTCTCTCTGACTAGTTTGAGATAGTATCTCATTATGGTGTTGATATGCATTTCTGTAATGATCAGTGATGTTGAGCATTTTTTCATATGCTTGTTGGCTGTGTGTATGTCTTCTTTTGAAAGTGTCTGTTCATGTCCTTTGCCCATGTTTTTATGGGATTGTTTGTATTTTGCTTGTTACGTTGTTTACATTCCTTATAGATTCTGAATATTAAATCTTTGTCAGATGCATAGTTTGCAAACATTTTCTCCCATTTAGTAAGTTGTCTTTTTACTCTGTTGATAGTTTCTTTTGCCGTGCAGAAGCTCTTTAGTTTAATGAGGTCCCTTTTGTCCATTTTTGCTTTTGTTGCAATTGCTTTTGGATCTTTGTCACATGAACAACTGGAAAATATATGAATGAATCAATGAAATCAATGAAAATTTTATAGTATAAATAGTAACTTATAGTTCTGATGACACTATTGCACATAGTATCATCTCTGAATATAAAGTATGAGAAGATGCTCCTGAAAACAAATAAAGATTTGTTTTTTTCAGATGAGAAGATTTTAGGTGTAAATTATAAAGCTATTGAAATTACAAAATGTTTTAAAGTTTGATGTGTAGGATGCAGGTAAATTTGTGATTGACTTAAAGAAACAATGTTTTCTCTTATAGACTACTATGGTGAAAAGTCTATTTCAAAAGATTAGTGTAAGAACTCGATAGTACTTTTATCACAAAGTCAACATAGAGGAAATATTTTAAATGTCTGTTGTCATTTAATGAGTATCTATCATAAAAAAATATAACATTGCTAAATAAAATATTGAAAAAATATATTTTTGAAGTCATTTTTGGGACTCATCAAGAACATTATTTTTACTTTTACATATTTAATTTAGATGAAGATAATTTTGTTAGATAAACTATGAACATTTTGGACTGGACTCACTGGGGATATCAAACTCTTTAGTCAAACATGTTTTTGGCAATTCATATGCTAGATTTAGATATCTTATTTTTCTAACATATTTAAATCAATTTCTCTATAAGTAAACTCAAGTTTCTAAGACCTTATATTTTTCCATAAGTACATTTTTGGTAGCTATGATGCTGAACATTATGGGGCAACTTGATTGGGCTAGAGAATGCCCAGATAGCTGTTAAAACATTACTTCTATGTGCATATATGACTGAATTCTGGGCAAATAAATAGATTGAGTAAAGAAGATTACACTCACTAATGTAGGTGGCCATTATCCTATCTGTTGAGGATATGAAGAGACAAAAGGAGGGGGAATTTTCTCTCTGCTTAAGCTGGGACATCATCGTCATCTGCCTTTGGACATTGACTCTCCTGGTTCTCAGACCTTCAAGCATAGACCAGGACTTTCACAATTAGCTCCCTTGGTTCTCTGGCCTTCAGGTTTGGACTAGAATTATATCCCTGGCTTCCTTGGGCCTCCAGCTAGCAGATGGCAGATTATGAGATTTTTCAGCCTCTTTAATCACATGAGCCAAAACCTCATAATAAATATCTTTCTTTATATCTCTCTATGTATTCTATTGGTTTTGTTTCTCTGGAGAACTTTGACTAATACAGACTTAGTATTGGTAGTGGGGTTCTAGGAGAGCAGAGTTTTAAGAATGAGTTTCCTGAATTGGTTCTTGGGTTTCTGGAATTGGCTCTCCAATATAATTATATTTAAAGATGCTAATGATTCTATTTCCAGTAGTAAAGACCACTGATGGTCTGTGGTGTGTAATGTTTATAGAGATAACCAAAATATTTTCATTTGATACTCCTAATCAGCCACTTTCAAGAACCAAGGAGCTAAATGATTATACAATATTTTCAAACATAATAAACAAAAAGCAATACCACATTCCAATAGGAATTGTAATGATTAGTGCCATGATGAAGGACTTAAAAGATGCAGAGTTGGTGATTCCCACCACATTCTCGTTCAACTAGCCTGTTTGGCCTGTGCAGAAGACAGATGGATCTTGGAGAATGACAGTGGATTATGTAAGCTTAACCAGGTGGTGACTCCAATTCCTGCTGCTGCTGTACTAGATATGAATTCATTGCTCAAGCAAATTAATACATCCACTGGTAGCTGGTATACAGCTATTGATTTAGAAAATACTTATTTAGTTCACAGGAATCTTTTCTTTTCACAAGATATCACATTAGTCTGTTACATTGGTGACATTATGCTGACTGAATCTAGGGAGCTAGAAGTATCAACTACTACAGACTGTATTGATGTTTTCCAGCATGTTAGAGGCTGGAAAATAAATTCAACAAAAATTCAGAAGCATTATACCTTAGTGAAATTTCCAGGATACAGTAGAGTGGGGCATGTAGAAATAATCCTTCTAAGGTACAGAATAAGTTGTTGAATTTGGCCCTGCGTGCAACCAAGAAAGAAGCACAATGCCTCATGGGCCTCTTTATATTTTTGAGGCAACATATTCCTCATTTGGATGTGTTACTCGGGCTCATTTATCAAGTGATCCAAAAAGCTGCTAGTTTTAAATAGGCCCAAAAAGATAAAAGGCTCTGAAATAAGCTGAGCCTGCTCTACAAATTGCTCTGCCATTTGGGTCATATGATCCAGTAGATCTAGTGGTGCTTAAAGTGTCAGTGACAGGTAAGAATGACTTTTAAAGACTTTGGCAGGCTTCTATAGGTGAACTGTAGCACAAGCCTTCAGGATTTTGAAGCAAGGCCCCGCTATTATTCACAGATCACGACTTTCCTTTTGAGAAACAGCTGTGGACTGCTACTGGGCCCTGTTAGAAACTGAACACTTGCCTATAGGCCACCATGTTACAATATAACCTGAGCTACTCATCATGAACTGGAGTTTACGACACACCACTTTATAAATATGGCTGTGCACAGCAGCACTCCACAAAGTGGAACTGGTATATATGTGATTGGGCCCCAGCACATCCTGAAGTCACAAGAAAGTTACATAAAGAAGTGGCCCAAATGTCCATGGTCTCCTCTCCTTCTACACTGCCCTCTGTCTCCCAGCCTGTAACTACAACCTCATGTAACTACAGATCATGGGAAATTCCCTATGATCACTTGACAAAGAAAGAGAAGACTCAAGTCTAGTTTACAGATGATTTAGCACAATATGCAGACAACACCCCAAATTGGACAGCTACAGCTCTGCAGCCTCTCTCTTGGATATCCCTGAAGGAAAGTAGTAAAGGGAAACCCTCACAGTGGGAAGAAGTTTGGTCACTGCACCTGGTCATGCCATTTGTCTGGAAGGAGAAGTAGCTAGATATGTAATAATATACCACTCATGGGCTGTACCTAATGGTTTGGCGGGATGGTCAGGAACTTGGAAGAAACATAATTGGAAAAATGATGCCAAAGAAATTTGAAAAAGAGATATGCGGGTAGACCTCTCTGAATGGACAAAAATGCATGCAGATATTTGTTCTATGTGAAGGCTCACCAAAGGGTAACATCAGGAGAGTAAGATTTTAATAAGTAGTGAATAGGATGACCTATTCTGTGGATACCAGGTCAATTTATTTCTCCGGCCACCCCGTCACCACCTCATGGGTTCATAAACAGAAGTGAACATGTTGGCAGCGATGGAAGTTATACATGGGCTCAGCAACATGGACTTCCACTTACAAAGGCTGACCTGGCTATGGCCACTGCTCAGTGTCCAGTTTGCCAACAGCAGAGACCCGCATTGAGACTCTTATGTGCCATCATTACCCAGGATAATCAGCCAGCTACTGGGTGGCAGGTTAACTACACTGGACTGCCTCCGTCATGGAAGGGGCAGTGTTTTGTCCTTGCTGAAACAGACATTTACTCTCGATACAGATTTGCCTTCTCTGCTCATAATGCTTCTGTCAAAACTACCATTCATAAACTTATAGAATGCCTTATCTACTATTATGGTATTTCACAAAACATTGCTTCTAATAAAAAAATCTCTCTTCACAACCGAAGCAGTGATAGAATGGTGGAATGGCCTTTTGAAGACTCGGTTACAGTGCCAGCTAGTTGGCGATCCCTTTCAGGACTGAGCCAAGGTTCTCCAGAAGGCAATCTAAACTCTGAGTCAATGCCTATACATTGTGTTGTTTCACTGATAGCCAGGATTCACAAATCCAGAAATCAAAAGGTGGAAATAGGAGTGAGGCCACTCACTGTTCACTACCTCTAGTTAGTTGGTTACTTCAGTAACCCACTATCAAATTTTTACAACTTGTTCCTGTGACTTTCTGGTCTTCTGGCCTAGAGGTTTTAGTTCCAGAGGGAGGATGCTTCCAGCAGGAAACACGACAATAAACCCATTGAACTGGAAGTTAAGACTACCACCTGGCCACTTTGGATTCCTTGTGTCTCTGAATCAACAGTCAAAGATGGTAATTACTGTGTCAATTGGGGGTGACTGACCTGTAGAAGTAGAGAGATACTATTTTCAGATAAGATCAAAAGAAAGTGTCTCCATTTTTATTTTGATGGAATTTTCTGAACAACTTTGCTGTCCAGAATTAATGAATTTTTCACTGAAGTTTAGATAAATTTTAGAAAAATAAATAAGGAAGATATTCAGAAAATATATACTTACTAATGTTCAGAAGTACATCTTTAATTCCAATAGAATACTTTTTAGGGGTCATATCAAATGGACAAAGCTAACTTCTTAAAATAACACAATTTTAGAACCATTTGAAGCTGGGTGCAGTGGCTAATGTTTATAATCCTAGCAATTTGGGAGGCCGACGGGGGAAGATTGCTTGAGCCCAGGAGCTTGCGACCAGCCTAGGCAACATGGAGAGATCCTGTCTCTACAAAACAAAATTTAAAAACTGGCTGAGCATGGTGGTGCACGCCTCTGGTCCCAGCTAATCAGGAGGCTCAGGGAGGAGGATTGCTTGAACCCTGGAGGTTCAAGCTGTAGTGAGCCATGCTCAGTGCACTCCAACCTAGGCAACAGAGCTGTTTCAGACCCTGAGGCAAAAAAAAACAAAAAAAAAACAAAAAAGAGATTAGAACCATTAGGGGTCTTAGCAATCAATTTGTTCAACTCACTAAGTCCTCTCATTTTTTCAAATATAGGACTTCGACATTATGTGAATAGTGTCAGTCTGAGAGTAGAATCTGTCTCACTGCACCAGAACATAAAGAGTTGCATGTATTTTTTAAATGTTATGAATACATACCAGTATTAACATCCCAAATATATGAAAATCTGTCCTCAAAAATTGTCACTTATTATGTATTAATATTCTAATTGTTTTATTTTATCCAGAAGAGTTTAGGAGAAGAATTTAACCTGGATGTATGCTTGATAATAAAGAGCTGTCCTTTGGAGACATTGTTGTATTTTGCTGTGTTAAAAATATTGAATGATTGAAAAAATAAATAACCCCACTAGCATCATGGAAAACTCTTGTGACTTTTGTGACTGATGCGGTGTTGAATTGACTATGTGTTTTATTTGAGATTTGTTAAACTGCTAGTGTTATTGTCTGAATCTTCAGACTTACTACTCAAATGCAATAGTTACCTTTTATGGCAATTAGACTAAATTATTTCAAATCTCTCCAGACCTGAGAATAATTAAGTGTGAAGTATCGATTTTGCATACTGCATGGTATTAGATACTAAGAGTCACAAACAATTTTTTCTATATTGTTTTTACAGTGGAACTTTTTCTCGTTCCTTCGTCTTTTTAAATAGTTAAATTTTTAATAATCTTTTCATTTTTAATGTTTTATGGGTACATAGTAGGTACATATATTTATGGGGTACTTGAAATGTTTTGATACAGGCATGCAGTGAGTAATAATCACATTACAAAAAATGTGGTATCCATCCCCTCAAGCATTTATCCTATGTGTGATGATAAGAATCTCACCAAGTATTCACACATTTTGGAAGCTTAAGTTCTGGTTTTTCATGCGTAGGTTTTTGATAACATTAAGCTACTACTCTTCAAAAACAATTGAAAGTTGTGTCCATGAAAGGCAAAGGTAGCATTCATTGCCACCACCTACTCTACTATTCTGGAAGATACCAATTCCTTAACATTGCATTCAACAAAGAAGTTCAAAATGGCCTCAGTGACTTCTTAACATGGAAACACAGAGTACCCTTACTACTAGAGCCAGCACAAGTTGCAATTATTTTACAATCCTTGAATTTGACCTGTTTTCCATAATATTTTGTTGCAAGTTTTCCTTCTTTGTAGTGTACCTGAAGAGACTGAGGTATGGTCTACATGTATATTCTGCAATTACAAACATCGATGTAATTCAACAAAAGTCTTCAAAAATACTTATTCTGAGTTCTGGTTCCAGTAGACACTGAAACATAAAGATGAACAGAATGTACCATCTCTCTTTCTGTGTTCATAGCACTGTATATGGATTTAGCATGTCGCATTTGTCCTTGGAAAAATCCATTATGAATCATGAACCATAATTCCCTCTATACAGATGAGGGCAGATTTCATATTAGCTCAAGATCACTGTTTTTAGTGACTGAGCTGGGACTTGCAAAGTCTGAATGATTCCAGAGACCACCGTGGGAACTCATTAAAAATTTTTCATGCAATTTAAATATCCACTGAGCCCATGCAGCACTTCCTCTCAATTTACCCTCCTGTCACTCTAGCAGGTAGAACACTTTGTGGTAACACAGAGCTTTTGCTGCAATGTTGTGAGGTATGAAATTGACAAAGGAAGTATATTTAAGTCCTAAAGAATGGGTGAGAGCCATTCTGGGAAAGAACCTGGTACAGAGCAATAAGTAAACTCATTCATAGTTTAATTTATATGTTAATATACCAAGCAATTATTTGTTGTCTTCAAATATTCTATGTCTGGGAATTCAAAGACAGTAGAAAATGTGACATTTATATAGGTGTTTAATTTTTTAAAAAGCTTAGTATAGATATAAGGGAGAATCTAGCAACTGAATCAAAGCTTTGGTTTGGGATCATATATTTGGAAAAGTTTTGTGTATATCATACCAAAACATCTGAACTTAATTCTATAGGATAAAAAGAGTCAAGTGAGTATTTTATGTAAGGCAATGAAAAATTTGTTTATACAGTGTTTCAGTTCCAAAATCATCACTAAAAAATTATAAGAAGCTAGACAAGAGGGTCAAAATGGTTATATCATAACTTTCTCCTTTAAAGTGTTAATTTTCCATGCTCCCCTGCTGTGAAGAGGAGTGGGATAATTTATTGGAAATTATTTGAGTTTTTAAGAAAGCTTTTTCAAGGTGTTATGATTTTTAGTCATATGTTTAAGCAATGGAAGCAATGTGTAAGTTTATTGTAAAAGTCAAATACAGTTGAAAATCCTCCCTGAACCTTTCATTCACCTCTGGCTTTTGACTCATTTTCTCTTTTCCTCTTCACAGAAAGACTATTCAAATAATTATCTTAATCACTCTGTATACTTCCTCCCTTCCAAACTTTTGCATGCTTATTACATAGGGGGACCCATCAACAGCATGTGACCCAGTGTTTCTTTTTGAAACATGCTTTTTCCTTTGCTTCTTAGGATTCTACTAGAATTGCTTCTACTCTTACTCTATTAAATGTTTCTTCTTCATCTCCTTCGATGGTCCATATCTACATGACCCATAGCAAATGAAGAGATTCATTGCCTAGACTCTGCACCTCTCCTGTCCTAACACCCTGTTCCTCTTCCTCTCCTCCAATTTCCTCTCCTATATTCTTTACTCCTTTCTTCTCCTTCTTGGAGGAGCAAATCCAACCACTTGCTTATTCATTATTTCCAACAAATGTTTATTAAGCACATATTCTGTGCCAGGCTTTTGCTACTGTAGGGGCATAAAGGTATATTACCTTTCTTCACCATCAAAAGAGTTACAACTGACATGCCTATTTAAAAAGACAAATTAACAAGAGAAAAACATAACAAGTTTCTTGGCTGTTTTTTTTTTTTTTTTTTTTCACAATCCAGACAGACAATTTTATTCTGCTAACCTGAATTTGGAAGGCAGAGGTTAAAGAGAAATGTTTACATTTGGTTCTCAACTGAACATTATAGGCAGGCATATGGGAGAGCTGACCTTTGTAAAAATGTCTTAACCTTTTGGTGGCTTTTTGTCAGTTGTCCCAGGATCTCATCTGCAGGCTCTGGAGTGAGTCAAGTGTTCAGCTGGTCCACGATGGGCACCAGAAACTGTAGGGATGGAATGATGTCATAACTTTTCTCACCATCATAAGAGTCACAGCCAACATTCGTCTAACAAAAGACAGGTGAACAAGAGAAAAGCATAACAAATTTATTCAATCACAGTTTTATGTGAAATGGGAATCTTAAAAAATAAAGATTCAAAGACCAACTGAAAACTATTTGTATGCTTAGGCTCAATGAAGAACACATAGTCACGTAGAAATGTGATTGAACAAAAGGATATGTTCTAATGATAACAGACTGAAGTGGGGACACCTAGAAAGGCCTGTCCAGACTTTTTTTGGCCTCTCTGTGTAGCATTCCTCCCTCCCAGGCATGGGGCAGAACCTCTCTGGAATGTGGGTTTGCAAGGGAGAAAAGAGTGACCTTTCTAGATTTTATGACTTGCTTTGGGGAAGAGGAGTTCTAGTTTCTATGACTTGCTTCAGGGGAGAAAGAATGGTGAGAGAGAGGAGGGCAAGAGAAAATCAGAGAAACCTTGCTTCTGAGGTTTTCTCCCTGACTTTCAGTTCAAACTACTCAGGATGCCAAGATACATACTTCGGGGTGTTGCTTTTCTGAGCCTTGACACTACAAATCAACAAAGTCCTGTCCTGCTTGAATTTCTGTATGTATAGGAGAGATATTAGATTAACAAATAAACAACTAAAACATACAGAATGTCAGATGAAGATAAGTGCTATGAAAAATTAAATTTGGGAGTTGTACAGGCAATGCTATAAATGCTATGAGGAAGGTGGCAAGGGAAGTTTTCTTGGAGAGGCTGATATGTCAGCAAAGATCTCATTTATAAGGGAAATCTAGAAAAAAATGTTCAAATATACACACATAGAGAATAAATAGTGATTATCAGGGTTGACATGAAGGGAGTAAATGGGAAAATGTAGGTGAAAGTATGCAAAGTAGCAAATATGTAGTATGAACAAGTTGAAAGATCTAATGTTCAACCTGAGGACTGTAATTAATAATAGTGTATTATATTTAGAACTTTTGCTAAATGAGTAGATTATAGTTGCTCTTGCCACAGAAGCAAAAAATGTCCAACTATGTGAAATAATGGCTATGTTAATTTATTCCATTCTAGTAACCATTTTACTATATGTGTATATGTATACCTATATCTATATATATCATATAACATCATGTTGTATACTTTAAATACACACAATAAGATTCATTTTAGAAAAAAGACTTTAGAAAATGAAAGACATAAGATCTCTTTGGGCAGAGGTAGCAGCAAGTTTGATAACTTTGTGCTGGATAAAGAGGGAAATAGGTATTGAGAGCCATGTGGAATGGTGAAAAGATGATAGAACAAATATATTTTAAGTCCTGATTGAATCAAAGAATTATAGCCATTAGGATAATAGAGAGAATGCTTTAAAAATATGGGAGATTGTATACAGTTATGCTTAAAATTATGGAAAGATTATAGTAGTTAAAAGTGACCAAATCTATGGTATAAAATAGGGAAATACCATATGTATTATTCTATATTATGATAATAGAAACACAGCTGAAGCAGGAGGGAGGAAAAGATCATTGGAATAAAGAAACATTGAGATACTTGATGCAAGTCATTGCAATGCCAGGATATTGAATAAATCATTCATGAGGATAAAGAAATCTCTAAGAATTCTGACAGGATTAATGTAGAAAGAAGATTAGGTGCTAAACTCTTCAAAGACTGGGGGAGAATAACTCTAGGGTATATAGAAGTCTGTAACAAGGAGAGTAAATAAGAAGGGATGTGATTAGGTACTCCCCCTTAAGAACAAAATTTAAGGAGAAGGGCTTCAAAAAACTCAATGAACAAGATGAAGACTACTTTGATACTATTTTAAAAATCAAAATTAATGAAAAAATTCCATGACAAATGAAATATTAAAATAAAGACAGCATCATAGTAGGTAAGATATTCTGCTGATGATTTGAGGTTCAAAGACTGAAATTCATGCCTATAAATATCATTTCCATCTGAGATAGCTTCCTTGAGTTCTTCAAATGTGTACTCATCTCTCCATTTATATGTCTGCATCTCCAACCTGAAATGGCCAAAATTTAACCACCAACTCCCACTTTACCGTCTCCTGCTTCTCTTCCAAGCTTCCCCAACTCAGTGATTGGAAATTTTGTTCTTCCTGTTTCTCATAGCATAAACTATAGTGTCATAGTTAAACTCCTTGTTTTCCCTTAGAACTTCCTCCTATCTATCAGCAAATTCTATAGTCTTTCCCTGATAACTTCTGTCATATCTCTGGCCACTTTTTTGCACTTTCACTACTCTCATCACAGAGTATGCAAACATTGTTTTCCAGCTGGCTTGTTGCAATAGCTTCGATCCTGGTCTTCATTAGCTTTGTCCTTCCTAGGCTCCCTAGCAGGTATTCTCTAGCCAGCAGTTACAATGATCGCTGTACTATGGAGTCAGATCTGCCCAGACCTTCCAAAGGATTCTCATATTTCTCAGGACAAAAGACAAAACTCTTACATAGTCCCATATATCTGGCCCCTAGCCACCTTTTCAATCTCATCTATGAAATTTTTCCTCAATCATTGTGCTACAAGCACACCGGCCTCTTGTGTATTCTTCAACACATTATGCAGGGCCTTTATACTTGGCTTTTCCTTCCAACCTACAACACTTACCTCTCAATATCCATACGGCTCACTACTCATGTGCATCAAGTTTCTCTTCAAGGATTACCTGATTAGATAGTTATCTGGCTTAACCTGATCATCTAGATTGGTTGAAAATAGCATCACCCCATCACTTTCTATCACCCATTTTCCTCTCCATTTATCTTGCTTGACCTTATCATAACCCAACTTAAGTAGTTATTTGTCTGTTATCCTATAATCCATAAGCACGTGTGGTATGTCTGTTTGTTTACTGCCATAGCAGCACTGCCAAGAGCAATGTTTGGCAGATAGTAGTTGCTCAATACATATTTGTGAATAAGTTATATATTAATAAATACAGTACTCAATCTTTAAACTGTTACCAAATATAATTAGATTGAATTTAAAACATATTTGAAATCTAAATTTTAGAAACATCAAATATTTTTCTATGTTCAAATTTAAGTCAGTTGATTAAAATATTTTATTGCGAAAAACAAATTTAATTATTCCAGAATAGAATCACTATGGAAAATATAGAGCAATAGAACTAAACTGTCTGAAAATAGTTGAAAAACACCTCATATTTAAACATTTCTTCTATCCCTTTTACCTTTCATAATTTGAATCTGATTTCTTTTCAAAAATTAAACTTTAAACTAGTCAAGCATGTTAGCATAATATGCTATTTAGAATAGCCCAACTGTTTTATACCAAATTCTAAACTATATTTCAAGAAAATAATTTCAGTGTTGTCTCTAAAAGCCTATCAGCTGAAATTGCAATACAAAACTGATCAGATGTATTTACCTCAATCAAAAAGCCTTCAGCGTTCATAATAAGAATAATTTATTTTCTTATTTATATAACCTGCATTGCTTTATTTCACTTTATAAAATAATGTCAAAAAACAACACTCCAAGACAAATATTATAATGTAGTAATTTCAGGAAAAAATAGTGGCTTAATAGCCTTCTTTACTACATGTACAGGTGTACAAAGTTCTTACTGCATTTTTCATTTAATATTTTGAAAATTAATGGCTTTAAGTTATTTTTTTCTTTGACTTCTATGTTGAAATCTCTTTATACTATGAGATTGCTATTTGAACTTTACTTGGTGAGATTCTTATCATCAACAAGTCTTGTTAAATTGGTAGAAGAAAAGCAGAAACGAACAAAAAGATAACCACTTGTGGAGAAATTCTAGCACATCTTTTGTCAAATTACAAAGTGTGACACTCTCCCAAACTCCTTATGTCACATTGTAGGCTGAAGTTACCTAACTTCTCTGTAAACCAGAGACAAAGGGGACAGAATAATGGTACTTAAGAAAAAGAAAAACAGTGAGATATTTATACAAGTCTGTATCTAGAGAGTGATTTTGGCTGAGGTAAGAAAGTAAAGAAACTAAATTATGAAAATATAATCTTCCTTCTCCTTCTTCCTCTCCTGGAAGAAGACAAAATTGGACAGACAAAATTGTTTTTGTACATAGCTTTGAGGGGGAGATAATCTGGGAGCAGAATACCCTTGCTAAATAAAATCATCCCATTTTATTATAGATATATTGTCTCACTTAGGAGATTCTGCTTAATGTTAAACTCAGGTAAATGAAGTAGCAACTTATTTAAAGAATTATACATTTCCTTATCCAAACTGTAAAATGATTTTATTGTTTATAGGACATATGTTAATTTTTTTTTCTTTTAAATTTCATATGCCTTAGTAACTGAGTGATTTTGTAACCTGTGGTTTGGAGCTACGATTACAAACTCTTCAGGTGTTTCGTGCCCTAAAGGAGTTTGATACTTCGAATGGTAGTCCAATCCAGCATTCCCCATGAATACTTATTTCCCTCAAAACACATTACCATTTTGAATATTTCCCTGAAGTTTTGATCAAAGTTTCAGTATTTGATTGGTACTGAAATCAGGTATGATATTCTTTCTTGCCACCCAGGGAAGGTTTTTGGAAAATAAATTATATTTTACTCTGCTTTTATAATGATGTTTACATAAATACAAAAACCTCTCAAAGACAGAGTAAGCTCCCAGATACTGAGAGATGAATGGTTTCTGAAGGCCTATGTTCAGAAAAGAAAATAGCATAAATTGAGTATGCACTCTGACAGATAACTATTCTAGTTTCTTTATATACGGTAGCATTGGATCAATAAGAAACTTCTATGGTTAATCAATGATCATTTTTATTCTCTCTTTTGTTTCTGTATTAGTCCATTTTCATGCTACTGATAAAGACATACCTGAGACTGCGCAATTTACAAAAAAAAAAGAGGTTTATTAGATTTACAGTTCCACGTGGCTGGGAAGGCCTCACAATCATGGCGGAAGGTGAAAGGCATATCTCACATAGAGGCAGACAAGAGAAGAGAGCTTGTGCAGGGATAATCCCGTTTCTGAAACCATCAGATCTCATGAGACTTATTCACTATCACGAGACCACCACAAGAAAGACTTGCCCCCGTGATTCAATTGCTTCCCATGGGGTCCCTCCCACAACATGTGGGAATTCAAAATGAGGTTTGGGTGAGGGCATAGCTAAATAATATCCTTTTCTAATCAATATTATTCTCCTTTTTTCATATGTGATAGCACTGGATAAATAAGACATCTCTACGATTAGGCAATTATTATTATTTTTGTTTTGCTCATTGTTTTAGATAAGGAAATAAAGGTCGAATGTGAAAAAAAGCTTGAAATAAAAATTGCCTGAATACTGGGATATCATGACATCAAGTTAATTACTTTAGAATCCCTACATCATTGTGATTATTTGGCCTTTACATCTTCCATATTGAAGAGAATGCAAAGAGGAAAATTCAAGGACTTGTAGAATATAATCATGGCAATTATAGAAAACACTATAAGACAAAACAAATGTATTGGGTAGGATAAACTGAATAGAAAAAAAAAAGATGCAACCACTGTTCTTACTGCTCAGTCTATTCTCCAACAAATCATTCCGAATAAAACTGCCAAATTCTTTTTCTAAAGCTTGTCGATTGCAGCTCCCACTCAGACGGACAGAGCAGCGTGTGGAGGCTTGCATGGTAAACTTTTGCTCCAGAACAACTACAGGTATACAGTAGGAAATCCAAGAGAACCCACAGACCCTCTGAAGGAAGCAGATTGCTCCTGCAGGACCCAGGAGACTCCCCAAATACTGTGCTGGTATCCAAGGCTGAGAGACCCTCAGATAGTTCACATCACAGGACTCTGCAGACAACCCCCAGTACCAGCCTAGAGCCTGGTAGACTTGCTGGGTGGCTAGACCCAGAAGAGAAATAACAATCACCACAGCTCAGCTCTCAGGAAGCCACATGCCTAGGAAAACGGGGAAGGTACCACATCAAGGAAACACCCTGTGGGACAAAAGAATCTGAACAACAGCCTTGAGCCCTAGACCTTCCCTCTGGCAGAGCCTACCCAAATGAGAAGGAACCAGAAAACCAACTCTGGTAATATGGAAAAACAAGGTTACTTAACACCCCCCCAAAAAAATCACACTAGCTCACCAGCAGTGAATCCAAACCAAGAAGAAATCCCTGATTTACTTGAAAAAGAATTCAGAAGGTTAGTTACTAAGCTAATCAGAGAGGCACCAGAGAAAGGTGAAGCCCATTGTAAGGAAATAAAAAAAATGATACAAGAAGTGAAGAGAAAAATATTCAATGAAATAGCATAAATAAAAGACAATCAAAATTTCAGGAAACAATAGACACACTTATAGAAATGCAAAATGCTCTGGAAAGTCTCAGCAGTAGACTCAAGCAGAAGAAAGAACATCAGAGCTCAAAGACAAGGTTTTTAAACTAACTCAGTCCAACAAAGACAAGGAAAAAAGAATAAGAAAATATGAACAAAGCCTCCAAGAAGTCTGGGAGTATGTTAAATGACCAAACCTAAGAATAATTGGCATTCCTGAGGAAGACAAGAAATCTAAAACTTTGGGAAATATATTTGGGGGAATAATCGATGAAAACTTCCCCAGCCTTGCTAGACACCTAGACATCCAAATACAGGAAGCTCAAAGAACACCTGGGGATTCATCACAAAAAGATCATCACCTAGGCACACTGTCATCAGGTTCTCTAAAGTTAAGACAAAGGAAAGAAAAAAATAATCCCTTAGCCCATCAAAAAGTGGGCTAAGGATATGAATAGACAATTCTCAAAAGAAGATATACAAATGGCCAACAAACATATTTTAAAAATGCTCAACATCACTAGTGATCAGGGAAATGAAAATCAAAACAACAATATGGTACCACCTTACTCCTGCAAAAATGACCATAATCAAAAAATTTAAAAAAAAAATAGATGTTGGTGTGGATGCGGTGAACAAGGAACACTTCTACACTGCTGGCGGGAATGTAAACTAATACAACCACTATGGAAAACAGAGTGGAGATTCTTTAAAGAATTAAAAGTAGAATTACCCCATATGATCCAGCAATCCCACTACTGGGTATCTACCCAGAAGAAAAGAAGTCATTATATGAAAAAGATACTTGAACATGCGTGTTTATAGCAATAAAATTCACAATTGCAAAAATGTGGAACCAACCCAAATGAGGCTCATCATTCAACAAGTGGATAAAGAATTGTAGTCTATCTATCTATCTATCTATCTGAATGATTCACTCCAATTTCATCCAGGTTGCTGTGAATGCCATTTATTTATTCCTTTTATGGTTGTGTAGTATTCCATTATATATATATATATATATATATATATATGGTATATTGGTAAATCTCTCTATTCTCATCTAATTTTTATAATTTATTATCAAAATATAATTTAAATCAAAATTTATTATCAATTTATCAAAATTGGGGGATCAAAAATACATATCTATACATATACACATACATGTATACATATACACATACATGTATACATATACACATACATGTATACATATACACATACATGTATACATGTATACATGCATACATATGTATACCTGTATACATACATGTATGCCTATACACGTATATAGGTATACATACATGTATACCTATACACGTGTATAGGTATACTATACACGTGTATAGGTATACATACACATATGTATACATGTATGTATACCTATACACGTATAGGTATACATACACATATGTATACATACGCATATGTATACATATATGAGCATATACATGTATGTATACGTGTATAGATATATACATATATGTGCATATACATATATGTATACATGCATACATATATACATATATACACATATATACGTATATACATATATGTGTATATATACATATGTGTATATAAATATGTGTATGTATACATATATGTATGCATGTATACATATATGTATACACGTATACACGTATGTATATATGTATACACGTATACACGTATACACGTATGTATATATGTATACACGTATACACGTATGTATATATGTATACACGTATACACGTATGTATATATGTATACACGTATACACGTATGTATATATGTATACACGTATACACGTATGTATATATGTATACACGTATACACGTATGTATATATGTATACACGTATACACGTATGTATATATGTATACACGTATACACGTATACACATGCATATGTGTATACACGTATACACATATGTATATATGTATACACGTATACACATATGTATATATGTATACACGTATACACATATGTATATATGTATACACGTATACACATATGCATGTGTATACACGTATACACATATGCATATGTGTATACACGTATACACATATGCATATGTGTATACACGTATACACATATGCATATATGTATATATGTGTATGTATATATGTATATATGTGTATATATGTATATATGTATATATGTGTATATATGTATATATGTATATATGTGTATATATATACTATTCTAAGTGAAGTAACTTAGAATACATATATATACATATAGGATCAAAAATACATATATACACATATATGTGTATATATATACAAAGTATAAACATACAAAGTTTTCAAAACAGTCATTATTATCTCATCTTTTTTAACAGGCAAAATGATGTAACAAAAGAATAATCTATATTTGTGTCTTTAAACTTATTTCAATTTGATAAATTAGTTTCTTCCTAACCTACAGAAAATAACTTAAACTCTCTGAGTGATACCCACATTTCTAGTTTGTAAATTTGTTAGGAGAACTTTGCATTTTGACAATAAATTACAAAAATTAGATGAGAATAGAGAGATTTACCAAAAAAGTAATAGTTGAAGCCATGTTTATAGTTTAAAAGTGTAATAAAATCACAAGTAAAATTGTTGAAATAGAATGAAAAGAAATGCAGAAAACTAGAGCTGCAGTAAAATTAAAGAGAGAAGATTAAAATATATATATTGCAATATTACATACTTAGAAATCATTTGTGTCCATTTAAATGTCATCTTAACATTTTAAATTTTATTTAGGCCTTAAACATCATCTAGTTCAGTCATTTTATGGTTGAGGAAACTCAGGAATCAACTAAATGAGTGTGTTGTCTAAGTTTAGATTTCTGGAGTCAGGTACAGGAACCAAAATCTAGATCTTCTGAAGGCTAGTGCCATGTTCTTCCCAGTATACCACAAAGCCTTGTGTGAACTGAGAACTAAAGTTCAGAAAAAAACACAAAGCCATCATGATGTGATGTGAGACAAAAGTCACATAAATCATAAAATATATAAGAAGATAAACAGAAATTATATGAATCAATGGTTCTCAACTGGGGATAATTTTGTCCCCTGAGGAATACATGTTGATGTTTGGAGACATTTATGATTGTCATAATTTGAAGGGTAGGGGTGATACTGGAATCTAGTGGGTAGAGGCCAAGGATGATGTCAAACACCGTAAAATGCACAAGACAACACACAACCAAGCACAAGCAAGAATTACCTGACCCAAAATATCAATAGTGCATCTGTTAAGAAATCCTGACATACATAAAAATGTAAACAAAGCAAGAAAACTCCTAATATTTACAGATGGAGGGGGTGAGGAAGAGAGAGAGATAATTAAAACACAAAATGAAAGCAACATGCAGATCAGAAAAACGAAAAGTGGAAAATACGCAATTAAATAAAAAGCTACCTGATTTTACATATGCATATTAATACTTCCTTAGGGAAACCAAAAGTCTTCACCTATCACCAAGGACACTCATTTTGGTAGAGGATAAAGAATATTTCATCTAGATAAATGATGCTTTCCTCACTGGATAGCTGTAAGTAAAATGTTATTAAATGATAATACCTGAGGAAGAGTGAAGCTTTAAAATGATAACTTTCAAGTCAAACTTTGCTTTATAAAGAAGACCTGCACAGAGATATGTTGTGTTCTTCTGAACTCTAATTATACAGGAAATGTTGTCAGACCTTAATCTTCAAGGTTTTTTGCTGTTCAGAGATAAAAATGTTCTATTTTTCATTTTTTGTGTGATGTTTGTGTCTAGGTTTTGAATAATTTATTTCTTTGAGGAAAGTAAACATATTTTCAAGTTCAGCTTCGCAGCAGATATGGCTGCGTGTATTTCAAAAGAACTCTTAGACTTCCACCAAAACTATAAAGAATCAGAGCAAAGAGATAAACTTAAATAACAATAACAATTATGTGGTACTTGTTAAATGATTTTGAGTCCCAGGAACTTTTCTGAGTGTTTTACAGGACTAATTTTTTAATATTCATATATAAGGTAGATAGCATTCACATTTAATACACGAGGAAGCTGAGGCACACGGAGACTGACCTGACCACAGTCCCACTGAACTGCAGTGTGGGTAAGAATTTACATTCAAAATCAGAAAATCTGGTGCCAGAGCTCTCATTTCTAATCACAAGGATGCATATTCTTTGTCAAATTCTGCCTGATTTATTCTCGTCTCCCTTTAAATCTTATTAAAATTACAGAAAATTAAGTTTAAAAAGGAAGAAGAAACCATAACTGTCTCAGTTCATTTTGTGATATTTAAACAAAATATCTGAGACTGGATAGTGTATCAAAAACAGAAATTATTTTTCACAGTTCTGGGGGCTGAGAACTCCAAGATCAAAGTACCTGCAAGTCCAGTTGTCTGGTGAGGGTTGCATCCCTCAGTGAGGACCAAAGCTATGTCCTCACATGGCAGAACAGTGGAAGAGAAATAAGGGGGCAAACTGCCTCAATCAAGCTCTTTTATTTATTTTTATTTTATTTTAAATGTGTTTAGAGATAGAGTCTCTCTCTGTCACTCAGGCTGGAATGTAGTGGTGAGTTCATAGCTTACTGAAGCCTATAACTCCTGGACTCAAGTGATCTTCCTGCCTTGAGGATCAAGGCAACCTCAGCTTCCCAAGATGCTGAGACTACAGGTACGCACCACCATGCCCAGCTATTTTTTTTAAAATGATTTTTAGCGGCAGGGTCTCACTATATTGCCTAGGCTTGTATTGACCTGGCTTCCAGAGATCCTTCTTCTTTGGCCTCCCAAAGTATTGGGATTACAGGTGTGAGCCACTGTGCCTGACCAAGCCCTTTTATAAGGGCACCTAATCCCACTCGAGAGCAGAGCCCTTATGACTCCATCACTTCCCAAAGGCCACACCTCCCAATACCCTTGCATCCAGAATTAAATTTCATCATGAATATTAAAAGTAGCAAAGACAGTCAAACCATAGCAATAATTATACTGAAAACAGGAAAGAGTGTTATGAATGGAGTGACTTTTTTTTTTAGAAATAGGCTCTCTCTGTGTTGCCCAGGCTGAAGTGCAATGGTGTGTTCAAAGCTCACTGCAGTCTCAAACTCCTGGGCTCAAGTGATCCCCCTGCCTCAGCCTCCTGAATAGCTAAAACTACAGATATGTGCCACTATGCCTGGCTGATTTTTTTTTTTTTGGTAGAGATTGGGGTCTCACTATATTGCCCAGGCTGGTCTTGAATTCCTGGCCTCAAGCAATCCTCCGGAGGTGGCCTCCTGAAGCACTGGAATTACAGGTGTGAACCAAAACACCTGGCTGGAGCAGACATTTTTAAGGAATTTCATGAAGAAAGCAAATTGAATATATACAACTTACTGAGAGGCTGAACAAGTTAAATGAAAACCATAAACATTCATGAAAAATCTGTTGCAGAGGTCATAGCAGAATCTGTTCCCATTTTGGCCTTAGAGGAACTCCAAATTCTCTGAATTCAGAGGTCATGGAATACAGGAAGGGATGATTTTGCAATTTCAGATCTATTAGAGACTTTATACCTGGGAGTCATTATTTACTGCACATCTTTTTTTTTTTTTTAAATCAGTAAAGCCTACTGCTGTAGCTGTCAAATATTCCCAGGTTACATCCAATTGTCACCCCTTCAGTGTTGCCATCATCATCTCTTGTCTGAATCATTGTACCCTGTGTCTCTTTTCTCAAAAACCCTTCAATGGCTTTGCATCTGACTCAGAATGAAAGCCAATGTTCTCATAATGGCCCACCAGGCCCTCACAATCATACCATCCACTACTCCCCTGATTATTTTTATTTATTTATTTATTTAGGACAGTCTGTCTTTGTTGCCCAGGCTAAAGTGCAGTGGCACCATCTCAGCAATACAACCTCCACCTCCTGGGCTCAAGATATTGTCCTGCCTCAGCCTCCCAAATAGCTGGGATTATAGGCATGCACCACAACGACCGGCTGATTTTTGTATTTTTAGTAGAGATGAGGTTTTACCATGTTGGCCAGGCTGCTCTCAAACTGCTGACCTCAAGTCATCCGCCTGCTTCGGCCTCCCAAAGTGCTGAGATTGCAGGTGTGAGCCACCGTGCCCGGCCTATTCCTTTTATTTTTCTTCTACAGCTTTCATCTGAGTGTTTTGCTGCAGCCACTCAGCCTCCTTACTGTTAGCTGAACATGCCCAACCACTCCCACATCTGAGCCTCTGCACTTTCTCTTCAAATAAGAATATTTAAATATTGAAGAAAAAAATGAAGTAAGGCATAGAGACAAAGACAGCTGGAGGAGTCTGCTGAAATTATGGTTATAGATAAAGTATCTGAGAGGCTTAATAGGGAGACTTTTGAGGAAATACTTGAAGGAAGCCACATAGTTCTTTTCCTCACTTCCCCCAAGTATTTCCTCAAAGATCTCCTCTGTAAGGTCTTTCTTAACTCCTTTTTCTGTAACTTTAATACCCTCCCCCAACTCTATCTGTCCCATTGCCCTACTTTATTTTCTTTCTTAATACTTAAAAATTGTATTATAATAGATAATATAAATAAAATATTTATATAAATGTATTATAATATAATGTAATATATAATCATTAACATAGTATATATTTATCTTGTTTATTGTCTGTGTCTCCTCACTAGCATGTAAAATCCCTGAAGGCAGAATTGTTAATATTGATTTTTAGTTTAATAGTTCCTGCTTTATCTTTGTCACCTGCAATAGAACACAACACATAGTAGGCAAGACATTAATTTTTTTATAAATAAAGAATGACTATCATAGGAGATTTTAGCCCAGTTGAAACCCCCAATTCCTCTGCCTACAGAGGTTGGTTGAAAGTAGAGTGCTTTGTTTCTAAGTCCCAAGTTTTCTCTCTTTAAAAAGGTTAATTACCTGCTTGGGAGGAATCCTGGATGGGCATTAGGGCACATACAAAACAGACAGAAATTACAGTTTCTTACGCATCTCTGTAATAAATATTCAGGAAAAGCACCAAATGAAAACTCTCCATTCCCGAAGTGAAAATCTTTTTACTTCAAGCTTATAGAAAAGGGGTATTTTAACAAGTAATTATATCAATCTAACTTCCAGTTTGATGATTGTAAATGATAGAGAGGTAAAGGAAAACGGAAACCCGATGCCATTTTCGGTAAAAGTAGACAAAAGCTACCTCTTCCCCACAACCTTTATCGGCCCAAAATGCATGCAAGACCCACAACAGGCAATGGATTCTGAGTAATAGTGTTCAGGAGACAAAAGAGAAAAAGTGGCATGGCTGCAGCTATAAGAGAGAGCCATAAAGAATATTCCAAAAGGCAAGGAGCTCATTCTGAGATGTAAAATTTTAATTCCTTATCTTTTATAACTGAAATGGTGCCTGACTGGAGCCAGATATTTCCTTTCATGTGATTTGTTTCTAAAAACAAAAAGAATAAAGCTGAATGAGGAATTACATAAGCACCACACATGCATTGATGAAGCTGATTTTTTTTTTTTTTAATCAGGCTACCTGGAATCAACTACTCTTAGAGGAGAAAAGTAAAACTGAAGAATTGCTAAAGTTCGGCAATTTTATATTTCTTGAAAATACTAGATATTCTTAAGGATGTTTCTAAATTTGGAAAATGCCTTGAAAACCATTTAAAAGTAAGATATTAATTTGTATTTACTTACATATTTGAATGAATTTTAACTATTGAAATTTACCCAATGGTTCATAAAAATCCCAATACCCCACTAAAGTCCAAATGACAATAATAACGAAAACAACAAAAGAAGCATAAGATTGATTTGGACCATATGTATATGAATGGAGGGACTGGACAGAGACATCCAAGTGTGAAGACAACAAAGTGCTGTATCTGAAGGACCAAGCTGATGAGTAGAAACAGACCAGCCACCATGCTGTGTATGAGTGAGAATTCCCAATGGCCAGTGGTGGAAACTGGCTCACTGATTGTATGGGAAATGGAAATCTAATGATTCCCTACCCCTCAACCCTGTATTCCATAGGCTACTAGCCACACATAGTACTAGGCCCTCCCCCAACCCATCTCTCCGGGGGGATGTGATGCATCTTATGTTGAAATGGTAACACCATGGGAAAATGTCTCACCTCCTGTAATTCATCTTTAGGTATTATTTTATATGATTTAATGGCATGATTTCTGTCATAGAGCTGCGTTTCAAAAGTATTTTAAGGCTGCTGATACTTTACTTTTAGAAGAAATATCTAGGTATCAGTTTCTGTTCTCCTTTGAGTCCTCAGAAAATGATCATGGATCAGAAGGGCATATAAAAAAATGCCGCCTCTCTTAAAACAAGCCATTTTTATTGTTTCTTGAGGAGGCGATGTCATCTAATTCCATATTTTCATTTCCTTCCTGGGGTAAATGGAGTAAGAACTCATGTTCTAGTTTTATCCTGCCTCTCTACATTTTGATATAATATATAATTTCTCTGGCATTAGTATACATATCTAAGTGGGAGACCCAGGCTAAGAATTTACACACCAAAGACGTGAACTATGTTCTCTGACTTTTTGAATACTGCAGTTATACACTAATATTTATATTCTTTAAAAAGTTATCAGATCATATAAGCATTCATATCATTAGTAATCAGTTTCTATTTCTAGAGAAATATGGGAAATGCGGGCATTGTTTATTAATACACAGATACCTGATGAGGGTCTCTTAGCAGAAATGGATAGAGGAATATGGAAGATTTGAGTTTCTGTTATTTTTACCCCTTTCTGACTTCTTGAATCAATATACTTTATACCTAGTGGTTTATGGACATCTATACATAAATGTATTCATGTAGATAAAATTTTTCCTCCCTTTGACTTTGCATGAAAGTTAGAAACCTCTGAAAATAGACTTGCCTCAAGCTTCTGTGCATCTTTGAACTTTCATTTGCAAACTTTTCTTTTCAAAGGAGATTGACTTTCAGTTCTGCTGGAATATTTTTACCGCTTTGTGACTGACTACCTCTTGCTAGTTTTTGAGACTTTGTTTTTGTCCTCTCCTTTAAGGTTAGGTGTTTACTTTTTGAAGGATGACTCAGTTTCTTCCTTTGATTTTTCTCTTATTCCCAAATTACTTATTCACAACTACCTTCTCAATTAGGGTAGCTGACTTCTATGCCTTATATCAGGTCAACAGCACTCCAGAGAAGCAGGGTTAGAGCCAGAAACTAAGGGAAAACCACATTTAAAAAAGTAATATTATACTAGATACCCTATTATAATTAAAACATCTTAAAGAACAAGATGGAAAATGTAGTTTTGCCAGCACCATGAAAGACCAGAAATGATTACTCACTTCAAATATTAGCTTCAGTAATAAAAGTTCACTTCATTTGTCCAAAAATGACTTGTAGTAGGAATTTTTTAAATGACAAAATTAGTAGTTAGTTTAAGAAAGGGTCCTCAACAGTAGGTTGTCAGGCAAAATGGGAGGGTGGAGGTTTGGAGTGGGAAAGGCACACAGATGTAGCCAGAAACTAAGCAAAGCTTTTGCAAAGAGATAAATAATTTGTAAATACAGAGTTGTAATAGTTAATGTTAGGCTTTTAGCTGTGCTTAATATAGCATAATATCCTCTTATCTATTACCCTCACATCTTGAGTAATCGTATTTTACACAAAATGGTCTTGTGTGAGTATTGTTCAGGAAATCAATGGATGAGAGCTGTGGGTTTTTTGTTTTGTTTTGTTTTAAACTGGGTAATGAGAGGCAGAGAAACAAGACTAGAGAAAAGAAGAAAGAAAGATTTGAGTGACACTGACAATTGCCAGAGGTAGAATGCTATATTAAAAAATGAATGGAGAGAGTATCAATTGTTTAGGAATGAAAAATTCTGCATACAATGGGGCATCAAGCCATTATTTCAAGTTATTAGAGAATGAACCATGAAGGTCCTAGGAATATTTTGTTACAGAATTTTTAGTGTAATTTATTTTGCAAACAAAGATTTTTGCATGTGAAATTTAGTCACTAGAAAAGCTTTTTTGTTCTTAACAACAAAAAAGGATGTTAAAAAGATTAGATAAGAGTGGCAAACTAAGCACAAGAACTAATTTATCTTAGTTTCCCACATAACTAGAAATGATAGGCAATATAATAAAAATGAATAATGAGTAAGAGAAGAAAAAAATGAAAGCAAAAGGAGAAAAAAGTAATTCATTAAAACTTTGCAAATAAAAAGTGACATTGGTTTGAAAAATTTAGGGAAAACCTTCCATGATAGATTAACAGATGAAGGAGAAGGTTATAGGAGAGGAATTACCACCCATAATTTAGAGTGATTTCACTGTGACTAAAAATAAAAGGAATAGACACTAGAAGCAGGCAGGAACCAGCATTTAGGTGATTGGTTGAAAAATTGCATTAGAAAAAGAGAGCAATATGTGTGATATAAAATGTGACAGTAGCCTGAGGGTGATGCTGATATTGCTCCTTTCCCATCCGGAACATGAACTAATGACACACAGGGGCTAGAAGCTCAGTCATTCGAGACAGGCACACTAAATAGAAATGACACAAGCAAATAGTTGAACAAAAATTTCTTGTAAAGAAACGCATTATCATCTCCAAATACTTACAGAAAACCAATATTATGAAACAGACCTAAGCTTAAAAATAATAAAAAATAAAACAGGAGAAATAATATTGAAGAAATGCAGTTAATCAGGTAAAGTTAAGGAAAGCTTGAAATAGAATTAATATATTCAGAAAGATGAGAGTATATGCTAGACAGAAAATGCAAAGAAATTTGTAGAATATAAGAAACAGTATTGAACAAATGCACCTATAAGAATGAAGAAAAAAATGAAAGGAAAAAATGCAAGGAGGGGAAGGAATAAAGGGAAGAAAGGAAAAAAAAGGAAGGAAGGAGGAAGAAGGAAAGAAGCAGAGATGGAGGGATGGAGGAAGAAAGAAAGAAAGGAAAAAAGAGTGTTTAGTTACATGAAACTAAAATCTTAGGTGTTCTCAAATCAGCAGTTGATGTTGGATGGAGGGAGAAGAGCAAATGATACCTTCTGTGTCCTAGTTTGTGGGTTTATAGGTATAACCTGCTTCTAGATTCTAACAAAAAACATTAAATATTTTGTTAGAAATATTTATTTACACAGCAAAGGTATATTAGGTGGCTAATATTTGGCAAACTCCATTTTGGGTACTAGAAATACAGGTTTGCATATGGGAGGTGAATAAAAAAAATTGAATGTGATTTCAAGTTATTTTAGTCTCAGCAACTTGATATATTAAACTGAGGCAGAGAAGAAAAGGGTAGGGGCAGTTCTAAGGAAAAACAGGAATTCTCTTTTGGTTTGATTTATGACAAATATGCAAATATATGTTTTGAAAGATGTGCATTTAAGAGTTAAGGGTAACTTTCAAAAACCAAAGAAAAATAAACAAAACCAAATCAATTAAAAATATTGTATAAATGTATGACAAAGGAGAATAATACATAGCAGATACAGAAGAAATGGAAGGAGTAAGTCCAGACATCAATAATGAAGTAAATATGAGTTGTCATTGCTCATCAACTGTTGAATGGAAAAATGAATTGTATCTACACAAAATAGAATACTATACAGGATGACAAATGAACCACATAAAACAATGTGTACTCATTTCACTAATGTAATACAATGTAACATAAGGTAACTAGAAAAAGTAGTGCATAAAATTAGAGAAAAACAGGCAAAAGTAATATAAGCTATTAGAAGTCAAGAGACTAGTTTTCTTTAGGAAGAGTATGAGACTTGAAATAAGAACAAAGGGGCTTTTGGCACAGTGGTAATGGTCTTCATTTTCTTGTACTGTGGGGTGTTCATTTTGGAAAAATCCAGAGCGCTGGACACTTATATGAGCACTTTGTTGTATATATTTTTATTTCAATAAAGACAACAAATAAATAAGTTAAAAACAAAGACAGGCATAAGTAAAGTCATAACTATATGCCATATATAATAATTGAAGCAGTAGAGAAAAAGTTGCAACATCCAAATTTTAATGCAAACTAAACAAGTGGAAGATATATCTTTTTAAAATTTAATTAAAGGGTAAAAAACTTGAATTGTACATATTCCAATTTGCTTTATAAAAATAGTATCATCCTAAACTTTACACATCCTCCAAAAGTTTACACATGCCAAAAAATGAGCACAACAAAAATTAAAATAATAAAAAACTAGTTTCATCACTACTAAGAAAGAGACTACTACACAATTCAAAATTGCACTAAGAAGAGAAAAAAAATAACCAAATTCCAACAGATGTTTTTCACCCTCATTGCCACCTTCACAAACTCATGTATTTAGGATTAGAGGGGTGTATTAGTCCATTTTTATGCTGCTGATAAAGACATACCCAAGACTGGGAAGAAAAATAGGTTTAATGAACTTACAGTTTCATGTGGCTGGGGAGGCCTCACAATCATGCCAGAAGGCAAAAGGCATTTCTTACATGGCAGTAGCAAGAGAGAATGAGAGAGACGCAAAAGCAGAAACCCCTTATAAAACCATCAGATCTCATGAGACTTATTCACTACCATGAGAACAATATGGGGAAAATTGCCCCCATGATTCAATTATCTCCCACCAGGTTCCTCCCACAACACTTGGGAATTATGGAAGCTATGAGGTGAGATTTGGGTGGGGACACAGCCAAACCATATTATTCTGCTCCTGGTCCCTCCCAAATCTCATGTCCTCATATTTGAAGACCAATCATGCCTTCCCAACAGTCCCCCAAAGTCTTAACTCATTTCAGCATTAATTCAAAAATCCATAGTCCAAAGTCTCATCTGAGACAAGGCAAATCCCTTCTGCCTATGAGCATGTAAAATAAAAAGCAAGTTAGTTATTTCCTAGATACCATGCAGGTACAGGCAGTGGGTAAATACAGCCATTCCAAATGGGAGAAATTGGACAAATCAAAGGGGCCACAGGACCCAGGCAAGTCCAAAATCCAGCAGGGCAGTCAAATCTTAAATTTCCAAAATAATCTACTTTGACTCCATATCTTTCATCCAGGTCACGCTGGTGCACGAGGTGGGTTCCCATGGTCTTGGGCAGCTTTGCGTATGTGACTTTGCAGGGTACAGCCTCCCTCTCTGCTGCTTCTATGGGTTAGTGTTGAGTGTCTGTGGCTTTTCCTGGAGCACGGTGCAAGCTGTCAGTGGATCCATCATTCTGGGGTCTGGAGGATGGTGGCCCTCTTTTCACAGCTACACTAAGTGGTACCCCAGTAGGGATTCTGTATGGGAGCTCTGGCCCCACATTTCCCTTCCCCACTGCCCTAGCAGAGGTTCTCCATGAGGGCCCTGCCTCTGCAGCAAACTTCTGCCTGATCATCCAGGCATTTCCATACACCTGAAATCTAGGCAGAGGTTCCCAATCCTAATTCTTGACTTCAGTGCACTTGCATGCTCAACACCACATGGAAGCTTCCAAGGCTTGGGGCTTGCACCCTCTGAAGCCACAGCCCAAGCTCTACTTTGGCCCCTTTTAACCTAGGCTGGAGCAGCTAAGATGCAGGGCACCAAGTCCCTGGGCTGCACATAGCACAGGAATCCTGGGCTGGGACCACAAAACCACTTTTTCTCCTAGGCCTCTAGGCCTGTGATGTGAGGGGCTGCCATGAAGACCTCTGATGTCCCCTGGAGACATTTTCCCCCTGTCTTGGGGATTAACATTCAGCTCCTCATTACTTATGCAAATTTCTGCAGCCACCTTGAATTTCTCCTCAGAAAATGGGATTTTCTTTTCTATCACATTGTCAGGCTGCAAATTTTCTGAACTTTTATGCTCTGCTTCCCTTATAAAATTGAATGCCTTTAACAGCACCCAAGTCACCTCTTGAATGCTTTGCTCCTTAGAAATTTCTTCCACCAGATACCCTAAATCATCTCTCTCAAGTTCAAAGTTCCACAAATCTCTAGGGCAGGAGCAAAATGCTGCCAGTCTCTTGGCTAAAACATAGCAAGAGTCACCTTTGCTCCAGTTCCCAGCAAGTTCCTCATCTCCATCTGAGACCACCTAAGCCTAGATTTCATTCTCCATATCATTATCATCATTTTGGGCAAAGTCATTCAACAAGTTTCTAGGAAGTTCCAAACTTTCCTACATTTTCCTGTCTTCTTCTGAGCCCTCCAAACTGTTCGAAGCTCTGCCTGTTACTCAGTTCCAAAGTTGCTTCCACATTTTCAGGTATATTTTCAGTAGCACCCCACTCTACTGGTACCAATTTACTGTATTAGTTCATTTTCACACTGCTGATAAAGACATACCCAAGACTGGGAAGAAAAACAGGTTTAATGGACTTACAGTTCCACATGGTTGGGAAGGCCTCAAAATTATTGTGGAAGGCAAAAGCCACTTCTTAACATGGCAGCAGCCAGAGAAAATGAGAGAGAAGCAAAAGTGGAAACCCCTTATAAAACCATCAGATCTCATGAGACTTATTCACTATCTTGAGAACAGTATGAGGAAAACTGCCCGCATGACTCAATTATCTTCCATCAGATTCCTCCCACAGCACATGGGAATTATGGGAACTACAAGATGAGATTTGGGTGGGGACACAGAGCCAAACCATATCAACTGGAATCTAAAGAAACTGTGGAAAACAAGAGAGGAAAGTGAAAGGCTTGGAGAAGGAAGATGACAGATAAAATCACCATAAAAAGAATTGAAAAAATTTTCATTGAAAAACAGGTTCAACACTAGATGTAGGAAGAAAGGTGAAAAGTAAAAACAAAGGAGTCTCCCACTGGCTACAGAGAAAGTACTTGAAAGCATTGAGATCAGAGATTTCAGTCTCAGGACAGTGTCAGTTCTGGGGAAGGAAGAGGTAAATAGAAAGAATGAGACACTTCTGGAGGTGAAATGAAGAAAAAGAAAGATAAAAGGAAGAAATGTGTGGATTCTGAAGAACAAAACTGTAAAACCCCAAAATGCAAGGCACATCAGCACCATTCTTAACTGTCAAAAAAAAAAAATTCAGTTATTATTGAAATTCCTTGTCACCATACTAGGAGAAAAAGATATTCTTGTAATAGGATTCTTGGAAGCCATGAAAACCCTCATCTTCATCAAGAACATTAATAAAGGAAAGAAATCTGCATCTATACAAAGCAGCTCTACAAAAAGCTAAAAATGGTAATCAAAATATAAAAATGTTCCCCTACCACTTCCAAAAAACATCCCCGCAAAACAGACTCAGTAGAATAAAAAAGTAACTCAACACTTCAAACTAAATTAAATATTCTCCAACACAAACATTTAGAAACATGAAAACAATTGAATCAGAAATTCAAAAACTAAGCTGATTATACTCATGAAAGAAAGAAACTAATAAAATCACATTATTAAGAAAGACTGAATCACAAGGGACTCAGGAGATAATACATTTAACAGAATATTTTAACTAGAGGAATTAAAGACAGGAAAAGAATAAAGAGAATGAAAATAAGAAAAAATAAATTGAGACTCTCAGAAAGTGTTAGAAATGTATGATAGGCCAAGGATTTCCAACATATTTACAACTGAGGTGCCCAAAGAAACAAAACATTAGAAAAACCTGTTTAAAAACAACAACAACAACAAAACAACTTTTGGACAAAGTGAACAGAATTCAATTAAGAATGATTCATGAATCTGCAGCCCTGCAAGCCAGAATAGGTGCAGAGTGACTCTGGGGATGCCACATGGTGGGATAATCTTCATGGACAGGAAAAGGAAGGTAGCATACAGAACATCAAATGTGGAACGGAAACATCTGCATTGGTTACAGCTTGGCATTTCTCATATTTGATCATGGTTTGAATAGATGGCTACCTGTGATTGGCCAAAACTCTGTGACTAGTACAAAAGTAGGTTACAGTCTGTTTACACATCCAGTTAGGTTACAGTCACTAAGCATGGAGAATCCATTAGGCTGAACGTAAAATATGTAAGCAAGCAGCTTTAAGATAAACTTTGTTTAACACCAGTTAGGAAATTTTTACATTAAAAAGGGAGATAGAGTGGTAGTAAGGGTGTTAAAGAAGAAGGAAAACATAGGAACAAAGGAAAACACCAGAAAAAATATATAAATATGGGAGAAAGAGGTACCTATGTAAAGAAGTGGAAGGAAGTCAAAATATTTTACCCCAAATATACTTCTTTGACATATTTTGAGATGGCTGTTGAGTTCTGCAAACAGAAATAGCCCTCTAAAGCTGTGTTTTGTGGGGGTGAGGGGGAATTTGCAGTCAGACCTCCTCTTGTCTCTCTTTGATAACCTGTTTTGCCATTGTAACCTCATTTACTGACTGTAACCTGGTTTGGGCCATGCTTTGAGCCCCTATTCTTTTTGTAAACTCAAGATGATATATGAGCTTTTGTATCCCATTGAAGGATTGTGGTAGTCTCTGTGGTTCTCCCTCATCCACATTAATAAATGTGTATGCCTTTTTCCTATTGATATGTCATTTGTCAGTTAATTTTCAACAAACCTTCAGAGAATGAAAGGGAAGTATTCCCTTGGCCCCTACAAAACACAATAAGTATAGAGTAAGATGTCTAACCAACCTAAAACAAGAAATGTTTTTTCACTCCTTTGCTTTTCCTTTGCTACTTAAGTTATCCTTATTTATTGTGGGGTTTTTTTTGTATTTTTTTTTATTATAATATAATATAATATGTAATATTTTGTATTTTAATTTGTTTATATAATATATAATATTTTGTATTTTAATTTGTTTTTTTAATTATAATATCTGCTCATCTACACTTACTAGACCTTAAGCCACATGAGAACGAGGATCTTGTCTGTTTAACCCTCTAAACCCAACTCCTATCATGAGGCCTGATGCTAAATATTGTATAGATACCTTTGAATGAGTAATGTATGAAATGTAGGGGACAGGGCCCTCATCCCCCTAAAGGCTTGCTGGAAAAGTCACTGTCATGAGGGAGGTTGATTAATAGAAGATAAGGCATACACATTTATTTAACGTGTATACATATTTATTTAACTTGTATACACATTTATTTAACTTGTGTACACAGGAGCCTTCAGAATGAAGACCCAAAGATACAGGAGAAATTGTCCATTTTTATGTTTAGGTTGAACACAGTATAGACAGCTAGGTAGAAATATGATTGGACAAAAGGGTATTTTCTAATGATAACAGACTTGAGTTAGGAAACTTAACAAAGACTGTCTAATTTCCTCTTGGCTTCTCTGAGCATGCATTCCTTCTTTGTGGGTGAAAGGCAGGGCCCTCTCTAGAATAGGAGTCTCATGACTTACAGTCAAGCAAGGTAGATCTGATAATTTCTTTGTGGCCAGTTTTTATATAGATTGGCCAGAGGAAAATTAGAGTAATAATTTTAGGTCTTATGGCTGGCTTTGGAGAAGAGAGATGCTCATTTTTATGACCTGCCTTGGGGAAGAGGGATTCTAGTTTCTACGCCTAGCCTAAAGGGAAAATGGAACTGAAAGACAAGAGGGCAGGAGAAGGCAAGGAAAAATCTTGCTTCTGATGCTGCTGCTAAGGCCTTCATTTTGCGGTATTGTTTCCTGAGCCCCAGCAGTGTCGATGAAAAGAGTCAAGCTCCGTAAAATATTTAAAGAGATTTCTACTGAGCCAAATATGAGTGATCAAGGCTTGTAACACAGCCCCAGGAGGTCTTGAGAACATGTGCTTAAGCTGATTGAATTACAGCTTGATTTTTTACATTCTAGAGAGACATAAGACACCAGTCAATAGATGTAAAGCATGCATTGGTTCAGTTCATAAAGGTGGGACAACTCAAAGTAGGGTCTTACAAGTCAAAGGTGGATTCAAAGATTTTCTGATTGGCAATTGTTTGAAATTGTTAAGTCATTATCCAAAGACAAAGAATCATTAGAAAGTAGTGTCTGGGTTAAGGTAAGGGGTTGTGGAGACCAAGGTTTTTACTATATAGAACAGATGGTAAATGTCTCTTATCAGGCCTTAAAAGGTACTAGACTCTAAGTTAAATCTCTCTTGGATTAGGAAAATACTTCTGAAAGGGAGGGGATTCTATATAGAATGTAAATTTTCTCCATTAGAAACAGCTTTTCAGGGCCATTTCAAAATATGTCAAAGGAATATATTTGGGGGTAAAATACTTTGATTTCTTTCAGGGCCTGCTATCTGCCATGTGATGCTGTACTAGAGGTAGGTTGAAATTTGGTATTTTATTGCTACAGTCTGTTTTGTCAGTCTTATGATCTCTGTACTGATATTAATGCTACTCAGTTGTGCCTGATTTCCAAAGGGAGGAGGATGCAATGAGTCATGTCTGATCCCTACCTCCCATCATGGCCTGAACTAATTTTTCATATTTACTCTGGAATGCTCTTGGCAGAGAGAAGCATCCATTCATTCAGTTGGGGGACTTAGAATTTTAGTTTGGTTTACAATAGAGGATTTTCAAAATTTTTAAGATCTATTCTTGTCCCCTTCTCATCATTACATTGTTTACATTGTTTCACATTGTTGTCAAAGTTGTCTTTGTAAAATTTAAATTCAATCACTTAACTTGGTAAATTTGCTAAGACTTGCTGGTCATGGAAAGATACAGTTTACACTCCACAGCATGGTATAGAGGCCCACGTGGTTTGTCTTCTGCTTGACTTCCCATGTTTCCATATGTATTCTGTTCAAAATGTAGGAGACCAGAATATGTGACCACAAAATATGCTTCTTTGGCCGAAGGATTATTTTGAACTAATTATTTTGAGGAAGAGCAGATATGACAGAAGCTCTGAAGAAAGAAGTTACCCTTTGTAACAGAAATTTATAAAGAAAATCTCCATTCATAAGACTGTCTCCCTCTCTATACTAGGAATAGAAGAATGACTCTACTCACAAAAGACTCATCAATAAAGAAGGAAACCACTTAAATCTGCATAAAACATCATGTTTTTTCCTGATCACCCCCATAACTTGCCTCTGGCATACTCTTCTTTTTTGTTTTTAGCTGGAATGATATTCTGGCCAGAATCTAAACCACCTCTTTAAGAATTATTTTTCTGTGTATTTTCCATGTATATGAGATATACATGCTAACAAACTTCTATTTTTCTCTTGTTAATCTGTCTTTTGTTACAGTGGCCCCAGTGAGAACTTAAAAGAGGAGAGAGAAAATTATGTTTTCCTCTCTTTCAAAAGTATTCTATTGGAAACCTCAGCTATCAACAAATATCAAATGTTTTGCCTAGAATATCCTCTCTCCTCTTTACTCATCCTTGCCTACCAACTTCTCTTCCCATTCCAAATTTAATTGAAAAACACTTTATTATTATTTATGGCTTATATTGTCCTTTATTAAGACAGTCCTGACCCACAAAATATGTACATTTCTATTTATATTTCAATGTTAAATATGGATTTAAAATCAAAGAAGCCTGAATTAAAATTCAGCAATATGACTTTAATTAGTCATCCTTCTTATGCCTCAAATTCTTGATTTATAAAGTGAGTAATCACAGCTTCTGAAAGTATAAGCAGACAGGGAGGGTCTACAGGGATTATAGAAATTTAGTCAACTTGAGCAATCAGTCTGTTTTACAACCTCCTGCCATACATCCATCCTGATCTTTCCCCAAACAGTGTGGAATGTAGTCATCTTGTTGGTTGGAACTAGCTTCTGACAGACCCCCTGCAACTTACAGATGAACCCAAGTGAACTTTCCTCATTATCATGCTAACACCTCCACCATGGGAGGAGCTATAGCTTCATTACCATAACATATGACCTATGTGCTGGCATAATGACTCACTGTGTCTGCACAATTGGGACCCATCTTCTATATGCAGTGATGCAGCCTCTCCCCTCTCCATCATCCCATAAAACTCTCCCATCACTTTCCTTTGGGGAGACACTGCTTTGGAGATGACTCTTACTGTCCTTACTTGTGCCAAGGAATAAAACTCCTATTGGTCAAAACCTACGTTCTTGTGAAAAGTCATGAATCCTTTTTTTTATGTAATATAATAATTAAAATAACACATAAAATATTTAGCTAAGTGCCTGACAGAAATTCTCAGTACATACTATATTTAATTCTAGGCCTATATGATGACACTTCTCACAGTATGCGCAAGTTATTTAAAAAATATCAAAGAGAAAAACTTCATATGCTCCTGAGTCAGTTACTTATGTGCATTATTTGTCTCTCTCAAGTTGCTTGAAATCTCAGAATTTACAAAGAGCATTCAATAAATATTTGTTGAATTATATTGGTTTCTCTCAATTATATATTATCCTAGAAATGTTGTAATTTACCAACTATTAAGTTTCTATCCAATCAATTAGAATGTGAATACATTTTGAGAAATTCTTATGAAAAGACAAAATTAAAGCTGTCCTTTGTTACACTAAGAATAATATGCCTGCAGAGGAAATTAAATCTTCATTCAACACATCACATAGAAAACAGAATACTTCAGAAATTCATAGGAAATGACATGTATTGAAAAATATTATTAAATTTTATTAGAGCTGTACAATGCTAGATGTCAAAAAGCGAATGAAAGGTTTTGGTTTTTACATTCTTATTGTGTTTTAAAAACTAGTGAGAGAAACATAAATATCAAGCTCTAGATTTTGTGGCTTACAAAAATTTAAGCTAAAGTCAATTTCTTTTGTCTATCAGAAAAAAAAATAGTATCTCCAGTTTGAAAACAGAGGGGTTGATAAAAAAAAATGAGCTTCAATATCCTTGTGAAATGACAAGTGAAGAGTTACGTTTCCACATTTGGCATTTAAAAAATTTATTCGAGGTCTATTTACTCCATCCTTTAGGCAAATAATCCAAAGGAAGCAACTAAATTGTACCTAATTATTGCTCAATATCTAATTGTTGTTGAAAATATTTCTTGTTAAACTTCCACAGTCTCAACTAAGTCTTCCATTGGTAAATCCAACCCAACCTGTGACACTCCGGTGAAGTCATGGAATTGATTTGCTCTCAACTCTGAATCATAGGTTCTTCCATTTCTGTTATGAAAGAGGTTAATACAAGTACATTAATTTTAAGCATTTTAAAATATTTTCTCTATATGTATTTATTAACTTTATTTGTGAAAAAGAGGGGAAACATCAGAAAGGGTATCATTTATTTTATCTGAGTCTAGAATATTTGCCACAAACACTAAAAGAGTTTCTAGGCAAGGAAAGAAACAGTTAAATACTTTGGGATCAGAAATTAAAAATTGGTTGGTCTGGCTTGACTTGTAAGATCTGAAAGATGGAAACAAGAGGAAAGAGATTTATGGGACCTAAGGGATACAACAAAACCAATGGCAGTGGGAATGGAGAGATATGGTTGACTGTAAAGTATGTTAAGAATTAAAAAACAGAAAGACTTTAGTCCCTTGTTAAATGTGTATATAAGGGGATAAAGTGAAAATTAAGATGAAGCTTCTTGCATTTCTGGGCAAACATGGATGAAAAATAGAAAGCAAAGACATTTCAGAAAAAAGGTAGTAAGATTTGGTTTAGAGGCAATAAGTAAGTTCAGCATTCTGTGTGTTGTCCAGGTGCAGTTGCTAAGACTAAGAAATGAGATGTTTGAGAAGCTTGAGCTTGACTCCAACATATAGATTTTTATTTTAGGGTTTTGGGAATTTTCGTATAAGAGAATTAGCCATAGGAAGAGACCAAAGTGGAATTTTTGCTTGAAAGTTTTGGTTTAAATCATTTATTTGCTTGAAGGTTGATATATCATCACAACTAAAAAAATAAAAAACCTAAGAAATATATGTAAGCAACTTTAAAATTTATCTTATTATTGAAACTGGGCTTGTAGGATCTCCCAGTTTCCTTTGCTTTTTTCTCTGTCCTAACTGAGAAATACAGAATGCCTTTACTTTTCTGTGACACAGCCAGCCACATATTTTTTACTACAGGCTTGCACCCAAGCATGGGCCTTGAACATTCTTAGGCACTGATAGACATTTATGTTGTTGCTCATAACAGTAAAAGAAAGTAGTCCTGGCTCTGAGCAAAATTCCTTAAACCCTCATATAAACCCCATACCCCAAACCCCTCTTGCACATCATCTCTTTCTCTTGTTGTCCATCCTAAGGATTATTTCTGCCCCTTCACTAAGTTCCCCTAATAAATGCTTTGGACTGATCACCTTAGGGTTTAAATGCTTTGTTATCTGAAATCCCAGTCAGCCCCATCTCTGCACAGTTTGGGGCATTCCCTTATGGGAACTCTGTTGTCACTGCTTTTGAGACAACTCCAGCTGTGAGTTTGCCCCAGGATGAAATAGCGTTGCAAGTTATTTTGCATAGATGAAAATAATGACTATGCGCTGGTGAAAAACAATTTCCTTTATTCAGTGAAGTCTTCCTGCTTAACAAAAGTCTACATTTATTATGTTGGTTGTTCCTTTTCATTCTTGGGAGTAAATATGCACAGTGAAGATGTGGAAAAATAGGTCCAAACTATTCCTTGGGGTTTCTCTAACCAAGTTGACTGACGAGAACTGTTTGAAACGTGGATTACTTTTCACTAGAAGTTAGTGCTTAAAATGTAGACTTGAAAAGGTCAGAACTTTTATCCATTAAGCCATCAAGCTTTTTTCTATAATACGAGTAGATGAAAGGCTTTAACTTGTTCAGCAGAATGATCCTATCTCAAATTGAAAGAACAAGGCAAAAATGCCTTTGTCATTCTGTGTATTTAAATCCAGTGGTCTAAATGTCAGTACAGAATGACAGAGTGTCAAATCATGGACCATATCACCTGAAGCCAGAAAATAGGGCAATTTTAAGCTTTCTAAGTTCAAATTATATTTATAAATAGGATGCAGAGTTTGAACCCTACTTATCTAGTACTAGCATGAGTTAGATCTTATGGGCACATGTTTATTTTTAATTATATGCTAATAAATTGGATTCTGCACTTGTTCCATATTTAAAACTCAACCATGCTATTGCTGTTGCAGAACATGCTGCTACTGAAAAAATCAAGCAACTGTTGTGCCAACTATATAAGCAGTAGTATGCAATAGCATACTTGGTATGATGAAAATGAAGACAGATTAGGTTTCATTGTTCTTGAGAAATAATATTGTATGGGGCACTTACAGTTCAAACTGATATTTATAGTTCTTTTATTAAATTGTAACATCCAAATATTTTCTAAGACATTACCAAGCTATTGTGTTCGTAATTTTCTTCCTAAGTGACAAACACTGGCTCCTCTTTATTGTATTTTTTCCTTTTTTAATACTGCTTTATTAAATTTAGTATATTTATATAACAAGAGGATGAAATATGAAACTAGGAGGTTTTCTAAGACATTATCTCCTATATCTTGAGAGATAATTCACATTTTGTCATAAGGAAAAATGGATTTTCATAGCATTCTGACTTGAAGAAATAGGAATTCTCCCAAATAACAGCAACTATAACAACTAAATTGAACACAAATACCCTCTTATTACTCTTACCTAATGACATTATCTGAAAAATGAAAGAGACACATTTCCTGCCATTATATCTAGGGTACTTGATGCTTAATCCAATCTACCTATGGTTCATCTTGGATGCTAATTTCTTAAAAAAATCTAATGTATATGAGGCTTGGGGTTTGTTATTGATTGAATTGTGTCTGTCTTAGTTATTTTGGGCTGCCATAGCAAAATACCATAAACTAGATAGCTAATAAACAATTTATTTTTCATGGCTCTGGAGGCTGGGATTGTAAGATCAAGATACTGGCAGATTCCATGTCTGGTGAGGGTCACTTTCTGGTTCATAGATGCCACCTTCTCACTTTCATCACATGGTGGCCAGGGCAAATGGCTCCCTTGAACATCTTTTATAAGGAAGTAAATGGTGGCTCTACCCTCATGACCTAATCACCTCCCAAAGGTCCCACCTCTTAACATCACCATCTTGGGGGTTAGAATTTCAACATATAAATTTTGAGTGGAAAAAAACATTCTGACAACAGCAGTGTTTCTCAAAAATAATATGTTGAAGCCCTAACCTTTGTGAATGTGAACTTATTTGGAAATAGCTTTTTTACAGATGAAATCTAGTTAAGATCAGATGATCAGGATGGGCCATAATACAATAAAACTGTTGTCCTTATAAGAAGATGGAAATTTGGACAGATCCACACAGGGAAAATGGCCTATAAAGATGTCCATGTTAGGATGGAGGCAGAGATTGAAGTTGTACTGCCAGAAGTAAAGGAATACGTGGAGCTACTGGAAGCTGGACAAGACAAGGAAGTATCCTCCCTTGGAGGCTTTCGAGTGAGTATGGCCCTGACAACACCTTGATTTTGGGTTTCTAGCCTCCAATAGTGTGGGAGAATACATTTCTGTTATTTTTAACAATGCAGTCTGTGGTATATTATATAGCAGTCCTAGAAAACTAATGCAGGGTTTATTAAATCACTTCTGAAATAAAAATTATGGAACCCAAAGTTAGAATTAGCTTTTCAAAAGTGAGTGATCATACTGTATTACCATCTACCTTTCTTTGTTGTAATCATCTCCCTAATTCTGCTCCTTCTCTGTCATTCACTGAGGATTTTGACACCTGGCTCAAGTTCTGCCTCTGCAACAACACTGACACCATCATTCTTTATTAACATCTATATCAGTAGTCAGCCCAGAAACCTTGTCTCTTAGTTGCTCAGCCTCCTCACTCACATGATCATTTCTTCCACTTAATCTCAGCTATCCTACCAACATTTCATGCTAGCCTTTATTACTAATGGGAATTGTACTGCCTCCCAAATCTTGATTTCAGGTTATCCACTAAATGATTCTGACCTTTTTCTTTTCATTTCACTTCTGCTAGTAGTATCTTTCTTCATGTTTTTAAAATTATACTGGCTCTACTCATCTTTCATTGACACTTACCCTACTTCAGTTTTCATTTCTACTCATACTCAGATTAATTTCACTGAAACACTATTACTAAAATTAATCCCTTTGTAAGTGTTAGTTCAATCTATAAAATATAATTATAAGGCAACTTTGGTTTTGTCCTGTACTATTCCTTTAAGGGTCTTCTCTAGCCTTGAATGGAAATGAGATCCAGTTCCATGAATTTTCAGTTTAGTGTTAGGAACTAGAATGTCCTATACAGACCTGTGGTTATTTTAGGTCCCAAAGCTGTAGAACTTCAAAAGCTAGGTTCAAATACCTGATGTGCAGTTAGTCAAATACTTACACATCAGTGCTTAAGAGCAGATAAATGTTTATTCCATTTGGCCCAAGTGTGAGAGTGGTAAAGGCAAATTCTCAGATCCAATCTGCCTTTCAACATAACTGAGAGCTTTTATGAGTAAGGTAGGTATGCAAGAGGTGGGATCCCAGTGATCAAAGCTTCTTTTGTTACTTTGCCAATTGAACATCAGGATGTTATCAAAGAAGTTTACATGACCTAAGTATCATTATTATTTGAAAGAAAAACAAACTCACTAATATTGTGGGCACCCCCTGGGAGTCAGGGTGTAATGTTGATCAATTAGTAGTGACTACCCTCTACTAAAATGACTAAGTGCAAGCTATCATGCCCAGAGGATGAAAATGATGAGAAGGAAAATAAGTAAAACAAACACCTTATGATTTTTATAACATAGGCTCGGTTACACCAATACCAGCTCAAATCAGGAATCACAATTAACAATCCCAATAATAGTACAAATCTTACACTCAACAACAAATCTCCTCTACAGTTGTGTTAGTCATATTTATTATAAAAAAATCAATTCAATTGAGTATAGAGTTTGAGAGTTCCCAAGATCTTCAGAGTGAGTTGGCAAGCTGGAGGTCCAGGAGAGCCAGTGGTGTAACTCCAGTCTAAAAGCCTTGATATCTAAGAGAGGAATTTGTTTCAGTTCAAAGAAGTGTTCAAAGATAGGAAAAAAAAAAAACTAATGTTTTGGCTTAAGGCAGTCAGGCAGGAGAAACTCCCTATTACTCAATCTTTGTGTTCTATTTAGATCTTCCATTGATTAGATGAAACTCAACCATGTTAAGGACGGCAATCTACTGTACTTAGTCTGCTAATTCAAATGTTAATCTCATCCACAAACACCCTCATGGACATACCTAGAATAATGTTTGACTAAATATCTGGACATTCATTGGCCCAGTCAAGTTGACACATAAAATTAACCATCACAATAGTATTGATAGGCCAATTCAAGAAGGATAAGATGGCATGGTCATTCTCTCTTTTTTTCTGCTCCTCCCTCAACACACCAACTAATATATTCTTCTGGCATCTCTTTGGTTGAGACTTAGGGAGAAAATAGAAGTAAGGGCGATAAGAATAGTCTTGAATTTGTACATTCACAAGTTGTCCTTGCTCTCTCTGGGCCTGGCAGATATTTAAATATTGCATAGTCTTTTGATAACCAGTTTTATTGGCTCCTCATAGACACTCAACATTGATAATCAGTTGCATTTCCCTCTGCAAGCTTCATAAAAGCAGCAGTGCATCTCAGAATTTTTTTTTTTTTTTTTTTTTTTTTTTTTTGCTTTTGTGCTAGTTTGGTCCTATTGGACATGGTCTAAGTTGACCACCTTGCCATCTGTGTCTATCTGATATAACTCCTGTCTTGTTCATGAAAAGATCAATGCTGAGAGTGAAAGCTAATTCTAAAGCAACAGTAGCTCAATTTTAGTGTCTTTTCAAAGTAATTTGCAATCTCATTTCTGTTGCCCTCCAGAGTCCTCAGCCAGGACTGAGATTCTAGCCTACTGTTTTTTTTTTTTTTTCTAAAAGTAGAAATAACACATATTACAATCAGTGTAGTTCAGTGGAAGGAGTCTAGGAAATATCACCCCACAATATGCTTGTTTGGCATGCTGATTACTTCAAACAGAGAACTTAGGAAAGAGCAAATTCAGACAGGGACCTCCTTTGAAGTCCCCTTATCTGAAAGAACCTCATTTGTTCCCATCCTGCTTCCCTGGAATCTAACCAAGTAGAGAAGATTAACCATATCACAAGAGGAGAGACTAGAAGTGACTGACTAAAGGGTAATTTCCCACCCAGATTCTTCTGACAGTTCCTCTTTGAGACAACTTTTATTACCTGAGAGACTTTATATGCATGACAAAACAACATGTGTTCACCTTGCATTTTCTCCCTTCACTCTCCCATAGCTTGTCACCCTCTCACACCAGAAGCTCTAAGCTCCTATTCTGATGCTATAAGAACTTTAATCTGACCCTTTTTTGAGTCTTGTATTTTGTGGGAATCTTGTATGTATGCACATAATTAAAAGGGTTTTTCCCGTATTAATTTGTCTACTCTCTGTTTATTTTATAGACTCAAATTATCAAATCTTCAGAGGGTGAAAGGGACATTCCTTTTGACCCTACACCACTATTCTTGAGATGAAAGGGCAGGTAAATTAGATCTCTCCCATGGAGTGGGTGGTGGAATGGGTGTATTTATTTACCAAGTGGTTATACCCCCCTTGTACCTAGGAAGTAGCCAACTTGATTTTGATTTTACAGGCTCCTAGCCAAAAGGAACTTGCTTTGTCTCAGATGAGACTTTGAACTATGACTTTTGAGTTAATGGTGGAATGAGTTAAGACTTTGGGAGACTGTTGGAAAGGCATGGTTGTGTTTTGAAATATGAGGACATGAGATTTGGGAGGGGCCAAGGGTAGAA